>NC_000012.12:11459650-12084650 GCF_000001405.40 Homo sapiens
TCAAACAATGTGCCCGCCTTGGCTTCCCAAAGTGCTAAGACTACAGGCTTGAGCCACCACTCCTGGCCTGCATTATTTCAAGTATAGATTTCTACCAACTCACCACTACCAGCTCACTGGTAACACATTTCTTGGTAAGCCTTTCTATCTCTTTTAGCCAGACTAGTAATAACTAAAACAGTAATATTAATCGACTTCAGACAATAGTGGTCATTCCTAAGGCTGGAACCAGGTAAATATAACACAACATGTAGCTTTTTTTTTTTTTGGCAGGGGCGTGGTCAATAAATGTCTATTGAGCACTTACTGTGTACAAAATTAAGAGGAAAGAATAGTCTCTTCTCCTAACCTCTCCCATCCTTATTTGAGAGGAAAAGTGGGGAGAAAATAAGAACATGTGGCCCAAGCCTTGATTTTATCATCTAGTTCTGGGAGACAGGTGTGTAAGGAATGAGGGAAGAAAAGGAAGAAGCAATGCTATGGAAGTTCAGAAGGACCCATGAGTGAAAGCAGGAATCAGGAATTGGAAAACTTGTATTGGAGAAAGTAGTTTGTTTTGTGCTTTGAAAGGTTAGGAAATTAAGAGATGCAAAAGGATATTTTGAACCCAAAACCCTGTTTCACTAGACTATTAATGTTAACTACTAAGAAAAGACAAGTAAATAGAAGTCTGCCAATGCTTTATCCCTTTGCTAATTCCTCTGGAAGGATTTCACTGAATGGGTAAGAAATCCTTATGCTTCCTTCAGACCACAAGACTGGGATTCTTTATGTGATTGCTTTCACTTGAAGAGAAGACAAAAGGTCTGTTCTGGCTCTTCTTTCCACAACACTAAAATGAGATGTATTTTTCTTTAATCACTTCTATCTGACTCCAGGTACAGCCCCACATTCCTCATCCATTAATCATTTACTGAGCATATACAAGATGCCAGGCAGTTTGCTAAACAATATGCATAAAAAGATTAAAACCTCATGATTTCTTCCACCCCAGATTTCAAAGACTAATGAGAGAGACAGGCATACAACAAAATAATGGCACACAAAAAATGAGCTAGAATGCGTGGAGACATAGTGTAGCAATTGCCTATCTATAGAGTAGGGTGAAGGAAGGGCCTGAAACCCACTTCACAGAGAGGGGAGTTCCCAATAAGGGGTGGGGTGAATGTAGAAGAGGGGTGGGGAGAAACATCTGAAACACAATAGAGCCAGGTAGGTTTAAAACAAAGTGGTGAATTTGGTGAAGCAACAGCACACATTTCAGGACTGGAGAGAGATAAAGGACCCTGAACACTTCATTAAGGAGCTTGGGCTTTATCCTGTAACTCAGTGGGCAAATATCCCTTGCTTCAGATCAACAGAGTGACTTGCTAAAAATATGAGTTTCTGGACACTACTTCAGAGAGGAGGGCCTGAACATCTATATTTTGGACAACTTCACCAAGTCATTCTTTCTTTTTTTGAGACAAGGGCTCACTCCATTGCCCAGGCTGGAGTGCAGTGCCACGATCTCAGCTCACTGCAGCCTCGACTTCCTGGACTCAAGCAATCTTCCCACCTCGGCCTCCTGAGTAACTGGGACTACAAGTGCACACCACCACACCTGGCTATTTTTTGTATTTTTTTGTATAGGTGGGGTTTCTCTATGTTGCCCAGGCTGGCAGGTGATTCTTAAGTATACTAAAGTTTCCCAACAATTGTTATACTAAGGGGAATCTTCCAAAATTTTTCAGCATGGGAGGAAAATAAATTGACATTCTAAAAAGTATTACAGACGTACATACTACATGTGTGTGTATCACATCTAAACTTTACACTAGTTCAAAACTCTTTTCCACATATGGGTGTCTAACGTTCCTCATTAGGAGGGAAACACCACGCCCCATTATGCATCATCAGCCAGCTAATTACTCCCCTTCTGACCACAGCCAGCATGCCTTAGTGTCTTCAAGCACAGGTAGCAGGAGTCTCCCAGCAGGGAAAAGGCCATGCCTCCGACCTAGCTCACTCTGAGACCTATACTGGCCCCAGCGTGTTCCTCACCTCATTCAACATTCCAGCTTGGAAGGGATGCTACCATGTTTGGTAGATCTAACCATGGCACTGCCTTTTTAATGGCTTTCCATTGTCCACAGGAAAAAGGGCAAATGCCAAGGCAAATCATGAAGTGCTGTCTCAATCCAGTCCCTACCCAGTTTTCCAAATGTTTTTTCTTTTTATTTTTTTTAATTTAAGTAGAGGAAGAGTATCTATTTGTTGCCCAGGCTGGCCTCCAACACCTGGCTTTAAGCAGTCCTCCTGCCTCAGCCTCCTGAGTAGCTAGGACTGCAGGCACGCACCACCATGCCCAGCTAATTTTTCAAATATTTTTCTAGAGACAGGGTCTCGCTATGTTGCCCAGGCTGATCTCAAACTCCTGGCTTCAAGTGATCCTCCTGTCTTGGCCTCCTAAAGTGCTGGGATTATAAGCATGAGCCACTGTGCCTCGCCCAAATTTATTTTTTACTAGTACTACCTTTCATGCCCGTCTGTGTGAAGAGACCACCAAACAGGCTTTGTGTGAGCAACATGGCTGTTTATTTCACCTGGGTGCAGGCGAGCTGAGTCCTAAAGGAGAGTCAGTGAAGGGAGATAGGGGTGGGGCTGTTTTATAGGATTTGGGTAGGTAAAGGAAAATTACAGTCAAAGGGGGTTTGTTCTCTGGCGGGTAGGAGTGGGGGTCGCAAGGTGCTCAGTGGGGGTGCTTTTTGAGCCAGGATGAGCCAGGAAAAGGACTTTCACAAGGTAATGTCATCACTTAAGGCAAGGACCGGCCATTTACACTTCTTTTGCAGTGGAATGTCATCAGTTAAGGTGGGGCAGGGCATATTCACTTCTTTTGTGATTCTTCAGTTACTTCAGGCCATCTGGGCATATACGTGCAAGTCACAGGGGATGCGATGGCTTGGCTTGGGCTCAGAGGCCTGACATTCCTGCCTTCTTATATTAATAAGAAAAATAAAACAAAATAGTGTTGAAGTGTTGGGGTGGCGAAAATTTTTGGGTGCTATGGAGAGAGAATGGGCGATGTTTCTCAGGGCTGCTTCAAGCAGGATTAGGGGCGGCGTGGGAACCTAGAGTGGGAGAGATTAAGCTGAAGGGAGGTCTCATGGTAAGGGGTGATATTGTGGGGATGTTAGAAGAAACATTTTTTGTATAGAATGATTGGTGATGGCCTGGATATGGTTTTGGATGAACTGAGAAACTAAATGGAATAACAGAAGGAGAAAAACAGGTATAAAAGGTCTAAGAATTGGGATGACTCAGGATATCTGATTAGAGAGTGCCTAAGGAGATTCAGCATAGTCCTGCCAGCAAAGATTATTTATTTACTTCAAGAGTTAAGAGTGGCATTTTGGGGATAGCACCAGGAGATATCAGCTGTGATGGCTTGGAAAAACAGTGTGAACCGGCAGTGTAAACAAGAGCAGGGCATGTATGAGTAGTTGAGAACGGTGAATAGGAGTATGACTAGACAGAAGATAGTAGGGATGACAAGTTTTTTGGGGAACAGTCTAAGTTGGTCTGGTGTCTGGAATGAGACTGGGGCCTAATAAAAAGGAGCATCTATACAGGACCTTAAATGGGCTGTACCCTGTAGCATTCCGAGGACAGGCCTGAATTCTGAGAAGGGAAAGTGGTAAAAGTATTGTTCAGTCCTTTTTAAGTTGGTGGCTGAGCTTGGTGAGGTGTGTTTTTAAAAGACCTTTAGTCCATTCTACTTTTCTTGAAGACAGAGGACCATAAGGGATATAAAGGTTTCACTGAATACTAAGAGCCTGAAAAACTGCTTGGCTCATTTGACTAATAAAGGCTCGTCTGTTATCAGACTGTATTGAGGTGGGAAGACTAAACTGAGAAATTATGTCTGACAGAACGGAAGAAATGACTGTGGTGGCCTTCTCAGACCCTGTAGGAAAGGCCTCTACCTATCCAGTGAAAGTATCTACCTAGACTAAGAGGTATTTTAGTTATCTGACTCGGGGCATGTTGAGTAAAGCTAATTTGCCAGTCCTGGGTGGGGGCAAATCCTCAAGCTCGATGTGTACGGAAGGGAGGGAGCCTGAATAATCCCTGAGGAGTAGTAGAATAGCAGATGGAACACTGAGAAGTTATTTCCTTGAGGATAGATTTCCATGATGGAAAGGAAATAAGAGGTTCTAAGAGGTGGGCTAGTGGCTTGTACTATAGTATAACCTGCCTTCGCTGGTGTGTGGCGATTAGGCCTGGTGGAACTGCCATCAATAAGTCAAGCGTGATCAGGGTGAGGAACAGGAAAGAAGGAAATTTGGGGAAATGGAGTGAATGTCAGGTGGATCAGAGAGATACAGTCATGGGGGTCAGGTGTGGTATCAGGAATAATGTGGGAGGCTGGATTGAAGTCTGGGCCAGGAACAACGGTAATTGTGGGAGACTCAACAGAGAGTACAGCTGAAGGAGCCGGGGAGCAGAAAGTATATGCGTCAGGTATGAGGAAGAAAATAGATTTTGGAAGTTATGAGAACTGTAGAGAGTGAGTTGAGCATAGTTTGTGATTTTGAGGGCCTCTAAAAGTATTAAAGCAGTGGCAGCCGCTGCACGCAGACATGAGGGCTAGGCTAAAACAGTAAGGTCAAGTTGTTTGGACAGAAAGGCTACAGGGTGTGGTCCTGGCTCTTATGTAAGAATTCTGACCGCGCTAACCATGCCTAGGAAGGAAAGGAGTTGTTGTTTTGTAGAAGGTGCTTGGGTTTGAGAGATCAGTCGGACACGATTGGCAGGGAGAGCACGTGTGTTTTTATGAGAATTATGCTGAGATAGGTAACAGATGAGGAAGAAATTTGGGCTTGATTGAAGTAATGGGGGCTGTCTGTGAAGCTTTGTGGCAGTACAGCCTAAGTAATTTGCTGAGCTTGATGGGTGTCAGGGTCAGTCCAAGTGAAAGTGAAGAGAGGCTGGGATTAAGGGTGCAAAGGAATAGTAAAGAAAGCATGTTTGAGATCCAGAACAGAATAATGGGTTGTAGAGGGAGGTATTGAGGATAGGAGAGTATATGGGTTTGGCACCACGGGGTGGATAGGCAAAACAATTTGGTTGATAAGGTGCAGATCCTGAACTAACTTCTAAGGCTTGTCTGGTTTTAGGATAGGTAAGATGGCAGAATTGTAAGGAGAGTTTATAGGCTTTAAAAGGCCATGCTCTAGCAGGCGAGTGATAACAGGCTTTAATGTTTTTAAAGCATGCTGCAGGATGAGATATTGGCATTGAGTGGGGTAAGGGTGATTAGGTTTTAATGAGATGGTAAGGGGTACATGATCAGTCACCAAGGAGGGAGTAGAGGTATCTTATACTTGTGGGTTAAGGTGGGGTGATACAAGAGGAGGATGCAAAGGAGGCTTTGGATTGGGAAGAAGGGCGGCAATGAGATATAGCTGTAGTCCAGGAATAGTCAGGGAAGCAGATAATTTAAAGTGTCTCAGCCTAATAAGGGAACTGGGCAGGTGGGGATAACTAAAAAGGAGTGCTTAAAAGAGTATTGTCTAAGTTGGCACTAGAGTTGGGAAGTTTTAAGAGGTTTAGAAGCCTGGCCATCAATACCCACAACAGTTATGGAGGCAAGGGAAACAGGCCCTTGAAAAGAAGGTAATGTGGAGTGGGTAGCCTCCGTATTGATTAAGAAGGGGACGGGCTTACCTTCCACTGTGAGAGTTACCTAAGGCTCGGCATCCGTGATGGTCTAGGGGGCTTCCGAGGCGATCGCGCAGTGTCAGTCTTCAGCCGCTAAGCTGAGAAGGAGTCAGTCAGAGAGCCTTCGGCCAGAGTTCCAGGGGCTCTGGGAGTGGCTGCCAGGTGAGTTGAACAGTCCGATTTTCAGTGGGGTCCCACACAGATGGGACGCGGCTTAGGAGGAATCCCGGGCTGAGGGCATTCCTTGGCCCAGTGATCAGATTTCTGGCACATGTAGCAAGCTCCTGTGGGAGGAGGTTCTGGAGGAATGCCTGGCCACTGCGGTTCAGGCATTTGGAAGTTCTTATGTGCTGGAGATGTGGCTGGGGTTTGTCTCACAGTGGAGGCAAGGAATTGCAACTTTTTTCTATTATTTTACACCTTGAAGGCGAGGTTAATTAAATCCTGTTGTGGGGTTTGAGGGCTGGAATTTAATTTTTGGAGTTTTATTTAATGTCAGGAGCAGATTGGGTAATAAAATGTATTTTGAGAATAAGATGGCCTTTTGACCTTTTAGGGTCTAGGGCTGTAAAGTGTCTCAGGATTGCTGCCAAACAAGTCATAAACTGGGCTGGATTTTTATATTTGATGAAAAAGAGCCTAAACGCTATCTGATTTGGGATAAAGAAAAAGGCACATTAACCTTGACTATGCCTTTAGCTCCAGCCACCTTTTTAAGAGTAAATTGCTGGGCGGGAGGGGGAAGGCTAGTCACGGAACAAAACTGTAAGCCAGACCAGGTGTGAGGAGGGGAGGTGATAAAAAGATTATAGGGTGGAGGAGCAGAGGCTGAGCAAGAATTGGGACCTAGCTCAGCCTGGCGAGGAGCAGCCTGGGGAGGAAGGGAGAGGTCAGATGGGTCTGTACAACAGGAAGATTAGAAAGACTCAGTGACGCTTGGGGTTGGGACTGAGGGGACAGGCGGGAGGGAAAGAAGGAAGATTTGGGATGAGTTGCACTGGGCACAGAGACTAGGAAGGGACTGATGTGTAAAAGAATGCCTGGACATCAGGCACCTCAGATCATTTGCCTATTTTATGACAAGAATGATTTAGATCTTGCAGGACGGAAAAATTCAAAGTGCCATTTTCTGGCTATTTGGAACTACTGTCAAGTTTGTATTGGGGTCAAGCGGCATTGCAGAAGAAAATAAGGCATTTAGATTTTAGGTCAGGTGTGAGTAGAAGAGGTTTTAAGTTTTTGAGAACACAGGCCAAGGGAGTAGAAGGAGGAATGGAGGGTGGAAGGTTGCCCATAGTGAAGGAAGCAAGCCTAGAGAAAAGAGAGAGTAGAGAAATGGAGGGAAGGGGTTCGGGGGTTCTTCCCTTCCAGAAAAGTGGGAAAAGGCATTGGGGTGCAGAGATAAGAGGTTGGGGCATGGAAATAAGAGATGGGGCACCGAAATAAGAGGTCAGGGCATGGAAATAAGGGATTGGGGCACAGAGATAGAAGAGGTTGGGGTGCAGAAATAAGGAATTAGGGCACAGAGATATGAGGTTGGGACACAGAAATAAGGGATTGGGGTGCAGAGATAAGAGGTTGGGGCATGGAAATAAGGGATTGGGTGTTCTTGCCCCATAGAAAAGTGGGATTTGCCGCTAAGGGTGAAGGAGAAGGGGTTGAGGGGTACTTGCCCCTCCCCCAGAAAAGCAGAGAAGGGGTAGAGAGAAGGAGAGAAGGGGTTGGGGTACTTGCCCCTTCCCCAGAAAAGTGGGACTTGCCAGTAAGGGTGAAGGACCAAGGCAGGGGTCCCTGCATGGTCTGACACCTTTGAAACGTGGGTGTATAATCAGAGAGACGTCCCTGCAATGATTAAACACCAAGGGAAGGCTGCCTTCCCAGTCCGTGACCAGCGCCGGAGTTTTGGGTCCATGGATAAAACATGTCTCCTTTGTCTCTACCAGAAAATGAAAGGAATTGAAATTAAGAGAAGGGAGAGATTGAAGTGTGGTGCCAAGATTGAAAGGAGAAAGAGGTTGAGGGATAGTGAGGGAGGTTGGAGAAGAGAGTAAAAAGACGCCGCTTACTGGATTTGAAATTGGTGAGATGTTTCTTGGGCTGGTCAGTCTGAGGACCTGAGGTCGTAGGTGGATCTTTCTCATGGAGCAAAGAACAGGAGGACAGGGGATTGATCTCCCAAGGGAGGTCCCCTGATCCGAGTCACGGCACCAAATTTCATGCGCGTCCATGTGAAGAGACCACCAAAGAGGCTTTGTGTGAGCAACATGGCTGTTTATTTCACCTGGGTGCAGGCAGGCTGAGTCGGAAAAGAGAGTCAGCGAAGGGAGATAAGGGTGGGGCTGTTTTATAGGATTTGGGTAGGTAAAGGAAAATTACAGTCAAAGGGGGTTTGTTATCTGGCGGGCAGGAGTGGGAGTCGCAAGGTGCTCAGTGGGGGTGTTTTTGAGCCAGGATGAGCCAGGAAAAGGACTTTCACAAGGTAATGTCATCACTTAAGGCAAGGACCGGCCATTTATATTTCTTTTGCAGTGGAATGTCATCAGTTAAGGTGGGGCAGGGCATATTCACTTCTTTTGTGATTCTTCAGTTACTTCAGGCCATCTGGGTGTATACGTGCAAGTCACAGGGGATGCGATGGCTTGGCTTCAGCTCAGAGGCCTGACAGTACCTGTGCTCTAGAAAGAGCAATGACATAAAACCATATATTTTTCCCTAGTATATGACACATATTTCCACCACTGTGCCTTTGCACATGCTGTGTTTTCTGCCCTGACTCCATTCTATTCTCTGCCTGGGGAATGTTTATTCATGCTTCAAGATCCAGCTTAAAGATTGCTCCTTCTCTAAAGTCTTTCCTGATTCCGACTGAAAGAAATAGTTTAATTACAATATATCATTCAACCACTGTCTGGCCACCATCTTCATTCTGGCAAAAAAAGAATAGCAACAGTGAAATAGCTCCTTCCTCTACCACCTAGCCTGTCTTTTGCAGCACTGTCGTATATTTAGCATACTTCAATAGCACTAACCTGCAAAAATAACAATCACATAAGTTACCAATCAATAAGATTTCTCTCACTCCTGGTTGAGTGATTTCCAGTAGGATATACTGTTCTGGTTAGTTTGCTTTTTGTGTTAATATCAGAAGGACAGGAGCTCTTCTTAAGGAGTTTTGGATTATTTTCCCCTTTCATTCTCTTTTTTCTTTACTACTATTGATAGCCACTACAAATTAACTGGCTTACAACAATGGAAATTTATTCTCTTGTAGATCTGGAGGCTCAAAATACAAAATGAAGGTATCGTTAGGGGTGCCCTCCCTCTGAAGTTACTAGGGGAGAATCCTTCCTTGCCTCTCCCAGCTCCTGGGGGCTCCATGCATTCCTTGGCTTTTGCCTACTACTCTTTCTGCCTAAGCCATCACACGGCCTTCTCCTCTTCCCTGTGTGTCTCTTATAAGGACCGTTGTCACTGGATTTAGGGCCCACTCAGATAATCTAGGATAATTTTATTTCAAGATCCTTAATTTAACTACATCTACAAAAATCCTTCCTCCAGGCTGGGCATGATAGTTTACATCTGTAATCCCAGCAATTTGGGAGGCTAAAGCAGGAGGATCACTTGAGCCCAGGAGTTCAAGGCTGCAGTGAGCTATAATCACACTATTGCATTCCAGCCTGAGTGACAGAGTGAGGCCATGTCTCAAAAAAAAAAAAAAAAAAAACCCTTTTTCCAAATAAGGTCATATTTACAGGTTCTAGAGATTAGGGGATGGGCATATCTTTTTGAGGGTCACCATTTAGCCTACTATAAAGATCTGTTTACCAAAAAGAACAAAGCTGGATGCACCATGTTACCCTACTCAAACTGTACTACAGGGCTACAGTAACAAAAACGGCATAGTACTGGTACAAAAACAGGCACATAGACCAATGAAACAGAATAGAGATCCCAGAAATAAGGCCATGCACCTATGACCATCTGATCTTCAACAGTGCTGACAAAAATAAGCAATGGGGAAAAGACTCCCTATTCAATAAATGGTGCTGGGATAACTGGCTAGCCATATGCAGAAAATTGAAGCTGGACCCCTTCCTAACCCCATATACAAAAATCAACTCAAGATGGATTAAAGACTTTAAATGTAAAATTCAAAACTGTAAAAGCCCTGGAAGGCAACCTAGAAAATACCATCCTAGACATAGGAATGGGCAAAGATTTCATGACGAAAACAGCAAAAGCAATTACAACAAAAGTAAAAATTGGCAAGTGTCATCCAATTAAACTAAAGAGCTTCTGCACAGTGAAAGAAACTGTCAACAAACAGACAACAACCTACAGAATGGAAGAAAATTTTTGCAAACTAGGCATCTGAAAAAAAATGTAATATTCAGCATCTATAAAGAACTTAAATTTACAAGGGAAAAAAAAACCATTAAAAAGTGGGCAAAGGACATGAACAGACACTTTTCTTTTTTCTTTTTTTTTTTTTTTTTTTTTGAGATGACGTCTCGTTTTGTCACCCAGGCTAGAGTGCAGTGGCATAATCTTGGCTCACTGCAACCTCCACCTCCCGGGTTCAAGTGATTCTCCTGCCTCAGCCTCCTAGGTAACTGGGACTACAGATGCACGCCACCACACCCGGCTAACTTTTGTAATTTTAGTAGAGATAGGGTTTCACCATATTGGTCAGGCTGGTCTTGAGCTCCTGACCTCAGGTGATCCACCCGCCCCAGCCTCCCAAAGTGCTGGGATTACAGGCATCAGCCACCACGCCTGGCAACACTTTTCAAAAGAAGACAGACATGTGGCCAACAATCATATGAAAAAAAGCTCAACATCACTGATGATTAGAGAAATACAAATCAAAACTAAAATGAGATAACATCCCACACCAGTCAGAATGGCCATTATTAAAAAGTCAAAAAATAACAGATGCTGGCCAGGTTTTGGAGAAACGGAACAGTTATACACTATTGGTGGGAGTAAAAAATATTTCAATCATTGTGGAAAGCAGTATGGCAATTCCTCAAAGAGCTAAAAGCTACCATTAGCTCGATCTACCATTTGACCCAGCAATCCCATTACTGGGTATATACCCAGAGGAATATAAATCATTCTACTATAAAGACACATGCACACGAATCTTCACTGCAGCACTATTCACAATAACAAAGACTTGGAATCAAACTAAATACCCATCAATGACAGATTGGATAAAGAAAATGTGGTATATTCACACAATGGAATACTATTCAGCCATAAAAAAGAATGAGATCATGTATTTTGCAGGAACATGGATGGAGCTGGAGGCTATTATTCTTAGCAAATTAATGCATTAACAGAAAACCAAATACCGCATGTTCTCACTTATAAGTGGGAGCTACATGACGAGAATTTATGAACACAAAGAAGGAAACAACAAACACTGGCGTCTACTTGAGGGTGGACGGTGGGAGGAGGGAGAGGAGCAGAAAAGATCACTATTGGATACTGGACTTAATACCTGGGTGATGAAATAATCTGTACAACAAACCCCCGTGACACGAGTTTACCTACGTAACAAACCTGCACATGCAGCCCTGAACCTAAAATAAAAGTTAAAAAAAAAAAAAGATCCGCTTGCTAATAAACTGCATGTTAGTAGTATTTTTGTTAAAAGGAACAAACTCTAATAAAATGTTTCTGACATTTTGGGATAATTTAGGAAGTGCCTAAGACATAATTTCATCAAATGTTATTCTTATTGATGACAATAAGATGACAGATGGAAAATTGGATAACTGATTATTCATTCACATTTGCTAGGACCTTGGATGTTACATACATAAACTAAATTTCTTACATAAAGCAACTGCTAAAAGAACAACTCAGTTACTCCTAAAAATATTTGATTGCAACCGGCTAGTCTTCTAACCCTAATAGTTCATCTCTTCCTCTTCGGTGAATTTGAACAGCATAGAAACTGAGACTCTGGCTGTCCTATAATTAAACTGAGATTTACCCTGCTTTAATTACCAAAGCAGAAACCCCAGAAATGTTACTACTCATAATGTTATTTTTATTTCTAAATATAATTGCATGAAAACTCACATATTAACAAGTGTAACATTTAATAGTATACATTTAATAATTTTGTTTTCGGTTATTAACTGATTTTTTTAAAATCAGGGCTTATCTCAACCTTGGCACTATTGAGATGGGCTCATAGAGCCAAGAGCTAGATTATTCTTGGTCGTGGGGGGCTCTGGTGACTATAGGATATAGCATTCTTGGCCTCTACCAACTAGATGCCAGTAGCACCCCCTTTTCCCAAGTTGTGACTACCAAAAATATCTCCACTGGCAAATGTCTGCTATGGGACAAAATTGCCCAGATTGAGAACCACTGGTTTAAATGAGAAAAACCCATACTTCAAAACTTGAAAAGTAAAAAGTAAAAATTTCTACATTGATTTGTGAAGAAGGAAAATGATCCAGATAATTGTGGTATTACAAATTTGTTTATAAATTATCCAGATAATTGTGGTATTACAAATTTGTTTTTATTTTTTGAGAGACAGAGTCTTACTCTGTTGCCCAGGCTGGAATGCAGTGGTGCAATTTTGGCTCATTGCAAACTCCTCCTCCCAGTTTCAAGCGATTCTCCTGCCTCAGACTCCCAAGTAGCTGGAACTACAGGCATGCGCCACCACATCCAGCTAATTTTTATATCTTCTAGTAGAGACGGGGTTTCACTATATGTTGGCCAGGCTGGTCTCAAACTCCTGACCTCAAGTGATCCACCCACGTTAGCCTCCCAAAGTGCTGGGATTACAGGTGAGCCACAGCACCTGGCCCCTCCTTTTTTTAAGGCTGGGTAATATTCTATTGCATATATCTCTGACTTATATGTCCACTCATCTGAGTTGTTTCCACCTCTTGGCTATTGTGAATAAGGCTGCAATAAACATGGCATGCAAATATCTCTTCAAAACCCTGCTTTGAATTCTTGTGGCTATATACCCAGAAGTGGGATTGCCAGATCATCTGATAATCCTATTTTCAATTTTTTGAGGAACCTCCATACCATTTTCCATAATGGCCACGCCATTTTACAGTCCTACCAACAGGGCACAAGGGTTCCAGTTTCTCCACATCCTCACCAACATTTGTTGTTTTCTCTTCTCTTGATAGTAGCCATCCTAAGGGACATGAAGTAAAATCTCATTGTAGTTTTGACATGCATTTATCTTATGATTAGTAATATTAAGCACCTTTCCATATGCTGGTTGACCATTTGTATATCTTCTTTGGAGAATTCTCTATTCAAGTTATTTGCCCACTTTTGAATCAGGTCATTTTGTTGTTGAGTTGTAGAAGTTCCATAAATACATTTTTAATTATAATTTTTGTATATGTGTATATATACATGTTAAATACATATTTATATATATTTAAAATGCATTATCAAATATGTCATTTTCAAATATTTTCTCCCATCCATAGATTGCCTTTTCATTCTGTTAATTATGTTAACAAGCAGAAGTTAACCTTAAACTTTCCTGTCATACTATTTGCCTACTTTTGCTTTTGTTGCCTGTGCTTTTGGAGTCATATCCAGTAAATCATTACCAAATCCATTGTCATAAACATTTTTTCCTCTCCTTTTTTCTAGGAGTGTAATAGCTTTAGGTCTTGTGTTTAGATATTTAATCCATTTTGTTGGTTTTTGTATATGGTGTAAGGTAAGTGTCTAACTTCATAATTTTGCATTTGAGTATCCACTTTTCCCAACACCATTTGTTGAAGGAATTGTCCTTTCCTCCATTGGTATAATTTGGACATTTGTCCTCTCCAGATCTCATGTTGAAATTTGATCCCCATTGTTGGAAGTGTTTGGTCATGTAGGTGGATCTCTCATGAATGGCTTGGCGTAGTTGATACGGTTTGACTGTGTCCCCACCCAAATCTCATCTTGAATTGTAGCTCCTATAATTCCCACATGTTGTGGGAGGGGCCCGGTAGGAGATAACTGAACCATGTGGGCGGGTCTTTCCCATGCTATTCTCATCATGGTGAATAAGTCTCACGAAATCTGATCGTTTTATAAAGGAGAATTTCCCTGCACAGGTTCTCTTCTCTTGTCTGCAGCCATGTGAGATGTGCCTTTCACCTTCCACCATGATTGTGAGCCCTCCCAAGCCACGTGGAACTGTGTGTCCATTAAACCTCTTTATTTTGTAAATTGCCCAGTCATGGATATGTCTTTATCAGCAGCATGAGAACAGACTAATACAGTAGTCTCCAGGGTAATGAGTGAGTTCTCTATTTGTTTTCACAAGATCTGATTTTTAAAATGAGCCTGGCATCTCCCTCCTTTCTCTTGCTTGCTCTCTGTCTTGCCATATGATGCCTGCAGCCCTTTTACCTTCTGCCATGATTGTAAGCTTCCTGAGGCCCTTACAAGAAGTAGAAAGTAGATGCTGGTGCCATGCCTCTGGTACAGGCTGTCGAATTGTGAGCCAAATTAACCTTTTTCTTTTAAAAATCACCCAGCCTCACATATTTATTTATAGCAGTGCAAAATGAACTACAACAGAAAATTGGTACCAAGAAATGGGGTGTTACTATAAAGAAACTTGAAAATGTGGAAGCAGTTTTGAAAACAGGGTAATGGGCAGAAGTTGGAAGAGTTTGGAGGACTCTGAAGAAGACAGGAAGAAGAGAGAAAGCTTGGAACTTCTCAGAGACTGGTTAAATGGTTGTGATCAAAATGCTGATAGAACTAGGGACAATGAAGGCTATATTGATGAAGTCTCAGATGAAAATGAGAAACTTATAGGGAACTAAAGTAAATGTCACCCTTGTTATGCCCTAGCAAAGAAATTGGCTGCACTGTGTCCATGTCCTAGGACTTTGCGGTAGGCTGAATTTTAGATTGATGACTTAGGGTATCTGGCAGAAGAAATTTCTAAGCAGCAAAACATTCGAGAAGAGTCATGTCTGCTTCTAACAACCTAGGGTCGGTTTTGGGAGCAAAAAAATTACCTAAAGTTGGAACTGATAATGAATAGGAAATCAGAACATAAAAATTTGGCAAATTCACAGCCCACTGTGTGGTAGACAAGGTGTGGCAGAGGTGTGGTAGAGAAGGAAAGACCATTTTCAAAGAGAGGAATCCAAGGAGGCTTGGAGTCACCACTTGCTAGAGAGATTGGCAATAATAAAAGGGAGCCAGATGCTGATGGTCAAGACAATGAGAAAAAGACCCTGACATTTCAGAAATCTTCAAGGCCACCCCTCCATCACAGGCCCAATGTCCTAAGACAGAATGGCTTCAGGGGAACTGCCTAGGGTGCCACTGCCCTGTTGGATGCTGCTTTCCTGCTGCTCTGCCTCCATCCCCAGCTCAAAGAGTCCCAGGGACTGCTTGGGCTGCTGCTCCAGAGGGCACAAGCCATAAGCCTTGGCAGCTTCAACATGGTGGTAAGTCTGCAGGCACACAGAGGCAAAAGCCATGGAGGCTTGGCAGCTTCCACCTAGATTTCAAAGGATGTATTGGAAAGCCTGAGTGCCCAGGCAGAAGCCTATCTGCAAAAAGCCTTTATTAGGGAAGTGCCTAGGGGGAAATGTGGGGTTGGAGCCCCAGCAAAGCATCCTTACTGGGGCACTGATTGGTGGAGCCCTGGGAGCAGGGCCACTGCCATTCATATCCCAGAATGGTAGCACCACCAACAGCATGCACCTTCAGTCTAGAAAAACCATGGGCACCACATCCCAACCCCTGGGAGCAGCCACAGGGGCTATGCTCAACAAAGCCATGGGGACAGTGATGCCCAAGGCCTTGGGAGCCCACCCCTTCTACCATTGTGCCCAGGATGTGAGACATGGAGTCAAGTGAGAGCATTCTGTACCTTTAAGATTTAATGTCTGTCCTGCTGGGTTTCAGAATTGCGTGAGGCCTCTTGCCCCTTTCCTTTGGCCAATTTTTCCTTTTCGGAATGGGAATGTTTACCCAATGCCTGTACCCCCATTATATCTTGGAAATAAATAACTTGTTTTTAATTTTAGAGACTCACAGTTGTGAGAAACTTCCCTTAAGCCTCAGATGAGACTTTGGACTTTTGAGTTAATGCTGGAACAAGTTAAGACTTTTGGGGATTATTGGGAAGGGATGATTGCATTTTGCAATGTGAGAAGGACACAAGATTTGGGAGACCAGGAGCAGAATAACATAATTTGGATGTGTGTCCCCTCCAAATATCATGTTAACCTTTGATCCCCAATGGTAGCAGTGGGTCTAGTGGGAGGTGTTTTGGTCATGGGGGCGAATCCCTCATGAGTGACTTGGTGTCCTCCTCACAGTAACGAGTGAGTTGTCCCTCTATTAGTTCCCATGAGATATGATTGTTAAAAAGAGCTTTGCACCTCTTTCCTCTCTCTTTTGCTCTCTCTGTTGCCATATGACATGCTGGCTCCCCTTAACCTTCTGAGTGGAAGTTTCCTGAGGTCCTCACCAGAAGCAGAATCCTGCACCATGCTTCTTATACAGCCTGCAGAACCATGAGCCAAATAAACCTCTTTTCTTTATAAATTACCCAGCCTCAGGTATTCCTTTATAGGAATACAAAATAGAATAAGACACCCATTGTGTAGTCTTGGCACCCTGTTGAAAATCATTTGACCATATGAGTTTATTTTTGCAATCACAAATTTTTATATCCATGCCACATCTCTTCCTAGAAGCCTCCTTGCTTTTAGAAAAGTTCAAAGTCAGGCAGTTCTTTGGGTACAGAATGATGCAGAAATTGCCAGAAGGAAAAAATGGACTCCACCCTGGATGACTTGAATAAGACAGTAGCACAGAACCAAAGCACAGACCTAGGGATCCCAAAAAGCCCTCTTGTCATCATCATTGTTATTTTACTATCTAACATCAGAGACCACAAGGCTCTGCTGAAGAGCATGGTATGGTGGCCTCAGGCAGGGTCAAGCTGTGATGCAAAATCAGTGCCCGCCAGCCAGGCAGGTGCTATGGTAGGTCAGAGGCTACAGCCAGGACTGTGAGGCCAGAGCCCTGGCATGGAATGTGGGCACTTTGACTTTCTTTCTCCCATCCAAAGTAAAAAAAGAAGCAGGAAAAGAAAGTTAATGTCAGATTAAGGCAAAGGACCTGCATTTGTCACCACTGACACAGTTAGTTCCTAAGAGCTTATGGAGGATCTCAAAAAGACCTATCTTTCCCCTAAATGTGTTTAACATTGTCCAGCATGGGCCTTGAGGCTGCACCAAGATACCATTATCCCTCAAATTTTGAGGTTTTTCAGGAGTTCTCCACAAATATTCAGGAGACTTGTGCCTAACGAGGATCTTGAAAATATTGTGGTGTTGAAATTATTTGTGCAATGAGTGGATGAGTGAGTGAGTGAATGGTAACAGCCGGACAAGAATAGGCAAGGGCTAAAGTGAGAAGAATGGAGTCTCTCTACATTGTGTAGCAGCCTCAAAAAACCACCCTCCCCATGCTTTGCAACATAGCACGGAGCACATACCTTTAGGTGATGTCTGGTATTATATTATGGAGTGGTGATCCCAAACTGAAGAGTCTAAATCTGGAACTTTTGTGACTGTCACAGAAAAACTCATCCTTCAAAAATAAATGTGAATCAAAAGACCATTAGGAAGTAGTGATTGTAATATGTAAGTGCAGGGTCTATAACTTTCTTTAACATGGTAGTGAGTATTTGAGTACCTTAACCCTAGAGATGGTCGGAGGCAGCCTCTAGACACTTAGGACAGAGCTGCAAGAAGGCTAAAGGAATTCTTACTGCTATTTCTGATTGAGAGATTGAAGCAAAACTGAGATGCTTTGATCTAGAGTCAAAGAAAGGCCTGAGAAACACAGCAGGAGAACATCCTTGTCATTCCTTCTTTTCTACCCAGATAACTCTCTTTAACCTGCACCAATTTCTCCTTGTGTGTGCCTGCCCGTGGGGTTACAGCTGCCCTGACCCAGCCACCAGCCAAGGACCAGCAAGTATACAAAAGCCTTCTAGGCAAACAGTCTTCATGTTTAAGACCAGACTCTCCACCCTATTCTTATCATTACATTCCACTTTCTTCATTTAACTGCCTACTTGACCTCCAGACCCTATTTTCTTTGATTATTTTTCTCTTTATATCTCACTTAGCAGATTCTAATGATGTTTAACTTACATACAAAGATAACTTTTATGTATTATTTGGTTAATATTAAACCTAGGCTAAAAGAAACACAAATCAATTTTTTTGAGATAGGATCTCGCTCTGTTACCAAGGCTACAGTGCAGTGGTGCAATCATAACTCACTGCAGCCTTGACCTCCCTGACTCAAGTGATCCTCCTGCCTCAGCCTCTCAGGTATCTGGAACCCCAGGTGCACACCACCACACCCGGCTAATTTTCTTATTTTTTGTAGAGATGGGATTTTGCCATGTTGTCCAGGCTGATCTTGAACTCTTGGACTCTAGCAATCCACCTGCCTCAATCTCCCAAAATGCTGGGATTACAGACATAAACCTCTGCACCCAGCCCAAATTAAAATTTTAATATACGAAACACATGTTGAATTTTAAAATTTATTTATTGTGCAATATAACAGAAACATAAAACATATATATTCAATTTTGATAAGAAATTATATAGCAAACACCCATATAGGGACCATCAGATCGAGAAATGGAACATTACCACCTCAGAAGTTGCTAGAAGTATTACTATTATCATGACTTTTGTTTTGTTTTATTTTGCTTTTTAATGTTTTCTTAATAGCTTTACCTTCTACATATAAAACCCTAGATAATATAGTTTAATATTGGCTAATGCTCAACTTCATATATATATCCACGTATTTGTTAAGCTTACTTCTTTCACCCAGCATTTTGTGAGATTCAACCATATTGTTTTCTGTAACTTCAGACTTCAGTTTCATTGCTATAAAATATTGTTTTACGATTTTACTGAAATTTATTCATCTATTCCAGTATTATGGGCTTGGAATGATTTCCATTTTAGTGCTATTACAAACAATGCTGCTAAGTACATTCTTATTCATTTTTCTTAGTGAATATATGCCAGCATTTCTCCAAGATGTATATCCTAGAGCAAAATTTCTGGGCCATAGGTATGTATATATTCAATTGTGCTATATAATAAAAATTTGTTTTTCGAAGATTTTTGTCAATTTAAATTCTTTTTTTTAATTTTATTTTATTATTATTATACTTTAAGTTTTAGGGTACATGTGCACAATGTGCAGGTTAGTTACATATGTATACATGTGCCATGCTGGTGTGCTGCACCCATTAACTCGTCAGTTAGCATTAGGTATATCTCCTAAAGCTATCCCTCCCCCCTCCCCCCACCCCACAACAGTCCCCAGAGTGTGATGTTCCCCTTCCTGTGTCCATGTGTTCTCATTGTTCAATTCCCACCTATGAGTGAGAATATGCAGTGTTTGGTCTTTTGTTCTTGTGATAGTTTACTGAGAATGATGATTTCCAATTTCAACCATGTCCCTACAAAGGACATGAACTCATCATTTTTTATGGCTGCATAGTATTCCATGGTGTATATGTGCCACATTTTTTTAATCCAGTCTATCCTTGTTGGACATTTGGGTTGGTTCCAAGTCTTTGCTATTGTGAATAGTGCCGCAATAAACATACGTGTGCATGTGTCTTTATAGCAGCATGATTTATAGTCTTTTGGGTATATACCCAGTAATGGGATGGCTGGGTCAAATGGTATTTCTAGTTCTAGATCCCTGAGGAATCACCACACTGACTTCCACAATGGTTGAACTAGTTTACAGTCCCACCAACAGTGTAAAAGTGTTCCTATTTCTCCATATCCTCTCCAGCACCTGTTGTTTCCTGACTTTTTAATGATTACCATTCTAACTGGTGTGAGATGGTAGCTCATTGTGGTTTTGATTTGCATTTCTCTGATGGTCAGTGATAGTGAGCATTTTTTCATGTGTTTTTTGGCTGCATAAATGTCTTCTTTTGAGAAGTGTCTGTTCATGTCCTTCGCCCACTTTTTGATGGGGTTGTTTGTTTCTTTCTTATAAATTTGTTTGAGTTCATTGTAGATTCTGGATATTAGCCCTTTGTCAGATGAGTAGGTTGTGAAAATTGTCTCCCATTTTGTAGGTTGCCTGTTCACTCTGATGGTAGTTTCTTTTGCTGTGCAGAAGCTCTTTAGTTTAATGAGATCCCATTTGTCAATTTTGGCTTTTGTTGCCATTGCTTTTGGTGTTTTAGACATGAAGTCCTTGCCCATGCCTATGTCCTGAATGGTAATGCCTAGGTTTTCTTCTAGTTTTTTTATGGTTTTAGGTCTAACATTTAAGTCTTCAATGCATCTTGAATTAATTTTTGTATAAGGTGTAAAGAAGGGATCCAGTTTCAGCTTTCTACATATGGCTAGCCAGTTTTCCCAGCACCATTTATTAAATAGGGAATCCTTTCCCCATTGCTTGTTTTTGTCAGGTTTGTCAAAGATCAGATAGTTGTAGATATGCAATTTAAATTCTTATAACAATCACATGAGAGTTTGCAGTTCTCTACATTCTCACCAATATTTGGTATGCCCTCCATGTTAAATTTTTACCAGTTTTGTGGGTGTGTCAGTGTAATTCATGGTAGTTTTAGTTTGCATTGCTTATCTTACCTAGGAACCTCATAAGTTAAGAGAGGCTATCAGTTACTTCCATTTTTTGAAAATCCTATGACATAGAAAAAAAAAGCTATGCCAAAAATACAAAGATGTCAACTAGTATGTGCTGTTTATCAGATAATTGCAATTTAAAAATAATAATCTGCAAAATACTATAAGCAGTGTGAGCCTCCAGGACTGGAATGCAATTTTAAACTCTTGTGTTGGACATCTTCAATCCCGTTAGCACAGACCTGGAATTATATGGATAAATCTCATTTGGAGATAACATCAAGTCTCAGATAACATTAAAAGGTCCCCTTCTCTTGGAGCACCTTTTCAAACAGAAGGCCTGAGATGAATGCTCATGGTGACTCCATCCACTACTCCTCGATTCACCACAATCCTGTCCCCTTCTCCACCACCCCCACTCTGCTCTCCCCACTCTTGCACTTGAGAAAGCCATCCTTAATGCCTGCTAGCCCTATTGGTTTCATCCTAATTTGCCTACCAATAAAATACTTTAAAATTGTGAAAGCTGCCGATGCTAAGATGGAGTCACTTACGTCAGACCCAAAGCAAAGCGGAGCCAGAGGGTCATGAGGAAGGGGCTCTCACGCTTGTATGTTTGAGATCAGAACTATTACAAAGGTGCTCTGAAGGTCTTTATGCATGTGTGCCTATGACAAGCACTATTACAAGAACTCTCTGCCAGCACACACACAAAAAAAATCCGGATTAAGTTGCTTCTATGAAGGCACCTTCCCAGCCACAGTCAGGGTTACTGATGTGTAATCACCAGCTCCTGCAGTGAGCCTCTATGGCTGATGGATTTTGTTTCAGAACAACTTACATAAAAGTTTTCTTTTTGCCTGTAACAGCTTCTTCTTGCCCAGCCTCTCTAGATATGCCCATGATTCAACATAGCCTGCGTGCCCTGGATTATAATCCTTCTGCTCATTCCCCCCAAAATTCACTTATTTGTAGAGGCTCTCTCTCTCTCTGTTATTTTTTTTTAGATTGACAAAATAAACAATGAGGGAAAACTTCAAAAATAATTTATGAAAGAAGAGTCTTCCAGATGTGTCAAGAGAAGGTGAAAGGACCTATTCTCCTACTTTGCTTTGGAGAGTATGTGTTTATTCACCAAGCACTGATTGATTAAGCACTACCATGTTCAAGGAAGTGTGCTAGGCACTATAGAGGAAATAAAGAAGAATAAAACCAAGAACCTGCCTTTCCTGAAGCTCATCTGCTGGTTGGGGGTCGAGGCATAAAAACAACCTACAAGAAGTCAGTTGGATGGTTAAGAGTTTTGTCACTCTTGGAAGATTCTCCAGGCAATCACTATTTCAGCCAGCACAGGTGTTGCTCTTTCTTCATATAAAAAAGATCAAGGATCCGAACTTATCTGAAAAGCTAAAGAGGTACCAAGTGTCCCCATTAGAATGGTGGGCTTTTCAGCAATTGTTGCATACGGATTACATGAGTTGAAGAGCAAGGGAAATACTAAAATGTCCATTCATGATCCACATGTGTGTAGCAGCCCAAGGCTTTGTTGTGGGAGCAGTGGCTCTTGTTGTGGGCTATTCCATGTTTCAGGAATTCTGGTTGAAACCTAAACCTTAGAAGAAGAGATGCCATCTTCATCTTATTGGATAAGTTCCCTTTAGTTACTCATTATTGAGCTTACATGTTTGTTGAAAATAAATCATTTGAATGGGCTTAGATGATTTTTAAAAAAATTATAACGCAATGTGATCAATTGCAGAGGGAATGAAGAGATTACAGGAGATGATCACTGAGTTAGAACTTGAAGTATGAGAAACAGTTTACCTAGAGGTAAGGAAGTATGTTTCCTATACAATTAGTAGCCTATATAAATAGTCACAGCATGGAGGATGTGCATGGTAGGCTGAGAGGACATATACAAGTGCTATGTGGACAGTCCGAAGGTATGCTTTGGAGATACAGAAAAGGGCAAAGAGTAAATGTAAAACTGGGGCAGATTCTGAAGGCATTAAGTGTCATGCCACACACAAACTATTAACAATAAATTATCAACCTTTTAAAAGAGAAGACCAAAATGATCATATTTGCATTTTACAAAGATAAATATTGTGACAGAGCAAATGTTCATTTGGGAAGAGGAGAAGAGGAGAAGACTACTCAATCTAGTTATTAAAATGAGAGCATTCACAGAGGAACACAGAGGTGAGAAGGGTGTGTTGTCAGCTGATTGTCCCTGGGTCTCTTTCAGCACCATCTTCTACTTTCCCGAATCACCTGCACAGTTCATGGCTGCTCTAGAGCTACCAACCCAATGGGTCTAGAAGCAGTCAACTGTTTCCTGGGGCAATAGATAGACCCTTGTGGGGGCCA
Source organism: Homo sapiens (assembly GCF_000001405.40). NCBI lineage: Eukaryota > Metazoa > Chordata > Mammalia > Primates > Hominidae > Homo > Homo sapiens. The sequence continues at coordinate 11,482,417 of NC_000012.12, forward strand.
GGCATAGCGCCTTACACCTGTAATCCCAGTGCTTTGGGAGGCCAAGAAAGGAGGATCGTTTGAGGCCAGGAGTTCCAGACCAGCCTGGGCAATATAGTGAGACACCCATCTCTACAAAGAAGTTTTAAAAAATAGATCCTTGAAAAAACCTGGGGCTGAACCTGTTTGGCATATTCCACATAAACTTTTTCTTTTTTCTTTTTTTTTTTTTTGAGACAGGGTCTTGCTCTGTTGCCCAGGTTGGAGTATAGTGGTTCAATCATGGTTCACTGCAATCTCAAACTCCTGGGCTCAATCGATCCTCCCACCTCAGCTTCCTGAGTAGCTGGGATTACAGGCATGCTCCATCATGCCTGACTAATTTTTGTATATTTAGTAGAGACAGGGTTTTGCCATGTTGCCCAGGCTAGTCTTGAACTTCTGGGTTCAAGAGATCCTCCCACCTCAGCCTCCCAAAATGCTGGGATTACAGTCGTGAGCCACAACGTCCAGCCAGAAGCTTCGAACTATAATATGTTGCTGTATCTAATCCACTTCTTAGATGAAGAAATTTAGCCCCAGAGAAGTTTAGTAACTCACCCAAGGTCAAACAACTTATCACTGGCTGAGTCAGGACTCAAATCTATCCCAAGACCGGAGGTTTCATGTTTCATGCAACAAAATGAAAACACAATAAGAACAAAACAAACCAAGAACCAAAACTCAGACTCTCTGTTTCTTGGGTCAGTTGTTTTTCTATGACTGAGTCACATCCAAGTGTGGATATTTTTAGGAAAAGCTCTAATAATTTCAGAGCTCTTACAATAGACTAGGCAGAGCAGCAAGCTCTGAAACACCCTAAATAAACATAGTTACTCCTCTGGGTGTTTTACTAAACTGGACAGTTCGGCCAGGGCTCTCCTTTGTACTTTCTGCATCACATGAGAAGAGGTTGAAGAATCTGTAGGAGTGCCTTAGTGTAGGCACAAAGCTAATCATGGTGGGGGAAACAAGCTCTTTAAGCAGCAATAGCAAAAAGCAGTGGGTCAGGTGGTTTTTTAGAGAGGCTGACATGAAAGGAAATTCAACAGAAGATAAGTGCACTTTCTGAGTTACTACTTTAGATGAAATACATGTAACCTGTCTGATGCAGAGTTAGGTAGGTAGCTAATGTGGGGTGTGATATAAGATAACCCAGACCCAAACCACATACCTACCATACCTCCAAAGCTGTCATTTACCGCCATAAGAAACAGTATTTGGGAGTGGTAAGTCATCGTCTCTAGAAACTCTTGCCTCTCCCTTCTATTCCTATTAAAGTGACTTAATAGGTGATGCATTATTTCATTCATTAATATCCTCCGTTGTGCTGCTTGGTAATACGTGCTATGGCAGCATGAGGGTTTAGGAGAAATGACTACAAAACAAATGTGGTTTACAGATGTTTTATTACAGACTCTCTTTTAATCCCCCAATCAGTTCTTTTATATAGATAATATTTTCCCCACTTAGGATGAGAAAACTGAGGCTCAGAGAGGTTAAGGGGATAGGCCCACGTTACATAGCCGGACAGAAGCAGAGCTGGGATTTTCCCTGTTGTTGTTGTTGCCTGTTGCTAGACACGGCCTTGCTCTGTCACCCAGGCTGGAATACAGTGGTGTGATCTTGGCTCACTGCAACTCATGCGACCCTCCCCGCTCAGCTTTCTGTGTAGCTGGGACTACAGGTACCCACCACCACACCCAGCTAATTTTTGTGTTTTTTGTAGAGATGAGGTTTCACCATGTTCTTGGGCTCAAGCCATTCACCCACCTCAGCTTTCCAAAGCACTGGGCTTACAGGCATAAGCCACCACTCCTAGCCTAGAGCTGGGATTTTAATCCATGCCTTCTGAAGGCAAATACTTATTCTTTTCATCACATCTGTTTGGTATATCAGCAGAAATCATTAAGACAAATGGGACTCACCACTGAAAAAAGGTACAAATATAACACATAAGAAAGTGTGGTATAAATAACAGATCCAAATTTAAAATATATATATTTAGAAAACCTTTATATCAACCAGCTTTCTAGATATTACTGAATATACTATGCTTGTGGATTTAAAATGTATCTAGGAAATACAAGCCCACGTCCTCACAGGTGCCTCCTAGGAAAAACCGGCAGGTTTGTGTTTGTTTTGTTTTTAATGATCTAAAAGAATTCAGCAGATAAATGTTTCCCCATATACCTGAAAAACCCACTCATCCTCTTAAGGCAGGTCACAAAACTGAAGAATTTTTAAACAAAGCAGAAATTTTAATCCAAATCTTTCTCCTATTCTGTTGGTGATAAACCGACTAAAAACAAAAGAACAAAACCACTGTTCTTTAAAGTTTAAACTTTCATCTGCACTCATTCTTTTTTTTTTTTTTTTAGACAGAGTCTCGCTCTGTCACCCAGGCTGGAGTGCAGTGGCGTGATCTCGGCTCACTGCAACCTCCACCTCTCAGGTTCAAGCGATTCTCGTAACTCAGCCTCCCGAGTAGCTGGATTACAGGCGCTCACCACTACGCCAAGCTAATTTTTTGTATTTTTAATAGAAAAGGGGTTTCTATTAAAAATGTTGACCAGGCTGGTCTCGAACTCCTGACCTTGTGATTCACCCACCTCGGCCTCCCAAAGTGCTGGGATTACAGGCAAGAGCCGCCGCGCCCAGCCTGCACTCATTCTTTAGAAGAATAATGCCCAAGACCACAGCCTGCAATGTGCACACAGTCACCTGGGCATCTTGTGAAAATGCGGATTCTGATTCTACGGGACTGAGGTGGGGCCTGAGACCCTGCATTTTAAACCAACCCCACACTCTGAGTAGCAAAGCCCTAAAATACTTTTGTTTGTTTAGGTTGACATATATTGTCAAATGCCGGCTTCTCTCAAACACCAGTGAAAGAACCTTTTCATAAGGCAAAGTTGAGTTTATTGCTCACCGCCATAGGGAGATGGCTACTGTGAACTGCTGGTCCCCAACCTTTTTTGGCACCAGGGACAGCTTCCATGGGACAATTTTTCTCCGGATGGGGTGGTCAGGTGGGGATAGTTTGGGGATGAAACTGTTCCACTTCAGATCATCAGACATTAGATTCTCATAAGGAGCACACAACCTAGATCCCTCACATGCACAGTTCACAATAGGGTTCGCACTGCTATGAGAATCTAAAGCTGCTGCTGATCTGACAGGAGGCGGAGTTCAGTCAGTAATGCTCACTTGCCTGCTTCCCACCTCCCGCTATGCAGCCTGGTTCCTAACAGGATACCTTTAGGTAAAGTTATTGCAGGGGTAGGAGACCCCTGCGGTAAACCAAAAATAGAATTTGAAGGCCCCTGGCAACGATCTGAATGGACTAACTCTTTGGCCAGGGCATGTAAAATTTAACCTGAAAGACTGGCTCAGGCCGTGACGGGAAGTGAGGGTTGGACATGCCTCATTAACATTAACACAGACCTTAAGTCTGATAAGAAATACTTACAATCTATTTTTCTTTAAAGCCTGCTACCTGGAGGCTTCATCTTCATGATAAAACCGTGGTCTCTACAACCCCTCCTGGTAACCCAGACATTCCTTTCGTAACTCTTTCAACCAATTCCCAATCAGAATATGTTTAAACCTACCTATGACCCGGAAGCTCCTCTTCTCTCCTCACCCTTCGAATTGTCCCACCCTTCCAGACCGAACCATGTAAATCTTCCGCATATTGATTGATGTCTCATTCTCCTAAAATTTATAAAAGCAAGCTGTACCCCAACCACCTTGGACACATGCTGTCAGGACCTCCTGAGGCACGTCCTTAACCTTGGCAAAAAAAAAAACTTTCTAAGTTGACTGAGACCTGTCTCAGATATTTTGGGTTCACACTATCTAGATTCTTAGTAGTGTCTCAAAGCCAGGTGCCAAAGTTGGGATATTTATAACATTGAAGGTGGGTCTTTCAAGGTGGGGGCATGAGGTTGATCAGAATTTGGTAAAGATCGTGATGTGGTAATTAAGGATCAGTAAATGCCATGGATTTTGAAGAGTCCTGAGGAGTAAAAGGTTGTTCAGCGCTATCAGCGGGAAAGTTGAACAGTCTGGTTTTCTCAAGGGTTGTTTTCTGGGGAATTTCCTGAAACAAAAAACAGTTACTTGCAATTTTTATCTTTCTGGACGAGAGTTTCCTGGAATAGCTGACTTTTGTTGAAGACAGTGAATAGTACAGTCATTGACAGTAAGCTGTCTGGGTGTCCATGCTTTCCGGTTTTAATACAAATCTGCACTCACATAAAATAGTGATTGCGCATCCGTTGTGACGTGGCGCTTTGGTGTCAGACAGCACCACCTGCTGGCTCATGAGGGTTAAAAACGTTTAGAACTGCAAAAGTTACTTTTAACAGCAGGGCTCTGCTGCCACCTATCGGTTTATTTTTAAACTTTTCAAATGTTTTTCTTTTATTTAATACAGGTCTACTATACTAAGCACCAATCATTCAAAAAAAAACAGGTGCTATAAGTAGAAATGTAGCGCAATATTGTGGAGGCGGACATGAAGGCAGGTGAGGTCCTGGTGAGGTGGTAGAAAGATGATTAAGGACAGGATACAGTGTACAGCCCAAAGGACAGAGTTGTCTATCTACTACGGATGACCAGTGTGGGGGCAGTTAGGGAAGCTTTACAGAGGTAAGGAACCCTAAGGTGTCTCTTGAATAAGAATTGACAAGTAGATATGAGAAGGAGGAGTTAGGAATTCCAGGCAGAAATACAGGCAATGTGAAGATATTGTGCTAGCTGGGTGATTTAGCGTGGCTGAACCACGAGGTGTAGCAACAGGTCCCAAGAGAGACATAGGAGGCCAGATCATGGAAGGCTTCATATGCCTGACTAAGGAGGTTATCCTGGAGGCAATGACTGGGGAATCACTGATGAGTATTAAGCAGGGAAAATACAGGATTAAATCAGTTTACAAACACCACTTCAGCAGAAGCATAGAGAATAGATTGGAAGAAAGTGAAATCGAAATTTGGTACATCAGTTTGGAGTCTTTTTTGTTACAAGTCATATAAACCTATTCTGCTCACTTAAATAAAAAGAGAAATTTATTGGAGATGTATCAAAAATGCGCCAAGTTATCAAGATGCTGGAAGATCAGACTAGGAAATGGGCAGGAGCATAGCTAGTTTGGAGTACGCACAGCAGCCGTCTCATGAATCTGACAGGCTTCTGCTGCAATAGGTCATCGCTGCCACCACTGCCCTGAATTAGTCCTAATCACCCCAGTGGGATCCCAGCTTGGCAGCTTTAGGCCATTTGCCCTTGCCTTGGTAGCCAGGTAGCAGAGTAAGGAATAATGAGCTGCTATGACTTCATAAAATGAGCATTAGTTAGGGTATCTGTCTGGCCACAGTAACAAAGACCAAAATTAACAATGACGCAAACCGAAGTGTATTTCTTCCTCCTACGAAGGCCCAAGTTGGTTTGGCAGCTCTTTGTGAAGCTATTGCTGGCCCAGCCTGCCTCTGCCTTTTCACTCTGCAATACTTCACGGGTTCCGTTGCACAGCCCAAGATGGCTCCTCCGATTCCCACCATCACTTTTCCATTCCAGCTAGCAGGAGCAAGGGGGAAAAATAAGATGGCATGTTCCTTTCTTTTAAGAGCACAACCTGGATGTGGCATATCTCTCTTCTAGTCACATGCCATTGTCCAGAACTTCATGACATAGCCACACCTAGCTACAAGAAAAACTAACAAAGTCAGGATCCTGTGTGGCCATGTGGGCAATTAAAATCCTACTACTAGGAAGAAGGGAAATGGGTATTGGAGGAACAACTAGAGGATCCCCAAAATAGGAAGTAAGAGGCTAGATTCTGGAATGGTCAAAAAATAAAAGATAAACGTCCAGTACAGGTGGTAGACTCTGTGTAAGAGATCAGAGGGATCAGAAATAAGGCAGGGAACAGGAGGATGGGAGCAAATGTTTTGAAATAATATGAAGAACTTAGATTCTTCAGGATTTGGAGCCTGATTTTATATAGGTGATAAGAGAAAAGGAGAGAAAGTTGAATCTCAATTTTCTGACCTTGGTGACGGAATAGATCTTTGTGCCATCCCCAAATAAGAAATATAATGGGAAGCATACATGTTTCAGAAAGGTCTACCTACCATTCCACTGGAGATGCCCAGTAGGTGGCCAAATATATCGTTTTTGACACAAGACAGATGGATTTGGTAATTGTCAGCATACTGGTGGTAGCTGAAGGTGTGGAAGATGATTACTTCACCAGGGAAGAACATGAAGCTTGAGACTAAAACAGGACTGAGGATGGAGGATTAAATTAATTTGTGAGCATACAATCAGAGTTAACCAAACCTGTTAACCAACCCCAGAGCTACAAGGAAAGCTATCAGAGCATAGTGCCAGTGATAACAGCTAGGTGAGCCACCTTCCAGTGTATCCCTGCCTTTTAACTCATCTTTTGTAAGCTAAAACATTGAAAAAGATACTCACCAGAAAGAAATACAAAATTTTCTTTAGATGCTGCCTAGAATGAGTACCTCAGCAGTGGAAATTATCACTGACATGATACAATTCAAGGAGTCAAAAAGGAGGCTGCTTTGGGCCATTCCTTCCCCACTGAAGTGACAAACCATTATTAACAGGAAATTTCTTTGTGTTAAGCATCTTTCACTGGAGGCTCATTCCCACAGAGGACTAACCCATTAAACTTCAAATATCTTGGGTAGTTTTTTTTCCAAATCATTTTTCTATCTGAAAGGAGAGGAAGAGGGAGCTCTGAAGAAGGGTTGAAGGCTACAAATAAAGGCTATCCTGTAGAATTTACTGCTTTACAATCTCTGGTTTATTACAGCTACTTCCATCTAGTAGTACTCTCTGTAGAACCTGAAAAACATAGATACAGTGGTCATTACAACAAAGTAGAACAATTTTGCTTCATAAATGTTTAGTCAATAATAGATGGGATCCTCATGCCCTTCACCATCAAGAAGTTTGCTCAACAGGTCAGTCTTTTTCTGTGAAAATAAAATAAACTGTTTTTATTTTTTAATCCCAGTATCCATCCTTAGATCGTCTCATTTTTTTCTCCTTGTTTTTCTTTTTTCAGCATGTAAAGTTACAGCTTGACCTTAGTGAAGCACTATGGACAGACATGAATAATTTTTAATAATATGAAGAATAATTACTGGGACAGTCAAAGTACCTGCTAATTATTTTTCATATGGCTAAAAATTATTCAGAATATTACTGGGACAGTCAAGTTACCTGCTAAAGTTCTGGGAGAATACAGAACTTCTGTGCTCTCTTCCCCTTTATTCATCACTTTTGAGTTATAATTTATATACAGTAACATTTATGTTTTTTAAGCCAGTCAAATTCAGCAGTGGGAGGACAGTAACTTTATCTTTTTGAAGTGTACACCTTGATGAATTTTGACAATTGTATATAGTCATTTACGCACCATCACCATCAACATATAGGAAATGTTTCACACCCCAAAGGGTTCCCCTGTCTTTAATCCCCACCTCTGACTCCCAACTCCTGTCTCCTGTTCTCTGATTTCTATGTTTACAGTTTTACTTTTTTCAGAATATTACACGAGTGAAGTCATATACTATGTAGTCTTTCATGTCTGATTTCTTTCATTTAATGAAATGCTCTTGAGATTTATCCATGCTGGCATGGGGATCTACAGTCTGTTCCTTTTGTTGTTGAGTAATATGCCACCATGTGGGTATGCCAAAATTTGTTTTTCCTTTCATCAGGTGATGGACATTTGGGTTGTTCCCAGTTTGTGGCTCTTATGGATGAATCAACTATAAACATTTACATACAGGCCTTAGTGTAGACATATATTTTCATTCCTCTTGGGAGTGGAACTGATGGGTCGTATGGGCACTTTATATTTAACTTTTTAGGTAACTAACAAACCGTTTTCCAAAACGGTGCTACTATTTTGAATTCTTACCAGAAATCCATGAGAGATCCATTTCCTTCACCTTCTCACCATCACTTGGTATTGTCTGTCTTTTTAACTTTAGTCATTCTCATGAGTGTTTTATGGTATCTCACTGTGGATTTAAGTTTCATTTCCTCAGTGAATAATAATGTTGAGTATTTTTTCATGCACTTATACACCACCCTTATTTAGGTGTCTGTTCAAATCTTTTCACCACTTTTTTTCTGAATTATTTGTCTTATTATTAAGTAGTAAGAGTGCTTTATATATTCTGGATACTAGCCCTTTGTTAGCAAGTGTCATAAACATTTTCTCCCAGTCTGTGGCTTATCTTCTCATTTTAAAAAATTTATTTTATTTGCTTACTTACTATTTTAGAGATGTATGCTGCCCAGGCTAGAGTGCAGTGACTACTCAGAGGCATGCAATCATTGTACACTACAATCATCAAACTCCTGGGCTCAAGCAATCCTTCCACCTCAGCATCTCAAGTAGCTGGGACTACTACAGGGGCATGCCACTGCACCCAGCTTTTATTTTCTTAATAGTGTTGTTCAAAAAACAAGTTTTTTAGATAAGCAGAAAGTGCGTGTGGAAAAAATAGAAGTTTTAAATTTTGGTGAAGTCCAATTTCTCATTTTTTTGTGGTTCATGCTTTTTGTATCCTATTTAGTGAATTAAAGAAGATATTAAATTCTGTGTTTTTAAATAAAATAAAGCTATAGTAATCAAGTTAATATAATATTGACATAAAGAGAGACATATAGATCAATGCAACAGAATAGAGAGTCAGTCCATTTGATCTTTGTTGTTACTGGGTTCATAATCCCAAAAGATACAACTCAAAATGCCACAATCTCAAATCCCGAAAGGTCAAATTCCTAAAATAAATCATAAAAAATTCTTTAAAAGACATTCATTTACATGTTTTAAAGAGGATTTATTTGAGAAACATAAAAACACAACAGACCATAGGCCACTTTACACAATAAAATGGACAATAATAACATACATATTTTCATAAACATAAACACTCAGGTATGCTAAAGACAGTCACATGGGTATAACAATTATGAATCATATTCACAAAGAAATAGGTCAAAAAGCCACATGGAGGGAAACGACACACACTGGGGCCTACTGGGGGGTGTCGGTGGGGAGGGAGAGCATCAGGAAGCATAGCTAATGGATGCTGGACTTAATACCTAGGTGATGGGTTGATCTGTGCAGCAAACCACCATGGCACACATTTACCTATGTAACAAACCTGCACACCCTGCTCATGAACACCTGAACTTAAAATAAAAGTTGAAGGAAAAAAAGGAAATAGGTCAAAAAGTGAAATGTATAAACGCATATCACTATGGTTAGTAAATGTGTGCACCCAGCTTTCTTAGTTCATCTGAAATACCGTGAAGAGCATCCTAAGTCTTTTGATGAGATCGATCAAAAATTGTGATGGGACAAGTTGGTCCCAGCTCTCAGAGACAGATCAATTCACCTTCTGTATTTGTTATCTCTGGGCTCCTGGGCTCCTGGCCCACGGCATGGTGTCTCCCACCACCAAGGGCAGATCTTCCCCACATAGTCCTCTCAGACTCATACATAATCTCCTGTGGAAACGTCCTCGCAGACACACCCAAAATAATGCTTTACCAGGTTTTTAGTTATTCCTTAATCTGGTTAAGTTTACATCTAAAATTAAGTCCACAAATTCACCTCTTGTTAACATGACACTTACTTGCATCTCCTTACACCATATTTAATTTCCAAATAAAGACCACAACAAGGTGCTAGTTCCACCAAACATGATGCAACTAACATGATACAACTACCTTTTATGCAACCAAAAATGCGCTAATCCCATCGCCAGAATTCAGCTTTCAGTATCTCAACATTTGGGGTTTCAACATTTGGGATTACAGCATTCGGAATTGTGTCTTTTGGGATTATAATTGGCATCATTATTACCACACCTAGAAAATTAATTGCTTAGTATCATTAAGTATTTCATGTTTCTATTTCTCTGATCTTAAAACGCTTTTTCCATTTGTTTGTTTGAATTGTTTTGCAGATATGATTCAGACCCTGTGATGAATTGAAATGTCTCCTAAGCCTCATTTTATCTATAAATTCCTCCTTTTGTCTATTTTTTCTTGCTTTTAAAAATCTTAATTGAAATAGCTGGGTTGTTTTTTCTATAGAATTTCCCCCACAGTCTGGATTTTGCTGAGCTACATGCCTTTAATGCCATTTAACACATTCTTCTGTTTTGTCTATTTCCTATACATTGGTAGTTACACCCTGAGGCTTGATCGGGCTCAGGGCCAATTTTTGCTCTGCAAGACTACATCATAGGTGTCAGCGGTTCTTCAGGAGGCATTTAATGTCTGTTTTCCTCTCCATTTGGACGCGGTCAGTCATTGAGAACCATTATCTGGCTCCGTAAGTGTGCATTCTGAGGCCAGTCCCTTCACTGTGCTTACTCACCAGACCAGTCACACACTAATAAGCAGCTACTGTAAAGGTGGGTGTCGGAGGGTAGAAATAGATAACATATAATTTGACCCGGAAGTAATAGGCAATCCACGGGGGAGCAAACTACAAACTACATTGGGAGACATAAAAACTATTATGGTCCACGCAAGTGGTGAAATTGAAGGCTCTAAAGGTAATATGACATCACAAAGGAGGGGGATAATCAGCATTCTTCAGCCCCTGGCCACCTGTCAGCATAAGAAAGCCTTTGACATGATTTCATGTTCACAATGTTTTTTCAAATAAATCAATAGAATAATGAGGCATCACATGACCCAGTGAAACATCTCAGCTTCATACATATAGTTTAAAAACAATGTAGCTTAGCAGCTGGACATGAAGAAAATATATTAACATTTCAATAGACGGAAAACTTGATATCACCAATAGTAAATGTCCTCTTACCGCCCAAATGTCTCTCCCACCCAATAATTAATGTGATCCTAGACTATATTAGCAGAATTATCAAATCTAGACTCTAAAAGATAATGATTCAATTCTATTCTACACCAGTCAAGACATTCCATGAGAACTACAAGAGGAAAATATCAAATACCATCACATTTACTTCTATACCCATATCTATATCTGTCTACGTGCTACCACAAACTATGGACACTCCTGGCATTGTATTTTTAAGTTGATGATTATACAGAATGTTTAAAAACCCCTGGGCTACACCATGAAGCAGATTTGATCAGTGGAAGCCATTTGAGCTGGTTTCATGTCCTTTTGCCATTTTCCCATAATTTTATTTGTTTGGCTCCTTTTTTTTTTCAGTACAAACATACATACACACACCAATTACATTTACATCTACACCTTTATCTGTATCTGTCTACCTACATACTAAAAACCATAAATCTACTGATACCTTCAATCCCAATCTAGTACCACAGATCACAGGGATCATTCCAGTTTCTTCTCTTTCTATACTTGCAATTTCCTTCTCAGATAGTGAAAAACCTGGCTTCCAATAACCTTAAATATATTTACCTATTTGATCAATCCCAGTGTATGTAACTTATCTCCCATCTTCCCTGCCACTCCCTCCCTGCTCTGACTCTGATTCCCATTGCAAGCCACTCTCCCATAAGATGCCTTCCTTAACTGGCTTGGGCTCTGACACTCCGCATCAGGACACACTCCTTCCTCACATTAACACTGTCTTCACCCAGTGCAGGTTCTGACACCCATACCAGGCTATGTTAGCTCTGTACCACCTCCCATACCAAAGATGGTTTAGGATTGAATTGTTCAGGAAGGGATGGGAAAGGAGAGAAAGTGAGAAAAAATAAAAGAAATCAGAAGAAAAACTAGACTTTTGGTAGAGAAGAAAAATAGATGAGGGTAGATTAGAGACACCAGTTAGGAATCTAGGAATCTTGCATTCCAAGTAAAGGGTAATGATAGTTTTATAGGACTGTGGCAGTGAGGTAGAAGTGAATCAAGTTGAGAAACGTTTAGGAAGTAAAATGGATGGAACTTGATGATAGATTCAATATAATGCATGAGAGAAAGGGAGAGAGTCATGTTGAGGATGACTCAACGGTTTCCAGCTTCATAGCTTTATGGATAATGATACCGTTGCTGAGCAAAGGAACACTGGAAAAGAACCATATTCTACATATCCACCAATTTCATTATTTCGTACATAGCATTAATATATCTCCCTTGTATTATAGTTATTTATAGGCATATAGGTTTCTGATATCAAGGCTTTTCAGAGGTTTGCAAAGTAAGGCCCACGGGTCAAATTAAGACCTGTTTGGCCCATAGCTAAGAATTGTCTTTACATTTTTAAGGTTGTTAAAAGAAAAAAAACAAAGATAAATATGTGACATAGACTGTATGTGGTCAGCAAAGTCTAAAATGTCTGCTCCCTGACTCTTTATTTAAAAAGTCTGGGGATCCCTGCTTTCTATGGTTCATTTTGTTTTATTAGATAATGAACACATGCTAATAAAGTTGAATTTAATACTTAAAAACAAGATATCTTCCAAGGAATTTAAAATTGTAAAATTAATACATAGGAAGCATAAGTTTCATGTGTATAGCATATAGAAAAATGCATAATTTTGAAGTTCAGAAAATGAAAAAAATTTGTTCTTAGTCAACAAAAATTCATAAAGAAAAAGAGTTTGTAAAAATGTGAAGGTTCACCTTGGATGAACACGTTGGAAGTAATTCAAGCATTATTGAATTTTTGTATTGAGATGAATGTGTTTTTAATCTTTCAAAATTATATATTATGGATGATAAATTATTTTCTCCTAAACACCAAGTTTTATTGCTTATAGTTTCTCAGTTTCACCTTTACTTTTTTAATGATAACTAGAATATCATTAACACAGAATGTTAATGAGTGAACCATGGCTCAACAGTTTAGTCAATGTGAAGCCAAATTCCAATGCCTCATTTATGATTGCACTTGTATAGAACCCAATAATTTTTTGATGTAAAACTATTGCTTCACCTTATCTACAGACCCCCACCACAGTCCACTTTGTGCCATGTTCTGTAGCTTGTACCTAGAATTAAGGTTTGGATATTTTTGCTGCTGGCTGCCTTTGGTAATTAATTTTATTTCGTCTAGTTTTCTTAAGAGGCAAGGTTACAGGAATTGCCATGTAAATGAATATGCAAGTTAGTAACTTAAGCTTATAGCCAATGCACTATATTTTTAATAGGATAGTAGCTGGATTGATCTGTTTTGCATACAGGTGGTTTTATACAAAGCATATTAGGCATGGGGGAAGGAGCAAAAAAGGAGGGAGAAAGACAGAGACTCTGTCCTGTCCCCTCCATCCAATGAACCAAACTTTAAACACTTAGTTTACGGCAGACTTCCTTTATGATGCATTTTCTTATCCCTCCCTTATCTGTTTTTGAGTTTAGTGTTAACTGTTTTTTTTTAATACCCCACCATATGTTGTTCAAATGTCTATCTATACAACTGTCACACTTCAGGACAGTTGGTCCACATTTCTACTCCTGCCTGCTAGACTGAAGACTCCTTAGGGAAAAGACTGCACCTCCTCTATCTTTCTAGTCCCCTTACCTAATACAGTGCCTACCACGAAGCAGGTAGGTTTGTAAGATGAAGGAATCCATGGATAGTTTGTAATTCTTGGGAGATGACAATGCCTAGTGGGAGTGGCCAGAAGGATTCTTTAAGGATGAAAAAGAATGAAGAGTAATAAGGGGAGGCTGAATGTTGGATGTTCTGGGAGTCACTCCTTCTCCTCTGTGGTTTCTGACCATTGAGAGATCAAATGGGGATGACAGCAGAGATGGCTAAGTTGTCCCCACTATCTATTCTCTCCTTCTTCCAAGGTGATGGAGTCCTCAAATTTTGCCTAAATACATGACTACCCACAAATGAGACTTCAATTCCCAGCATCTCTTGCAGGTGGGTGTGGTCATGTGACTGACATCTGGCCAATGGGATGTAGGCATGTGCTCAATGGCAGTTTCTAGGCCATTGCTTCCTTTTCTCTCCTCATCCTCCAACCTCGATTAAAAGGTCAAGGGCTACATCCAAGGAATGGTGGGGCAGAAAGGAGGAAGGAGCCTGGTATCCCAAGGACTTCATAGGGCAGAGCTGATACACAAGCTTCATAATACAAAATCTGGACTATTGCCTGAGAAAGAAATTAATATTTTTTCATCCTTTCTCTCTTTTCTTTTTCTTTCTTTCTTTCTTTTCCTTCTTTCTTTCCCTCTCTCTTTCTTTCTTTCCCTCTCTCTTTCTTTCTTTTCTTCTTTGTCTTCTTTTCCTTTCTTTTCTTTCTTTCTACCAGCTTTTCCTAGCTTTTTATTGTGGTAAAATAGACCTAACCTAAAATTTACCATCAAAACCATTTTTAAGCATACAGCTCAGTGGCATTCGCACATTTACACTGCTGTGCAGCCGTCACCACCAGCCATTTCCAGGACTTTGCCATCATCCCAACCTGAAACTCTACCCATGAAACACAAGCTGCCCAACTCCCACCTTGTTTCCCCATCCCTGGCGGCCACTGCTTCTGCTGCTATGAACTGGACTGTTCTAGGCACCTCACATAAGTGGACTCACACAATATCTGTCCTTTCATGTCTAGCTTCTCTATTTAATTTTTTTTAATAAAACCTTTTAAGAGACAGGGGTCTCATTATTTTGCCCAGGCTGGTCATGAACTCCTGGCCTCTGGTGATCCTCCCACGTCATCATGACTGACTTCTCTATTTAATTTTTTTTTCTTTTTTTTTTTAAGATGGAGCGTTGCTCTGTCACCCAGGCTGGAGTGCAGTGGTGCAATCTCGGCTCTCTGCAACCTCCACCTCCCAGCTTTCAAGCAATTCTGCCTCAGCCTCCCGAGTAGCTGGGAATACATGTGCATGCTACCACGCCCAGCTAATTTTTTGTATTTTTAGTAGAGACAGGGTTTCACCATATTAGCCAGGATGGTCTTGATCTCTCGACCTTGTGATCCGCCCACCTCGACCTCCCAAAGTGCTGGGATTACAGGCGTGAGTCACTGTGCCTGGCCTCTATTTATTTTTTAAAGGTGGGTGGGAACTAAGTGGACCATAGAGGAGCTTCCCGCACAGGTAAAGACAAGGTCGGGTGTACTGAGAGACGCAGGAAAGTGGGTCAGGGTGTAGGGCTGGAGGGCAGCTATGGCCTCTGGGCCTGGACTATGGCCTCTGCCCCGGGGCACACACAGAGCAAGGGCTGCCCAGAGGAGCCAAGACTGGCTGTCAGCCTGGCCCTGAGCCCAGGGGGAAGGCAGTGAGGGACAGAGGACAGAGTACACAGGTCCTGTCTTTGGCCATAAGCAACCCGAAATGAGGCTTAGTCTCCTTCCTGGAAGCCCACTCTGTGCCTCACATGGTGGGCCCCAGCGTGAAGTATGTGACTGCGTGACTCCAGTTCCTATGTTGACCAGGATGTTCTTGAACTCCTGGGGCCAAGAAATCCTCCCACCTCAGCCTTCCAAAGTTCTGGGATTATAGGTGTAAGCCACTGCTCCCCACCTGGAATGCTGTCTTTGTACCAGCTCCCTGGGCCTGGTAGAGAGGCACACATTCTGCTAAGAGACTTTTCCTGACTTCCCTAACCCTAGAAGGGATTTGTCCCTCCTTATTTTACTCATGGCTGGATTAGAGTTCCATTGTTTTTGAGGCTATTTTCCTGGCCAGTGCAGGGTCTCATTCATTTCTGTAGTGATCATGGTCTGCACTGAAGACAGGATCAGTAGATGTTTGCAGACAGAATGAATAAACCACTAATCAGTCTCTTAATGCTTGAATGGACTTGCTACTTCCTTGTTTCGATTTGTGTCTGTACAATCCCCTCACATGGATAGTACAGTAAACACACACGGACTCCCTCAGATGTGGTAACTAACACGGAATTCATCTTAAGATATGCAAAGAAAGTATCTTACATCTTTATCCGCCTCCTGATCTTACAGATGGGAGAACTGAGGCAGAAGACTAAGTTAAGATGGCCAGCAAATTTGCACTGGTATAAATACAAACAAAGGGAGGGGAGGAACATTCTTGAAAGGGGTGTGGTGGTCTCAGATGGTTGGGTTCCTCGGATGGTGGAGGATCAGTTGGCCGTGCCTTGGTTATCTGACAGGAGGGAAGAGAAGTGGGAGGTGAGGAGTAGTTCCTGGGTCCTCATGAGTATTTGAGGCAGGTTCAGGTCTGAGAAGCCAAGGATATCCTTCCTGGAAGCCTGAGTTAGGAGGAGGAACTCACTGCTGGAGAAAAAGTTGAAGAGGAAGGAAGACAGACATCTCAGATCATGGGAAGTGCTGGCCTGAGGAGGCGAGGACAGAACCATCAGGGTAGAAGTAGGGGCTGAGGAAGCCGGCAGGGGGAGCAGAGGAGTAGGTACCAGCATGGTGAAGAGGTGCAGTGCATTGTGTATGATACACACATTATTATTATTGGGAATAACCGTGTATCAGAGTGCAGTTCTCAGCCTGAAGAATGGGAAATGGAAAGGATCAGAGATTCAGAGAAGGCACATGGCCCTTTAAGACCAAATGAAGCCTCCTAGGCATTTCCTGCCACACTCACCCAGGCCCACCCACACCTCTGTTGCAATGGAGGGCCTCACTACAGTGCCCAGTAGAGCTGGCCTAGGGCACAATGCCAGGCCTGATGAATGTCTTTCTGGCCATGTTCAAGCAACAGGCTGTGATTAGGCCTAATTATAGGGGCCTGGTCTCTTAATATTCTGCGTGGCATGTCTCTTGCCAATCAAATCAGTGCCATGTGCAGTGTGATTCCTGCTTTAGTGGCATTGGGGGAGGAGTTAATTCAACCCAGTATAAATAGATTGTGCTCTCACCTTGCAATTTGAGGATTATTTTTCCCACCTGTCATGCACCTCCTTCCTTCTGGCTCCCTAAGCTCTAGTCTGGGTGAGCAGGGCCTGGACACTGCTATACCTAGAGTCACTAGCCACTGCCCAGTCTGTGTAAGAAGCAGGCCTCGAATTCCTCAGGGTTAGAGTGGGAAGAACCCATGTGTGCACATTTGCTTTTCCAACCTGGGCACCATTTGGCAGCTGATTCGGGCAATTCTCTCACCACCACCACACTGCCCATGTATCCCTGTTTCCAGCCTCTGTTTTCCTCTGCAGCCAGGGCTCCTTTCTTGTATACCCAAGGTGGGGAGCTGAACTGAGATCATGTATGGACAGGGTTCTTGGCAGGTACCAAGCACCTTATAAGGGGTGAGGAAATGTTGCTCCTTCTCCAAGTTCCTCCATTTTCCCTACCAATTACCCAGCCCCTGGTCCTGCCCATTCCCTCCCTCATTCACTCAGCAGCTATCAGCAGAATCCCATCTCCTATGAGCTCCTGGCCTCCCACCAAATGCTCTGTCTCCCATCCCCACCTTTATAGACTGAAGCTGTGCACACGATTAGGATAAGGGCTGTGGTGTCTCAACACCACGCTACCTGAGGTAAGTGGGTGCCGGTGGGCGTGGGTGGCTCTGATGCTCTGGCTCCCACCCACAGGCACCATGACTCCTGCGAGGACCCAGCATCCCCTGGCAGATCAGACCTATGCCTTGTCCCACATCCCACCAGACCTGCAGTGAGAGGAGGCCGTCCGGCAGGTGGCAGATGCCCGGCAGTGCCTGCAGAAGGTCCCTGGAGACATCTTCAGCAGGTGGGTGCTGCCACCCATCCCCCACCTGATCAGAGGGCCGCCCCCTGTCCTTCTGCGGTCACCTGCGTTTATCCTGCTTCCCTCCCACGCCCGAACCTCTTGCTCGCCTCCTCCCTCTTCTCAATGCCCTGCGAGTAGCAAAGCCTCCTCTGGACGCCAAGAGACAGGAAGGGCTGCCCTGGGCCATGACCCTGCCCCGCGGTGGGTGTGTGAAAGTCAGGGTGGCAGTGACGCGGCGCCTGCGGCGAGAGGAAGACTAGGCCAGGGGGAGAAGGAAGAAAGCCGACCGCTGGGCTGCTGGGATCCCGCGCCCTCGCGCTCCCCACCGCCGCCCAGGCGCAGGAAGGGCTCAAGAGGCTGGCGGGCGGCTTGGAGAGACTTCTGGAGAATCCGGTGCGCCGGGCTCTACCTCAAGGAGCTCAGGGCCATCGTGCTGAACCAACAGAGGCTCGTCCGCACCCAGCGCCAGAGCATCGACGAGCTGGAGCGGCGGCTGAACGAGCTGAGCGCCTAGAATCGCAGCCTGTGGGAGCATCCGCAGCTGCCGCAAGCGCAGCCTCCGCCCGGATTCCTTACCTCGTAGCCGTCCCCGCTGCCGGCCCTCCTAGGCACCGCTGCCGCCGCCACCGCCGGGGCCCAGGAACATCTTCAGGACCACGGACAGCGCTCATCCGCCCGGCCACTGCCCGCGCCCGAGCTGGCATCGTTTCAGAACCACGAACAGCTCCTGGCGCAACCCGAGCCAGACCCTGGAGGCAGGGCTCACACAACCCAGTCGCCCCATCAGCACCCGGGAACACTTGGGGTCAAGGCCAACAAGGAGAAGAAAGGTCCCCCGGGTTGCTGCGCTGCCCCCGGAACCCCCCTTCAGCAAGAATCTCCCGCGCCCTCGGCAAGGGAGTCCTGAGCAGGAGACCTGAGTGAGCGGGGAAGAGCAGATGAGCACTGCTGTGGTGGAAGCAAGGGAAGCAAGCGGGTGTGAGGGGGAGATGCAGAAATTGGGTGCGTGGGAGTCTAAAGGACCTGGGTGATGTGGCGCGAAGGGGTGAGAAGATGCTTGGGGGCAGAAGCCTGACAGGGAGATTTCGGGGAAAAGAGGGGAAAATATTAGTGTTTGAGAAGGTTTTGGGGAATGTTGGCGCAAAAAGGAGTAACCAGATCATCAGTAGGGGCAAAAGACGAAAGAAAGAGGATATTTAAGCGATTGGGGATATTGGGAACTGGCAGCATTTAAAGGGACTAGACTAGAAGGAAGTTGGAGTGAAGATCAAACTGAAGAAAATAGAACCATTGAAATATTTTTTTAAGTTAGAAAAAAAATGGAAGGGAGTTTCAGTAGTAGAAGTATTTGAATGGAGAGTGAGATACGAAAAAGTCAGAGACATGGAGGCATGCGAAGAGCTTTACAAGGGCTGGGGCCAAGGAAGAGTAGGACTGGGGTAGAGGGGAATTCAGAAGGTGGAGAACAACGCTGAAAAGCAGGAGTGATGTGGGAAACCAGGGGAGCTGGAGGCAGAGGAAGAGAAAATGTGGCTCTTTACCTGGTGCGGCGGGAGTCACAGCCAAGAGGGGCTCATTTGGGGAAGTTTTCTCTACTCTGACCCAAGTGAGCACCTTTCTTCTGAGCACCCCCCAAAGTGGGGTGCTCACTTCAAAGTGAGCCGAAGGGGTGGAAGTGTTGCAAGGAAACACCCATCAAACCAATGAAGAACTCACATATACCTTGAGGACTCCGTCTGGTAATAGCGTTTTCCTCCGACTCAAGGAGGATTTTCATGCAATAGCGTTGGCCATCGTGGAAAGGGAACAATGACATGGGGGATGGTTGGCAGATGGAGTTGATATTCGGTTGTCATGCCTGTTTTAATCTTCTTGTTAGGGCCAGCAACTGCAAACCTTATTTCCTTTTGGCTATTTGCTGATCACTAAAATCTCATCGTGGGTCATGAGAGAAATGCTATCCTCCCAGGACCTAGGACCTCAAGCTCTTTCTTCACTCAGGAGGTCCATAAACTAGGAATATGGGAAGAAACCTTAAACGGGCTGGAATATTCTCTTCTCTGTACTGAAAAGTCTGTGCCCATGTCAGCTTTCCTTCTCTGATTAGACAGGTGATGGGAAACTGCATGGAAGACCAGTGAGAGGGAAATTGTATCTGGTCAGCACCTGGCCTTGACAATGGTGATGCTCAAGGGGATGGAGAGAGGTAAAGTAGAGCTGAGGATCTCATCTTCATTCAGTCTCATGTGTGCTTCAAATCTTGGGGATAACTGTGAAGATTTGCTGTATTCCTTAAAACTCATTTTTTTTCTCTCGTCTGTTGTGGACTTAGAGAAGCTAAGTTAGGGCATGTTAGCTCACAGTGTAAGCTGACCAGAACCATAGAATCTAAGAGGAAACATCGAAGATGATCTGGCTTGGCAGACCTACAACATTTCATTCAAGTCCCAAAAACATGCAGTTTTCTATCCCATTTCCTTCAAAGACCCATTTGCACTTCCCTCAGTTTCACCTGTTTTTTTTTCTGTTTTTTTCTTTTTTTTTTTTGGTTGTTTTGTTTCATTTCTTTGTCTAGCATAAAAAGCAGAAAATCAGTTTTCCCTCA
Organism: Homo sapiens; assembly: GCF_000001405.40. Classification (NCBI taxonomy): domain Eukaryota; kingdom Metazoa; phylum Chordata; class Mammalia; order Primates; family Hominidae; genus Homo; species Homo sapiens. The sequence continues at coordinate 11,502,707 of NC_000012.12, forward strand.
TTCCTCAAGGCTCAGCAAAAAGGGACATTCTTCCACGATACTAAGTGGTCTTTTCTCCTAAGGAGAGAGAACTTTTCCTTCTTTGGGGTAAATGCCAAAGAGTATAATTGCTCGGTCACATGAGAAGTGCACGTTTGGTTTTTGAAGAAACTGCCAAAATACTTTGCAGAGTCACTATACCGTGTTCTAGTCATGCCCACGATGTATGAAAGATCCAGTTTCTTTGCATCCTTGCTAACATTTTGTGTCATTTTTTATCTTATCCATTCTAACAGGCATAGTGGTAGCCCATTGTGGTTTTAATTTGCATTTCTTAATGGCTAATGTTGCTGACCATATTTATATGTGCATATTTGCTGATCACATTTTCTTTGGTGAAATGTCTCTTCGTGTCTTTTGACCATTTTCTCATGGGATAGTGTTTTAAAATGTATTGAGTTTTGAGAGTTTTTCATAGATTCTATATATAAGTCCTTTGTTATATGGTTTGAAGATGTTTTCACTCAGTCTGTAGCATTTCTTTTTGTCCCTGTAATAGGATCCTTCACAGAGCAAGAGCCCTAAATTATTTTGAAGTTCACCTTACCAGTTTTTCCTTCTATGAATTGTTTTTGTGTCATGTCTCAGAACTAGGTGTTGAAATTTCTCCTGTTTTCTTCTAAAAGTTTAATAGCTTTCCATGTTAAATTTAAATCTGTGATCCATTGAAATTAATTTTGATATAAGATAGGAATTTTAGGTTGAGGTTCAAATTTTGCACATGAAAATGCCATTGTTCCCATAGCATTTGGTGAAGGATTCTCGTTTCTCTATTGAGTTGCCTTTGCAGCTTTGTTGGAAATCACTTGGCCATGTTTGTGTAGATCCACTTCTGGACTTTGTGTTCTGTTCCACTGGTCTGTATATCCAGCCCTTCCCCAAAACACACACTGTCGTGACTCCTCTAACATCAGAGTAGGACTTCAAACTGTGTAGCACAATTCCTCCTACTGAATTCATCTTTTTATCTTTACCTTTTCATATAAATTTAGGAATCAGTTTGTCTATACAGACAAAATATCCTGTGCTGAGATTTTGGTGGATTTGCTTTAAAGGAATACATCAATTTTGGAAGAATTAAAATTTTTAGTGTGTTGAGTTTTCCCATCCATGAATATATCTCTTCATTTGTTTGGGCTTTCTTTGATTTTGTTTATAGCATTTTTGGTTTTCAGAATACAGATTCTTATATACCTAAGAATTTCATTTTTCAGAGGTATTATAAATGGAATTTTTGCAAAATTTTAAATGTCCAGTTATTACTAGCATATAAATATTGAATTTAGTTTTATATGTTGACCTTGTATTATTTCTGGGTTTTCTTCCCCCCAAGGAAGTCACTTTTCTACACAAGGAAGTCACTCTGGCTCTCTCTCCATGTTTGTCTACACAGTGCCTGCCCTTCCAGGAGTAGGAAAGTCCCTCATCTAGAGCTCAACCTTGGGCCTTAAGAGTGTGTGGTGGGGGGTGTTCAAGCATCCCGCCAACAATGTGGAGATGTGGCAGAAACCCATTTACCTGTTACATTGGTATTTGGCTCCACAAAGAAATGTTTCATTGCTTTGTCATAAAAATAAATTAATGAATTAAGTTAAAACAAAAAGTGGCTCCACAAAGAAGCCGTGTAAGCATCTGCCCATTGGACTTCCTTCAATGCACCATCCCTCTCACCAGGCTGTGGGGAGGACAGGGAGCTGGGGCTGGGAAGGGCAGCAGGAAGAGGAAGGTGTGCTTAGGGACAGGCAAAGGTGCCCCATCCCTGACAATTGTAGGACACTTCTTTCCCCATATATTTCCCTACAACTTCCTAAAATTGTAGCTGCTGGAGAACCTGGACTCTGGTGACTGAGGGCTGCCCTGTGAGTGAGGTTAGGGCTTTCCCATCTGCCTTCACACAGGAGCCTGTGTCACATGGCACCTGGGCAGCACAAGGAGAGGAACATCAATAGAGGGGGAACAGGGTGGCACACACCCTCACACCTCACCAGGTAGGCTGATATGGCTGGAAAAACACCAACAGATGAAAAGCACCCTTTTCTCATCTTCCCAAAGTAAATCCTTGAGACATCAGCTGCTCCACACGCTGGTCACTGTGGGTGGGGAGCTGAACACCTCCTTCCATGAAATGGGAAAAGACACAGAGGGAGTCAAAATACGCCCCTTGTTTGCCTGCCTTCACCCTCCCCAGTCCTCTCTGTGCTGGTATTTGCCCCAGAGCCAGGTCTTCTTTAAAAACCAAAATTACTCCAGCCTCTGTCAGCAAGTGTTTGACTCCCCTGGGGTTTTAAAGAGGTCTTCTCAGGCCCCTGATTTCTGTTCCCTGACACCTGCCTCATCAGCAAGCGCACATAAGTAGCTGCCTACAAGCATCCTATAATCACTCAGTAGATGAACAGCAGGGCTAATAGGGACCCCAGTGGGCATCCAAGCCTTGATTCAATGAGACATAGATTTGACAGATTCCCATCATGTACAGATGCACCTAATGGAATGAAACTTCATGCCCTTTATTTACCTTAGGTGCGTGTATTGCACCCTGGTGAGTCCTACTCTACTTTAGTCTGTTCTATTTTATTAAAAAATCAATTCACAATCCCTACTGGTTCAGCCTGCCATCCAAGAAGCACTGTTGCATTCCAACCCCATTTTCCAGACAAGACCATGGACTCACTGATCCATGGTTCCACCCCACACCTCTGAGGATGACTTCACACCTGTTCCTGGCACAGTACAGAGACTTGAAGTACTTATAGATGTGCACGAATGCTGGTTGTGCAAAGACCACATGTGTATATGCCTGCAAGCCTTATTCTCATTCTCAGCCAGGTAAGGCCTCTTTATATTTTTTTCTTTTGCATATCACCCTCACTCTTGCAGAGCACACTTCTGTTTGTTTGATCTTGTGCATGGTACCCATTAAGGTCACCCTGCTCTCAACCTTCTCTGAAGCCTATACCCCTCAGTGTTGTACCACTCTGAGGGAGATTAGTGAGAAACTGTCTGTATTATCTTTCTCTTCTGAGACCCTCCTAGTTTCCTAGTTTGTGGAATCTCCCTGAGGATTGAGACCAGGTTCTTCATGACATAGCAGAGTGCCTGAGTGTACCAAGAACTCTAGAAGGACTAAAATATGTTAAAATACAGGTTTTTTCTGATTTCTAAGGTAGGTGGTGGTCATGTATTAATTTGTATTCTCTAAGAATCAATGTAGAGAATAGTATCTCATAAGGAACATCAGATTATTTATCTATTTATCTTGGTTTTACAGTGGCTATGTTTCACCGAGTCAGAAAAGTAGTTCTGTCACCCCCGCTGCCCCATTTTCTGGCAGGGACACAAAGGCACAGGATGGTTGAGTGATCTGTCAAGAGTCACTGGTTGGGACTATTTCCATGTTTTTCCTTACTCACTAGATTCTTCTTTCTATGCCAGAGGAAAAGGAGGCATCTCTGCTAATCCTCCCCCCACTTCCCAAGAAGAAAGCACCAGGTCCCCTGAAAGCCACATGCTGTGCTGGCCTGGCTGCTGCTCCCCGACACTCCCCGGGGAGAGGGGCCTGGTGCCCCCTCCCACCACCTCCAGCCACACCTCTCCTGTCTTCAAAAGCCGATGAGGCTAGTCCTTCCTCACTCTAAAGTCCTTTCAGAAAACCTTCTGAAACAGTGTGTCTCCAACTGCTATGAATGCCACCCACAGTCATAAAGATGTTTCACACAGAGATCACCTAGATATATACAGATATTGGCAATTCAGCCAGTGTTGCACAACACAGTATTTAACTTTGTGAAATTTGATGCACTCTGATGGTTTCTATTTTGATATGCTATGCTATGCTATGCTATTCTTTTAAGGGCCCATTATAACTGACCAAGTGGATGTCATAACTTTTAATGAATCTAGATCTGCAGCTAAAATACTTCAAAAATTCCAGCAAGGACAAAAACGCAGGCCTAGATTTGCCACCAGTGCCCTCTTCTGGGCAGTTTTATTATAAGTACTGCCTTGAAACATTGTTTAATTGTCAACATCTGTATGTGTGAACTGAGTCTCACCAGAAAATAGATTTATGTCTGTTGGTTACAGCTTAAAAGATTTAAGAAGCAATGTTTAGAAATACTCCTGGTGAAAAGGCCAAGCTAAAAAGGACGTGTGTGTGTGTGTGTGTGTGTGTGTGTGTGTGTGAGAGAGAGAGAGAGAGAGAGAGAGGCAGAGAGAGAGAGAGAAAGAGAGAGGCAGAGAGAGAGAGATAGGCTGTACGGATTTTTCTCTGTGATCTCCTCTCCTCCTGCAAATTAGCCCGAGGTGGGATCTCAGAGACCTGGCCCTGCCTCCCCAAACCCATTCCCACACCGAGGCCAGCCTGGGAAGAGGGCAACAGAGCTCATATCTCTGTGGAGAGGAGGCTGGGCTCAATGCAGGCCTCTGTGTCGTTGTTCATCTTCACTTCATAGGTCTTGTCCTGAGACCCCTCCTGCTGACACACCATGGTTGTCTGGCTCTCCCAGGAAAAGCACCTACAGTGTTCAAGATGGAGAAAATCATCAGGAACTGCCACCCTCCCCCACTTTGCTCAGCACACGTGCACACATTACTCATGCACACACACACATGTACATGCATGCACAAATATGTGCACATACACACATGTGAACATGCGTGCAATTTCTGTGGCTTCATTCTCCTGTGATGGCCGATGAAACCATGGAGCCACAGAAGTGTTAAGATTAGGGAGAAGGTTTCATGTGGGAGAAGGACATCTGGTGTTGGATCCGAGGAGATCTGAGTCCTGACCCCAAGTCACTTATCCTCTGGCCCAAGTCACTTAGCCCACCCCATTCCTCAGTTTCCCTTTCTATGAAATTTATATTACATATGCCCTGCCTAACTCAGAGGCAACAGATGAGACATTGCTCTGGGGGTGGAAAGAGCCGGGTTTGACTGAAGGGTCCTAGGCTGTGCCATATAGGGCAGGGTGGACCCATGAGAAGACTGTTCCCCATCCGCCCCCAGCTGTGACAGCTAGGCCTTTGAAAATTTGGCACATCTCAGATGTCCCTGTCATCCTATTTTGATGGTGCCCTTGATTCTGACACCTGCTCCCTGGATTAAAGACACAGAGAGGAAACCTCACCTAGAGGGTTTTGCTCTCCTGAGCAGAGGGCAGTGAGCCTGAGTCCTTGCTGAGTCTAAATCCCTCCTGATGTCCACACCCTTCCACACTAAGATGTGCCTTTCCCACTGGGACACGGTCTTCTGGTCACTGGGTCATGTCTTCTTTAGCTCTGGGCCATGAGCTCTTCCTTTTCTTATCTGTGCTCAGCTCAGTGCCTCCCTCTGTCTTACTTCCTGTAGACCCTGCATGCCCGGCACGCTTTATCCTCAGACCACTGAGGGCATCAGAGAAAGATCCCAGTCCATCCTCTCAGTGCTGAGAGCTGAATCAGTGCCCCTGGCTTTGAGTATCTCAGGCAGGGTAAGGGCAGTTCTCTCTCGTGGAGGCCTGCAGATCGCCACCTGCCCCGCAGTGGGAAGGAAAGATGAGAGGTGAGAGCTCCAGGTAGATTAGGAGGCGAGGGAGATAGAGTGGGCTTTGGAGAGGAACGGGGGGATGAACTGGAGATGCAGAGTGTCAGCAGGCAATAGCATTTCTGGGGACCACCGGGCACAGGATGTGCTGGCCTATCCTCAACACAAGCAATGCTGGTACCTGAGCTGTCCTTAACTTTGAGCTGCAACACGGAGGACAAGGCCCAGGAGCAGGAATGTGGGCTACACTTTTCTTCATCAAGCTGAATCTTGGCACCCTGTGTGTTGTTTGTCCCAACTGCAGTGGGCAGAGAGGGAACCAACACTTCATGAGCACTGACTGTGGGCTGGGCACTGCTAGGTGCTTTGCGTGTGTTTTGCTTCACAAAGAGATGCATCTGTGGGGACAAGGAAATCCCTGGGGTCTCCTCCCCCAGCTCCTCTAAACATCCCTCTCCTCTTACATCATAGAGAACAAAGCTTCACAAGAAAATGCCCTTAGAAGCTGGGGAATAAATCCACCCTGAGCTGCTAAAGTTGGACATGGAGCCCTCCTTAAGCAGAGGCTTGGATGGGGCCAGCAGGGAAGAAGGCGGTGTGGGGACTGAGTCAGCACCTCTCTGGAATGAGAGTCTCCCGACCTACTTTCAGGCAAGGCAAGTCAGAGAATTCCTTTCTGGCCACGCTTCACGGGAGAAAGGGTCAGAGAGTTACCTTCCTGCTCCTGCTGTTTTCTGCATTTCCTTCCATGTAAAATATTCAGCAGACCAAGGGGCCACATGTTGGGGTAATGTGTTCTGGACCCTGACACTATCCTCCTACCTCTCTGACCATTTCCTCTCTGTTTCTTTGTGGAGTTCTCTCCCAGGCGTCCATCCCCGTCCATCATGGGGACCCTGCCAGGGAGGGTGGGAGGAGGAAGCCAGGGATCTGGGGTGATCTGAGGACAGCCTGAGAGGACATGATGAGACGGAGGGGGCAGGGTTAAAGGGCCAACTACATTAGGTTGATTCGCATGAAATTGCTGATATTTGGTCATTTTTTACTTACAAAAATCATAAGTTCATCTGGTTCAAACTAAAACTTCAAAACTTGCTTCAGTAGGGTTCATGTTGAACTGGACTTGCAGCCAGGCAGTTGGGAACTCAAGGCACTTACAGGAAGGTGACTGGAAGCCTTGCAGCAAGGCTTCTCTGTGCACCTTGCAGCGTCGCAGTCACAGCAGGAAGCACATGCTTCACTTAGGAAGCAGGGGACTCATGTGGAATCCTGTCTAGCCACAAAGTCACTCTTCTCCAGCTGAAAAGTGTATAGCCGACTTATCATAAAACTCCCTCTCACTACTGCAGGAGGACAGAGAAAGTACAGCACATTTCTGCACCTCCGAGACTGGGAAGCCTGCTCTGGGTGATCTTGCAGAGCAGGCCCTGTGGTTACATTGTTGTGTGGATCTGCACAGCAGGCTGGAAGGCAGAGTCACAGCTAGAGCTTTAGAAATAGCGTGGGTAAAGAGGTGGTTCTTCAAGGATATGTGCAGAAAATTCTCTGCCAATACAAAAGGCTTGCTAAAAGGAAGCCTCCAATGCAAGGCAGCGGATGAGTGGCTTACCACCTGTGGATCTTAGTCAAGTCAATCTCTCTGAGCCTCAGTTTCCTCATCTATAAATGGGAATGATAATACCTACCTCTTAAGACCGTGCATCAGCTTGCCGGGGCTTCCATACCAGCTACCACAGACTGGGTGGCTTAAACAACAGAAATGCATTTTCTCACAGTTCTGGAGCCTGGAAGTCTGAGATTGAAGTGCCGTCAGGGTTGGTTTCTGGGGAGGGCTCTCTTCCTGGCTTGCTGATGGCTGCCTTCTTGCCTCATGTGGCCTCTTCTCTGTGCACATGCAGAGAAAGAGATCTCTTGTGTCTCTTCCCCTACTTATAAGGACTCCAGTCCTATCAGATTAAGGTCCCACACTTACAACCTCATTTAACCTTTATACCTCCTTATAGGCCCTATCTTCAAATAGTCATATTAGGGTTTAGGGCTTCCATACATGAATTTTGGGGGGACACAATTCAACTCATAACACACTTTTTTGAGGCTCACAGGGCGTAGATTGTACTCTGAAAATGGTAGCTCTTTGGATGTGGGTCATCCAGAAGGTCTAGCAGGTTGCAACAAATCAGGCTGATGAAGAAAGATCTGACCAGACCAAGACCAAGATATCCCCAGATCCTTGGAGAAGAACTGAACATGAGCACCAGACCCCACTCAACAGCATCAATATTTTGCTACTCCTCTACTTATCCTATATTCACTGGTTATATAAATATAATTTATATATATATAAATGCACTGGTTGTATAAATATAACTATATTTAAATTATATTTATAAATTATAAATACATATGTATATTTAAATTATATTTATATATATTCATTGGCTATATAAATATAATTAACTGGTTGTTATAAAAAACCTGTGGCTTTCTTTCCTCGATGCCACCTTTTCTCTCACTTCCTGGGCTCAGTCACCCCCAGCTGTGCCTTATCTCCTTCCCTGCTATCCAGTGAGCTCAGGCCTCCATCCTTGATGGCTTGGCTATGAGCAGTCACTTCCTGTCTGAACTTTGCCTTCATCCAGTCCAATGCATTCACATCACAGACAGGCTGTTCATGTACAGTGCAGACCAGATCCTGTCACTTCCCTACCTGAAATGTTTCAGTGACTTCCTACTATTTTAGGATAAACCCAAGATGTTAACAGGTTCACAGGGCTGGCATCATCTGCTCTGGCTCCTGCATGTGCCTCACCCTGGGTGGCTGCACCCCCACATTTCTTCCACTGACTCAGATGCCTCTGGTCTCTGCCATCTGCTCTGCCCTCTCCTGCCTGCTCCCACAACCTTGTCCCAAATTCACTTTTCAGAGCCCAGATACTAAGTCACACAACTTTTTCTGGGGCCTTTTTTTGGGGGAGGTGGGCAGGCTACAGCCCATGTGCTCATGGGGACCCTGTTTCTCCAGTCCTGACAGTTACCTCACCACACTGAGTCTCTGTTCCTTTTAGGCTCTGAGGTCCAGGAGGCAGCTGGCTGTGTCTGCAGTCTTGTTTATTGTGGCCACTGGCACTGTGTCTACCCCATAGCAAAGCTAAGGGAGGACTGGTTGAATCAATTATCTTTTATGAATCATTTTTAATATTTCTGCACATATGTTCACAGAAGACTTATTCACAATAGCCCAAAGGTGGGAACAACCCAAGCGTTCGCAGAGGAATGAATGGATACGCAATGTGGTCTATCCATACGATGGGATATTATCCAGGCTTAAAAGGGAATGACATTCTGACACACCCTGCTACATGAATGAACCTTGAGGACATCATGCAAAGTGAAATAAGCCAGACACAAAAGGCAACATATTGCATGATTCCACTTCTAAGAATTACCTAGAGTCATCCATTTCGTAGGGACAGAGAATGGAGAAATGTTTGCCAGGGCTGGAGGAGAAGGGAATGGAGAGTTTGTGTTTAATGGGTACAGAATTTCAGGTTGGGAAGATGACAATGTTCTGTGGATGGATGGTGGTGACAGTTGCCCGACAATGTGACTGTGCCCAGTGCCACCAGACTGTATGCTGAAAATGACTAAGATGGTAAATTTTATGTTTTGCATTCTTTCCACAATTAAAAAAAAAAAGAAACTTCAAATACTTCGGGGTGAGGAGCAGAGAGAGTAGTGTGTCAAATTTTTCTTTTCCTGAAAGAAGCCATTTAAATATAAGTTAGTAAACAGCTTCTTTAAATACCCAAAAAAATGTGAACTGAAGCAATCAGACTACTATCCTTCTAACTGGTAGATATGATGTGGAAATGTTAAGTTTATTTATGAAAAATGAATCATATCATTTTGAAACCTTAGGAGAGGATAGGTCAAGGCTGACTGGCAGGCAGGGCAATGGCAGGTGTAGGGAAGTGGACTGCAGGCAGCCAGGGCAGACATGCTTACCAGGAAATGAGCAATTGAACATGGAAAAGAGGGCAGGATAAGTGGAAACATCTATTTAAAACTTTGGTTTATCATCTATGAAGGTCAGAAAGAATAAATGATTCTAGGCCAGATGCAGTGGCTCATGCCTGTAATCCCAGCACTTTGGGAGGCCAAGGCGGGCAGATCACCTGAGGTCAGGAGTTCAAGACCAGCCTGGCCAACATGGTGAAACCCTGTCTCTACTGAAAATACAAAAATTAGCTGGGCGTGATGGTGGGCGCCCGTAATCCCAGCTGCTCAGGAGGCTGAAACAGGAGAATCGCTTGAACCTGGGAGGTGGAGGTTGCAGTGAGCTGAGATCATGCCATTGCTCCCAGCCTGAGTAACAAGACTGAAACTCCATCTCAAAAAAAAAATAATAATAAACGATTCTCCTCTGCTCTCAGGATCTCCTCTGTTCCAAGTTTAAGAGTTTAAGCAACAAGGTGGGAACATCACTGTGGCCATTCCAGGCCACTTGAAGACAGGTTCTGAAGGAAGGCAGAAGGCTTGTATCTGGCCAGCTGTGTGTGATCCCTGCATATCCTGGTGTTGGATGAGGCAGACAGACTTCTGGACATGGGATTTGAGGCAAGCATAAATACCATCCTGGAGTTTTTGCCAAAGCAGAGGAGAACAGGCCTTTTCTCTGCCACTCAGAAGCAGGAAGTGGAGAACTTGGGGAGAGTGGGATGCCGGAACCCTGTCCAGTCTCAGTGAAGAAGGGTGTGGCAGCCAGCAGTGCCCAGAACACCACTCTCCCCTGGAAAACTACTACATGGTATGCAAGGCAGATGAGAAATTTAATCAGCTGCTACATTTTCTTCGCAGTCATAAGCAAGAGCAACACCTGGTCTTCTTTAGCACTTGCACCTGTGTGGAATACTACAGGAAGGCTCTGGAGGTGCTGATGAAGAGTGTGAAGATTGTGTGCATCCATGGAAAGATGAAATACGATCTTCATGCAAATTGAAAATTGCAATTGTTCTGCAAATTGCAAAGTGGAATTTTAGTGTGCACTGATGTGGTGGCCCAGGAATCAATGTTCCTGAAGTAAACTGGGTTTTGCAGTACAATCGCCCCTACAATGCAAGTGCCTTTGTGCAGCACTGTAGCCGCACAGCCCTCATTGGCCACAGAGGCAGAGCTCTGGTGTTCCTCCTGCCCGTGGAAGAGTCATACATCAATTTCCTTGCAATTAACCAAAAATGCCCCCTGGCGGAGATGAAACTCTAGAAAAACACAGCTGACCTTCTGCCAAAACTCAAGTCCATGACCCTGGCAGAAAAATCTGTGTTTGAAAAGGGCATGAAAGCTTTTGTGTCCTATGTCCAGGCTTATGCAAAGTAAGAATGCAACCTGATTTTCAGATTAAATAATCTTGATTTTGCAAGTCTTGCTCGAGGTTTTTCCCTGCTGAGAATGCCCAAGATGCCAGAATTGAGAGGAAAGCAGTTTCCAGATTTTGTGCCTGTGGACATTAATACAGACACTATTTCATTTAAAGATAAAATTAGAGAAAAGCAGAGGCAGAAATTACTGGAGCAACAAAGGAAAGAGAAAAACAGAAAATGAAGGGAGAAGAAAATTCATAAAAAATAAAGATTGGTCGAAGCAGAAGGCCAAAAAAGAGAAGAAGAAAAACATGAATGAGATAAGGAAAAGGGAAGCATGTTCTGATACAAAGATGAGGACATGGAAGAACTTCTCAATGATTCAGAGCTCTTGAAAAAAATTTTTAAAGGCAAAATTACTGAAGAATTTGAGAAGGACTTATTGACAAGTGGCAAAAGAACAATCAAGACAGCCAATTTAATGTCTCAGATTTGGAAGATGACTGCTAATACCAGGGCCACAGATAAACCCATAAGGGCATAGCTGTTTCCTAACTTGGTGGATGATTCCTATTTGCTTTTACCGCAAATCAAAACTTCAGGAGACATCTGAGAAGAATTACATCTCTGAAAGCTCTCCTTTCAGACTAGGGAGAAATGAGGGATTTCACACTCATGAATATTTGACTAAAAACATTCCAGTCTTGAAGTAGTTGAACAGAAGAAAATGTAAAATTATTTGAGTGTAAATAATAGATTTCCATATTTATTTATTATGATGGGTCATATATGTGTGTGTGTGTGTGTGTGTGTGTGTGTGTGTGTGTGTGAGCTCATTTTTTCCAAGGCTATTTTATAGTTATTTGCAAACATTAAGATACTGAAGTATACTTGGTTTTAAATTTTTAAAGGCCCCTAAGTACTTTTAGGCACCTGACGTCCCTGAGTGTTCTTGGCCCTGGACTTCAGTTATCCTTCAATGCCCTGCAGAGGTGGCTAATGTGCTGAAGTTTTTCTATGTTAAGAATAGTCCTGGCCGGGCGCGGTGACTCACGCCTGTAATCCCAGCGTTTGGGAGGCCGAGTCGGGCGAATCACGAGGTCAATAGATCGAGATTATCCTGGCCAACGTGGTGAAACCCCATCTCTACTAAAAATACAAAAATTAGCCGGGCGTGGTGGCACGAGCCTGTAGTCCCAGCTACTCGGGAGGCTGAGGCAGGAGAATTGCTTGAACCCGGGAGGTGGATGTTGCAGTGAGCCGAGATCGTGCCACTGCACTCCAGCCCGGTGACAGAGAGAGACTCCATCTCAAACAAACGAACAAAAAGAATAGCCCCAGTATTGTTTTATTGGTGAACAGCTGAAAAACAGAGAAATTAAGTCGTATTTTGGGAAAGATAATTCTAATTTTTATGCCTTCTGTTGAATAAACTGTGTCCTTCTAAAAAACAGAAATGATAAGCATTTGGATAGTTAATATAATTGAACAAATAAATACATATGTGCATATATATTTATAATATACTTTTGAAGAGAATATTTTTAAAATACAGTGAACACTGATTTTTTTAATAATACAGTTTGGTTTGGTAAAAATGAATAATTTAAAAATGTGTCCAAGTATTAAGGGCTCATTTACTCATCTTTCTCTACTTTTTACCAAGAATTTTTTATAAAAACAGAGGAACAAATTTGAAGTATTTTCTCTTCTTCGTGACTTTGCCTTTAGAAATAGATGTTAATGAACTGTGAAATGGACACAAGTGGGTAAAAAAATGAGTTGAAATGGACATGTGAGTGTAAACTGGGCATAAATGGAAAAAGGGAAGAGTCTAATGGTTTCAGTTCCAAATTCAATACCTGGGAACTATTGGCCTGATGGCTTCATCTTTAGAATGAAGTAGATAAAAACCCAAATTGTTGCATTCTTTAAAAATAGCATTCAGTCATTAATGAAAGAATTTTAAGGTTGATGAGTGGTGAAATATAATTCTAAATTATATGAGGTAAAATGTCTTTCTAACATGTTCAACAATTCCTTTAGTAATATCAATTTTTGAGCATAAGTGGTATTTGAGCAATAAAAAATACACAGTATAAAGGACAGGTCACATAGAGTGTGACATTCCAACTGAACAACTGAATAACCTATTTAATTTAACTTAAAAATGTCTAATTTTCATTAAATAATGCTTCACCAACTTAACATAATGATTGGTTTGGTAATCCTTTTAATTGGACTTTTTAATGATTTAGGAATATAAAATTGTTTAAATAATTCATGCCATCTTAGTTGTCATTTTAAATTTATGTAATTGGTAGAAAATGTAAAAATATGTTTTTAAAATGCCTTTTAAATGCTTGTTGTTGGCAGTAATTTTTTTTTTTTTTTTTTTGGAGTCTCACTCTGTCACCCAGGCTGGAGTGCAATGGCATGATCTCGGCTCACTGCAACCTCTGCCTCCAGGGTTCAAGCAATTCTCCTGCCTCAGCCTCCCAAGTAGCTGGGATTACAGGCACGTGCCACCACACCTGGCTAATTTTTGTATTTTTAGTACAGAAGGGGTTTCACCATGTTGGTCAGGCTGGTCTCGAACTCCTGACCTCAGGTGATCCACCTGCTTTGAACTTCCAAAGGCAATAAATTTTAATCAACTATTTTTCAACTTTATTTCTGCAGTGAGGCAACAATTTTTGAAAGTGGTTATACTTCTAATCTCAAACATAGCTTTGTGAAGAGCCACATGGAGGAAAGGAATTAATAGTCAAAAGGTATAACACGAGACTCCAACCTTGAGAAGGTGATCCTGGCATAGCGCATGATACTGTCAAAATCATATCTTTCTTCAAGTGAGTTTACTTCTCCAGGATCCCTCTTCATAAAATTGTACTCTTCACCTAAGAACCAGGGATAAACAGAATCTTAGAAGCCTTTTCACTGACAGAAAAGAGAACAGAAAAGTCCTTTCTACACCTGTATCTGTTATGAAATGAATGATTTTCTTGCTGGTTGTATTTACAAACTTAACACCCAGGCACATGCAAAAAGCATATGTCTTAACTCTGTTATCACATTGAAATGCAATATTGAATAGGACCAATCCATTAATTTATTCAAGAAAGTAGGCTACCAAAAGCATAATTTGAGCTTTTTTTATATGTATACTCTTTTACTACCTCACAATAATATTTATTTCTTTAAAATTTTACTGCTTTTTGGTACTGTATAAATGATTATAAAAAGTTATGTTTTCATCTAATGAATTTCCCACTTTTATGACTAGATTTGCCAGGTCTCACAAAAATTATCTTCCTGCTTGGTTTAAATCCTTTCTATAAACAATATGAAAAGATATAAAAACAATATTAGTATAAACACAACTCTACAGGCTTTGGCTATGTGACTTCATCACTCAAGATTAAACAACAGCAGCAAATTCTCTACTTTCTTTTTTTTTTTTTTTTTTAAGACAAGATCTCTCTCTGTCACCCAGGCTGAAGTGCGGTGGAATGATCTTGGTTCACTGCAGTCCCCCAACCTCCAGGGCTCAAGGGATCCTTCCACCTCAGCCTTCTACGTAACTGGGATTACAAGCCAGTGTCACCAGGCCCAGCTAATTTTTGTTTTTTTGTTTTGTTTTGTTTTGTTTTGTTTTTAGAGACGGGGTTGCATCTCTACTTTCATTTAAAAATGAAACAAGGTTCTCCTTGATGAAAAAGAGCTTCTACTTTGAGATCAAGAACATACTTCAGAACTTTTTTTTAACTTCTGAACATCTTTTTTGTTGTTGTTGTTTTGTTTTTTGTTTTTTTTGAGACGGAGTCTCGCTCTGTCGCCCAGCCTGGAGTGCAGTGGTGCGATCTCGGCTCACTGCAAGCTCCGTCTGCTGGGTTCAGGCCAGTCTCCTGCCTCAGCTTCCTGAGTAGCTGGGACTACAGGCGCCTGCCACCACACCCGGCTATTTTTTGTTTTTGTTTGTTGTTTGTTTGTTTGTTTGTATTTTTAGTAGAGACGGGGTTTCACCGTGTTAGCCAGGATGGTCTCGATCTCCTGACCTCGTGATCTGCCCGCTTTGGCCTCCCAAAGTGCTGGGATTACAGGCGTGAGCCACCGCACCCGGCCACATCTTCATTTTTAATAGATTTTTCCAACTATCTGTTTGTATCTACATTATAGTATTCTTTCTTGAAATTTGAAAAGAACACAGACTTAAATATGTAGGTCTACATCAATGGTTTCAGAAACAAAGATTTTCTTCACATAGAGTTTAAGTGTCAGTGACTCATTTTTACAATTTAAACAGCCAAAGATAGTGCAAGTCATAAGATTTGTGTTACTTTAAAAAGCTTTGAAACATCAAAATACAAAGATGTGCTATTGGAATTCCAATTTTATGTTTGGAGCTCAAAATGGAACTACTATGCCACTCATCTATGTAGGTTTTTATTCCAAGTGCCATATTTTAATAATATATAAAAAAAAAAACAATAAAGAAACTGAGAGATGCCACAGGTTATAACGTCTCTGCTTACATGTGATAAAGGAAATCTGGTATATTCATTTGAGCATTAAGGAGGAGAAATCAATCAGGAGTTACAAACTAAAGTGTTTTAGCCCCGCTTTGAATGAATTCACATAATAAATAATTTTAAATTAACTAACCAGACCTTATGGTAAAATATGTGGTCCACCATTTCTGTGTCTGTCTATGTCATAACTGCTTTTCAGAAAGACCCTGCCTTCTCTTCAACCCCTCATAGAGGCAACTGGTAAAGCTCCTGTCCTATAAGGAATTTTAAGTACAAGATAGCATATCCAATTGTAAGGACAGATTTTCAAAAAGGTACAGACCTCATTACACAGGTGGTAACCCATAAGATTTCAATTTACAGCATAATATAAGAATAGACTCTCTAACTAAAGCAAAATACTCCATAAAAATTTGTGAAACTAAAACATTAAGCAACAGCAATAGATTCCATTGCATATAACTGAGAACACGTACACGACACGCTATTTTTTTGTTAGTTAAAAAGAACATGGCCACACGTAGTCCAAATAAAAGAAAATTAGACATTTCATGAAAGAAGCAAAGAGAAACAGAGATGCATAGCACCAAGGGAAACCATATTTACCCATTTAAAAATGGCAAACTCTTGAAAGCATATTCTAATGTGGATTAAAGTAATCCAATCTTAACACTGATAGGGTTCCTATCATAATCACTTATTTTGCATATAAACATAAAGCTAAAGTTTGTGCTTATTAGGCATCACCCTTGAATAACACTTGATCTTGTTTCTTAGTGAGGGCAAGTCACACTCTTGTTGAAGGTTCATCTCCAACCTGAACACTTTCACACTGGAATTGCTCTGCTATAGTACTTCCAATTACTCAGGAAACCTCACCCAATAAATTGTTTTCTCCATTGGCCTGAACGTTCAGTCAAAGAATATTAAGAGCCATAATTTACTTAGCACTGTTTTAGGATTATATTTTTATTTATACGATTTATATACTTTTTCCTTGTTTTGGGTACATATTTATGTTGAACCAGAATTATCTTTTTAAGAGTAAGAACCATTTTTGAAAGTTACATCCTTTTTAATTTTTTTTGTCCACATAATAAAATGTTTAGCAAATAGAGGAAACTAAAGAACTGTGGTTAACAGCAAGCTTCTTCTCATTTACATGGTAGTTGAATTAATTTTGAGAATTATTTCTCTTTATTTCCCTCCTAATGATATAAAATATAAAATGAACCTTGACAGTTGGCTCAGGCATTGGAGTCTTCTCCATAGAGGTGTATAAATTTTCTTCACTTATTTTTGATATCTAATTCTACAGCTTACCTCACCATTCTTGATATGATTTCTTGAAACGAAATGATTCCACTGATTTTTCTCTTACCTCACAACACCTTCTCGGTCTTTTGGGGGATACTCTATCAAATGTTGCTTAAATATTGTTTTTATCCATTTTCTGGACTTTTTTCCTTCTCTCTCCAGTTTTCCCCTAGATGGTCAAAACTACACCAAATACTTATCTTTAGATACATCCTAAAGTCCAGACTCACTTTTTTTTTTTGTCTACAGAAGGAGGATCATACAAAGCCTTCTCAAACTCAAGGATGTGCTTAATGAAACCATTATTTATCTTTCTCTTCCTCAGAACATGCCGTTTTATCAACATTTCAATATATCAAATGTCTACTGTTATGGTATCAATGTTCATCTTGTTTCCTAAAATAAAATTTTGGAAGATTTCTCCTCCCATGTGATGTTCCTCTTAAACATTTGTGAGAGACTTTGCCCTCTTCTTCCCCTTGACCTGTACTACCCTAACTGAGAAGCTAGTTACCTCTCCTAACTACTTAGTTAGGCTTCTTATAGGTTACTTTGACTTCAGGCACATCCCAGGCACACCCCACCCCCCGCCACCACTAGCTAATGATTCCTACAGCTGACTGCAAAAATGAGTTCTCTCGTTTTACAATCTGAACTTTCTTTGCTTATAATCCTTCTATTATTTCTCAGTAGCTAGAGAATAAAATCTCAATTTCCCATACTTAGACAAAGCTTTCTGTGATCTAATCTCTCCAGGTACCAACTAATGTCCTACTTGTAACTTACCCACAGCCACCATGGACTGACAAAAAATGATACCATTTTCTGTACTTGTAGCTTTGCTCACGAAGTTTTTGTAGCCTAGAAATTTCACCACTCTTCTGTCCAGCATTTCTCCTTTACTTCTAAACTTCAGTTCCTTTGTAACATTTCCCTTGACTCACCAAGGCACATTTTATCATGCCTTGCTTGGGCCCTATGGTATTCTCATCACATAAACATTGCCACTTTTTTCGCTCACTTGCAGTCATTTGTATACATGCATACATACCACACTAAGCTATGTGTTTTTATGATAGTATCTTCAACACCTAATATCACCTCAATTAATAATTGGCACTAAATAAGTGATGAGCAAGTACAGAGATCAGTGTTGTTGATTACAGAAGAAGCCAAGGAACTCAATGTTTGTAAAACTGGCCATTAATAAGAATAAAAACACATTTTTACTTTGCTTATGCTTAAAATACATGCTTAAAATACCTTACAAGAAAATTCCAACCAACGAGATTTTTTGGCAATTGAAATATACAGATGTTTATGAGTATAAAAGTTAATCGAATGAAAATCTTTACAAAGAGGGTATTATCAAACATCAACTATCAGAGAAAATTAGATTTTAATTAAAATTACATTTCAATTACTGATAACATTCTTAATAAATTATCTTTATAGTAGTCAATTTTAAGAGGACAATCTCAAAAAAAAAATTCCAGGCTATCCCAGAAATAACTAATTTCACTGGAATATTTTCCAGAAACTGTATGGGGTATAACATAGATTTCTATAGTAGTGGCATGTTTCATGGCAAACCCTGGGCCCTGTCTTAATCTTGATAACATAAATTATAGAACTAAGTACAAAAATGCTTAAGTAAAAAGGAACATTTAATAATATTACTTTATGGTTTAGTAGCCCCAATCTTGGAAAGCGCAGAAGTTTAGAAATAAAACAGCTTAATCTTTAAAAAGAAAGCAAGCCTAAAATGTGCATGAAATCATTCAGCCTCTAGGAAAAAAATTAAAGTATAAAATCATCATGAGTAATTTTTAATTCAGCAAAGTGTTGATTCTACCATATCAAAAATATGTTTACATATTCTACTATATTCTACCATATGTTGATTCTACCATATCAAAAATATGTTTACATTTTTTTTGTAAACAATGTAAGAAGTTAAATAATAAGCCATGTAAATGCAATTCAAAAAGATCCAGTCAGCCTTAATCCCAACACATCCTATACCTGTCACCTGGTCAGGTGTTTTCTCTTATGCCTGTTACATGGCTATCTCGATCTGGTCATGTGTGTTCATGCCAAATGCCTATCTTACGGCCCAGTGCCTGAGCAACATTTCCAAATTATCACAGTTCTTGCCAACAGAGGCTGCCTGACATCCCTTTCCCCACCGACCTACATAGGAGCAGCCCCAGGAATAAAATAGAAAGTGGAGATGGTGGTGGAAAGGTGAAGCTGGATGACTTACAATATGGTGAAATGTTTGTACAGAATTGTGATGAACCATAACGTCCAACACAGTCAGAGGCAGAACAGCTTTTTATTAATGAGTGTGGCTAATTTCTAGTATCCTTTCAAATTTATGTATAATAAAATTTCCAAATAATGAGTTCAAATGCTTTTGTAATTATCTATACATTAGAAACTTTGCTTTAAATCATTTTAGAAGTATTTAGAAGATACATCAGAAAATAAAATACTTATCATGATGATGATTTTTCTTTTTTTTTTTTTTTTTTGAGATGGAGTCTCACTCTGTCACCCAGGCTGGAGTACAGTGGCGCCATCTCGGCTCACTGCTAACTCCGCCTCCCAGGTTCAAGCGATTCTCCTGCCTGTCTCCTGAGTAGCTGGGACTACAGGCGCACGCCACCACGCCTGGCTAATTTTTGTATTTTTAGCAGAGACCGGGTTTCACCGTGTTGTCCAGGATGGTCTCGATCTCCTGACCTCGTGATCCACCTGCCTTGGCCTCCCAAAGTGCTGGGATTACAGGCGTGAGCCACTGCACCCGGCCCGTAATGATGATTAATGTTCTATTATACATATAGTTAAGTTGAAGACATCAATGCACATTTATTTCTAATATAATTTTATCCTCACGATTCATGTTAATAACTTAGGTAGCTACTTTGTTAATATGGTTGTCTGGCAGTAAATCAATATTATTTCAGTATTAAATACAAAAATAAGGAAAGTTTATTTTCCCTCTTTGAGAAAAACAGAATTAAATTTATACATGAAAGGTGTTAGTTAATCAATAAAGGATTTTCCTACTCATGGAAGAGTTGTCTTTTATAAAAGAAGAAAACTTTTAAAAGAAGTTAATTGAAAAAAAATAATTTTGGCCAAGTGCAGTGGCTCATGCCTGCAATCCCAGCCATCAGTTTGGGAAGCTGAGGCAGGATGGTTGCTTGAGGTCAGGAGTTTGAGACCAGCCTGGGCAACATAGCAAGACCCCATCTCTACAGAAAATTTTTTTAATTAGCTGGGCATGGTGACACATGCCTGTACTCCTAGGTACTTGGAAGACTGAGGTGGAAGGATTACTTGAGCCTGGGAATTTGGGGCTTTAGTGACCTAGGATCATGCCTGTGCACTCCAGCCTGGGCAGCAGATCTAGATGCTGTCTCTAAAAAGGACAAAAAAAGAAAATTATTTTCAAAAGGCGAATTATCTAAGGTTAATGGTTAACTGGTGCTAGAGACTGAACGTTTATATCCCCTAAAAATTTGTATGTTGAAATTCAACCCCCAAGGTAATGGTATTTGAAGGTGGAGCCTTTAAAAGTCGATTAAGTCAAGAGGGTTCTGCCTTTACACGGGGACCAATGCCTTTATAAAAGAGACCCCAGAGAATGCCCTCACCCTCTTCTACCATGTGAGAACATAGCAAGAACACACCTCACATCTGTGTATGCACCAGAGTGGGCCCTCACCAGACACCAAATCTGCAGCACCCCCAGCCTCCAGAACTGTGAGAAACAAATGTTTGTTGTTTAAAAGCCACCTAGTCTATGATATTCTGTTATAACTACTTGAACAGGCTAAGACAACTGGTAAAGAAAAATAGACAACAGTAGTAGTGCAAGGAATGAAGAGATTGATGTGATTTGTGTCCAAGAGTCAGTCTAATAATTACGTGTGATTTTTTTTTCTTTTTTTTTATCATTATACTTTAAGTTTTAGGGTACATGTGCACGATGTGCAGGTTAGTTACATATGTATACCTGTGCCATGCTGGTGTGCTGCACCCATTAACTCGTCATTTAGCATTAGGTATATCTTCTAATGCTGTCCCTCCCCCTCCCCCCACCCCTACATGTGATTCTTTTATTTTACCTCCTGAGAGAGTCTTCTGGCCTGTCAAACAGAATGTGAAATATCCACGGAATATCTTTCTGCAAATTTTCATCAGTTGATTGATATTTCTACATATCTGATGATGTTTTTCTATCCAAAATATAGAAGTTCCATCTAGTCACTGTATGTGTGTGCACATATGTGTGTGTGTGTGACAGTCCAGAATATTCTTGGACACACATGGAAAAGGGTAACCACACATGACACCCACTTTAAAATAAATTTTAAGTGGAATAATATTATGGTAGCTATAATTATAAATAAAATTATATTTAAACCTTTAATAATTAGTGTTTAAATTAAAATAGCTGATCAATAGGACAGCAATAGAGGGCACTAAATAATTGGTCTTGAATAACTGGGAATCATCTTATACCAAACACTGCCAAACATCTTTTCTGACTTATTAAATTGAAAGAGAAAATTGCCAAAACTTAATTGCCCAAATGATTAAAAGGAATTTCACTATTTCAATTTCCGGGGTAAGTACATGTAACCACCCTTTTGATTTTCCACAAATATAAATCCTTTTCTCCCACCCTTTTTTCATTTTCAAATGGTTTCTATAGGCTTTAATTGTAACCCATACTATGCCAGCTAAATGAACTAATTTGTTCTCATTATTTATAAATCTATTGATTTATAATTTATAAATCTATTGAGAACAGTTAATTAAGTTTAATAAATCAGTAATGGAAAGATTAAAGAGGTAACTGCTGTTGGAGAGATGAGTCGGTAAACTGTGTTTTTGCCCCCAGGTAGTTTTTCTTTTTCAAATAATACGTTTTAATCCATATATAGATACTTATTACATACTTAGTTAGTTATTGCATTCACAAAAAAAGTATTAGATGCCAGAAAAACACAAAAGTGGCAAATTTTGGAGAGATTTAACCTGACATACTTGCTACATTGTAGCAATAGTGATGAAATTGAAATATCTGATGATTGTATAATTACCCACATTGAGTCATTCTTGCTGGTTACATTCTCAGAATAAAATACTTTGCAAGTCAAAATGTAGGAGACAGCACAGCAATGTGGTCAATTTATTTCATCTAAATCAGCCTTTTTGGCATAATTGCACCAATAGCAATTTCCTATAGGACGGGGTTTCACAATGGAAAGGAAAAATAAACTTCTCACTGCCTTATTCATAGAGCTATTATTGTTATTTGTTTGTCCTGTGAATGAACAGAAAATGTGGTGTTTTGATCCCTGACTAATTAAAGGTCTTGGAGACAGATTAATTCTAAACTCTCAAAAAAAAAAAAAACTAAATGTATGCTTAGATAAATATTAGTCATGGAACAACAGGCTAATGTGTAATTTATAAAAATGTTATTTAAACATGTGTAAATATTATCTTAGTTTCTAATGTCATCTAGGTTTGATGCCATTCTTTTATATATGGCTCTTGGACTTTTGTTTCTAATTTGTGTGTCACTTTTAAAGTTTGGCCATCATAAGATCAACCTGAACTCCCAAGAAAAACTTTCACCACCTGTAGAAAAGCCTCGAATATCTTTAAGTCATGCAGGGTAATCAAGTAAATCCGAATCTGCCATTCCCTACTTTTGCCTTGGGCTGGTAGAGCAAAACACCTTTTTTAATAAGTTTAGAAAACATATTCCTTTCAATTAATAATGTTCATGGCTTGGCATGGTAGTTCAATCCCTCTAACAATCCTGTCGACATTTTGGCTATGATTGGTTATATCGAATCTAAGATCAATGTAGGGATAGTTAACATCTTTACTATACTAAATTTTCTAATCTAAGAACATGATACATCTTATTCATTTAGGTGTTGTGGTTTTTGTGAAGACCTCCATCACACATTTTGTTAGATTTATTCCTTGGTATTTGATTTCTGTTTTTGATGGTTTTGCCTATGGTATCATTTTAAATTTTTAAATGTATGTTTGTTCCAACTGTACAACAATGCAATTGTTATTTCTATATTGGCCTTATATAAGTAACTTTGCTAAAATGATTTATTAATTCTAAAAACTTATCCTTTGGGTTTTCTATGTATACTATCAGCATCTACAAATAATGACAGTTTTAGTTCTTTGTATTTTAACTTGCTGGTTAAAAAGACTGAATTAATGAACATTAGAAAGTTTTCTCTCAATTAATACAAGGACCTCAGATCACTCCCCCGCATGCCTTATTACTGTTATTCTCATGTAATATTTTATTTCCACTTGTATCATAGAGCAAGAGGTTTTTAATTTTAATGAAGTTCGACTTCTCAATTTTTCCCTTTATGGATTGTACTTTTCTGTTAGGTCTAACTAAAAACTCGTTACCCCGCCCTAGACTCCAGATATTCTTTTCTGGTTTTTTTTTCTAAAATTTTTTACAGTTTTACATTTTACATTTGAGTCTATGACCCATCTCGAGTTAATTTTATATAAGGCACAAGATTTAGGTGGAGATTTATTTTTTCCTATGGATGTCAAATTGCTCTCACCATTATTGAAATGGCTTCCATCAAATTGCATTTGTACCTTTGTCAAAAAATAAATTGAGCATATTTATATCAGTCTATTTCTGGGTTCTCTATCCTGTTCCATTGATCTACACATCTGCCTCTCCATCAATACTACACAGCTTTGATTACTGTAGTTATTTATTAAGCCATCATATTCGATAGAATGCTGCTTCTTACTTTATTTTTGTTTGTTAAATTATTTTAGTTATTCTAGGGCCTGTGACTTTCATATAAATTTTATAGTAAGCTTGCTTTTGTCTATAAAAAATCTATAAATCAATTTGGGGAGAATGGACATCTTCACTACGGCAAGTTTTCCCATTCATGAACACAGTACGTTTATTTTTGCCTTTGATTTCTTTATAAGCATTTTGTAATTTTCAGCATACAGGTCTTGTACATGTTTTAAGTCTATATTAAGTATTTCATTTTCTTTGGAGAGATTGTAAATGATACAGAATTTTAACTTTTGGTTTCCACTTGTTCATTGTTAGTATATAAATTATGTGACTGATTTTTGCTGTGTATTGATCTATATCCTGAGACATTGCTGAACTCACTTCTTGGTTCTGGTTTTTTTTTTTTTTTTTTTGTAGATTCTTTAGAATTTTCTATGTAGATAATCATATTATATTCAGGCAGGGATTGGTTACTTCTTCCTTTTCAACTGGATTTTTTTTCTTTCCTTATCACAGTGGCTAGAACTTCCAGTACTATGTGAATAAGGTGGAATAAGTACTAAGAGTGGACATCTCTACCTTGTTCCTAATATTAGGGGGGAAATGGTCTTTCACTCTGAAGTATGATCTTGGCTGTATGCCTTTAAGATGCTCTTTACGAAGTTCATGCAGTTCCCTTCTATTTCTAACATTCTTAGAGTTAAAAAATTATTATTGAGAATAGTATTGGATTTTGTCAAATATTTTTCCTGCATCAGTTGATGTGATCACGTGAGTTTTCTTCTTTAAATTGTTGTTATGCTTGGTTATATTACGTATCTGGAATAAATCCCACTGGGTAAAGTTGTTGGAATTGATTTGCTAATAATCAGTAGAGGTTATTCGTGTCCAAGTTTATAAGAGATATTCATCTGTGGTTTTCTTTTAGTATAGTGGCGATGTTTGGCTTGATAAACTAATACTGTCCTTCATAAAATGAGTTGGGAAGTGTTTCCTCTTCTATTTTCTGGAAGAGATTGTTTAAAATTGGAGTTATTCCTTCTTTAACTGCTTAGAAG
This sequence comes from Homo sapiens, assembly GCF_000001405.40. Taxonomy (NCBI): domain Eukaryota; kingdom Metazoa; phylum Chordata; class Mammalia; order Primates; family Hominidae; genus Homo; species Homo sapiens. The sequence goes on from NC_000012.12 coordinate 11,527,377, forward strand.
AATTTCCCAGTGAGACTAACTGGGCATGAGGATTCTTGTTCAGGAGATTTTACATTAGGAATTTCAATTTCGGTTTTGTTAAGAGTTGTAGGATTTTGTTAATAGTTGTAGTATACCAACATCTAAAGAAGAATACTCACGTGATCACATCGATTTATGCAGGAAAAGCGTTTGACAAAATCCAAATCCTTGTCAAACTGGTCGTATTTGCTTTCCATGGGATCTGTCCTCATTTGTCAAATGAGACGTCCCCCATTTCTTTTTTTTTTTTTGAGACGGAGTCTCGCTCTGTCACCGAGGCTGGAGCGCAGTGGCGCGACCTCGGCTGGCTGCAACCTCTGCCTCCCGGGTTCACGCCATTCTCCTGCCTCAGCCTCCCGAGTAGCTGGGACTACAGGCACCCGCCACCATGCCCGACTAATTTTTTGTATTTTTAGTAGAGGCGGGGTTTCACCGTGTTAGCCAGGATGGTCTCGATCTCCTGACCTTGTGATCCGCCCGTCTCGGCCTCCCAAAGCGCTGGGATTACAGGCGTGAGCTACCGCGCCCGGCGACTTCCCCCATTTCTGAGCCGTGCATTCGGTGCTGTGCGTGTCCCTTTCAGCACTGCTTCCGGCGCATCCCACATATTTTGATAAGTTGTATGCTCACTTTCTTTCTGTTCTACGTATTCTTAAACTTTATTTAGAAACTGTCCTTGGTTCGTTTATTCTGAATTGTTGAGTTTATGAGCAGAAAGTTGGACATAGCACTCTTTTAGTATCTTTTTAATAACTGCATGATTTTTTGTAATTTTACTGTTTCGTTCCTTTTATTGGTGATGTGTCTTTGTCTTTTTATCCATAGAAGTCTTGCTGGAAGATTATCAATTTTACTGATATTTTTTGAAGAACCAGATTTGAAATTTATTAGTGTCCTCCGTTGCTTTCATGTTTTCAATTTCATTGATTGCTGCTCTTATCTTTCTTATTTCTTTCCTTCTCTTTGATTTGGGTTTATTTCATTCTTTTTTTTTCTCTAGTTTCTTATATTACTGATTTGAGACTTCTCCTCATTTTGAATGTAAGCATTTAGTGTCATAAGTTTCCTTTTCAGCATTGCTTTAGCTTTATCTCACATATTTTGGTAAGTTGTATTTCCACTTTCATTAAGTTCTATGTATGTTCTAATTTTACTTTGAGACTTCTTTGACCCATGGGTTATTTATAATTGGGTTGGTTGATTTGCACATATTTAGAGATTTTCCTGTTGTCTTTATGTTATTGATGTCAGGTTTGATTACCTTCTGGTTAGAGAAGACAATCTATACGATATCTATTACTTCATTTAGTTATGGTTTGTTTTATGATCCTGGACATTGTATATTTTGTGACTGTTTCATGGACACTTGTAAACAATGTGTATGCTGCTGTTGGGTGGAGCATTCTGCAGAGATCAGCCAGGTCTTGTTGATTGCCAGCACTGTTGAGGTCTACTGTATCCTTGTTAATATTCTGTCTAGTATTTCTAACAGTTGCTGAGAGGGAGGTGTTGGAGTCACCAACCATAATTGTGGATGTAGCTGTTTCTTCTTTCACCCCTATCAGTTTTTGCTTTGTATTTTTGAAGCACTGTTTTTGATGCATACACATTTAGAATTGTTATGACTTTCTGCTGGATTGAGTTTTTCATCACTATGAAATGTTGGGTTTTGTCTGTACTAAGTCTCTTTGCTCTGAAGTCTATTTTATTGGAAAATATAGCCACTCCTAACTACTTTCTTTAAATTAATTTTTCATGGTAATTTTTTTCATCCTTTCACTTTCAACCTACCTAGGTTATTGAATCTGAAATGAGCTCCTTGTACTCAATATATAGTTGAAGTGTGAGTGTGTGTGTGTCTCTGTGTGTGCTTTAACCTACTCCTCCCATCTCTGTCTTCGTGTTTGTGTATTTAGAGCATTTACATTTAAGGTAATCATCGATATGTTCGAGCTTAAGCCTCCCATTTTGTCATTTGTTTTCTGCTTGTTTCCTTGGGTTTTCATTCTGGTTTCTCTTTTCTTGTCTTCCTTTGAGTTACTTGAGTAAACTTCAGCATTTCATTTTGGTTTATTGATAATCTTTTTGAGTGTGTTTCTTTGTACCATTTTTATTTTGATTGCACTGGATATTTCAAGCATACATATGTGACTTATTGCAGTCTGCTGGTATCAGTGTTTTGCTATTTTAAGTGAAATGTAGGAATCTTTACCTTCCATGAGGGGAACATCACACACCGGGGACTGTTGTGGGGTGGGGAGAAGGGGGAGGGATAGCATTAGGAGATATAGCTAATGCTAAATGACGAGTTAATGGGTGCAGCACACCAACATGGCACATGTATACATATGTAACAAACCTGCCTGTTTTGCACATGTACCCTAAAACTTAAAGTATAATAATAATAATAAAAAGACAAGTAAATAGCAAATACCAATTGATTGAATGTCTGTAAATAAATAAATAAGCACATTAAAAAAAAAAGAAACCTTTACCTTCCATGATTTTTTATATTACTGTCTTGAGCATCAGATAATGTTATAATTTTGGCTTTGACCTTCAAATATTTTTATAAACCTCATGAGAAAAAGGATGCCCTACCCTTTGTACCCATATATCTGCTTTCTATGCTGTTCTTTATTTCTTTCTTTCTTTCTCTTTCTCTTTCTTTCTCTCTCTCTCTTTCTTTTCTTTCTTTCCTTAAAGTAGTTTTTTCCAATTCTGTGAAGAAAGTCATTGGTAGCTTGATGGGGATAGCATTGAATCTATAAATTGCCTTGGGAAGTATGGCCATTTTCACGATATTGATTCTTCTTATCCATGAGCATGGAATGTTCTTCCATTTGCTTGTGTCCTCTCTTATTTCGTTGAGCAGTGGTTTGTAGTTCTCCTTGAAGAGGTCCTTCACATCCCTTGTAAGTTGGATTCCTAGGTATTTTATTCTCTTTGAAGCAATTGTGAATGGGAGTTCACTCATGATTTGGCTTTCTGTTTGTCTGTTATTGGTGTATAAGAATGCTTGTGATTTTTGCACATTGATTTTGTATCCTGAGACTTTGCTGAAGTTGCTTATCAGCTTAAGGAGATTTTGGGCTGAGAAGATGGGGTTTTCTAGATATACAATCATGTCATCTGCAAACAGGGACAATTTGACTTCCTCTTTTCCTAACTGAATACCCTTTACTTCTTTCTCCTGTATGATTGCCCTGGCCAGAACTTCCAACACTATGTTGAATAGGAGCGGTGAGAGAGGGCATCCCTGTCTTGTGCCAGTTTTCAAAGGGAATGCTTCCAGTTTTTGCCCCTTCAGTATGATATTGGCTGTGGGTTTGTCATAAGTAGCTCTTATTATTTTGAGATACTTCGCATCAATACCTAATTTGTTGAGAGTTTTTAGCATGAAGAGCTGTTGAATTTTGTCAAAGGCCTTTTCTGCATCTATTGAGATAATCATGTGGTTTTTGTCTTTGGTTCTTTTTATATGTTGGATTACATTTATTGATTTGCGTATATTGAACCAGCCTTGCATCCCAGGGATGAAGCCCACTTGATCATGGTGGATAAGCTTTTTGATGTGCTGCTGGATTCAGTTTGCCAGTATTTTATTGAGGATTTTTGCATCGATGTTCATCAGGGATATTGGTCTAAAATTCTCTTTCTTTGTTGTGTCTCTGCCAGGCTTTGGTATCAGGATGATGCTGGCCTCATAACATGAGTTAGGGAGGATTCCCTCTTTTTCTGTTGATTGGAATAGTTTCAGAAGGAATGGTACCAGCTCCTCCTTGTAACTCTGGTAGAATTTGGCTGTGAATCCATCTGGTCCTGGACTTTTTTCTGTTGGTAAGCTATTAATTATTGCCTCAATTTCAGAGCCTGTTATTAGTCTAGTCAGGGATTCAACTTCTTCCTGGTTTAGTCTTGGGAGGGTGTATGTGTCCAGGAATTTATCCATTTCTTCTAGATTTTCTAGTTTATTTGCATAGAGGTGTTTATAGTATTCTCTGATGGTAGTTTGTATTTCTGTGGGATCAGTAGTGATATCCCCTTTATCATTTTTTATTGTGTCTATTTGATTCTTCTCTCTTTTCTTCTTTATTAGTCTTGCTAGCAGTCTATCAGTTCTGTTGATCTTTTCAAACAACCAGCTCCTGGATTCATTGATTTTTTGAAGGGTTTTTTTGTGTTTCTGTCTCCTTCAGTTCTGCTCTGATCTTAGCTATTTCTTGCCTTCTGCTAGCTTTTGTATGTGTTTGCTCTTGCTTCTCTAGTTCTTTTAATTGTGATGTTAGGGTGTCAATTTTAGATCTTTCCTGCTTTCTCTTGTGGGCATTTAGTGCTATAAATTTCCCTCTACACACTGCTTTAAATGTATCCCAGAGATTCTGGTATGTTGAGTCTTTGTTATCATTGGTTTCAAAGAACATCTTTATTTCTGCCTTCATTTCATTATGTACCCAGTAGTCATTTAGGAGCGAGTTGTTCAGTTTCCATGTAGTTGAGTGGTTTTGAGTGAGTTTCTTAATCCTGAGCTCTAGTTTGATTGCACTGTGGTCTGAGAGACAGTTTGTTATAATTTCTGTTATTTTACATTTGCTGAGGAGTGCTTTACTTCCAACTATGTGGTCAATTTTGAAATAAGTGGATGTGGTGCTGAGAAGAATGTATATTCTGTTGATTTGGGGTGGAGAGTTCTGTAGATATCTGTTAGGTCAGCTTGGTGCAGAGCTGAGTTCAATTCCTGAATATCTCAAGGAGTACTCTTAACGAATCACACACAGAAGATACTCAATCAATATTATAGCCTGAATAAATAAAACAGTGCCACTGAGGACATCAAGGGTCTGGAGTACTCTCAGATAACTGGTGTATTAGTTAGATATTGCTCTGTAGCAAACCACTTTGGAACTTAGGGGCTTAAAACAGTAACCTTTTATTATTTCTCAGGAGTCTGCAGGGCGGTGGGGCAGTTCTGCTGCTCTGGGCTGGATGTGACCAATCATGGCTGGCTCATGGGTGATCAGCTGATGGGTTGGCTGAGCCTGGCTCATCTTGGATGGTTTCAGCTCTCCTCCACATGTCCCTCACATCCCTCCAGTGGGCTAAGTTGGGCCTGTTCTTCATAGTAGTGATGGAGGTCCAGGAAACAAGTGAAAATGAACTTAGGCTTTTCCCAACCTCTGCTCCTGTCCCATTGGCCAAAGCAAGTCATGGCACCTAGCACAGCATCATTTTGGGAGGGCCCTACCTAAGTGACTGTTGACAAGGATGCATTAAAAATTGGGCTTATTTCTGCAATTGATCTGCCATAATTGGCAACCATGCAGATAAGTATCTTGGGACAATTCAACCAAATGACAGATGTAAGATAATTAAATTTCTGGATGTCTCCTCAATACTGTTGATTTTTTAACCAGTTTTTGGATTATTTGCCTTATCTCACCCAATTTGGCATGGCTATCAACATATGGGATAAAATGCATTCTTCTGTGTCTCTGAAGATATGTAGGAGATCTAAGCTTTCAAGATGAAAAGAAAAGAAATTGGACCACTATACCACAGTCCACAAAAATCAATTTCAGGTGTATTAGAGACCTAAATATAAAAGACAAAATTCCAAAGCTTTCAGAATTAAATATACTAGGATATCTTAATATCCTTAGGGTAGAAAAAAGCCTTTAAGAAGACACAAAACATACTACCCATATAGAAAAGCAATTTAAAAATATAACCATATCAAAATGTAGAATTTCTGTTAATCAAAAGTTACCTCAAATGAACATTTTTAAAAGCCACAATATGGGATAAAATGTTTGCAGCACATGTAATCAATGAGTGACTAGAACTAGGATACATAAGGAAATTCTGTAAATAGTGGTGGGCTGGAAAATGTTTAATAATGGCTCTCAAAACCCAAAAAAGTCCTAATTTTTAGCATTTGCTTATTTCCAAGATATAAGTACTTTCATGTGGCCAATTTCAAGTAACCAACATGAGGCCACCAAGTAGGAACTTGGGAACAGGTGGTTGTGGTTGGTTCTCATGAAGTTGGCTCTCCTGCCCCTAGTATGATGGCTCCAACAAAAAGTCAACAGGAAAAGAAAAACAACCTGGTGAGGAAATGTGGGAAACACTCCTGAAGACTTTTGAGGGCTGTCTTATCTGTGCTGCTATAAAGGAGCACCCGAGGCTGGGTGATTTATAAAGAAAGGAGGTTTGGGCTCATGTTTCTGCAGGCTGCACAAAAAGCATGGAACCCGCATCTGCTTCTGGTGAGGACTCAGGCTGCTTCCACTCATGGCAGAAGGTGAGAGGGGGGCTGGTGTGTGCAGATAACATGATGAGAGAGGAAGCAAGAGAAAAGTAATGAGTGCCAGGTTCTTCTTAACAACCAGCTCTTGGGGAAACTTACAGAGTGAGAACTCATTCACTCCCCTCCTTCACAGGGAGGGCATTCATCTATTCACAAGGGACCCACCCCCATTACCCAAACACCTCTCACTAGGCCCCACTTGTGACATTGGGGATCAAATTCCAACATGAGCTTTGGGGGACATTCAAACTATAGCAGTGGACTTAAGGCTCTTTGGGACAGATGGTACGAACTTTTCATCAAAGAGTTAGTTAATCTCCAAAAAGGTTAAAACAAGTGTCTTAGAGAATCCTTGAATAGGCAGAGATAGATAAATTTACATTTTAAAAACTTTTTATTTTAAAATGATTTCAAACTTACAGAAAAGTTGCAATAGCAATGCAGAAGGTTGGGTTCACACATATCTTTCACTCAACTTTTCCTAATATGATCAACACAGAGAATTATAACATAATCATCAAAATCAGGAGGATAACATTAGCATATTGCACAATAGTTACACTTCATAGTAAACTACTGATCTTATTTGCATTTCACTAACTTTGTCCCCAGTGTTCATTTTCTGTTCCAGGATCCAATTCAGGATCCCACATTACAGTTATTGTGTCTCTTTAATCTCTTCAAATATGTGGCCTTTCCCCATTTTAAAGAAGAAGATACAATCTATTAGAACTGATGATGTTAAAATGCAAGATAACTCTAGGGACCCAGAAATGATCTGCCTCGTTCTCTTCCTTCTTGTCTTTTTACTCATTTTATTTTCCAAGCAAAACTTAAAATTAGCTTTATTTTTGTTTGCTATCACTGAAGTAAGAAATAAGTCACAACTTTCATTTCAAAATACGCAAAACATATAGTTGTTAGTTTTAAAGGCTTGAAAGGCCTTAACCATATTTCACAATAGCCAAACACAGTCCTTGAAATATAAAATACACAACTGTAATAATCATACAATTCTATGACTGTGTAGTAAAGAATTGAACTTTGTCCTAAGCAGCTCTGACTTGTCTCTGCTTCTGGGAGATGATCTCCCATCACACCTGTTAGGATTGTCTTCATTTGCCTGGGGTCCTGGGCTCACACCGCTGGTCTAAATGTGGTTTAGGATGGGGCTGCCACACTGGATAGTCTTAGAGTGAGACCTGGTCTCCCCAGGTGGCAACGATGTGACGTGGGGTGGGGGCTTTGGGCTTTGGGCCATGTGGTGTTGGTCAACTTTGGGAGGGCAGGAGTCTGTAGGCTGAGATCAGCCAGGCTGACCATCAGTCATACCTGTGTGATGGAGGCCCAGTACACGCTCTGGACTTAACGCTACAGTGGCTTCCCAGGTTGGCACTACCCCACGTGTACTGTCACACATTGATGCTGGGAAAGTAATGTCATTCTCGTTCCGTGGGGAGGGGACAGTGGGAACTGCAATTAGTACTGTTCCCGGCCCCTGCCCTGTGCTCTTCTTCCCTTGGCTGATTTTTTAATCTAGCCATTCACTGTAGTAAACCATAGCCACAACTACAACAGCTTTCAGTGAGTTCTGTGTCTTTCTAGCAAATTATTGAACCTAAGGTGGTTTTGGGAACCCCCCAAATATGCAGCTTGTGTCAGAAGTGAAGGCAGTCTTGTGGTCTGTTCCCCTGACTTTGCTGTTGGCCTTAATTTTCCCAATGACTTTAAAAGTTGAATTTGAGACCATGAGTCTTTGCACTTGAAGATAAAAATGACTCTTCTTCCAAGAAAAACAAGAGAAGTGTTACTCGTAAAGTGTCATTTTCTATTTAGCAAATGCATTTTGATGAGTTTCTTTCTTTGTATTTCAACATGTTTCATTCATAAGAGCACAGAAAAACAGAACGGGTCAGTTTAAGACCTGAAGTTATCCCACTTGCAATGAGGGTTTATAGCAGCATAAGATTTCTTCCAAATACAGTGAAGATTAAACCCAATATAGAACCACTGTCTGGAAAGACCCTTAGTGTGACCCGTCATGCGTGTATGTGTCTAGAGTCCAGAGCTTTAGAAAATGTCTTGAATGTTTTGCCAATATCCAAGTTCTTCAGGACTAAAGAACAGCTTGGTTGACTTGTTTCTTTTAGAAAATTCTATCTTATACTAAACCCGTTTATGTAATTTCAGCGGAGGGGATGGTGGTGTATTTTGGCAATAGGGGTATCTTTCCAAAGGCTCAGCTCTGACAGATTTGTTATGAATTGATGGATCTTTTCATTATGGGAACAAGATACATCAAGTGCAGAATATTTTCCAGGCATTTGAATGTGCCTTGTGCTTATTAGGCTTCTGAAAACAGAAGTATCAGTGCTTTTTACTTAAAAAGAGAAAAGATAAACTACAGGGCAAAGGCTAAATTGATGCTTTCCCTTATCAAAGACCACTATTTTCAGAGCACTACAAAAACTGACTTTGTGAAAATGGTTTATGATGTGGCATTTTTTAAACATAATTTTTCAATTTAAAAGTTTAAATATATGACAAATATGCACATGTGAATACATTAATTTTTGTGCTTTTGTCCTCCTTGTTTCTGAAACCCTTCCAACTATTTAAAATTTTTGCAATCTATCCATCTGACAAAGGTCTAATATCCAGAATCTACGAGGAACTTAAACAAATTTACAGGAAGAAAACAAACGACCCCATCAAGAAGTAGGTGAAGAATATGAACAGACACTTCTTAAAAGAAGACATTTATGCAGCCAACAAACATATGAAAAAAAGCTCATTATCACTGGTCATTAGAGAAATGCAAATCAAAACCACAATGAGATACCATCTTATGCCAGTTAGAATGGCGATCATTAAAAAGTCTGGAAACAACAGATGCTGCAAGATGCAGAGCATCTTGGATGCAGAGAAATAGGAACGCTTTTACACTGTTGGTGGGAGTGTAAATTAGTTCAACCATTGTGGAAGACAGTGTGGCAATTCCTCAAGGATCTAGAACCAGTAATACCATTTGACCCAACAATCCCATTACTGGGTATACACCCAAAGGATTATAAATCATTCTACTATCAAGAGACATGCTCACGTATGTTTATTGCAGCACTATTCACAATAGCAAAGACTTGGAACCAACCCAAATGCCCATCAATGATAGACTGGATAAAGAAAATGTGGCACATATACACCATGGAATACTATGCAGCCATAAAAAAGAATTATTGCATGTCCTTCGCAGGGACATGGATGAAGCTGGAAACCATCATTCTCAGCAAACTAACACAGGAACAGAAAACCAAACAGTGCATATTCTCACTTATAAGTGGGAGCTGAACAATGAGAACACATGGACACGGGGAGGGGAACTTCACACACCGGGGCCTGTCAGGGGATCGGGGGAAAGGGGAGAGAGAGCATTAGGACAAATACCTAATGCATGCAGAACTTAAAGCCTAGATGAAGGGTTGATAGGTGCAGCAAACCATCATGGCACATGTATACCTATGTAACAAACCTGCACATTCTGCACATGTATCCTAGAACTTAAAGTAAAATAAAAATTTTTTAAAAAGAAGCACATAACCTCCAAAAAAAAGTTTTCAGCAATTAAAAAGTACTATAGTCTGTTAGCATTTCAAATGTTGGTAACCTTTTATTTAGGACTTTCTTGGTATTTGATTCTGAACTTGCCAGTTTATTAACTAGAATCATTCTAAAGTAAGATTTATTGCACTAGGAGCTGACATGAGTTGCTTTGAACTCATAAAGTGCCGGCCAAAAAGTATTTTCCTACATTTTTCTTAGTAATATTTTCAGAAATGTCTACAATGATACAATTTAAAGTATTTAATTGGAAAACATTTTACGTTTAAAATTCTAATATTTTAAACAAATATTAGAGAAACAAAATATTTTTTGGTAATCTTTCTACAACTAAAGAAGTTGCTATTCCAGTTTTGGGACCCTGCTGTTGGTCACATACCTGGAGGTCTTCATAGGAAGGTGTTCTCCTGGCCTCTGGTCTGTGACATCAGTGAAGAGGTACCACGAGGCAGCCATTCTCAGATACATTCACTTGGCAGAGCCCCAGATGCTCCTTGTGGGACTTTATAAAACACAGCATGCATCACACGCTGGTGGTGCCCCTGTCACATGCCCAGAGCTCACCTTGAGCTTTGGTGGACAACGTCCCTGTATGTTGAGGGCTTCCCACCTCAAGAGTTCATATTTTATAGTCATTAAAATTAATGCTGGAGAATATATAATGGTATGTGTTCGTGATACAGCATGGAGAAAAATCAGTATACAAAACCTGCGGTGTTTAAAAGTGTTTGTCCATGTGTGCGTGTGTATCATTTTTTTTAGGAAGAGACTCCAGAATATTAGCACTGCTTACATCCAAATAGTAGAATGGGGGGGATTTATCTATCTCTTTGCCAATCTATTTTTTTTTTAGTTTAGTTTTTTTTTTTTAAGCATTAACACGTAGTATTATTGTAATTCAAAACAAAAATTTTTGGAAAATGTATGGGGTCCCGGTGGATCAATAGTTTCTCCCATTTCAGATGTACACTGTTCTCCTCCCCACAGAGCTGACCCCCATGTGGGTCGGTGTGGGGAGACCCCACAGAGCTGGGGTAAAGGAGAATCACTTGCTCTCGCTCCCCTGAGCCTTACTAAAGCAGCACTTGAGGACTGTTCACAGATCAGCCCCTCCCATCAGGGTGAGGCAGGGACGGGAGGGGACCTGCTCCATCACTCCATGGTCAGGCTTGGCCCTTTAGCAGAAGGCCAAAAAGAGCTCCCCTGCTAAAGAGGGAAGGGAGGAGTCGCCAGGAGCTAGACGAGCTCCTCTGTGAGTGCTCCCAGGCACCCGGCTCCCCTCTGCAGTGCCTGTCAAAACACCCATTGCACTCATATCATCTGGTTATGTGTCTGTTTCCCTGGCTTGTTGAGGGCACGGGGCAAGCACTCAATAACTGTGGTGACAGGGACATTGTTGTGTCTCCTCATCCTGGACCTGAGGACAGGAAAGCTTTCCCTGGAGCACACTGAAGAGCCCAGTGATGTCCCCTCCCATCTCCTCTATCGGTGGAGCATCAGCTCTGCGATCACTGAAGTCTTTCAGGCTCTCGCTTCCTCTGATTCCACCTCGCAGCCAGTAAATGTCCACACCAAGGAGGATATGAAAGTACAAGACATAGCCCTGGTCCTTCCATCGAGGAAGTCAAGGAATGCATGCAGGACGACAACTAGTACTTGCAAGGCACTTCTTATGCGCCAGGTGAAATGCACATACAATTGACCATTTTAAAGTGAACAATCAGTGGCATTTTGTACATTCACAGTGTTGTGCAACCACTCCCTTTACATAGTTCCCAAACATTTTCATCAACCCAAAATGAAACCTTGCACCCATGAAGCAGCCACTTCCCATTCTCCCCTCCACTCGGCCCCTGGAAACCACCAATCTGCTTTCTGTTTCCATAGATTTACCTATTCTGGATATTTCATATAAATTGAATTACATAATATGTGACCTGTGTCTGGCTTCTTTCACTTCACATAATGCTTTTGCGGTTTAACCACATGGTGCCATGCATCAGTTCTGCATTCCTTTTTCTGGCTGCGTAATACTCCATTGTTTGTACATACCACAATTTGTTTATCCATTTATCCATCTATGGACACAATACATTTCAAGGACACTTGAAATATATTAACTCATTGAATTCTCTCCACAGAGACAGATGCAGTATTTTCCATAAATTTATAAAGTAGAAACTGAGGCACAAGTCACATGCCTAAGATCACATAGCTATTAAGCAGAATAAGGACTCCAGCCCAGATAGCCCAGTACCAAAGGTCTTCCTGGTAACCACTACTCTCTACTATCTCACAGAGAACAACCCCAAATAGCACAACATGGGGGCTAAGCTGTCTAGTGGAGCTTCAAATGCTGTGTGTTTCAGAGAATGGGGAGGTCCCTGGGCTGTCACGGAAGCTTCCTGGAGAAGCAGGATCATGTAAAATCTAACTTGGGGCAGGTCAGGGTGATGTGAGTGACCAACTCACTCAGAACACAGCCATTCATGGGTGTTCAGTAAAACTGGCTCTAGAACCAGCGATGACTTCAGCTCAAGGATCCCACAAGGGAAAGTGCTTGTCTTTCCCTGCACAGCATACAGCTCTTTCGGCAGAGTTCTGGACCCAAGCTTCTTTCAAATACGTTACAAACAGCAAAAGAAGCTGGCTGTTCCTTCTGTCTGTCTGCATCTGTCTAATGGTTTAGAGAGTGGGACATTTCCATCCTCCTTTCTCCGAGCATCCTTGAAAGCCTTCCCAAAAAGCAATGCACTTTGGAGAAATGTAATGCTGGAGAGGAAAGTGGTGTTCAGGAGAGGGGAGTCTGTTCCAGGAACTGGTACACAAGAGCTAGAGGTTGGGTGGGGTAGGGAACTTCTCAAACTAAGTTCTCGGCCTTGTTTCCAGTGTTCTTCCTGTAGATCAGGGCTGAGGACACCCTGCTGCATGCTCTTCATCCCTTCACCAGAATTCCTAAAGTCCATACTCATGGATCCTGGGAAATCAAGAAGGCCAGGGGATGCTGGCAAGCCTAGGCAAGACTGCCCGGGGCCAACCCTGCAGCCTTCATTCCCCAGGCCCACTCAGCCCAGCTGGCCAGCAAAGGCAGTCATGGCCTCCATGTCCACACATGAGAATGACCTGCAGCTGTTCTTTGTCTAGGCTGGGGTCAAGGATTCCCACTGCAGCTTGAGGGGTGAGGATAAAAGTCTACAATCCAGCTCCTAGGAAATCTTTAAAATTTAGGTCTGGGATGAGCCTGTCGGTAGTACATTAGGTAGAGAACTTTTATGAAGTTAAGGGTAAACTGGCTGGGCTGGGTCTAGAACTGGGAATGGTGCCTAGCAGCACATTTTTGAGAACATGCAGCCAGGTTTGGTATGTCATGGAGTGTGTGTGTGTGCACGCACGTGAGTGTGTGAGTGTGTGTGTGTGAGAGTGTGTGTGTGAGAGAGAGTGTATGTGAGAGATTGCATGTGTCATGTGTGAGTGTGTGATGTGTATGAGTGTGTGTGGGAGTGTGTGTGCATGTGTGAGTGTTGAATGAGTGTGTGAGTGTGAGTGTGAGTGTGAGCGTGTGAGCATGTGTGAGTGTGTGTGAGTGTGTGAGTGTGTGCATGTGTTGAATGTGTGTGTGAGTGTGTGTGAGTGAGTGAGTGTGAGAGTGTGTGTGAGAGAGAGAGTGTGTGCGTGTGTCTTTGGATACACAGACATCCTGGAGCATATGCACATTTCCTTTCTCGTTCAAATAAACCCTACAGATAACAAAGCGCTTTAACATCCGGTCTCTGCAGCCTTCCAGAGGAGGCAAGGCAAGCACTATTAAGCCCACTACAAACAAATCAGCTGAAGCCCCCCTCAGTGTCTTGCCCAGGGTCACAGGAAGAATGAGTGGCAGAGCCCCGAGCCTGTGTGCTCCCTTCTGTGCCGGGCTGCTTCTCCTGGGCATGGCTGTGCCTTGTGCATGGGACATTTCTCCTTTGATGTGCCCTGGGTGCCTTAAGCAACTTAGATATTGCTCAGGTAGGGTGAGGGGAAAATGTATTTTCAGGTTGTATTATTCAAAACAAAATAATATAGACTAAATGACTTTGAAAACATATTTATTTCTTACAATACTGGAGGTTTGAAGTCCAAGTTCAAAGTGTCAGCTAGATTGGTTCCTGGTGAGGGCTCTCCTCCTGGTTTGCAGGCAGCCACTTTCTCTTTGCATCCTCACCTGGTGGAAGAGAGAGACAGTGTTCTCTTTTCTTACCAGATCCATCATGAGGGCCCCACCCCATGACTTCATGTAACCCTAATTACCTACCAAAGGCCCATCTCCAAATACCAAACACATTGGTTGTTAAGCTTCGACAAAGGAATTTGGGGAGGACACAAACATTCGTCTACAGCATGGGTGGAAACCCATTTCTTCCTCACCGTCTGTATGGATTGCACGCTGCAGCCATCGAGACAGTGGGCATGTTCTCCTTACAACTCGATCTGACTCCCCTAGAAGAGGGGGCAGGGAAGGAGGGCAAAGCTGGGAGAGATGAAGAATATTAAGAAGAGAATAGGGTAGCCAGATTTAGCAAATAAAAATATAAAATGCCTAGTTCTGAATTTAAAATATAAAATGCCTAATTCTGAATTTCAGATAAAGAACAAATAATTTTTTAGTGTAAGTATGTCCCAAACTAAGCATGGCAAAGGACATGTTTATGCTAAAAAATTATGTATTATATAATAATAAATTATTATTATTTTCTGCAAGTCACATTAACTGGGCATCCTGTATTTTTATCTGGCAACCCTAAAAGAGAAGGGCCAAAAACTGTTGAGAAAAGTCAGTGGATTCCAGGAGGGACTATTGCTGGATTTCTGGACTGATGCTCGCTTTATAATACTTAACTGTTTTTAGCCCCTTCCCTCCCTCTCTCCCTCCCTCCCTTCCTTCTTTTCTTTCTTTCTTTCTTTCTTTCTTTCTTTCTTTCTTTCTTTCTTTCTTTCTTTCTTTCTTTCAGATAAGCTCTCACTCTCTCACTGAGGTTGGAGTGTAGTGGCACAATCTCAGCTCACTGTGGCCTCAACCTCCCAGGATCATGTGATCCTCCCACCTTAGCCTCCTGAGTAGCTGGGATTGCAGGTGTGCACTACCATGCCCAGCTAATTTGTGTATTTTTTGTAGAGATGGGGTCTCACTATGTTGTTGAGGCTGGTCTTGAACTCCTGGGCTCGAGCAATCTGCCTGTCTCAGCTTCCTAAAGTACCCAGATTACAGGCATTAACCACCACACTCAGAAACTTCTATTTTTAAAAGCCATGGTCTCTTTAGGTGTTCTCTATCACTCTAAGTCAAAACTATTCCTTAAACATACAGGGCTCGAAGTGTTGATCTCCTGGAGAGCCTGGTCACCTCCAAGCCATAGGGCTTACAGTAGGCTGTCTTCAAACAAGCAAGGAAGTAATAGGCTTTCTACCGCAACTCAGATCTAGGTTTCAGGACTCATTCTAGGGACAGCTGCAACTGCCAAGTAGACTATGAGGAAACTTTCTCAGTGTTCTAGAAAAAAAAAAATGGAGGAGAAGGTGGGGAGGGGGAAGGAGAAAGAGAGTTAAAACAAAACAAAGAGAAAGACGGAGAAAATTAATGATTATATCAGGCCTCTCCCAACTCCCTCCTCTTTCCCTGGAGCACAGGACTAAATGTTAAGAAGAGAAGGATGAGATTTCTACCATAACTGAGGAAAACTACAAAACATGAGAGTCTGAAGAGACAATAAGGAAGATAGAGGCCAATCCTGTAATTTTTCAGATGAAGAAAGTAAGGCCCAGGGAGAAGAAATTACTGTATTCAGATCACACAGTTATAAGGATTCGAGCCAATACTGGATCTTAACCCAGTGTTTACTATTCTGTGCAGTGTTCCATTATTCGTGGATTGCTAACAATGAAAGAAAGCATAGAAATGATATAGTTCAACCTCCTTATTTTAAAATAAGAAAAGATATATTGAGAGAGGTCAAATAATTTGCTCAAAGTCACAGTTGGCTTTTTGCTACCAATCCAAGCTTCTTTTCCCTAGTCTTTGCATATACACACAACAATGTTTTGAATAATTTCAAAATTATTTCAAAAATTAACCCAGAGTAAATGTACTTATTCAGGAAAGTAGTGGAAATAGGAAATATAGCAAACATAAAAACACCTCACCCCTATGACTCAATTTATACTGGTCCATGAACAGTTAACAGTTTTCAACACTTAACACTTCTCTTCCCGTGCTAGCTGGCAGCCAGAGTTATTCTGCAAAACTGTGTTTCCAAGTCCTCAAGAGGAATACATGTGTAAGTGTGCTTTAAATTTGCAAATGTTTTATCTTTGAGATCCTTAAACAGTAACACTATTAATCTTCATCTTCAAGCTGCTAAGTTTGTTATGATATGTTTATACGTGTGTGTGTGTGTGTGTGTGTGTGTGTCTACGCAGAACTTTTTTTGGCTGGTCATGTGACTCCTAGAACTGTATCCTTCCATCCACTATGCATTTCCCTATGTAAATAATATTAGCTTTCACTGGTGATGGCAACAAGACAGAAGGAATGAGGTCAAGGAGGAAATAAATTTGGATAGAAAGAAGCCGTCAAAACCCTGTGAATAAAATTCACAAGCGAGTTTCGGTGACTCATAAGAGCACAGAGAGGAGACACAGGGATTATTCAGGAGCAGGTTCCTGTAGGGTAGCAGGAGCTGCACAGCAGGAGTGTGGAGGGGCACAGGTCAGCACCAGGATGCACCAAGGGCACCTGGGAAGTGCTGAGGGCCAGGCCACACTTAACTCGGGTCTGTGCCCTGCAGTGGGAAGAAGCCTCAGAGTATTTTCATCCTGCGAATCTCCTCTGTGCAAGAAAAGACCAGTTGATGTCCTTGAAAACTTTCCTATTTGACCAGTTCATTCTTATTTCAAAATTTTATATTATTATATTTTTTAGAGACAGGGTCTCGCTATGTTGCCCAGGCTGGACTCGAACTCCTGAGCTCAGTGAGACTCCCACCTCAGCCTCCTGAGTTGCTACCATGCCCAGCTTGCCCAGTTCATTTTTAATGAGGCCAAACACATTGGTCATGCAGCTCACAAACAAAAGGGAATGTCTGTAGTTCTGGTCAGTCACAAACTCATTGTACTTTACAGAGAAAACTCCATGCAGAATGTTGAAATATCATCCTCTAAAGGTTGACTCTAAGTATACAGAAGCAGTGTAGGGGCACAGACAGCTCAGTTGAGCACTCAGCACATCAAACAAGAAAGCATGTGGTGGTTTCCCTCTACCCAGAGCAGGGTCTGATACGGAGGAGCAAGCCTGGACTTTGTCCTTGGGCAAATTGCCCCATTAGGGGAGGAAGGAGCCCACTCTCCAGACTTTCTGGTTTGAAGCAGTACCTGGGTCTGAGCAGAGTGAGGAACACTTCCTGCTACAGCCAAACTAGACTAGCCTGGGCCCTGAGATCCATGACCTCACATGTGCCTTTTTCTCCAGGCACACTGGAAAGCTTAGTCCCCCCGCCCCCGTGACTGTCTGTTCCCGAGATAGTCCCTTTGCATGGAGAATCCGTGCCCATCCCACCCACCCCCACACCATAAAAAGTCAATGTTAGAAGGTTTGAATGGATTTAGTGATCATGCACTCCAACCCTGCCTATCTGTTCATCAAAGTCCACTTCAAATACCACTTTATAAAGACATTGTGGTTCTTCTGTCTCCCAATTCATTATTACTTTGGTGCTCTGTTATGGTATACATCACATTCAGTCTTGTATTAGAGTTGTTTGTGTACATATTTTCTGCCCTCACTCCAAGGCCAGCTTAAAACTTATAAATCTTAAAATATTTTGGCCTCCTAAAAATTAAACAGTATCATTCATAGTTTCCACTATTAAATATTTTATGCTTTTGGAATAAAATATGTCATTCTTCACCCCCTCTCCCAAAAACCCCAAAACTTTGTTCCTCTGCTTTTCTAGTTTCCCGTGTGCTGCTTAGTGGGTTTTCCAGCAGCCCTGGTCCCAAGCACATGAGGGACTGTTAGCATTTTCAAGACAAAAGTATCCTTAACTCCTCTTCATGAGCCTGCGAAGATTAAACACGGAGCTCAGAACACAGTATGAACACAATAGATGTATGATGAAATGAATAGGGCTAGCATTAACTAATGAGAGCTCCTCAATGATGAGCAAGAAGAAGGTGAAATCATGCCATCCAAGGCTTCCCAGTGCCCCTGGAGACCACACAGCCCCTTTACACAGGAAATGACGTGATTCCTGATAAGCAAGCAGTACACACTGCACAGCTTCCTTCCCTTCCTCCCCCTGCCACTCAGCACCTTTGGCAAATAGCGGCCTGCCTTCAGCCTTCATTAGGAAAGCCTTCATTAGGCCTGCCTTCTTCTCTTCATTCATGAGAGAGTGGCATTAACAGTGCACAAACTAATGCTTCTTCAAATTTTTCTGGGGTCTGCTGCTGCTACTGCTAAAATCCGCTTGCCTTCGGACACAGTTTCTCAAATGGCTTAAAAGCTTCTCTGCTTTTGATCCCTGCAGCATCACTTTCTACTCCCTCAATCAGAAACCAGAAGCTACCCACCCCCATTTCCTGTGTTCATGATAGTAGAAAGCAACAGAGAACAGTTGGCCCCTGAGCTGCCAGGTTGTGGGCTGGGTAGGGAGGATCCATTGCAGGAGCATTGGAAAGCCTTGAGCACTCTGCCCTGCCTGTCCACACAGCAGCACCTTCACAGCCTTCTAGTAGTTCTGATCAGATTTCTGCCTCTTAAAGCGGCCCCACAGACTAAAAGCCATCATCTGGAATTTGGAGTAAAAGGGCCCACAGGAAATGAAGCACTCTAAGAAAATTCAGCTGGGCAGGTATTTTAAGGTCACTGACTGACTCCAAAGTGAAGGTAGAACCCATATTGACCGCAATTCATCACACTTCTGTAACTTCAGAACTCACTGCTGACTGGTGGAGAAGGTTGCAATTGCATTCAGTCCGAATCTCTGAACATATTATTTAGAAATATTAGCTTATCCAGCTGCCTACGGAGCTTCCCATCTGGGCTTTCAGTTGCTACATTCTCTAAAGCCGTATCTGACCCACACCTTACTAACACTATGTGCTTCTACAGCATTCACCCAGTGTTACAGCTCTTTTAGAATCTGTCTAGCAGGTTTTCCAGTCTTCACTGGAAAGCCCTTGCCCCCAAATATAAAAAAATAATAAGGCATTCACCCCTGAACTTTAGCAGGGCTTCCAATCGCCTTTAAGCACTCATTTAAAAGAAAAGTCTTTTATTCCCTTATAATAGTATTAAATCATTAGCAAATGATTCTCAAAACTATTTTTTGAGTGCTCTCTTCTGTGTGAGAATGTAGGAAATGATGACCAAGTATACGAAGTTGGACATGCCTAGTCCCAGGTGGCCTTTTCCTATTGGCACAGCTGCTGGCATTCACCCGTGCAAGCTTCTAGCTTGCTTGTCTATGTCTGCAGCTTGATTTTACAGGCTGCTCATTGTAAGAAAAGAAAACGATTTGAGGGCTGCTTTTCATTAAAAGGAAAACCTTACTGAGGACTTCCTTACCCTCACTATCTGCCTAAATAATTTCTTCTTAACTCCTATATCACTTATAAGAGGAGAAAGCAGACACACAGGGGGAACTCAGTGTGACAGCACAGGCGGAGCCTGGAGGGATGCCCAGGAATGCCAAAGAGACGCACAGACTGGTTTCTCTCTCACAGCCCCCAGAAAAACCTAACCCTGCCAGTGAGAGGTGACAGCGTGCTGGCAGTCCTCACAGCCCTGCTCGCTCTCGGCGCCTCCTCTGCCTGGGCTCCCACTTTGGCGGCACTTGAGGAGCCCTTTAGCCCACCGCTGCACTGTGGGAGCCCCTTGCTGGGCTGGCCAAGGCCGGAGCCGGCTCCCTCAGCTTGCAGGGAGGTGTGGAGGGAGAGGCGCGGGCGGGAACAGGGGCTGCGCGCGGTGCTTCCGGGCCAGCGCGAGTTCCGGGTGGGCGTGGGCTCGGCGGACCCAGCACTCGGAGCGGCAGGCCGGCCCCACCAGCCCGAGCAGTGAAGGGCTTATCACCTGGGCCAGCAGCTGCTGTGCTCAATTTCTCGCCAGGCTTTAGCTGCCTTCCCGCGGGGCAGGGCTCGGGACCTGCAGCCCGCCATGCCTGAGCCTCCCCCACCTCCGTGGGCTCCTGTGCAGCCGGAGTCTCCCCGACAAGCGCCACCCCCTGCTCCGCGGAGCCCAGTCCCATCGACCACCCAAGGGCTGAGGAGTGCAGGCACACGGCACCGCACTGGCAGGCAGCTCCACCTGCAGCCCCGGTGGGGGATCCACTGGGTGAAGCCAGCTGGGCTCCTGAGTCTGGTGGGGACGTGGAGAACCTTTATGTGTAGCTCAGGGATTGTAAATACACCAATGGGCACTCTGTATCTAGCTCAAGGTTTGTAAACACACCAATCAGCACCCTGTGTCTAGCTCAGGGTTTGTGAATGCACCAATGGACACTCTGTATCTTGCTACTCTGGTGGGGACTTGGAGAACCTTTGTGTGGACACTCGGTATCTAGCTAGTTTGGTGGGGACGTGGAGAACCTTTGTGTCTAGCTCAGGGATTGTAAACGCACCAATCAGCGCCCTGTCAAAACAGACCATTGGCTCTACCAATCAGCAGGATGTGGGTTGGGCCAGATAAGAGAATATAAGCAGGCTGCCCGAGCCAGCAGTGGCAACGCGCTCGGGTCCCCTTCCACACTGTGGAGGCTTTGTCCTTTCGCTCTTTGCAATAACTCTTGCTACTGCTCACTCTTTGGGTTCACACTGCCTTTATGAGCTGTAACACTCACCGCGAAGGTCTGCAGCTTCACTCCTGAAGCCAGCGAGACCACGAACCCACCAGAAGGAAGAAACTCCAAACACATCTGAACATCAGAAGGAACAAACTCCGGACACGCCGCCTTTAAGAACTGTAACACTCACGCGAGGGTCCGCGGCTTCATTCTTGAAGTCGGTGAGACCAAGAACCCACCGATTCCGGACACACCAGCACCCGGATCTCAGACCTCTGGCCTCCGGAACTGTGAGAGAGTAACTTTCTGCTGTTTTAAGATACCCAGCTTGTGGTCATTTATTACAGCAGCCCTAGCAAACGAACCCAGTGTGGTTTGCAACTTCAGTTATAGCATCTACCATCAGCCCAATTCAAAAGACCATTTATTTAATCAGCAACGTTTCCCCCGTCACTCCTTATGGGGCAGTATCCACTGTAGGCTACTGATTCTACTTAGTGCTTTAAGTCAGCGTTGCCAGAATCATACTGAAACACATACCTGGGGCTTCTAGGGCATCTCCTAGTCAGCCTTGTCAAAATCAACAGTTTTGAAAATACGCTCTATGGCAGTCCTGAATTCCACAGGGGTGGAATTCAGAGCCGCTCTCCTCTTGTTTGTCGTATTTTATAAAATGGATATTTAATTCTGTTTCACTATTTGCTTTCATTACTAAAATTTCCCAAAATACATGAAAATAGAGGGTACTCGAAAAACCCAACTTTAAATAAAATAACCGTGAGTATTCTGCCATACTTGTTTCTGTGTTAATATAAGAATTTATTTGAAGAGTTCTGCTATAATGTTTTTAAATACTGGTTTCAATAACTCTCTTCCAATACAGATTACACTTTGTTAGCTCCAATAATTGCTGCATGGTGAATTTAGTCTATTGAAAAGGAAGTGTCAGGTCTGAGTGCCAATTATTGTACTTGACCCAAGGTAACTCTCTTTCAAGGTACTGCGTTGGGTTCCCACTGAATTATTTTACCACATTCGAAATCCTTCATCAGAAATTCAATGTCTTTTATTATGATACATGAAATGATCTAATAAATCTCACTGCACACTGTTACTTTGATTTCTCCAATGAACCACACCTCTCAGAATGCACGCCCTTGTATAGTCCCCTCTCATGGTGACAGCAGGCTTAGCCTTGTGACTAGCTTTGACAATGGGGATATTAGCAAGCATGATGCAAGTGGATTCTGATAAGCTTGATGCTGTATTTATTTGCTTTGGCTGCCATAATAAATGATCACAAACTGGGTATCTTAAAACAGCTCCTTTTTCAGATGTTTCTCCACATTCTTCCAAGGCAAAAAGAAAAGAAAAAGAAATACACACAGACACATACATATATGTTTCAGTTCAATAAGTTTTTGTTGTGTTTTGTTTTGTTTTGTTTCAGACAGAGTCTTGCTCTGTCGCCCAGGCTGGAGTGATGAGGCGCGATCATCACTCCACCTGGGCTCACTGCACCTCCGCCTCCCGGGTTCAAGCGATTCTCCTGCTTCAGCCTCCTGAGCAGCTGGGATTACAGGTGAGTGCCACCATGCCCAGCTAATTTTTGTATTTTTCTTAGTAGAGACAGGGTTTCACCATTGTTCGTCAGGCTGGTCTCGAACTCCTGACCTCATGATCCACCCACCTCGGCCTCCCAAAGTGCTGGGATTACAGGCGTGAGCCACCGCGCCCAGCCTCAATAAGTATTTATTAAGTGTATAACACATGGCAGAAACTGTGCTAGATACTGAAACTATAATGGCAAAAATCAATTCCTGTCCTCTGAATTGGTTACCTAGTAGAGAAGACAGACATGTAAACAAATATAGTGGAGAGTGACATAGGCAATAATAAAACTATGTATAAGAAATCCAATTAGTATGGATAATTAACAACTAATGGTTGGAAAGAAGTGTCAAAAAAAGCTTCTTAGATACAGTGACACCTGAGCAGGATTTCTAAGGGTGCACTGGGGAAAGAGGTTCATAAATCAAGGGAGCATCATACTGAAATGGTAGTGATGGAACATGGTATATGCAGACAACTACAAAAATTCACTTCTACTGATAGTCCAAGGGAGGAAGGCATGAATATGAGAATGGAGGTATGGACAGAGGCCAGGTCAGGGTAAGTTAGAGAGCTTACTTAACCTTGTAGAAAATGACGAGCCATTGGAGACTTTAAAGAGAAATAACATAGTCATATTCTTGTTGTGAAAGATCATCTGGGCTGCTATGTGCAGGACAGATTACCAGGAACAAAACCAGAAGCACCTGTTCAAGCCTGAATTCTAGTCACAGAAGTAAAGCTGAAGAGGAGAAAATGGATGTGAGCAATATCCAAAAGGGAAAATAATAATATACACATAAGGAATAGGGAAGAGAAGAGCAAAAATAATTTCCTATTTCGCCTTCCCTTCTTTTGGAGTTGGAACACTCAAATGGTGTGATGGGTGGCACTGGGGCTAAGGGGACAAGGCTGGCCCAGCTGGGAGATTGCTTACATGCAGGAGGATCAAGTGAATGAGTCAACGTATCAAGGAGACTGGGAATGCAATTTCTCACTGTTGAAGAAAGGAGTTACAAATATGCAAAGGGGAAAATGTGATACTGGATTGGAATTGAAGGCATTAGTCCGAAGTTATGGATTTTAAAGATAGGAATGTGACAGATGATAGATAGGTAGGGATAGACAGGTAAATTGAGAAGTAGAAATGTATGAATGTGTTATATTTCCTAGTCCAGGAGCAATGACACCCCAGTTGCAATGAGCATCCTAGCATTTAGATCTCAGTTTCTAAATACCTTTTTCCACTAAAAGGAACCAGGGCTGGGGCAGGGAAAGAACAAGATGACCCTGGAACTCTATTGTACTGAAAGTAAGGAAGCCCTCAGATAATTATGAGGACATGTCTAAAGGACACAGGAGTGGCTCACGCCTGTAATCCCAGCACTTTGGGAGGCCAAGGCGGGTGGATCACAAGGTCAGGAGATCCAGACCATCCTGGGTAACACGGTGAAGTCCCATCTCTACTGACAATACAAAAAAATTAGCCAGGTGTGGTGGCGGGCGCCTGTAGTCCCAGCTACTCGGGAGGCTGAGACAGGACAATAGCGTGAACCCAGGAGGTGGAGCTTGCAGTGAGCCGAGATCACACCATTGTGCTCCAGCCTGGGCAATAGAGTGAGACTTCCTCTCAAAATAAATAAATAAATAAATAAACACAGGAGCCAACTTCATGGGGCTCCAGTTGTCCACATCTAGGTCATTTTGTGGATCAAAATAAAAAATGATAGTAACTGATTATAATTCATTGAAAAATCAAATCTCATGAATCCATACTTATATAATACATGAATGAATAAATATGAGAGAGAAGAGAGAGCTCTAACTTATAGTAAATGCCAACTAATCAATGTAAATATAATTATGGAATTAGAAAATTGTTATTATTTTGAGACAGGGTCTTGCTCTGTCACCCAGGTTGGAGTGCAGTGGTGCAGTCACAGTTCACTGCAGCCTCAACCTGCTGGGCTCAAGCAATTCTCCCACCTCAGCCTCCCAAGTAGCTGGGACTTCAGGCGTGTGCCACCACACGGCTATTTTTGTATTTTTTGTAGAAATGAGGTTTCATCATGTTGCCCAGGCTGGTCTCAACTCCTGGGCTCAAACAATCCACCTCAGCCTCCCAAAGTGCTGGGATAATAGGCATGAGCCACCACACCCAGCCAGAAAATTATTATTTTGCAACCATTATAGTTATAACTAATTTAGATAGAATCATCATTGGATGGAAAAGCTAGTAGGTGAAAATTTGATGAGGAAATGGATACAATCTCAAAGTATCTCCCCCAAAATATTTAGTGCTTATTAGTAGTTTAGAAATACAAATTACTTACTAGTTAGCTCTATAGCATAGAAACCTAGCCAATATCATCTTAATCGAGTGCTAACATATAATGTTGTCTATAAACAGGATAAATCTATATTAAGTTACTCTAACAAACTGAGAAAACACAGCATCATTTCTGTGAACGTCCTGCCAAAAACGCACCACCCAAATCTGACAATAAGGTAACATCAGACAAACCCAAACTGAGGGACATTCTACGAAGTAATTAGCCTGTTCTCTTTAAAAACACCCAGGTTATGAAAAACAAGGAAAGAATGAGAAAATGTTCCTGATTAAGGGAGACTAACAGAGATATAATGACTAAACACAACACATGATCCTGGGTTGGATTCTGGAATTATAAAGAACGTTATTGTAAAATTGGTGAAATCTGAATGGAGTCTACGGATTGTGGCTTTATTACATCAATGTTAAATTCCTGATCTTTTTCATTTCTTTTTCCTTTCTCTTTTTTTTTTTTTTTTTTTTTTTTTTTGAAACAGAGTCCCTGTCATCCAGACTGGAGTGCAGTGGTACAATCCCGGCTCACTGCAACCTCCACCTCCTGGGTTCAAGCGATTCTCCTGTCTCAGCCTCTCAAGTACCTGGAATTACAGGCATGTGCCACCGCACCCCATGTAATGTCCCGATCTTGATGGATGCACTCTGGTTATAGAAATGTCCTCATTTTAAGGAAATACATGCCAAAGTAGTAAAGGCTCATGGGGCATCATATTTGCAACTGTTCTCACCTGGTTCAGAAAAATTTAAGAGCAATAATACGTATAAATGTGTAGATAGAATAAGAAGACAAACATGGTAAAATGTTAACAACTGGGGAATCCGGATGAAAGGTGTACGGAAGCTCTTGTGCTACTACACCTGCAACTTTTCCATAAGTTTGAAATTGTTTCAAAATGAAAAAAATGTACAAGTATCCTAGAAAATGCAAACTCATCCAAAGTGACGGAAAGCAGGTCACTGGTTGTCTGAGTGGGATGGGCCAGAGGAGAGAGGAGTCAGGATTACGAAGGGGGCACAACAAGGAAACTTGGTGGGGAGGATATGAATATCCTTTTTTTTTTTTTGCTTTTTTAGAGACAGGGTCATGCTCTGTCACCCAGCTCATAGCTCACTGCATCCTCAAACTCCAGGGCCCACGGGATCTTCCTGCCAAGCAACTGGGACTACAGGCTCAGCCCACCATGCCTGGCTGTTTTTTTTCTTTTGGTGGAGATGAGGTCTCACTATGTTGCCTGGGGCTGGTCTTGAACTCCTGGTCTCAAGGAAATCCTCCCACTTATGACTCCCAAAGCACTGGGATTACAGGCGTGAGCCACCTTGCCCAGCCATGTTCATTATCTTGATTGTGTCAGTTGCCTCTTTGGTGTAAAATAGGTCGAAATTTACTATGTTGTACACTTTAAAAATCTATTAATAGGTTAAATAACATGAAATAATTGTTTTTTAATTCCTAATATTTGCCTAGGGAATACAACCAACCTCTTCATCACATGAAGACATTTTTTTCATGCTTTTCCATGTTCCTGAAATGCCCTCCCCTAGGAGCTTCCTCCAATTTATCTACTCTTTCACATTCAAGAAGGTAATGGAGTTCCATCTTCCTCCATTAACTCCCCCATACTGAAATCTGCTATATCTTTCATTCATTTGAATCTTATTGTTACAGTACATACGATGGAAATCTATAATATTTTTATTGCTATAGTTATCATTTCAGTTGTTATGTTTTCTGCTTATTTTTGTATCAGAGTTGAATCAAGATGTTTAAGTCTCTGGAGAGTTAAGTATTTTGTAGGAGGAAGAATATCAAGGTTGTGGAAAAAAAAAAAAAAAAACCTTGTTGTGGCTGAGAAACTGGGCTGGAGTCAGGAGGCTGGTGATGGCCCCAGTTCTACCACTAACTAGCCATGTGCCTACGATGCTTCATTTCACCTCTTGAGATCTAAATTTCCCCGTACGTCAAAGCAAAGGTGAGGTCAATGTCATCTATGAAATGTTCTTGACTTTCAAATTATTTGAGTAGTGGCCGCTAGATGGAACCCGTGAACCCATATCCATACATGAGCATTTCAAGGAGAGGTGGTGCTGAAGCAGGAAGCCAAAAAGCCAGGGTGACAGATTATCCTGTGCTTCGTGCAACAAGGATAGTCTGTAGGAACAACAACAAGAGAAGTTGTCTCTCTCAGACAATGGTGTCCTAGCCTAGACATGTGGGCTAGGAAATTAGTGATCAGAGGAAATCAGACCAAAGCCAAAGTCAGAGACATTTTCTGTTCTCCTCTTCACTAAACCCCAAGGCTCTTTAGCATGAAGTATGCAGACCCTGTGTGATTTTCTGTGTTATCTAAAGTAAAACTTATTAGAGTTCCACGTATTTTTAACCAAATATGTTTAATGAACGTTGTTCTGAGAGAAAGGGGATTCCAGTCGCTTCTGTCAGAGGCATTCAAGGATATGGAGAGAAATAGCTTTTTAGAATTTGAAAATAAAATTTCTATGAAATTGGTCAAAATGGATGAGAAGGAAAAAACCTCTCAAGCGGTAAGTAGGTAGAAAAACGATCGCTTTGTGCCATTTTTATATGTTAACAAATTATGTTAACATTTATTGAACACATCAAACCCTGCAGTATAACTGATTCTTCAATAAGTGTATACAAGTCACACATAGAATGAGTGGCATGCTGGGTGCTCCCTGAATAATCCTTTTCTTTTACCAGTTAAGTTTCCTGCTGAATATTTCGAAACTCTTTGCAAACTGACTTCAGCACCTCTGTGGGATATTCCCTTCCACTGCCAACCCTTAGTTGTCAGAAACTCTGTCTTTGGGAAGCATGCTACATTTTCTAGAACAAATCTAGATACTTTAGAAATGATGGATGATGATGATGATGATGAATGATGACAACACTCTGATGCAATTCATATATCACAACATTATCCAGATCCAACAAACACTGAGAAAATGGTGTTTTGCAGCAATTTTAATTCCTTTATTTCTCAAACATCTTTGTCAATAGTCATTTTTAATGTTATGTTATAGATGATGGAACAATCTTAGAGATGTTAAGTAACTGGTACTAATAATACAGATGGCAAAGACAGAATTCAAAATCTGGAGCTCTTGATTTATTTTACTTTATTTTATTTTTTAGAGACAGATCTCGCTTTGTCGCCTGTCAACGGCTAGAGTGCAGTAGCGTGATCATAGCTTACTGCAGCCTCGAACTCCTGAGCTCAAGCAACCCTCCCTCCTCAGCCTTCCCAGGTCTCCTGATTTCAAGTACAGTTCTTGCCAACACACAGTGGTAAAGGGTATGATTACCTAAGCCTTAGCACAGAAGGTAGCACCCCTTACTGGTGAGCTATCATGAAACTATGCGACAATTTTCTCCATCTTTTTTAGAGTTGTTTTCCTTGTCTTCCTCCTCATCACGATTATTATTGCTTTTTCATTCAGCAAAAAATCTGGTAGGAGACTGCACAGAAGCATGATCACTTGCTATCAACAGTGTAACCCTACCTAACTTCCCTAATCCCTAGCAAATGAAGGAAAAATCATATACAGGCACTGACAAATAGCAACACAAGAAAGGGCAACAAAATTACTAAAGAGTAACGCCATCCTCCCCAACTCAAACCAGGGAAAGTAAGCTTGCCTAGGAACTTAGGCTGAAACTCACCACAGTGCCAAAAACCTGTTTTCTTGAAAAGAGGTAGTGCAGATAGTGAATCCACTGAGCCACATAGGGTGGGAGTTTGCTTTAAGTGCTTTTCTTCTTGCCCACAAACTAGCGTAGGCTGTGACTGGCTCCAGCTGATCCTTATCAAGGCAGCTAGTTCTGAGGGCTTGGTTAAGAAGCTCTTCGTTTACTTAAGGGAGCAAAGAGAAGACACGTGAATTGGAAAAGGATATCTAAAATGTCCCCTAAGGCTTCATAAAGTTGACATCTTTCGTCATGACTTCTACAGTTCAGGAAACCAGGTAGCAGTAAACAATTATGAACTCTACTCACTCGCCCTATCACTTTCACATCAAACTGGGGGTACTGTCCTTTGAACAGAAGACTCATGAGGAAAGCGCAGATTCCTTCCAGGTGGGAAGAAAGCTTTGTCCCTGCTCCATGTCTGCTGATCTGCAGGAAGCAGAGAGAGCAGGGCTGTTCGACTCCGTTTCCCTAATGATGTCCCAGCCTCTTTCAGTTCTGTGAGCAAAACCAAGGCTGGGTTTGTTAGCACAGCCTGTGACAGAGCCTGGGCAGGTCCTTGTATTCTGGCAAAGGCTGAACCAAAGAGCAGTCTCATTGCACTATTTACTTTCTTTTTGTTATACTCTCTCTGGCTCAGCACAATCAGTGCAGTCCGATGCTGCAGAAGACAGACTGTTCCCTCTCTCTTCCCACAGTGTTTCTCGTCTACCTTTTGCCCTTATTCAATAGTGGGAAGAAATTTCTTCTTGACCTCAGCAATCCTTTCTGACAATTACCATATGCCTCAAGAGACCTGGGAAGCTTCGCCCTGTCTGGCACAGGGAGACAATTCCTATCCAGAATAAAACTGAAAGCTTTCAAAAAAAAAAAAAAAAGAAGAAGAAGAAAAGAAAGAAAGAAAGAAAGAGAAAAAGAAAGAAAGGAAAGAAAGAAAGACTGTAATAAGTTACCTTGTCTCTGGGAGATTCTGTAACAATGAATTGCACAGGCTAATTATCCCCTCTATTAAAAAGTTTTTAAAAGGTTCCTCTTCATCATTTAGAGTATGTTGCCTTGGCACCGGCCTGGAGAGGGTTAGCACAGGAGCCAGGCTGAGTTTAATTAAAGAATTTCCGTGTGTCAGCAGCAGGAGACTTTGATTAAAGTGAGAAGCAGCCAAGATTCCGGGAAGCGCGTCTTTCTCCTGTCTCCTCCCCAAGATGTGCGGGTGTCCTTCCCCCAACACCATGGAAGAAGGGGTCCAGGAAGAAAATGTCACACTTGCCTGTGACCCCCACCTGGTCTGCAGAAAGGCAGAGAAGACCTGCTTATGGAGGAAAAAGACGGCCTCTGTCTGGAGCTTCTATGAATTACATAACGAATAAGTGATTTCACTACAAAGCAGTGAAATTTTTAAAAGTTAACCAGGTAGCCCTTTTTTATTCTAATTCATAGAAAATACTTTTATTTGTTGAGTTAGCTACAAGGTTTTACTTGCTTAATTTTTGTAAAGTTGTTTATTTTGTGAATAAGAAACTTATGGTCCAAGGGTATATAGTGAAAAGTCAGTCTTCCTTCCATCTCATTGCCCTGGCCACCCAGTTACAATTTTCTTGTATACCCTTGCAAATATATTTTACTCCTTTATAGGCTTAAGTGTCTGTGTGTGTGTGTCTCTCTGTGTGGTGTGTGTGTGTGTGTGTGTGTGTGTGTATTTATTATCTGAAATTCAAATTTACTTATGTATCCTATGTTTGATCTGGCAACCCTATACTAGCTGTAACCCTGTACTAAGCCCTCTCAGAGGGCACAGATAGGAGCTACATATATTAACCCATATATATACACATATCTATTATGATTTATATATATGGTTAAATATGAGTTCATACTCATATTTCTGACTCTAATCCAGTATCACAGGGTTCCTTCTAGCCTTCTGCCTTTGCTTATCTATAACTTCTCTCTCCAACAGTGAAAAACCTGACCCCCACTATCCACTTTTATTTCCTTATTTGCCCATTATTACTTAACGGTGCATGTAAAGCTGTTTCAGCATAGGTAATACCGCCCCACCCCAACCCGATGAGAAAGAGACTTGCCAGTTGGAACACAGTGCTTATGTCCAGTTCCTTTGGCCTTTAGCCTTACAATTATAAGTCAAAGCAGCACCTGCAAGATTATTTTGGTTTGCACCTTTTCCCAACCCCTTCAGGGATGTTATGTGTACAGTTACATTCATTCATGAAAGTCTGCAGTCCCCACCATCCTGGTTGATATTTTTTTGATTGTATACATTAGCGTTCCCTCTTTGTGATGTACAGTTCTATGGATTTTGACAAATGCAGAGCCATTTATCCACAACTCAGTATCATACAGAATTGTTCCTACCCCCCACCCCCTCCCCACCTCTGCCTTTTGGAGACAGAATCTTTCTCTGCCACCCAGGTCGGAATGCAGTGGTGCGATCATAGCTCACTGCAGTCTCAAACTCCTGGGCTCAAGCAATACTTTTACCTCAACCTCCTGAGTAACTGGGACTACAGGTATGTGCACACATGCCCAGCTAATTTTTTTACTTTTTGTAAACATGGGATCTTGCTATTTTTCCCAGGCTGGTCTTGAACTCCTGGCTCAAGCGATCCTCCCACCTCGGCCTCCCAAAGTGCTGGGATTATAGGTGTGTGCCACCACACCCAGCCCAGAACAGTTCTGTCACCCTAAAAATTCCCCCCATGAATTATCTCTGCAGTTAATGTACAGTTAATCTACCCTCTTCCTACTGCCACCAACCCCTGGCATCTGTTTTCCATCCCCATAGTGTAGCTGCTTCTAAAATGTCATATGAATGGATTTATACAATGTGTGCACCCTTTGGAGTCTGGCTTCCTTCAATTAGCAAAATTCACGTAAGACTGACCCACATCATTGTGTGAATCAAGAGTTTATTCTTTTTTTCACAGCAGAATAGTACTCCATTATATGAATGTACCATGGCCAGGAATTGTGGCTCATGCCTGTAATTCCAACTGTTTGGGAGGCCAAGGTGGGAGGATCGCTTGAGCCCAGGAGCTTGAGACCAGCCTGGGCAACATAGGAGACCCCGTCTCCATGAAAAAAAAAAAAAAAATTAAAAAAAACATTAGCCAAGCATGGTGGTGCATACCTGTAGTCCCAGCTACTCTGAAGGCTGAGATGGAAGGATCGCTTGAGCCCAGGAGTTTGAAGCTGCAGTGAGCTATGAACATGCCACTACCCTCCAGCCTGGGCAAGAAAGTGAGACCCTATCTCAAAACAAAGCAAAACAAAAATTACCACAATTTTTTTATCCACTCACCTGTGGAAAGACATTTTGGTTGCTTCTAGATTTTGGAGATTATGAATAAAGTTGCTATAAACATTTGCATACAGGTTTTTGTGTGAACGTGAGCTTTCAGTTTACTTAGGTAAAGATCTAGGAATATGATTGTTGGGAAGTTTTGTGTTTTTGTCTTTCCTACAGTGGCAGAAGTGTCAGGACAGTCTGCACGGGCAAGAATGATACCTAAATCACTACTCAGGCACAGGAGAGAGCAGGACTGGCATGGCTGGCAGGTATGGACCTCCATGAACCCCATTAAACAGGAAGGGGCAATAAGCAACCTTCTGGTTTAAGAGTCACAAAGTTAATCTTCCAGGTGAGGGTCACCTTGCTAAAGATAATACATAAACAAAGTCACATGTCTTGAATCACAGTTACCACTCTGGAGGAAACATAGCAATTTAACATAACATTGCCAACATTGCCTATTCTGCTTCCCTTTCTAGGCACCTGATTAGTGGAGGTGGCAGAGCAGGAATCTGATTCAGAGTTTAGTTTGCTCTAATAATTTAAATAATATTTTAGAAATTTCCCAGTCATAATGTAGCCTTGGGCAAAGGGGTGAGAAGCCTCTAGTCTTATGATGGTCCTTGACCTATGCTGGTTGGCATCAGCTTCTCTCTAGAGTGATGAGCCTTGCTCACTTGGTCACCAGTCCTCTGTAAGGATCTGATGCTGAGATCTGTGGCTGGTGAGCTTGTGATCTGTTCTTTTACAGATGAGGAAACTGCAGCCTAGAGAGTTTGAGTGACTTGCTTAACATTTCTCTGAGGAAATTTAACAGTACTCAAGGTCTCTCCTAAGGAAAATAGTAGTTGAGTGTGGGAGAAGGTGGAAATAACGTGTTTCCATGAGATAAGCAAGAAGAGCAAAGACTAGTTGGAGAAGATGGATAATTGATTGAATATCATAGAGAGTCCTGGAAAGAATGGTAAATGTCAACCAATTCAAATAGTTTTAACAGATGAAGAAACAAGACCAGAGAGGTTACATGCCTTATCCAGGGTCACACAGATAGTCAATGTCAGAGAGAGAACTTAGACTCCTGGTTTCTCACTCGTAGCGCTTAACTTTTCTCATTTCTCACTGTAAAAACATCTCAAATAGTCTGCCCTTTATTTAAAAAGAGATGAAGTGAGCATCTGTAGAAGCCCAGAAGGTTTTAGAACATAAAGCAGATAGAAGATCAATTTCCTCTCTGACAATGATTCCTTGCAAAGAGTTGGGATTATTTTGGTTCAATTAAAATTACTATGCTCCTTTTATGAGAAATATATTAAGAAAGGAGATAAATTGGTACCACATGAGTAAAAAAAAAATTGGTGCTTTTCCTCCATCTGTTCATTCTTTTGTGGGAAGACACAAACACCCGGTTCCTACTGACTGATAATCATGAAAAGTGCTAAATAAGAAGTATAAAAGGGATTGAGAATTTAAGGAAAAGAGAATTTAAGAATATTTTGCAGGCATTAGATCCTTGTTAAAAATCTATATTCTTGACTTTAAAAGGACTTTACTAGTTGGAAATGATGAAAATCATTGAAAAGGATTCTAATTAAAGATACGTCTGTCTTACAGAAGATTTTAAAATAGATTAGCTTAATTATGGCCAAATGTATTTATTTCTACCCTTTAATATTGATACTGTGGTTTTTGTTTAATGTCTGTACACAGCTTTTACGTTGTATAGTCTATTTATATCCTATAGATCTACCTCTATGGTTTTCTTTCTTTTTTTGGTGGGGGGAGAGTATCCTCCTTTGTCACCCAAGCTGGAATGCAGTGGCTCAATCATTACCCACTGTAACCTCAAACTCCTGGGCTCAAGTGATCCTCCCACCTCAGCCTCCTGAGTAGCTGTGACTACAGGTGTGCATCACTATACACTCAGCTAGGTTTTTAAATGTTTCGTAGAGACAGAGTCCAGCTATGTTGCCCAGCCTGGTCTCAAACTGCTGGCCTCAAGCAATCCTCTCGCCTTGGCCTCCCAAAGTGCTGGGATTACAGCACTGTGTGAGTCACAGTGCCCAGCCTACCTCTGTGGTTTTCTTGAGGATGATTTTATCTTCCCATTGAAATCTTTCTCATGTCTTGCTTCACCTAATTTAGTGACTTTATGTAATCATTAGGTTAATCATCATCTCATCTAAGGTGACCAGCAAGCCCTGAAGAAGTGGAAAATGAAAGAACATGGTCTCAACATTTAAAAACCTAACACATTTAATGTATTCATTAAAATATGTGTTGGTGCATTCCCTCAGCCAGACATATTTATTGAGAAAATATTAGGGACTAACTGTTATGCTAGAAATTGAAAATATCCTAATAATAGACCTTAAAAGTCTACTAAGAAAGGCTTACCAAGAAAACAAAATAAGAGACTGATGTCTAATATAAGAAATATGGTCAAGGAATGTAAAACATGGTTGGGAGTCAAGGAATGCTTCTTAAAATAAAGGGAAAAAGCCTTCAATTTTGAGTTATATTCTTCATCTTCAATGTGACTTCCAAGATTCATTGGTTTGTTTTCACTAAGAAAATAGTTACTTAGTAACTATAGACACTATTTGGGCCATTAAAAAAAGTAAACACTAGATTGCATGTTTTGGTTTTGGATGGTGAAGCATGTCTCAGAATGTAAACCTATTTTCTTCACTTTTCATTGCTCTGTGGGATGACAAACTTTAATGAACAGATGAGACTCATTGGAAACTAGTTATTGTCTATGGCCATACCACTCTGAATGTGCTGGATCTTGTCTGAAAACTAATAATTAATGAGTAGAGAAACAGGGGTGCTGTTAAGGTGTTTAAAAATCCTTAAAAGCCCTCACATAAGTCAAACATGCCCCTAGTCATTTTGTTTATGCTATGAATTCACCTGGCAAATTGTTTCATACGTAATTCAGAGGTAAGTTTCAGATCAGCTTATGTAGAAACAATTGCAAATGAATGGAACTGAATTTCTGAGGTTTTATTTTGTTTTACTTTTTGAGACAGACTCTCGCTCTGTTGCCCAGGCTCGGCTTACTGCAAGCTCTGCCTCCTGGGTTCAAGCGATTCTCCTGCCTCAACCTCCCGAGTAGCTGGGATTACAGGTGCGTGCCACCACACCCGGCTAATTTTTGTGCTTTTAGTAGAGACGGAGTTTCACCACGTTGGCCAGGCTGGTCTCAAACTCCTGACCTCAAGTGATCCGCCTGCCTCGGCCTCTCAAAGTTATGGGATTACATAGTTACAGGCATGACCCACTGCACCTGGCCTGAAATTTTATTTTAAATAGAAAGATATTAATAGCATTTGGTATCCCATCTTTGTTCATATTCGGTCTCGCATGCTGTACATCAACCAAAATGTGTTGTGTAATTTGTTCATTTTTATTTCTGGTCATATATACTCACTCTAACTTTTGATGATACAAATAACAAAGCTTTTTCTTCTTCAAATTAGAGAGAAAAAGGAAAAAATTATCAAAGATAAAAGGGCCCCAGGAAAAACACCAAAATATTAATAATGGTTACCTCGAACTGTGAGACTATGGGCGATTTTACTGTTTTGTATAATTTTTGTATTTCCCAAGTGCTCTATAGTTAGCACACCTTGCTTCTTTAAGAAAACTTGAAATAAAATTATAAAATACTTGAATGCATCATTCTAGTAGATTTAGCCTAAAATGTTAATTTTAAGAGCATAGTACTTAAGGAGTAGCGAGGGCATGGTGGCTCATGCCTGTAATCCCAGCCAGCACTTTGGGAGGATGAGGTGGGAGGATTGCTTGAGGCCAGGAGCTTGAGACCAGCCTGGGCAACATAGCAAAACCCCATCTCTACAAAATTGTACAAAATTAGCCAGGCATAGTGTTGTACACTTGTACTCCCAACTACTTGGGAGACTGAGGTGAGAGTATCCTCCAGTGCAGTTGGAGCCCAGGAGTTTGAGGCTGCAGTGAGCTATGATCATGCCACTGAACTCTTGCCTGGGTGACAAAATGAGACCCTGTCAAAAAGAAAAAAAAAAAAAGAGAGAAGCTGAGTCATAATGGCAGAGCACTGTGTCGAGAGCCACAAATGTCCACTCTTAAAGAGCAAGATAATGGACTGATAGAGCTGCTTCTTATCAGAATAGCTGGGCTCAGGGAGACCTGTGTGTCCCGTTCCTCAGCTTGTGGCTGATGACATTATTTTATTCTGTTCCTGCTTTCATATGTTCTTACAACATTAACCATAAACTGAGGCAACTTCAAGATGTATCTGTTCCTTGCAACCTAAAAGAAGCTGCCTGGCATAAACAAATGTATAGGTTATATAATAAAATCAAAACTAACAACAACAAAACACTGATAAATAGTCTAGAAGGTACATTTTGTCTGTGTTTTAAATTATTTTCTAAGGATTGGGTACTGGACTTAAAATGGACAGACCAAAGAGATAAGAACTTTTCTAATCCTGCCAAAGAGTTTTTCATAAATTGCTTTGATTACTATTTAGTGGATTGTTATTTTGGTATGATTTTTTATTTTTTAATTTCTTATTTTGTGAATTTTCTATTTCAGTTCTCTATGTAGCAGGCGCTGTACTTTGGCCAAGCCAATCTCCATTTGCAACATGTTTCTCCCTTACTTGACTCCACTATAGAGAGAGTAAAAGCTAAATTTTGATGTTCCACCCCCACCCCCTTATTGATATGAGAAATAAGTCTTCTGGTGCATTCCTCTCCAATTTCTGTCTTCTTTCCACTTGAGCTGCCAGGAGATGCAACAGTCGTTTTGAAACCAAAAAGATAAAAACTGCATACTAAGAATGCATGAACCTAAAGATTTACAGAGCCTGGGACACTGGGGATACTTGGAGTCAATGTATCAGCCTTGGACTGATTCCCATGGGACTTCTTATTACCCAAGTGAAACAGTCCTTCCTTTCATCTGTTAAGCCACTATGGTATGTTTTGCTGGTTCTCGTAGCCAAATACAGTTTTGACTGCTATACCCATTTTTTTCTTATGGATGTTCATGACTTCTTTTATATTGTGGATTGTATTGTGAATATGTATCTTATTTGTTGCAAATATTTTCTCAGTCTTTTTGTCCTTTAATTTAAGATATTATTCAATGCTTGTAAGGTTTTTATGTTTATGCTGTTATATATATCCATTTTTTCTGATTTATTCAATTGAAAAATTGAGAAACGTAATTGATAATTTTGAACATTATCGAAGAAGACATCAATAAAACAAAACATAGTCTAGCAATTACAAAACAGAAAAACAGCAATGAAGTTTTGTTTGGTTTGGTTTGGTTTTTTGAGACAGGGTCTTGCTCTGTTGCCCAGGCTGGAGATCAGTGGCGTGAACACAGCTCACTGCAACCTTGACCTCCTGGGATCAAGCTATCCTCCCGCTTCGGCCTCCCGTGTAGCCAGGCCTACAGGCGTGAGCCATGACACCTGGCTAATTTTTAAACTTTTTGTAGAAATGGAGATCTCATGTTGCCAAAGCTGATCTTAAATTCCTGGGCTCAAGTAGTCCTCCCGCCTCAGCCTCCCAAACTGCTAGGGCTTCAGGTATGAGCCACCATACCCAGACACAGTGAAATATAAAAATATATATTACATATAATGTATTATAGTAAAATATGTAACAATAATAATAATGAAAATGGGTTGAACTTCTTAAACTTCGCTATTAAAAGACAGTGGTTCTCAAGCTGGTTAAATACACACCCTTGCACTTACAAGCATATACACACACAGTCTATGTAGGTTATAAAACATACTCAAACCAAAATAAGCATAAACATTGAAAGCAAAATGATAAGCAAAGATATACCAAGAAATTAAAATAAAAAGAAAGCAGGAATTAACATCTGACAAAGTATAACTTAAGGTAGAAAATGAAAAGTAGGGTAAAAATCTCCACTTTATTGATAAAGCTGTGCTGTAGTATGAGTTGTGTAATTTTATTCATAAACACTAGATAAATATATAGAGAACAAAACACAACAGAAAGACAAGAAGAAAATTACAGAAACTAATTGTATTGGGAAGTTTTAACACATTTTACTCTTTGGCAGGCAAAATAAGTAATACCTAAATGTAGAGACAGCTGAGTAATATAATTCCGGGGTCCCCAGTACCCAGGCCATGGACCAGTACCTGTTGATGGCCTGTTAGGAACTGGGCCACACAGCAGAAGGTGGCAGGGGGTGGTGAGTGAGCATTACCGCCTGATCTCTGCCTCCTGTCAGATCAGCAGCAGCATTCGATTCTCATAGGAGCAAACCATGTGAACTGTGCATGCAAGGGATCTAGGCTGTGAGCTCCTTATGAGAATCTAGTGCCTGATGATCTGAGGTGGAACAGTTTCATCCTGAAACCCTCCACCCAACCCCCATCCGTGGGAAAATTGTCTTTTACGAAACCTGTCCCTGGTGCCGAAAAGGTTGGGGATGGTTGATGTAAGTAACATATTTTATTTAATAAATACTTATAAAATTATGTATGCGTCAAAACCACATGCCATCTTTTATAATGTGCCTGAAATATTTACTATAATTTAATGGTTTGTCTAAAAGTAAGTTTAAGAAATCACAAATTCCACAGGACTTATTATTCTCTTAGCATAAAGCAAAGGAAACTAATTTTAAAATTTAAGTTTAATAATATCTTGAAATATCTTTTGAGTGAAAGGGGAAATCCACTGTATGCTTATACCACATTTTGTTTATTCATTCACTAGTGGATGGAAATTTAGGTTGTTTCCACCTTGGGGCTATTATGAATAATGCTGCAATGAACATTCGTGTACAAGTTTTTGTGTGAACACGTGTTTTCAGTTCAGTTGGATATACATCCAACATTGAAATTGCTAGGTCCTATGTAACTCTATTTGTAATATTTTGAGAAATAGTCAAAGAGTTTTCCAAAGTTGCTGCATTTTCCATTTCAACCAGCAATGTATAAGGGTTCCAATTTCTCTGCATTCTCCCCCACAATTTTTATTGGCCATCTTTTTTATTATATAGCCATCATAGTGGGTGTGAAGCAGTATCACATGTTTTTTATTTTTTATTTTAATTTCCTTAATGACTAATGATGTTGAGCTTTTTTATGTACTTATTGATCATTTAGTTATCTTCTCTGAAGAAATGTCTATTCAAATAGTTGGCCCATTTTTACTTGGGTGGTCTTATACTGTTAAGTTTTGAGGTTATTTTATATCCTGGATAAAAGTCCCTTATTGGTTATATGATTTGCAAATACTTTCTCTCTTACTGTAGGTTGTCTTTTCACTTTCTTGATAGTGTCTTCTGAAGCAGAAAAAGTTTTCTTTTTAAGGAAGTCTAATTTATTATTATTACTTTTGGGGGCCACTTTTTTCTATGGTGTTATAGCTTGGAAGGCTTTGTCTAACCGCTGTTCATGCATATTTACTACAGCACTTTCTCCTAAGAGGTTTATAGTTTTGATTTTTTTTTTTTTTTGACGGAGTCTTGCTCTGTCATCCAGGCTGCTGGAGTGCAGTGGCGCAATCTCAGCTCACTGCAACCTCCACCTCCCGGGTTCAAGCGATTTTTCTGCTCAGCCTCCCGAGTAGCTGGGACTACAGGCACGTGCCACCATGCCCAGCTAATTTTTGTATTTTTACTAGAGACGGAGTTTCACGATATTGGCCAGGCTGGTCTCGAACTCCTGACCTCGTGATCCGCCCACCTTGGCCTCCCAAAGTGCTGGGATTACAGGTGTGAGCCACCACACCTGGCCTAGTTTTGATTTTTATATTTATGTTTACATTCCATTGTGAGTTGACTTTTAAAATCTAAACCTAGGAGGTACAAGTGCAGTTGTGTTATATGGACATACTGCATGGTGGCGAAGTCTGGGCTTTTACTGTAACCATTGCCCAAATGATGT
Source organism: Homo sapiens (assembly GCF_000001405.40). Lineage (NCBI taxonomy): Eukaryota > Metazoa > Chordata > Mammalia > Primates > Hominidae > Homo > Homo sapiens. Next base: position 11,567,056 of record NC_000012.12, read on the forward strand.
ACATTATATCCATGAAGTCATTTCTCATCTTTTTTTTTTTTTTTTTTTTTGAGACAGAGTCTCTTTCTGTCACCCAGGCTGGAGTGAAGTGGCTCGATCTCTGCTCACTGCAAGCTCCGCCTCCCGGGTTCACGCCATTCTCCTGCCTCAGCCTCCCCAGCAGCTGGGACTACAGGTGCCCGCCACCACGCCTGGCTAATTTTTTGTATTTTTAGTAGAGACGAGGTTTCACCATGTTAGCCAGGATGGTCTCGATCTCCTGACCTCGTGATCCACCCGCCTCGGCCTCCCAAAGTGCTGGGGTTACAGGCATAAGCCACCATGCCCAGCCCATTTCTTATCTCTTAACCTCCCTTCCTCCTCACCCTTCTGAGTCTCCAATATCTATTATTCCACACTCTATGTCCATATATACACATTTTTTAGCTCCTACTTATAAGTGAAAACATGCAGTACTTGACTTTCTGTTTCTGAGTTACTTCACCTAAGATAGACCTCCTGTTCCATCCATGTTGCTGCAAAAGACATGAGTTCTTTTTATTTTTTTTATTTTATTTTTTTTTTGAGACGGTGTCTCACTCTGTTGCCCAGGCTAGAGTGCAGTGGCGCAATTTCGGCTCACTGCAAGCTCCACCTTCCGGGTTCACGCCATTCTCCTGCCTCAGCCTCCCAAGTAGCTGGGACTACAGGCTACCGCCACCACACCTGGCTAATTTTTTTGTATTTTTTTTTAGTAGAGACGGGGTTTCCCCGTGTTAGCCAGGATGGTCTCGATTTCCTGACCTTGTGATCCGCTCGCCTCAGCCTCCCAAAATCCTGGGATTACAGGTGTGAACCACCGTGCCTGGCCGAGTTCATTGTTTTTTAAGGCTGAATAGTATTCTACTATTTAGTATACCACTGAATAGTATACCACATTTAGTATACTACGGGGTAGCATTTCTTCATCCAACCATCCATTGATGGACACTTAGGTGGGTTCTATGTCTGCTGTTGTGAATAGTGCTGTGATAAACATACAAATGAAAGGTGTCTTTTTGATAAAATGATTTCTTTTCCTTTGGATAGATACCCAGTAGTGTGATTGCCGGAACAAATGGTAGTTCTAATTTTAATTCTTTGAGAAATATCCATACTATTTTCCATAGAGGTTGAACTAATTTACATTCCCACCAACAGTGCATAAGGGTTCCCTTTATAAACTCTGCATCCTTGCCAACATCTGTTATTTTTTTACTTTTTAATCATAGCCATTCTGACTGGTGTAAGATATCTCATTGTGGTTTCAATTTGCATTTCTCTGATGATTAGTGATGAGCATTTTCTTTTCATATGCTTGTTGGCTATTTGTATGTCTTCTTTTGAAAAATGTCTGTTCATGCCCTTTGCCCACTTTTTTTAAAATTTCACATTCTGTTTTCATAACATTGGGCTTGGAGAAGGAAAGGAATCATGAGTATATGCAACTGTGATATTTCCCTGTCTCTCAAATGTAATACGAATCCAAGTTCAAATTGTCTTTTAAATTCAGGACCTGGTTCAGAGTCAGCAGAGGTGGCGTTCTGCTGCTGGGAAGTGGGGTCTGAGGAGACATATTCCTCCCAGTGCTGGCCCAGGGTCCGCTGCAGGACCTCTCCCTCAGGACAGGGATAGGGTTTGCTGTTGGGCCTCTGGGTGGCCTGGTGAACAGTCCTGTTAAGTGCTACAAGCTCAGCAGCATCTGGAGACATTGTTGCCAGCTTTTTTCCTTCTGTAATTGTGGTATTATATCTCAGTCAGATCCTGGATTTGTGACTTGTTGTGCTTGAAATTTGATATTTCACACACCAGCAAGGGGCCTGGAGCTTCTCACAACTGGGTCAGGGTTGCCATGGTTATGCTTGCCCCCTTGGTCCACTTTGTAATGAGGTTATTTGTGGGAGGTTTCGTTGTTGTTGTTATTGAGTTGTTTCAGTTCCTAGTAGATTCTGGATATTAGTCCCTTGTCACATATGTGGTTTGCAAATATTTTTTCACATTCTGCAGATTGTCTGTTCATTCTGTTGGTTTTTTTTTTTTTTTTTTTTTTTCCCTGAGACAGAGTCTCTCTGTCACCCAGGGCGGAGTGCAGTGGCACGATCTCGGCTCACTGCAACCTCCACCTCCCAGGCTCAAGTGATTCTCATGCCTCAGCCTCCGAAGTAGCTGGAATTACAGGCTCCCACCACCAAGCCGAGCTAATTGTTGCATTTTTAGTAGAGATGGGGTTCTGCCATGTTGTCCAGGCTGGTCTTGAACTCCTGACCTCAAGTGATCTGCCTGCCTCGGCCTCCCAAAGTGCTGGGATTATAGGCGTGAGCCACTGCCCCTGGTTGATTATTTCTTTTGCTATGCAGAAGCTTTTTAGTTCAATTAAGTCCCATTTGTCTATTTTTGGTTTTGTTGCCTGCACTTTTGATGTACTAGTCATGAATTCTTTGCATAAGCCAATGTGTTTTTTGAGTTAATTTTTGTATACATTGTGAAGAGTCCAACTTTGCACTTTTGCAGGTGAATATCCAGTTGTCCCAGCACCATTTATTGAAAATGCTATTCTTTCCCTATTGAATTATTTGGACACTCTTGTGAAAAGTCAATTGATCAAATATGTGAGAGTCTATTTCTAGATTCTCACTTCTGGTCTATATGCCTATCCTTATACTAGTAACATACTATCTTGATTACTGTTGCCCTGTAGTAAGTTTTGAAATTAGTGTGTATGAGTCCTCCAAATTTATTCCCCCTCTTTAAGATTGTTTTAGCTATTCTGGGTCTCTTGAATTTCCATATGAATTTTAAGATCAGCTTGCCAATTTCTGCAAAAAAGGCTGCTGGAATTTTTATAGAGACTATTTTGAAACTGTGTATCTGTGGAATGTTGCCATCTTAACAATACTAAGCCTTCCAGTCCATGAGCACAAGATGTCTTCATTTATTTGGATCTTTAATTTCTTTCAATAATGTTTTTTAGTTTTTCAATGTACAAAATGTATACTACCTTTGTTAAATTTCTTCCTAAATAGGTTTTCTACTTGGTGTTATTACCAGTGAAATTATTTTCTTATTTTTATTTTTAGATATTGGTAGGGTATAGAATAAACTTTTTTATATATTGATCTTATATCTACATCCTTGCTGAATTCATTTACTAGTTTAATAGTTTGCGTATGTGGCAGGGGGAGAGGATACCTTAGGATTTTCTATATATAAGATGATGTCACTGTGAATAGAGATATTTTCACTTCTTTCTTTCCAATCTGGTTGCCTTTTTTCCTTTTTCTTGCTTAATTTCCCTAACTAGAACCTCCAGTACAATATAGAATAAAAGTGGCAAGAGCAGACATCCTTGCCTTTTTCCTGATCCTAAGGAGAACTATTTCAATGTTTCACCATTACATATGTTGCTAGCTGTGAGTTTTTTGTAGATGCCCTTTACTAAATTATAGATGTCACCATCTTTTCTTAGTCTATGGAGTATTTTTAATCATGAGAGGGTGCTGAATTTGGTCAAATGCTTTTTTGACATCTGTTAAGAGGATCATATGTTTTTTGGTCCTTATTGTATCAGTGTGGTATATTGTATCTATTGATGTTCATATGTTGAACCAACCTTGCATAGCTCAGACAAATATCACTTGGTCATAAAGTATAATCCTTTTTATATGTTGCTAGATTCAGTTTGTTGTCATTTTGTTGAAAATATTTACATCTGTATACATAAGGAATATTGGTCTGTAGTGTTTTTTTCTTAAGTTTTTGTCTGGTTTTGATATGAAGGTAATGCTGGCTTCACAGAATAATTAAGAAGCACTTCTTTCTCTTCTACTTTTTGGAAGAGTTTGTAAATAAATTTTGTCATTCTTTTAACATTTGGTAGGTTTCTCCAGTAAAGCCATCTAGGCCTGGGCCTTTCTTTGTGGAATATTTTTTATTATTATTAATTCAATCTCTTTACTTATCTTAGGTCCATTTAGATAATCTATGTTTTCTCAAGTGACTTTTGGGAGATTGTGTTTTTCTAGGAATGCGTCTATTTTATCTAGGTTATCTAATGTGTTGGCATAAAATTATTCATGGTATTCCCTTATAATTCGTTTTATTTCTACAGGTCAGTAGCAATGTCTCCTCTTTCATTCCTGGTGTTAATAATTTGAGGATTTTTTTCTTTTTTTCTTGATCAGTCTAGCTAAAGTTTGTCAATTTTGCTCATTTTATTCAAATAACCAATTTTTAGCCTTGCGATTTGCTGTTTTTCTATTTTCTATTTCATTTATTTATCCTGTAACATTTATTGTCTCTTTCTTGCTGCTGGATTTGAGTTTAGTTTTCTCTTCTCTTTGTAGTATCTTAAAGTAGGAGGTTATGTTATTCTTTTGAGATTCTTCTTTTTTAATATAGGTACTTTACAGCTATAAATTTCCCTCTAAGCATTGCTTTGCTAAATTCCATAAATTTTAATATGTTGCATTTTTGTGTTCATTCATATCAAATTATTTGCTAGTTTTCCTTGAGATTTATTTGACTCACTCATGATTTAGGAGTATGTTGTTTAATTTCCACATATCTGTGAATTTTCCAAATTTCCTTCTGTTACTGATTTCTAATTTTTTAATTGTGGCCAGAGACTATACTTCAAAGGATGTTAAGCCTTTTAAATGTATTTTGGCTTGTTTTATGGCCTCGTACATGTTTTGTGCTAGAGAATGATACAGATGTGCTTGAGAAGGATGGGTATTGTGTTGTTGAGTAAGGTGTTCTACAGCTGTCTGTTAGGTCCAGTTTTCACAAACTATACAACACTACACAAATAGTATTATTCAATTCTTCTATTCCCTTGTTAATCTTCTGTCTGGTCGTGCTACCCATTGTTGAAATTGGCACATTAAAGTCTCTGACTATCATTATTGAATTTTCTGTATCTTTTCTCAATTTGTCTGTTTTTGCTTCATATACTTTGGATATCTGCTGTGAGTTGGATATCTGCATTTTCTGTTTGCTGAATCATTTGGAATTAAGTTTCAAACATAGTGACATTTTACCTCCAAGTACTTTAGCATGCTAAGTACATGCTAAGAACAAGGACTTCTCCATCAAAACCACAGTACTATTACCACACCTAAGAAACATTGACAATAATCCCACAAAAGTGGGATAACTACTTCATATTCAAATTTCCCCAAAGTTGCTTTTATAGGTGTAATTACTTTTTTATTTACCCAACTAAGGGTTCAGTGAAGGTTTGAGTTTTATAATGGGTTTTTTTGTTTTGTTTTGTTTTTAGTGTTTCCTGATAAGCACTTTCAACAAAAAATAACGGCTTATTTTCTTCATCTGATTCAGCAAATGCTGTCTCAAACCAATAAACCAACATTATAGAGATGGGTTAAGGATTAAATAATAAATAACACATTTATAAATAAATACTGGAAGAACTATAGATGAATATGTATATAAAACCATATATCCTTTCTGGAGAAGGGTTTTCTAATATGGCAACTAAGAAAAATATGGAAATATTTGTCTATTATACAATTGTATACTATTAAAGTAAAAATATATGTGTGGCTAAAAAGGCCATGAATAATGATAAGAGACAAATGGTCACCCTGGATCAATATAAATCATGGCCAGGGAAACAGAGTCACATAATATAATATCGTACTATGGCGACCAGATTGCCTGTATGAAAGGGGTAAGGGCCCAGAAAAGAAAGAATCTGAAGACCAGCACCTGTCCCAAGAATAATCTACTGCAAACTCCACAGTAATTGTAAAGAGTGAACATTTATTTCAGATTCTGGCAATATCTTGAGTATCATTCTTAATTTTAATATTGATGCAAGTTTTTATGTTTCCTCTTTATTAGGGTATATATTTCAAGAAATTGAAAAAAGACACTTTTGGCATCTGGCTATAACTCATTTTTTAAAAAACAGAAAGGCATCCTTTTTTTTTATTTATTTAATTGAGATAGGGTCCCATTCTGTCACCCAGGCTGGAGTGCAATCACAGCTTACTGCAGCCTTGATCTCCTGAGCTCAAGCTATTCTCCTGCCTCAGCCTCCAGAGTAGCTGGGACTACAGGGACACACAGCCATGCCAGGCTAATTTTTTTTTTTTTTTTTTTTTTTTTTTTAGAGATGAGGTTTTGCTGTGTTTCGCAAGCTGGTCTCAAACTCCTGGGCTCAGGTGACCCTCCTGCTTTGGCTTCCCAAAGTGCTGGGATTACAGGCATGAGCCACTGTGCCTGGCCTATTATTTGTTTTTACCAAAGTTATATACATAAGCACATATAATCAAAAACATCATTACTACTATTATTTTGAACAAATGATTATCTGCTAGATCAAGTAAGGCTAAGAAAAATCAAAGATTTTATTTTGCTTTAATTTACTCATTCTCTGGTACATTTCCTTTCTTTGTGTAGATCCAGGTTTCTGACCTTGATTATTCTCCTTGTCACTAAAGAACTTCTTTTAATTTTTCTGGCTGGGCACGGTGGCTCACGCCTGTAATCCCAGCACTTTGGGAGGCCAAGGTGGGAGGATCACCTGAGGTCAGGAGTTCAAGACCAACCTGACCAACATGGAGAAACCTCATCTCTACTAAAAATACAAAATTAGCCGGGCGTGGTGGCGCATGCCTGTAATCCCAGCTACTCGGGAGGCTGAGGCAGGAGATTGCTTGAACCTGGAGGCGGAGTTTGCAGTGAGCCGAGATCACGCCACTGCACTCCAGCCTGGGCAATAAGAGTGAAACTCTGTCTCAAAAAAAAAAAAAAAACAACAACTTTCTTTGAAGGCAGGCCTACCAGCAACAGTTTCCCTCATTTTTTTGTTTGTATGAGAAAGCCTTTATTTCTCCCTCATTTTTGAAGGATAATTTTACAGGGCATAGAATTTTAAGTCGGTAGGATTTTTTCCTCTCACCGTGTTTAGTATTTGATTCCACTCTCTTCTTATTTACATGGTTTCCATGGAGAAGTCAGCTGTAATTCTAAACTTTGCTCCTCTATAGGTAAGGTGTTTCTTTCCTCTGTTTTCTTTCAGGATTTTTTCTTTATCTTTCTGAAGCTTGAAAATGATATGCCTAGGTGTCTTTTTTTTTTTTCTTTTGGCATTTTTCCAGCTTTATGTTCTCTGAGCTTCCTGGGTCTGCAGTTTGGTGTCTGACAAGTGTTTGGGAAAATTCTCAGTCATTATTGCTTCAAATATTTCTTCTGTTATTTTCTCTCTTATCCTGATATGTTACACATTTTGTAGTTATCCCACAGTTCTTAGATATTCTATTCTGGGTTTTTTTGAAGCTTTTTTCTTTTTGCTTTTCAGTCTTGGAAGTTTCTGTTGACATATCTTCAAGTTCCAAGATTCTTTCTTCAGCCATGTCCAGTCTCCTGATGAGCCCACTGAAGGCATTTTTCATTTCAGTTACAGTGTTTTTGAGCTCTGGCATTTTTTAAATTCTTTCTTAGAATTTCCATCTCTGTGCCTATATGATCCATCTGTTATTTTAATCAAAATTATACATGCACAGAGGTACCTGGTGACACCAATTCTTTTGCCATAATCTCTTTTTCACATTGTGTAACTTGGTCCTGAATTAGAGATTTCTCTCTCTTTCACAAGCATAATGTCAGATTCTATAGTTTTCAAGAAACTTCAGAATGTCTTTGTGAGAACAGTGAGAGAGTTTGTTCTCATTCTAGCCAAGAAAAAAAAAGATACTAAATATCAACACTAAAACTGAAAACACAGCACCAAGCAATTTAGAGAATTTGATTAATTTTGTACATTAAACTATGCTGCTCTATTAGTTCTTCCTTACCACTCTTTTCATGAATTATATTGCAATCCTATATTCTATTATTGGCCATCTGGATGAAATTATAAATTATAATAAAAAGAATCCTTGATGAAGGGTCATGCACATTTTTATTTCTGTATCTACTTTAAATGTGTTAATACTATAGAGTTGCAGAAATTTGAAGTAATTTTAAATTGCTCTTATGGACAAAACCCTAAGCCTCCACTACTTTGCAATGATGGAAAAGGCCACAGAGCACTTTGAAAAATCATACTTTTATCCCCATTATCTCAGCCAAATGTGAACTGTGGCAAACATCATGTACCTGCAAGCTTCTCTCCACCTATAAGGCCCCTGTCTTCTTCACATGCTACCCTTTCTACCTGGGTGTGAGCATCAATGGTCTGGAGTCATAACTTCTGGGAGCAGGTCTGCTTTTGATCAACTATACCACTCACAAGATTTTATGTGCTTGGTTCTCTTCAACTATGCAAATAGTAGATCAACTAACAACTGTTCCAGCCATAAAGATGAAATCCTCTTCATTCTTACATTCTCTTATAATTGACAAAGTATTGAAATACTTAGTGATGCTCTACTGCTACTACAATAGCTAGATAGACCTTTTGTTCCATCATTAGTTGATTCCCCTCCATTCTGGGCCTGTTTTCATTAAGTTTTCCTTATATAATATGAGGAAACTGTGAAGCATGATTTCTCAATCTCATTATCAGCACTCTTGACATCTGGGGCTGTAAAATTCTTTGTTATGTAGGGCTGCCCTGTGCATCATAGCATCTCTGATCTCTGCCCACTAGATGCCAGTACCACTCCCCCAACTTCTAGTGTGACAACCAAAAATGTCTCCAGACATTGCCAAATGTCCCCAGGGAGTGAGGGGTAAAATTACCCTCAAACCCCAAATAAAAACCACTGTTGTAAAGAAAACTTAAATGTTATAATGTATATAAAGGGGACTCACAAACTATGCAGTTTAGGAATTATTATATTTTTAATGTTTTTTGTCAATGTGTTGTAGAAGAATATGAGATGAAATATAGGCAAAGAGTGAAAGGTGGTCCTTAGAGTGTATTCCAGTTTACTGTCTGTATGGAAGTTGCCTTATGAGAAAAGGCAGACAATCTCTAAGGATGCCTTAAAAGAGGTTTCTGTAGCTAGTCATGTAACAGTTAAGTTGGCCATGGTACCCACATCATGATTACCTTACAGCTTATTCCTTGGGCAGGGGACTAGCCCCTTTGCTGCTTGCTATAAGAGGTGCTGAGCCTTTAACCCTAGGTTCCCCGCATGTGGCACAACCCACTGTGTGAGTAGCTGCCCATTACCACCCCATGGGACTTTGGGACAGGAGAACCAGAATTACCATGCTGATGTTCCCACTGTGTGCTGTGCTGTCTTGCTTGAGTCTCTTTGTCTATTTTCACACCTCCAAAGTGGCAGCAAGCCAACCTGGTTACTGGCTTAGTCATCTCCTTGGCCTTCTTGTTACTCTTCACCATTCTCTATGAGGGAGGAGTTTCCCCTGATACTGGGTTAAGTTACTTCACTTCCCTTTGTCTTTGTTTCCACATTTTAAAATGGGGATAATAATGATAGTACTTAAATCTTAGTGTTGTTGTGAGGATCATTCAAGCTAATGTAATAGCCTGATAGGTAATTATGTCCAAACTAATGCCATGTTGCTTAGTTCTATTTTCTCCTATATGTCCCTGTGTTAGTCTGTTCCCACATTACTGTAAAGAAATACCTGAGACAGGGCAACTTATAAAGAAAAGAGGTTTAATTGGCTCATGGGTTTGCAGACTGTACAGGAAGCATAGCAGCTTCTGGTTCTGGGGAGGCCTCAGGAAGCTTCCAATCATAGTGGAAGGCAAAAGGGAGTAGGAGTCTCACATGGCAGGAGCAGGAGCAAGAGAGAGTAAGATGGGAGGTTTTACACTTAAATGATCTGATCTCATGAGAACTCACTCACTCACTATTGTGAGGACAGTACTAAGAGGGATGGTGCTACACCATTCGTGAGAAATCCACCTCCACAATCCTATCACTTCCCACCAGTCCCACCTCCAACATTGGGGATTACAATTTGATATGAGATTTGGGTGGGGACAAATATCCAAACTATATCAGTTCCTACCTTCTTAGATTGCCTACTAAACTCCAAATCCTACCTTTCTTTCACAGTGAAATTTACTTTTCTTTGTCATAGACTACATTTCCATTTCACAGTGCACATCATCTCACCATCTTTCTTGCTTTCTCTCTCCCTCAGTCTCCTCTACTCATTAACCTCCATCCTCCTTTGCCGGACAGATTCCTCCCTTTGTCTTTGGTGCAGTTGTTTGCAGACCAAATTTGTTGTAACACGCCCCTAGTATTTCAGTTTTTACTTCAAGGTGATTAAAAGATTTTCATCTAGTCAAGTCCCTCCTACCAATGAAATTCTTGTTAATAAAAGTTTCTTTATCACCTCACATAATTCATTGTTCAATGAATATTTTTGTTCCTATAGTGGGTTAATATTTTGATATTCAACTATGTGATTTTTCTTAATTCCTCTTACTTATCTTTTCTTTCCCCACCATTCAAGGAGTGTTAGGGTTTTAGAAATACAGATACAAAGATGATACAGAGAGAACAATTAAATCTTTAACCTGAAGCTCTTGAGAATAATTCTGTAAAGTCCATAGCAGAGAAAAAGGTCTTAAAAGTCATTGCTTTCCATTATTAGAGCCAGAGACTTAGAGAAACATGTTATTTAAATCCCCAAAGTCAGACTTTAAATATCCAAAGCCAGTCCCCCAGAGGGCCAAGTACATAATATTTATACTAAAACCACGGAAAGAAATATGTGATGTCCTAAGAACCATGTCCTGCTCAGAAGAAGATCAAAGCTTGACCAGCAGGCAGGAAGGTGGGGATTAATGAAGGATGTGCTAAGGGTTCCACCGCTAGTGGGACCCAGTGTTATCACTTCCTCCCCCAAGGGCAACCCTTTGCAGAGAGGCATAATAAGCTCAGATGCATGCATGTGTGGCATTCCGTAGCAAAAAGAACTATTACCTGCCTTTCCAGACAACCCAAGCAACTGTAACCCTCACAGAGGACCCCTGAATCCACCTGGGCAGTAGAACAGTGATGATGAGGGCTGGGACTGTTAACATCAGTTCTTTGGTATGTGGTATTGGAAGGAGGTGGAGCAATGAGTAATTTTTTGTTTGTATGCTCCAAGACTGTTTGGCTTGAAAAAAAGGGTATGATCTAGTCATGCAATATTTTTTAAACAATAAAATAAAAATGTGAAAAGAAAAAAAAAGTGGATGTGAGAAGGGAAAAAAAATCTCGTAAGCTTAGCAGTAAGTTTCAAAAGAAACTCTCTAAAATTTTTATTTAAAAATTAATATTGGTTAGATGCAGTGGCTCACACCTGTAATTCCAACACTTTGGGAGGCTGAGGTAAGAGGATTGCTTGAGACCAGGAGTTTGGGACCAGCCTGGGCAACATAGCAAGACCCTTGTCACTACAAAAAATTAAAAATTAGATAAGCATGGGAGTGCACATCTGTAGTCCCAGCTACTCAGGAGGCTGACTAGGATGACTTGAGCCCAGGAGGTTGAGGTTGCAGTGAGCCATGATTGAACCACTGCACTCCAGACTGGGTGACAGAGCGAGAACCTGTCTCTAAAAAATAAATAAAAATGAATCTCATTTTGAATAATCAGACTTTCACTTCTCTCTTTTCATCTCTTAACTCTGCACCTCTGATTAAAGTGATGAAATTGAGTAAAATGAGAAGAAAAAGGGAGCTTCTTAAAATAAGCCACATTGTGGAATAAACTCAAGAATTAAGATCTGATCTTGCTAGGTTTTGAGTCTTAATTTTCAAGGACCACTTTCAGTTGTGGTTGTGGGAGTTGATCCCCTTTTCTCAACTAATGCCCGTTAACCTGGAAATTTCTCTATTCCTTCATTCTCTTCTGTCCCCACCCCGAAACCACACCCCACATCTCTTTCTATTCCCCATACCATGCACATTCACATGCCCAGAACTTCTTATCTTCTTGTCTTTACCCTAATTTCTTTTTCTTTCTTTCTTTTTTTTTCGAGAAAGAGTCTCACTCTGTAGCCCAGGCTGGAGTATGCAGTGGCTGATCTCAGCTCACTGCAACCTCCACCTCCTAGGTTCAAGCGATTCTCCCACCTCAGCCTCCAGAGTAGCTGGGACTACAGGCGTGTGCTACCACGCCCGGCTACTTTTTGTATTTTTAGTAGAAACTGAGTTTCACCATGTTGGCCAAGCTGGTCTCAAACTCCTGACCTCAAGTGATCTGCTCACCTCGGGCTCCAAAAGTGCTGGCATTACAGGTATGAGCCACCGCGCCCAGCCTTTCCCCTAATTTCTTATTATCCCCTACCTCTAGGCTTCCCCATTCCCCTTTCTCAAGATCTTCTTTTATCCTCAAGACCACATGAGACATCATAACTTCATTGTGAGAGGCATTAATCTACTGGATGGAGCACATGTGGGGAGTATCTGGGGTCTATACCAATTTCCATAGTAACCTTTTTCAGGGAAATCACTTCATCCTTAAAAAATGGGATAAAGGAAAGAAATAAGGCTAACCACCCTGGGCTACATCCAAGAACAGTGCAGAGATATGGAGGGTTCCAGGCTGTGTGAAAGACGGTTCATAACTGCTACTAATTGTAGCTAGGAAAGAGAGGAAAGGAGAACACGAATTAGAGCCTGAGAATGGAGAGAGAGCTGAAGGAGTTGATGGCATGATTTGTCAAGCTAAAGGAAGAAAGAAAATGAGTCAAGAAACAGAAGGTCACAGAAGAAATTCAGCAATTAATTTGTTTAATACTGTGCCATTCCACCCTTCTTCTCCCAGTTCAGTGCACAATCCCTGAGCTCAGGATATGCCCTTGAAGTTTCAAAGTCAGGAAGGATAAGCTGGGGTTTCTGAAGAGGAGAGTTTTGGGGGCGGGGGCCTACTAGATATAAAGAAATATGTGTGCCTACTTTAGTACATTTTCCATTACATGATTTGAGTGAGGGTAAAAAGCATAAAATTAAGCATTTCATTTTTAAAATGTGTATTCAATATTCCAAGAGTTATTCTTATCAACTTAAATCCAGAATAATTTTTCATGTGATGACAAGCAATGGGACATGGTGATGTCTATGATTTTGTGTCCGAGCAAGTATTGTACACTTGATTAATCTTTTCTGGATAAAACATTAGCAATTCTTGGGAAACCAAAGCTTGAAGCAGAGCAGAATGAGGCGTGACACTGAGTAAGTGGTGAACTTGGTGTCATTGAGCTCCTTTTTAGGGATTAAACCATCTCAGAATGCATTTGACTCACTTCAGGAAGTAATGCTGCAAAGCAAATGACCTACTTCATACTTAATCCCCAATGCTGCAACTTTGTGCAGCATTTTGAAGAAGCCCAGAGGACCTGATCCTAGACCACCCATGAGGAAGTAGTAAACCCCCAACACCCACAACACTGCCCCCACATGCAGAAGTGAGAACAGATTCAAAATTGTGTGGAAGTGCTTGCTGCGAGGGCTTTTGGCCTCTGCCTGCCCATGTTAAGCAACTTGGGCACACACCTCCAGTGTCTTGGCAAGAATCTCCAACTCCCACAAGAATGGGAAGAAAGCCAAAGAAGGCCAAAGAAGGCCAAAACTTTCTCCAAACAAGCTCAGTAGCAAAACTCTGTGGGAGAGAGAGAAGTAAGGCAATTGCCCTAGGCATATTGGGCAGATGAGTCAGCACCCAGCAAGAGAGGAGCCTGTAATTCTGGAGAAGTTAGGGCTGGTACCACCATGGAATTAGGTGGAGAGGAAGAGAGAATGTGTACTCATCAAGAAAAATGGATAGTCCAGCATGCAGACATGGAAATGCCCTCTTCACCGTCCTTCCTTTCCTAAGAAATTCTGGGTTCTAGGCCAGGTGCAGTGGCTCACACCTGCAATCTCAGCACTCTGAGGCCAAGGCATGTGGGACACTTGAGGTCAGGAGTTCAAGACCAGGCTGGGCAACATGGCAAGACCCCATCTCTACAAAAAAATTAAAAAATTAGCCAGGCGAGGTAGTGCACACCTGTAGTCCCAGCTGCTAGGAAGACTGAGGTGGGAAGATGACTTGAGCCCAGGAGTTTGAGGCTGCAGTGAGCTATGATCGTGCTATTGCACTCCAGCCTGGGCAGCAGAGTGATACCGTCTCTAAAATAAAATAAAATAAAATAAAATAAAATAAAATAAAATAAATTCTGGGTTCTCTGTCCACACCTGTAGTTAAACTCACTGAGAAGGAAAATACCAAGCATTGCACCAAAGTCTAAGAAATCACCACTAAAGAACTTACCCCTGTAATCAAAAACCATATAGACCCCTAAAAACTATGGATATAAAATTTTATAAAAGAAAAGAAAAAGAAAATGCCCAGCAGGTGGCAGCACTAGACAACTGAAGTAAAACAAGGCTGCAAGGCAACACGAAAGTTCATCTTGGAGACTTTGCGCTGTAACTTTCCTTGGTGGGATTTTATTTAGCTATCAGTGAATATCTCATAAGAAGGAATTTGTATCCCAGCACCTACCACAGTGCCTGACACATGCTGGGTATATGTGTTGACTGAATGCAGGCAGGCTGGCAGGCAGGAAGGAAGGAAGGAAGGAATTTTGACAACTCACCTAAACTAGAAAAATGTCATCATTTGAAATGGCCATATTCTCTTCTTATCCCATCATTACTATTGTCATTTTAATTAGTTTTAGTAATATTAATAAAGCATCCTACTAGATTAATTTTCTCTACTCACCCTTTTGACAACCTACATCCTTATTCTCTACTGAATTAAATTTTTCTCATCGCTTTTGGAGACTTTTATTAAATCTCAGGGTTAAAAAAAAAAAACTCAAGATTAGAAACACCACAGCTAGAATTCCAGTTTTAAAAGAAATTATTTGTCTTTGAATGTTGGTGTTTATAAGGAAGGCATTTATGAGTAGACTATCGTTCTTTGATTAGTTGTATTTTTTTTAACCAATGACTTGTTTGCAGACTGTGCTTAAGTTTTATTATTATTTAAAAAAAATTTGTTTTCTTTTATTGACCATCTCTGAAATATGCTATTGTGCAGTGGCTTGCGCTTTTTTAGAATCCTACTTAATAATAATTTAAGGTAATAAAAGTTAGAAGAAAGACTAAATAAACTAATAGATGATAAGAAATCACTCTGCCCATGCACTGTGCTATATTGGGTCAGAGTGATGACTTTCTATCACTTTCGAGATAGAGGAAGAAAATCCTCACCCTTTGCTTCACCAGATACAGAAAATGGCTACATTGGACACCCGAATAAGAGCTTCCAAATCTACCTATTAGAACGAAGGGTAGCCAAACTTTCCCTGAAAGCTAATGTTAGCTGAGCACGATGGCTCATGCCTGCAATCCCAGCACTTTGGGAGGTCGAGGCAGGAGAATAGCTGGAGGCCAGGATTCATGACCAGCCTGGGCAACACAGCAAAACCCCCTCTCTAAAAGAAAATGTTTAAAATTAGCCAGGCATGGTGATGAGCGCCTGTAGTCTTAGCTAGCTACTCGGGAGGCTGCAGTGAGAGGCTCACGTGAGCATAGGAGTTCAAGGTTGTGGTGAGCTATGATTCCATCACTGCACTCCAGCCTGGGCAGCAGCCAGATCCTGTCTCAAAAAAAAAAAAAATGCTAATGGTAAAATTTTTGCTAGTAAGAATAATGGCAGTTGATGACACTCAGTTGGAGCATGTAGTTGAGTTTTTTGAGGGCGGGTATGTTGTTTTATGTACTTTCATATATCCCTAGCATCTCACCTTGTGTCTGGTATATTTTAAAACCTCAATCAATATTTACTGAATGTGTGGAGACTATCAAGACATATGTCACTGAACAGTGGTACTTGAATCAGAGCCACGTTCTCAGCAGAAGAAAAGAATAGAATGGCAGATCATGGGAGTCACAATTCAGCAGACTTATAAGAATGGGCCCAGAGCCAAAATAATTAGCATCATCTGGAATTGGTGACACCCTAGATTATCTCTTTCATCTTAGGAACTCCTATCCTCACCCTGTTCAGCTTTGTTACACATAGCCATCTTGCTGCTGCTTTTACACCTTTATTGTGTATTAAATGCAACTTTCCTGAACTTGAAGAGCCTCTGAGTTCTTCTTATCAATAAGGGGAATGTTCTGAGTTATCATGTGTCTCCCTAATTCTGGAGGAATAGTGTATCTAAAAACAAGCATCTTACATGTTGATGTTCCCTGCATCAAGCTTAATTCCTATTCTATTTTCATTCTGCATGCTCTCCCCAGGCAAGTGCATCCCCACCCATAATTTCTAAACCAGGAACTGCAGATCTTTACTTGTGATTGCCATTGTTTCTTGAATTTCAAATCCATACATATAGCTAATTTCCCATAAGAAAACTCTACCTGGGCATACCATATATTAATAGCTACCTTAAATATATCATATCAAAGATCAAATCCACAGGCTCTGATTTAAGATGGCAGATTAAGCACATTTGTTTATCTTTTTCCCAAAAACCATATTGAAATCATAGTAAAAGAATAAAAAGCATGTCAGGCACAGTGGCGTGCACCTGTAGTCCTAGCTACTCAGAAGGCCAAGGCAGGAGGATTGCCTGAGCCCAGGAGTTCAAGTTCAGCCTGAGCAACATAGACCTCACAAAAAAAAAAAAAAAAAAAAGGAAAGGTAAAGAAAGGAAAAGGTATGAACACTCCCCCCACCCAACCCAACCAAACAAAGAGAATGGAAGGGAAGCTAATGGAGGAATAGAGGTTACAGCAAAGTTCTAGAAGTCAGGAGATGGATGAAGAGGGATGACTGATGATGATCAGAGCTGATGAGGAAGCTGCAGCCTAGTACCCCTGAGGGATGAGACTACAGCCAAAAAGGGAGCCGATCTGTCTAGAATTAACTCAGAAATTTGTCTCAACTTGGAGACTACAGTTCTACAGAAGGCAAGAGTAAGAAACAGACAACCAGCAAAAGCACATTAGCATCTTCAGAGAAATTAAGAATGACATTGCATCCATAAAACAAGAGCAAGATAAAAGACATGAATGCCAAACGTCATGCTTCTCCACAACCTGTGTCTGTTCCTGCGCCTCCTGTCTCAGTGAATGAATGCTTCCATCATGCACCCAGTTTCCCAAGCCAGAGAGTTGAAAGTGATCCCTTTATTCTTCCCTTCTCTTTATGCCTCATTCAATAAACTAAGGGTTGATTCTACCTCCTAAATATCCTTTGTATTTTCCCCTCACCTCTCTTCCCCACAGCCACTGCGTTTAATAGACCTTTCTTACGTCTTTCCTAAATTCTAGCAATAACATTTATCCCTGCTCTATCTCTAGTTTGAAGCCTTCCCAAACCTTTCTCCAGGATCATAATCCCCAGTTTCAGTCAACCCAGCATCTGGCATACTGCCCTTCAACCAGTGAGTGTCTAATTGTCATTTGGATTGAGTAATACCTGACCATCTGTCCAGCCTGCAATTTTTACTGCTCCATACTTTCTTCTTTAAATCCCAGAAATATGGACTTACTTTTAGTTCTTTCTCAAAACATGTCTCCTTTTTAAAACATGTGCTGTTCTCCCAGCCCGAAACCCGCATTCTCGTTGTTGGCATAGAAACTCCTTCAAGGCTCAGCTGAAATGTTACTTCCCCTGAGGAAGTTCCCTAATTTCCCCTGGACTGACATGGGTATTCATACTTTATATGCCCTGGGAATATCTCATGTGCCTTCTCTACAGCACTTTTGTGTTGAATTGTAAGTTCCTGTTTCCCCAGACCCGACTGTAGCCTCTTTGAGGGCAGGAACCAATCCTCTGAGCTTGGTATCCCTTGCACATATGCGGCATAAAGGAGTGGTTATAATCACAGAATTCTATTTTTTAAGATAGAAGGAAGCTCAAGAAATTATCTGTATAGTTCCTATCCTTGAGCCAATGAAATATTATCATTCTTATTTATTAATTGAGGCAACTGAAACATGCAGATGAAGCAATTTATTTAAGGTTGCAAAGTGAAGTGCACAGGCTTACGTGGGCAATGGGGACAGAGGCAGGGAGGGGAGAGAGGGTGATCAGAACTAACATCCCAATTTCCTTCTTACACAGTGCTCCTTCCACCTCGTGAACACACCTCTTACCAATCAATTGCCATTTACTGAAGAAATCCACCTTGAAAAAAGAAAAGGAAAGATAAGCAACAAAAATATATACATTGCCCAAACTGACAAGGAAATTACTTTCTTTAAAATAATGACAGGCCAGATGCCGTGGCTCACGCCTGTAATCCTAGCACTTTGGGAGGCCGAGGTAGGCAGATCAGTTGAGGTCAGTAGTCTGAGACCAGCCTGACCAACATGGTGAAACCTCGTCTCTACCAAAAAATACAAAAATTAGCCAGGCGAGGCCGGGCGCGGTGGCTCACGCCTGTAATCCCAGCACTTTGGGAGGCCGAGGCGGGCGGATCACGAGGTCTGGAGATCGAGACAATCCTGATTAACATGGTGAAACCCCATCTCTACTAAAAATACAAAAAATTAGCTGGGCGTGGTGGCGGGCACCTGTAGTCCCAGCTACTCGGGAGGCTGAGGCAGGAGAATGGCGTGAACCTGGGAGGCGGAGCTTGCAGTGAGCCGAGATTGCGCTGCTGCACTCCAGCCTGGGCGACAGAGCAAGACTCCATCTCAAAAAATAAATTAATTAATTAAATAAAATAAATAAATAAAAAATTAGCCAGGCATGGTGGTGCATACCTATAATCCCAGCCTGAGCTCAGAAGTTGGAGACCACCCTGGGCAACACGGTGAAACCCCGTCTCTGCTAAAATACAAACACTTAGCCAGGTGTGGTGGTGGGTACCTGCAGTCCCAGCTGCGAGGCTGAGGGATGAGAATCACTCCAGCCTGGGTGACGGTGTGAGTCCCTGTCTCCAAAATAATTAATTAAAATAAAATAATGACCATTGTTACCTGATATTTTTAACCTTAGTGTTGTTTCAAGCCAGGAGGGTAATCATCCTCTGAGAGTATAGAACCATTTATTCATTTGGAACTATGTCCCATACATAATTTCCTATTAAAACAAACTAACAAGCAAATGCTCCCATAGGCTGCCACAGTCAGTTCTTCCCTGTATTCATTCTCTTTCTCTCTCTCTCTTTCCTTGTTTTTAGAGGGAGATGGGGTTTCACTATGTTGCCCAGGCTTGTCTCCAGTTCAAAGCTTCTCGAGTAGCTCGGGCTGTAGGTGCATGCCACCACACCTGGCTTCCTTGTATTGGCTTATTGCAATTTCTGGTGCATACACCAATGGTGGCAAGTGAGCCAAATATTATCAGCATTCTGGCCAGCCAAAGCCATTTTCTTCCCTGCCTCAGCACAGTCTCACATAGCCCACCATTGTCTTGCCTATTCTTGACAGTTTGCAAGATCTGTGTCTTCTGTTTCTTTTTTATTTCACTCGGTGCCCTATCTATAATTATAATAGATACTCAAGAGATAACTTGTTGACTTGATAAAGAAAACAAGAACTGCAGAACACTCAGTGACTTTTTACACTTTCTTACCCATTTCTGTCTTAGATATTGTTATTTGATAGCTCCTTCTCAATCTACTTATAGCCTGAATCTATATCAGAATTTATGCAGATGAGTTGCATTGAGAACACCCATTTTTAGACTACCTAATCCTGGTTTTTCAACCAGGTAGAGCCATTCAGCCAGCCCCAGTTTTGCTAGGTTAGCTCAGTTAATAAGAACAGAAGCAAAACTGATTAATTGGATTGTGAATCCTAACCCTGGTTGACCAAAGGCAATAGACAGATGTTACTTTGTCCTTTTTAGAACCACCATGCAAATGATATAAATTTCCTTGATTCTGCCCTCTACTCTTTTCTATTTGAATATTTTCTCTCTGGGCAGTTTTATCCATTTAGCATCATCATAAGTAATATGCTAATGACTCCCAAATCTACAGTTCTAAAACCAACCTCTCCTAAGAGCTGAAGACCCCAATTTCTTAGGGCCTCCTACACAACCCCACATGGATAGTCTGATGCCACCTTAAAAATAAGATGTCTAAAATAAATTTTAGCATTTTACTCGAATCTATTTCTCTCACTGTTAAAGATATCACTATCTTTCCAAACATAATGGCCTAGAACTCCAGTCATAATTTCAACTCCTCTGTACTGTCCTCCCCCCCTACATTGGGATAGCTCAGGTGGCTCCTCAACTCACAAGAAGTTCCCGTGTGGCCGTGAATATAATGCCTTCCTTTACTCATAAATCATGATTTTTATGGGGTCTGCCGAAAACAGTACCTCATTGCCAGGTCCAGTGACTAGTGCAATTGGTGGATATTTGGCCCCAGCCCATCAATTCCTCTCTGGAAACCTTCAGACTGGCCCAGGAGAAGATCCCATTCTTCTTGAGTTCCTCAGCTAGAAGAACACACCTCCTGAACCAACTATGGCCATGACCCTCAAGCTTGGAGAGAGTCTCTACCGCAGAGAAGAAAAAAGCCACATTCAGAAAGGGGATATGGAGGAAGAATGACACCTGAGGCCCTGATTCGTTGTCCCTACCTGGCTGTATCTCTGTCTTTCCCAAAGTTAGGTTCATCATCTGACTTTGCAAATACATTTTCCTTTTTTTTCTTTATAATGAGCCATGTTGGGTTTTCATCATTTACAAAGTCCAAACTTAAAACTTTTCTTTTTTCACCCATGCTTCCCCTTGCCCTGACCAGATAGGAAAAGATTTAATCAGTTGCCAAATTCTGTGGCTTCTTCCTCATAGACATCCTCCATATGTGTCCCATCCACTCCATCTAGCCCAGGCCCTGGGTTACAGTAATGGCTTCCTTACCACATTCCCAAACTCTAATCTTGCATTCTCTAAACATCCTCCAATTGCCGTCAAAAAGCTTCTAAAAAAGGTATGGTGGTGTGCGCCTATAGACCCAGCATCTCAGGAGGCTGATGTGGGAGGATCGCTTGAACCTGGGAGGATCGCTTGAACCCAGGGGGCAGAGACTGCAGTAAGCCAAGATAGCTCCACAGCACTCCAGCCTGGGCAACAGAGCAAGACTCTGTCTCCAAAAAAAAAGCTTCTAAAAGACTAAATGTGGCTGGGCACAGTGGCTCACACCTGTAATCCCAGCATTTTGGGAGGCCAAGGTGGAAGGACCACTTGAGGTCAAGAGTTTAAAACCAACCTGGCCAACACGGTGAAATCCCGTCTCTACTAAAAATACAAAAATTAGTCAAGCACGGTGGCAGGTGCCTGTAATCCCAGCTACATGGGACCCGGGAGGCTAAGGCAGGGGATTCGCTTGAACCCGGGAGGAGGAGGTTGCAGTGAGTTGAAATCGCGCCACTGCACTCTAGCCTGGGTGACAGAGTGAGACTCTGTTTTAAAAAAAAAAAAGAAAAAAAGAAAAAAAAAATACTGAATGTGTCAGCCTTCTCTTCAGTAGTCTTCAGTGGCTCCCTCGAACCCACAGAACAAAAATTAAACTCAAATGGCCTCAAACATCCTATGATTTTGGCACTTGCTTTTTTTTTCCACTTTGTCTCTCAGTATATCCTTCAGGCAAACATGACCACTCACTTATCACTAAATATTTCCTGAATTTTCCTGTCTCTATGCTTGCAATTTTCTCTCCATCTACCAGAATACAAATCCTACCCATTCTTAAAATGCCACTTCTTTTTTTTAAACCTTTGTTTGTTGTTTTTGAGACAGAGTCTCATTCTGTCGCCCAGGCTGGAGTGCAGTGGCACGATCTCAGCTCACTGCAACCTTCTCCTCCCAGGTCCAGGGAATCCTCTCACCTCAGCCTCCCGAGTAGCTGGGGTCACAGGCGTGCACCACCACACCCAGCTAATTTTTGTATTTTTAGTAGAGACAGGGTTTTGCCATGTTGCCCAGGCTGGTCTGGAACTCCTGGCCTCAAGTGATTAACCCTCCTCAGCCTCCCAAAGTGCTGGGGTTAAAGGCATGAGCCACCATGCCTGGCCATATGCTGCCTTCTTTATGAAACATAAAACCTCCCAAACATCAGCAAACTACATTTTCTTTGCTTCTAGAGCACTTGATACCTTTACTTTGCTTTATACTACAGTTATTTTAATATGTCTTATTTTCCTTTTAGGCTATAAAATTTCTTGAGGACAGAAACTTCTATGTTAACCATTAGTACCAAACATTAATAAGTTTTCACCAAATTGATTAGACATGTATATTTGGAAAGAGGGTTTGTTTCTCCTCTTATTTCTTCAAACTTTAATTCAGTGTTGGAATTAATGCTTCCAGTGGAAACTGTGAGACATTTATTACGAAAATCTAGGTAACTGCATCATTTTCTATCCTACCATTCTCATTCATTTCCTCTGTAAGAGGAGTCCCAGTTCAAAATAATTTCTGGGAGAAAATCGAATGCCTGATTCTGTCCCATTAAGAAAAAACATCTTCCAGCCTCACTCCCTTTCTTCTTTCCTTCTTCCTTCCTTCTTTCCTGTCTTCTTTTTTTCTTTTTTCTTTCTTTCTTCTAAGAGATAATCAGAATGCAAGCTATGGGCCAGATGCGGTGGCTCATGCCTGTAATCCCAGCACTTTGGGAGGCCTAGGTGGGCGGATCACAAGGTCAGGAGATCGAGACCATCCTGGCTAACGTGGTGAAACCCCGTCTCTACTAAAAATACAAAAAAATCAGCCGGGCATGGTGGCAGGCGCCTGTAGTCCCAGCTACTTGGGAGGCTGAGGCAGGAGAATGGCATGAACCCGGGAAGCAGAGCTTGCAGTGAGCCGAGATCGCACCACAGCACTCCAGCCTGAGCGACAGGGCCAGACTCCATCTCAAAAAAAAAAAAAAAAAAAAAAAAAAAATGCAAGTTATGGCTTAGGTATAATTGTAGGTGCCAAACTAAAGTCAACTTTTATTTGTGACTCTTTTGCCATTTTGTCAAGTCAGCAGTTCATCTTCTCTCTGATCTATGAAGACTGCACCTGAACTAGTTTGAGTCATGTTATTTGTATGACATAAAAATGGGGCATCTGATAACATCTGCTCCCTTTCTCTTATCCAAATCACGAATAGCGTTCCTCTCCCTTCCCTTAGTCACCAGCTTTTGAAGATTTACAATCTGTGATAGTAAAAAGAAATGGATTTTGAACTCTAAGCAGTCCAGTTAAAGTAAGGAAGCCACAAGAGAAGGAAACACAGAGTGAACCCTTAATAATAAGGACTTTTCTGTGTGCAGGAATGAGCTATGGAAGATGGGAGAGAAGAATGAGGATGGATGACTAAGAGCAATGAAAGCTTACAAAGAAACCCAAGAAGGCGAAATATTTGCTTATGAATAAACAGGAAGGGAAGAAATAGCTTTCTGCCTTTCTTGTAGTAGATACTCAATAGCCATTTATGTAAGAATTTGGACAGTCCTTAAAAGATAAGACTTGCATTCTTAGAATTGAGAATCAATAAGAAAAACTATTCTTTGAGAGAACCATGGTTATTTTAAGGCTATGGGATGACTTATATAAATGGTTTGACCAGAACTTATTTAAGCTCCTATCCACATACAATTCTATATAAACTGAGTTTTAGAGAGTCTTTGGTTCCAGGCATTTATAGCCTGAAACTATATCAAAATTTTTGCAGATAAGTTGCATTGAAAACAGTTGTTTTTAGACAACTTTATCCTGGTTTTTGCACCAAGTAGAGCCATTCAGCCAGCCTAATATTGCTAGGTTCACACAGTTACTAGGATCTGAAACAAACCTGATCAACTGGATTCCGAGTCCTCAACCTGGTTGGCCAAGGGCACTAGACAGATGTTACTGATACAGAGTCAAATAATATATAGGCAACTGATCTGATATGGAACCAGAGAGTTGGGATATGGTAGTGAAAATTGCATCAGATTTCTGCTCAGAACAACCTGAGTTTGAATCTTGGCTCCCTTGTGTAGACTTTGAGCATATCACTCAATTTCTCTGGTTCAGTTTCCTGTGGCTGTGAATGAAAAACTCCATTTCTCTCAGATTCAGCTTCCTGTGAAAAATTGGAATATAAAGTTGTGAGGATTAAATAAGACAATGTATAAGAAGGTAACTTAGAGTCTGCAAAGTGTTATGTAAATGTAAGGTATTATGAATTTTTGGTTATGGACTTGTTAACAAAGTGATGTGTTAACATTATGCTTAAGCAAAGGGTTTCCATTATTAGATTTGAGAGCAGGAGAATTATGTACAATATATATAGAGACAGGATGAGCCATCCACTAATTCAATACTAATTCAAATGTTTATTGGCAGCATAGCATACTATGTGCCAGGAGTGTTTTCAGTGTTGGAGATACAGCAGATAAAACAAAAAGATTATAATACCTGTCCTCAGGGACAGCATACAGATAAACAATGAACTAGTAAAAACAAAGAGGGCTGGCTGGGCACAGTGGTTCATGCCTGTAATCCCAGCACTTTGGGACGCCGAGGCGGGCAGATCACCTGAGGTCGGGAGTTCAAGACCAGCCTGACCAACATGGAGAAACCCAGTCTCTACTAATAATACAAAAATTAGCTGGACGTGGTGGTGCATGCCTGTAATCCCAGCTACTCAGGAGGCTGAGGCACGAGAATCACTTGAACCCGGGAGGCAGAGGTTGCAGTGAGCTGAGATTGCACCATTGCACTCCAGCCTGGGCAACAAGAGCGAAATTCCATCTCAGAAAAACAAAAACACAACAAAGAGGGCTGCAAAAAGTCACTTAGGTCAAATTTGGGATTATATCACTGTGAAGTTCACGTAGAATGATATTTTTCAGTTGCTGATGTCACAAAAAAAAGTGAAACAAACTATATATACACAACTAATAGACACTAAACTGATTTTTAAAAATCTCAGATTATCAGGAGGGAGTCACTTCTAAAGTCCTCCCCACCTCCAATCACTACTCCCCTGCCCAACCCACTCCCACAAGAATTTTGACTGGTTAAGAACTGGATCGAGGCTGGACAGAAGATGGGAACCCCGTGCTTTATATCTGGGGTTAATGTCCATGATATGACAGAATGTGTCTTGGAGAAAAGTAGCCTCGGGAAGGGAAATAGAGACAGTCCTGGGTGGTGGGCATAGAAGACGGTGGGAAGGTGGCATCTAAGCCTGAAGGTGAGGGAGCCATCCACATGGAGATCTGGGGGAATCCCATGCCCACCAAGAGGAACAAAGAGCAGATGGCCCTGAGCTGAGAGCACATCTAGTGTGCACGGGAGAGAGCAAGGGGGTCAAGGAGGCCACGGAGGAATAAAGGGCGGGGTGGTGGTGGCAGGAAAAGGTTAATAAAAAAGAAGATCAGAGGTAACTGGGCCAGATGGGGTGGGGAGAGCCACGAAAGACACTGAACGTCATGTTGTAGGACCTTCTTCTTGGTTCAGCTGAAAGCCAGGTTCTTGTCACAAGGCCATGAGAGATTCGGTTCGCATACAATTTGAATGGCGAGAAAAATGGAATATATTGGGCAAAAAAGAAAAAAAAAAGGAAGGGGGCGGAAACAGGAACTCTCAGCTGAGCGAGAGTCTTGTTAGCGGCTTTTTCTGCCTCACAGATTGAATCCCAGGTACCACCCCGGACCAGGTGGGGCCAGGCTCCTCCCACCTGCAAATGGCGGGAACCTCCCCAGGCTCCACCCCAGTGCGCATTCCTCCCAGTGCGCAGACAGGTCGGAGGTTCTGCAGGGAGCCCTTCCCACCTGGCTGTCTCTCTTACTCTGGGTGAGATGGGGAGCTGTCGAAAGACGTTGAGCAGAAGAGTAGCATGATCTGAATGCTCTCCAGGATAACTCAGGCCACTGTGTTGAGAACAGACTGCAAGGAGCAAGCACAGAGCAGAAAGCCCAGTGAAAAGCCATAGAAATAATCCAGGGTAGAGGTGGGGACCTGGACCAGGATGGGAGTGGTGTTCATGGGAAGTGGTTGGATTTGGTATGTTGTTTGCAGGTAAAACCAACAGGATTTGCTGACAAATTGGATGTGAGGTGTAAGAGAGAGGGAGGTATATAGATAGATTCCAAGCTTTTCAGCCTGAACAGCTGGAAGGGTCAATTGGCATTGACTGAAACAAAGGTGAGCAGGAATTGGCTTGAGTGGGATTAGCTTGAGAAGTCAAGGATCATTTTTCCACTTCCTTCTATTGTGGTAAGTGAGGGAGTCAGGATTTAATGAGCAAAGAAGGAGAAAGAATTTAGCCAATTGGAATGAAAATGGCATTCCAAGAGTAGGTGAGAACATAGATGCAAAATATGAGGGTGAATGATGGGCCCACCTAGTGAGTTTGCTGGAACGGCTTAGAGCAGATGGTTGAGTTGAGGAGTAGGGAGGAGAAGGCAGGAAGTTGAGGGAGCACAAGATGAAGACTTGTATCTTGTTGTTTTAAGATTCCATCACTGAGGCCACAGGAGCAGGCAGGAGGTAAAAAACAGGTGGTAGACGATATCCTGTTGGTTGTAGTCTTGAGATGTGTGAGTGAAGAGCAAGGTAAGAATTTCAACAAAGACAACAAAGGTAAAAAGAAAATATCAGTCTATGGCATATAGATGGGGAGAAATCTTAAGAAAAAAAGGCTGGATTTAGAATATATCATCCTCAGGCAGGGCGTGGAGACTCATGCCTGTAATCCCAGCACTTTGGGAGGCCAAGGCAGGTGGATCACCTGAGGTCAGGAGCTCGAGTCCAGCCTGACCAACATGGTGAAACCCCATCTCTACTAAAAATACAAAAAGTAGCCAGACATGGTGGCGGGTGCCTGTATTCTCAGCTACTCAGGAGGCAGGAGACTCACTAGAACCCAGGAGGCGGAGGTTGCAGTGAGCTGAGATCATGCCATTGCACTCCAGCCTGGGGAACAGGGTGAGAATCCGTCTAAAAAAGAAAAGAAAAAGAAAAAGAATATATCATTCTCATGGCAGGAAGAGTAAAATATATTTTTAGGTGGCCTTCCATTTGACTTACTCTCCGTCCAATCTATTAACTTCTGTGAGTTCCACCTCCAAATATTTCTTGGATCTGCCCACTTCTATTGGTTTCCACTGCTAATAATCTGTTCTAGGTTACTAAGATCTCTTCTCTTTACTATTGCAACTGCTTCCTAAATGTCCCTCCACTTCTGCTCTTGTCTTCTTCTAATTTATTTCCCATATAGGTATAAGAAAGAATATATTAAAATGTCTATCAAACATTTTCAGATATCTGGGATATTCTTTTTAAAGTTCAATGATTCCCCATTTCACTTAGAATAAATTATAATGATAACAGCACACTTGTGGCACATACTGTGTGTCAGGCACTATAGTAACAGCATTACACAGATTGATGTAAGTAATATTTAATTCTATGAAGCAGGTGCTGTTATCATAATTTATATCTATCAAATGAGGAAACTGAGGCACTGGGAGCTGATTCATTCAGGAGGTCTACCTTAACTTGGATTTCCCAGAAAACAGAACCCCACTAAATACATATGTGCTGCTCCCCTCTTGGAGATTGCAATCTCAGAAAAGAGGAGTGAGTCAGGCAAAGAAGGACCACCGTTTACAAGAAAAGGCCACAGCATGGCATGAAGCACAACTGATTGCTTGGTCTTGCAACACCATTGCTATCCTGGTCACTCCAACTAGGTAGAGGAGAAGAATTTATTCATCGGCATCTCTCACTCTTTGGTCAGAGGTTTACCCCGTGGGGCATTAGCTCCCTTGCACTTGTGCCCAAAGGCAGATCTTTGCCCCAACAGGAATGCACCTAGGCAAAAGATGACAAGTGTGACAGGACACAAGGCAAGGGATTACCAGGTTGGTCCACACAAAGCCCACTGGAACCCAGGTAGAGCTGCCTGTCACACTGACCACTGGAGCAGAGCAAGTAGCTAAAGACCCTCAGGACTCATGAGGCCAGAGAACCTGAAGTAGTGCACAACAAGTGGCTGACGCATATAGGCAGTGAAGAATCAAGCTGGGGTAAAAACTCTGGCAGCCGGGCCTCAAAGCCCACACATTT
Source organism: Homo sapiens (assembly GCF_000001405.40). Lineage (NCBI taxonomy): Eukaryota > Metazoa > Chordata > Mammalia > Primates > Hominidae > Homo > Homo sapiens. Next base: position 11,595,039 of record NC_000012.12, read on the forward strand.
AAAATTTCTCTGATATGCTGCCTTGCAGAATAAGGCCTGAACCATTTACCATGCCCTACAATGTCCTGCATGATCGGGCCCCTACCATCTGTCCAACTCCATCTTGAACCTTCTTTTTCTCACTCACAAAGCTTCAGGAACTTGTTCGTTCAGTTCCTAAACTCCGCTCCATCCTTTCCTGCCACAGGACCTTAATGCATGAGTCCTCTGTGTGGATGCTTTTTCTTCCTCTTTTGCATGGCAAACACTTTCTTATCTTTTAGTCACAGTTTAAGTGTTGCCTTCTCAGAGAGAACTTCCTGACCACTCTGTAAAAGAGGACTTCCCCACTTGTAATTCTTCTCTTCCACTCCATGTGTGTTTCTTTCACAATACTGATCACAGCTTGAAGTAATTTTATTAATTTCTTTGATAACTTCTTTTTTGTTTCTGTCTCCAAGAGAATGGAAGCCTATGGAGGCAAGGACAATGTCTATCTTCCTCACCATTATAGCCTCAGCATGGAGCTCAGTGCCTGACCCAAGGAGATGCTCAATGAATAGTTGTAAGATGAATGAATGAAGTGTTCTTATATGAGAAATAGATTTTTTTTTTTTTGAGACGGAGTCTCGCTCTGTTGCCCAGGCTGGAGTGCAATGGTGCAATCTCGGCTCACTGCAACCTCCACCTTCCTGGTTCAAACAATTCTCCTGCCTCAGCCTCCTGAGTAGCTGGAACTACAGGCACTGGCCATCACGTCCGGCCAAGTTTTGTATTTTTAGTAGGGACGGGGTTTCACCATGTTGGCCAGGCTGGTCTTAAACTCCTGACCTCAGGTGATCCACCCGCCTCGGTCTCCCAAAGTGCTGGGATTACAGGGGTGAACCACCGCGCAAATTTTAAAGTGGTATTGTCCATATCAGTGTTTGAGGTAGAAACACTGTGGAGTTGCTGAATGGACAAATGAATGATGCTAACGGGTGAAGGAAGATAACAGACTGGAAAGAAATTAGATGAATGGCCTGGCTCTCTCAAGTTTTCTTCCAGCTCTACAAGTCCTTGAACTATGGAGGATATCTTTAAGGAAGTGCAAAGGAAACAGGAAGGAAGCAAAAGTAGGAATTCCTTAGGAAGTTCAGAAGAGGAAAGCTGGAGAATCTGGCCCATTGTATGACAAACAGGAAGTTATTTAAAGCAGGGTTTTGAAACTGTGAACCTCTAAATGGCTTACAAAAATCCAAGAGCACTCATAAAATTGTATACAAAACATGTCTCCATATCTGCATGTGCAATTTTCTAGGCAATAGTTTCTATCGTATTTGAAAAGGAACTTATAACTTTTACATAGTTAGGAAACACTGATTGCAGAAACAGATGAGTCTACAGATAATCTAGACTTACTTCCTCAGTTTTCAAATGAAGACATCAAGGCCCAAAGATGTTATGGAACCTGCTAAATTGCAAACACAATCAATTAGGTGACAAGAGGGCACAAGACTCAGGTCTCTCAATTCCCCTTCTAGTGTTCTTTGCTGTGCCACAATACCTTCCTGAAATTCAGTTATAAAATACTGTGTGAAGAAAAAAAGAAATGTTTAATATCTTGGAAAATAGAAGAGAAAATCTAAACTGATAACATAGGTAAATGCAATAGAATCTCAAGGCTAAAGGAGCCTCAAAAGGCCCACTGAACAGTTCCCTGACTTCAGGCAAAAATCCTGTAAACATCCTGGAATGATTATTTTTCAAGATGGTTAAGGAATATGAAAGAAAGAGTCAAAATAATTATTCAGCACTTAACTTAGAAACAAAATACTAGATTATCTTTATTCATAAACATAAGCATGAATATAGTTGTCTCTTGGTATCTGTGGGGGATTGGTTCCAGGGCACCCACTGATACCAAAATCCACACATGCTCAAGTCCCTTAAATAAAATAAAATGGCATAGTACCTGCATACAACCTCCACACATCCTCTTGTTTACTTTAAATCATCTCTAGATTCTTTATAATGCCTAATACAAAGTCTACACATCACTTCATTTGCATGGATTCAATGTAGTACTTGGCATACAGCAAATTCAAGTTTGCTTTTTGAAACTTTGTGGAATATATTTTTCCAAATATTTTCAATTTCTTGGTTGGCTGAATCCACAGAAGCAGAACCCACTCATATGGAGGGCCGACTGTATATATCAAAGTTGCTCACAAGAAAGAATTTAAAAATAAAGGCATAAACTGACAACCTATCAAAATCCAATGCTCAATTATGATGCAAAATGAAAACAGAAACATGGTATGTTTTTTAATAACTGCCGAGATAACAAAGTATGGTGAACATTTGATTATCTCTCCCAATGTGAGTTTAAGGACAAATTAAGTAAATTAATTGCACAATCTATAGTCCTTAACTTAGGCAATTAGTCAACTTTTGTTCAGAGAACATCAGACTGTTAGGATACCTGAGTTAAATTTCTTGCAACCACCACTAATTTCTGGGCTTGGACAAGTCACTTTCTCTAGTTCTCAGTTTCCTCCATCTTCACAGTGGAAAAAGGTTAATCTTGGACAAGGGTTTTCAAACTTGTTTTGTCTTTTCTGTTTTTTTTAAATTCGATTTTTTGTTGTTGTTGTTACCACCCACACAGTAAGACATATATTTCCTGTTATCTGCATCCATAAACATATATGCCCATAACTGAAATAAAAGTTTCGCAAGACAGTATTGATGCTCAGTATATTCAGTGCACTCTCATATTTTCTATTCTATGAGATTATGTCCTGTTTTTTAAAAAATGTAGGTTATTACTCATCACATTGATTTAATAACCTATGCATGGGTCACAATCTACAGGTTAAAAAACATGAATATCACTTGTAGTTTTCATATTCTACCAATAAACTCTCTGCAAGAACCACAAGTCAATAGTACAATTTACCTGAATTTCTATTTTCTCCCTTCCTATGCCAGAGGTGATAATGGGCGGTGACAAAGAATTACAAGTAGAGAAAGGGTAAATAAGTGCTTTGAGCATCCATCAAAGGAAATTCTGCCAGTAAGTAATTTAACATTAACCAGAGAGAATGACAGGACATCCACAACTGGAAACACAGGACATCCAGAGTTGGAAAGTTTTCACTGACTTTTTTTTTTTAACCTGCCTATGAACTGTTCGAGTTTTGAGAGTTTCCCAAGAAAATGTTTGAGAGAAGGTGGGGATGGAAAGAAGGAGAGGGAAGGGGGAGAAAAGGAAAGGAGGAAAAACAGGTGAATGTTCAAGTGTTGGTGGGTAGTGTTGACCCCCTACACTAGCGCAAGCCTCAGTCCATGCAAAAACCCCCTCTACACATGTGAGACAGGACCTTCTGGGCCGTGTCAGCACCCTGCACTGCCAGAACACTTCCTATAAATCAAAACCTGACTGTTATATGTCTACTAAAGATTCTTCAGTGCCTTCTCAGCCTCTATAGGGTAAAGTGCAAACTCTTCAGCACGGCACACCAACCATTCGTGATCTGGTGGCATTTTTCCCTTTTCCCCAAAACCATCCACAACCACAATGGTACACACACTGTCACTAGTTGCATAGAGTCCTTAAAGTTCTCCAAACACCCCTTCCCATGCTGCTTTGATTTTGTTTCCACTCTTCTCTCAACAGCTTAATAGAAGCATATTCTTTACTTCCTAGCGATGTACTTGTACTTCCTGTTAAGACAGCACATCTAAAATGACTTCAGTTCCCAAAAGCTCTGGAATCATGTTTTGTTTTTTCTGCTTATTTTGGGGTTTCATTGGGCTCTCCTCTATTCATTTTCTTTTCTTTTCTTTTCTTTTTTTTTTAGACGGAGTCTCGCTCTGTCTCCCAGGCTGGAGTGCAGTGGTGCGATCTCGGCTCACTGCAACCTCTGCCTCACTGCAACCTCTGCCTCCCAGGTTCAAGAATACCCTCCGCTCTGCCTCCCTCTTCTAGTCCTTCAATTCGCAGCACATGTATCCCTTTTCTTTCATTCCCACCTGGTCCATGGTCTTCCAACGCTGTGCTCACCCAAATCACAGATGTTGATGCCAAGTATTGCAACACATCGCATCTGCTCATCTTCCCCACTTGACCCTGAGTTGGACACAGGATGGTGTCCATCCTGTTCAAGGTGAGCCGTGTCCAACACACTGTAGGAATGCCATGGAATCCCATAAGTATTTGTTAGCTGAGTATTGAAGGACTCTCCTATATTCTACCTGTCCTAGCTGCTGTCCTAGCTACCTATGCCTGGAAGCTCTGAACCTCAGCTATGACGGTTGGCAGTCAAGTGTGATCAGATTAAGCAGATAATCTCTAGTCTTCTGACAAAACTTTAGCAAAAACTTCACATAAAAAGTAAAGTATGATTCTTTACCCATTAAAAAAAAATGATAATGATTAAGCGGAATGGGAACATTGGCAGCCAATCAAGAGAATGTTATCTTCCTAAATGGCCCTTCCAAAACAACTTGAAATTAAAAGTGAAAAAAAAAAAAACTCAGAAAACAGAAAACCACAGTGAAGGGTGAACAGATTTTAAGAAATTTCATCTTTGGACTATATCCCTTTTATTAGTGGAAAACAGAGGTAAATGTGGCTAATTGTAAAAATCATCTGTGTGAAGGAAGGCAAAGCACCTCTAAAACTCAAAGATACATTCCTACCTTGATTAGTAAAAGAGTACAATTTCACTCAAACAATAAATCACTGGTGTGAGGAGCAAGTCACATGGGCTCATATAGTTCATTTTTTTAATATTAGAAATAAAACAAGAAACGGTTAATTAAATCTAACAAGGGATAATGATAAGAGGACGAAAGATAATGAATGTTATCCCAAAGAAAGGAAAAAATGAAATATTGCATTTTAGAAAATGAACACAGGCTGGGTGCGGTGGTTCACACCTGTAATCCCAACATTTTGGGAGGCTGAGGCAGGTGGATCACCTGAGGTCCGCAGTTTGAGACCATCTTGGCCAACATGGTGAAACCCCGTCTCTATCAAAAAAATACAAAAATTACCCAGGCGTGGTGTGCACACCTGTAGGCCCAGCTGCTCAGGAGGCTGAGGTGGGAGAATCACTTGAGAAGACTAGAGATTATCTACTTGAACCCGGGAAGCAGAGGTTTCAGTGAGCCGAGATGGCACTACTGCATTCCAGCCTGGGAGACAAAGTGAGACTCCATCAAAAAAAAGAAATGAACAGAGGTGAGCGCAATGGAACCCCAAAATAAGGAGAAAAAACAAAACATGATTCCAGAGCCTTTGGGAATTGAAGTCATTTTAGATCTGCTGTCTTAACAGGAAATACAAGTGGACAGCTAGGAAGTAAAGAATATGCTTCTATTAAACTGTTGATAAAAAGCAGATGACAGAATATAAAGAACTAGGGACATGGTTTAAATCTCCTTGTCTCTATGACATACAGGATATCTCAATTAGATAATGATTTCTTTTCATTTCCTGAAGAACAAAGGGGCTGAATAAAGTAAATGTATTTGTTGGTTATCGGAAAGAATAAAGAAGCCTGCTTCCAAATGCATTTCCCAGTGAATCCGATTCCGGTCCTTGGTAAACTCTTTGAAGAAAATGTCTATGAGCACATGAAGAAATGCAACCAGTAAAATAACATGAATTCTTGAGAGCAATTCAAGATAATGATGGGATTACATTTTCTTCATTGCCGGGATTTTGTCCTAAAAATTATTGATGGTTATATATTGGTGGAGAAACTGTAAGTGATTTTTACAAGTTTTATGCTTATGTTTGTATCATCAAAAGTTTCTACAATGAACATGTATTACTATTGGAATAAAAAAAATCCCCTTCCTCTCCTCTTCTACCAAAAAGAAAAATTCTGATAGGACAACATCTAAAACTTTGGTTTATTTGATCTTTTGTGGCAGAAATTTGAAAAATGTGATCCTGTCATTCAAATGACTACCAAGATGATCTCTGAGAAATTAGGCTATTCGGAAGAGCATCAAATCCAGGCTCTTAAAAGTGGAAATCGGAGGACATAGTTCCAGGGATAGCAGGGGCTTTCATAACCCCTTCCGCCTGGGCAGAGGTGAACTTTGTGGTAGTGTTGCTATTATTTGACAGTAAGTAAGCAAGCATGGTTAGGAGATTTTTATTTTAGTGACTTAGTCATCACCAAGTTCTTGATCAAAAAAACAGAAACTAAATCAGCTGGCTCAGAGTTTTTGAAAGCAAGTTTATTTTTAAGGACACCAGAACCATGAAAACATGATTCAGTCCAGCCTGTGGGAGCTGCAGATGGGAACTGGTGAGCTGTTGGGTTGGGGTCCACGCTTCATAAGTCCTGGCAGATTCATGGCCTCTTTCCTTTGCTCTTTTCTTAATATCTGCCCCATTCTCATCTCAGCAGACCAGATCCCTTCACTTATTCAAAATTTCTGCTCTCTTGTGATTTTGCCCTGCACGTGGCTTTTACTAGGCCATAAAACTGCCCCCAGGCATGATGCTACATGACAGATAGGCTTCTGGCAGCTAGCACAAACTTTCAGAGAGCCAGTTCCACATTGAAAAGAAAAGATGTTGATTGTCTCAGCGTGGGTGAGGTGTACATCCCTGTGTAGATCTGCCATGGCAGAGAGACTAGGATACATTTTATCAATGACCACTTTGGCTCAGCCCTTCAACAAAGGTTTACTGGGGCTAAGTTCCAGAGAAGGGGACTTTGTGCCAAGTATCCAAAATATATTTATTACCTTTGAATAAGCATCTTTGGATGAATCTGCACTCCTCCTCCCTGTGCACAGTCTCATTCCTACAGCAGCCTGCCCCTTCCTGGCTGAAACAGAAAGCAGCTAACTCATACTAAAGTACTTATGAACAACCAAGTGACTTTAGAGCAAATAATTCATCTTCTCAGGGATTGACTACATTTAATTTTCTCTAAAAAGACAGAATTTTGATTGTTATTTAGTACTACCTTCTAGTATAGAAAATGTTTTCTACTATAACTTTGTAACCGCCAAAACCAAAGGTTGAAGATCACCTCTCCAGGGCTATTTGCATTTTTAAAGCGAATTCTAAATAATAATGATAGTTAACATTAATTCAGTGTTTATTATATGTCAGACACTCTTCTAAGAACTTAACACATAATAATTTCTTTAATTCTTACAACAACCCAAGCAACAGAGTGTGTTAATTAGGATAATATAAACTGTGGTAACAAATAAATACTGAAAATATATACCTTAAACAAAATCAAAGTTTACTTCTTGCTTACATCACAGGCCAGGATGGGTGTTCCTCCATCTGGGTCCGTGGGTGGCTTTCCTCCATTTGGAGATTCAGGAATCGAAGTTTTTTTTGTTTTTCCTGTGACTCTGCCATCTCCTAAACCTCACTTTCACCTGATGTCAGCCAGGGAAGGAAAACGAAAGTGTGGAGAAGTTACCCACATCTTAAAGAGCCTGGCCTAGAAGTAACACACTTCAAGTCCACTCTGTTAGTGAGAACTAGTCTCCGGGCACCAGCTGGATGCAAGGGAGTGAGAAATGTACTCTCTGATGGGCAGCCAGTTCTCAGAAAAATTAGTTTTTTATCAATCTGGATTTGCACATTCTTTTCACATTTTAACATCTCTTCAATAGGAATGTATTGTTCAATCAATGGCAAGTTTATTATTCAAGGTAAACTCAGATTTGGTTGGCAGCATTTTTCCTTTTTGGTAGTACATACACAGCGTGTGCTTTACAATCAATGGAATCTTAGGCTAGATGAAATTTGGTTTATAATACGGAAGAGGGAGGAGAAATTTTGCCTCTTCCTCATTTAGCTGTTCTTTTCACCAAGTATCTGTATATACACCCTTCTTTCCTCATTCTAAGGACACTGCAAGATGGAGAACATGCTAAATTCTTATCCAGTTCATGCATACAGCTCAAAGACCAGCATCTCTGGGTGATATGAAGTCTTCTCATCTAAAGCTCTTTTCACTTTGGTGATACACAAACATATAAAAAAAATTCCCTGCCCCTCTAATATGTAATGATAAGACAGGGACAAGATAACCACAATAGAAGCTCCTATTAAGAAAGGGAAGAATTGTGGATACATAGCAGTCATTGGTCCATTGTAGAAATGGATACTGTCTTTTAGGTTATCATAAATATGGTTTTTAAAATGTTTTGCCAAGGCCAGGTGCGGTGGCTCATGCCTGTAATCCCAGCACTTTGGGAGGCCGAGGTGGGCAGATCACGAGGTCAGGAGTTCAAGACCAGCCTGGCCAACATGACAAAACCCTGTCTCTACTAAAAATACAAAAATTAGCTGGGCGTGGTAGCAGGCACCTGTAATCTCAGCTACTTGGGAGGCTGAGGCAGGAGAATTGCTTGAACCCGGGAGGCAGAGGTTGCAGTGAGCCGAGATTGTGCCACTGCACTCCAGTCCTGGGTCTCCATCTTTCCAGCACCCAACACCAGTTTTTTGTTGTTGTTGTTGTTGTTGTTTGTTTGTTTGTTTGTTTTGGGGGGTGGAGGGGTTGCTACCTGCTACCCAAGTGTTCAGAGAGTAATAGTTACTTTAGGTATTTATTATAGCAGTACTTTTTTCAAGGTATCAATTTTTTTATTAATTAGGGTAATGTTAGAGGCAGTAGATAATAGACCCCAAAATTTATGGCTCAAACTTAATAGATGTTTATTTCTCATTATTTTAACCACCCAAAGCATATGTCCCATTGGTGGTCATCTTTCCTCCATAGTGTGATTCAAGTATCTAGTCTTCTTCCATCTTGTGGCTCAGTCTTCCCCTAGAGCAACATCTGCAAATGAATCTAGCTGGTGGAAGGAGAAAGATAATGGAGAAAATATACCTTCTTCTTAAATCTTGACCTGAACATGCCACACCTCACTTCTGCTCATATTCCACAGATTAGAAGGAAGGAAGGAAGGCCACATCAGGTCCATGAGGAGACAAACTCCTTGTCTGAGCAGTTTCCAGTGACAAGTCCATTCTCTAAAGGGGAAGCACAAATTCTGGCAGACAGCTAGCTGTTTCTGATTTAAAAGGATAAGGATTGAATCTTGAATTACAGAAATTTAGTGGTGGGGGAAAATTTTTTTTAATAGCATTAAGTAGTTCCTCATAGGGTACCTCAGATCATAACATATCAGTAACCACCAACTCTGTCTCCTAAGTCTGTGCCTGTGTACTATTTTGAAATATTAGATTAAATATATATGACAAAAAATAGAACAAAAAACAAGAATAGGTGACAATGTTTTAAAAGTAGCCAGCATTGGTAGTAGTAATCATATAGTAGAAGTAGCTGGCATTATTTTTAGTGATTTCTATATACCAGGCACTGTATTGAGTACGTTTTAAGCATGATTTTATTTAAACCTTATTAGCATCCCCATGAGATGAGGAAATTTAGAGGTAAAATAACCTGCTGGGTTAAATAACGTCTAAAAATATCTCATTTCAGGGCCTGGTTCCTAACCATTGTAGAGGAGGAAAATAGTTTTTCTTCTACCTTCTTAGGTTTTCTAACTGGGGCCCTGGAAGTTAAACCAACAAAAGGTGGACTAACAAGAGAAAAACAGTTTCATACATACCTATGCATGGTACGTTCACAGATAAATGAGACTCAAGGAGGCAGCCAGATGATTGAGGCTTATGTATCATCACAGGCTAAGCAAAGGAAAAAAGGATTTGGGGCTTTGGGGTGAGGGAGGCAAGTATTAGGAAGGTGAGGGGAGGAAATAATTAGAGTTGTGTTGTTAAGCAGGTAAGAGTCTCTCAAGTGCTGAGTGCTGTCTCCAAGAGCAGCCCTCTCCCTTTTCAAATGAAAATTTCCTTTACAAAAGGGGAAATGTATACTCTACTTTCAGGCAGTCACAGGGAGACAGGAGCTTTTCCTGCATCGGATAGTTTTCAATTGGCTTTAACTCAAAATAATCTATATGACAAAGAGGCATATTTTGAGGTGGCATATTCATATACCCTGCATCATACCCCAATCATTTCTTCAACTTAATATTCAGCAATCCCTGGGATTTCTTGAAGAAAATACTTGAGAAGTACTGAACTAGGAGTTAACGATGATAGTGTAGGTGAATAGTTGGCAACACTTTAGTCATAAACAGAAATTCAAATGAATTACCTGAAACTGCACATTAGTCCTTGGTTAAGAGATTATAAAATGACTCAGACCTTGCTTTTAAAAAAATCATATATTTCTGGCCAGGTGTAGTGGCTCATGCCTGTAATCCCAGCACTTTGGGAGGCCAAGGTGGGCGGATCACAAGGTCAGGAGCTCGAGACCAGCCTGGCCAACATAGTGAAACCCCGTCTCTACTAAAAAAATACAAAAATTCACCAGGCATGGTGGCGCATGCCTGCAGTCCCACCTACTCAGGAGGCTGAGGCAGGAGAATCACTTGAACCCAGGAGGCGGAGGTTGCAGTGAGTCGAGATCGTGCCACTGCACTCCAGCCTGGGTGACAGAGTGAGACCCCATCTCAAAAAAAAAAAAAAAAAATCATATATTTCTATATAATCATGAAAATTAAGAAATCGAAGATTCTTGTAGAGAACTTATAGTTTGAGAGATGTCTCCCAATTCTATAAATGTGTGAATCCCTAATTTTATCAGTAATACTTCCTGCTACCTCAGAGAAATGCTAACTTGTTGGGAGAGTTTTTCTCTCCTTAATATTATTGATCCTTGACTTTCAAACCTTATGCTCTTTCTAATTTTTTTTTTTTTTTTTTTTTTTTAACAGGATCTCACTCTGTCACCCAGGCTGGAGGGCAGTGATGTAAACATAGCTCAAACTCCTGGACTTAAGTGGTCCTCCTGCCTCAGCATCCCGAGTAGCTGGGACTACAGGTATACACCACTACACCTGGCTAATTTTTAAATTTTTGTAGAGACAGGGTCTTGCTTTGTTGCCCAGGCTGGTCTCAAACTCCTGGGCTCAAGCAATCCTCCCACTTTGGCCTCCCAAAGTGCTGGGATTACAGGCATGAGCCACTGCACCTGGCCTCTCTTTCTAATCTTCAGGGTCATTTAGAAACTTATAGTCAATTCCACTGAAACACTGAAAGGTAAAGATTCTCAAGGTCCATGTATAGGGAGGAAATGATGGGCCCTATTCATGAGTGACCAAGGGTGATAAAAGAGAGAACATAAGCCGGTCAGTTTAACTAGAAAAAATTTGACAGCTCTTAGAAGAGAGAAGATGGAGGCCGGGCACGGTGGCTCACGCCTGTAATCCCAGCACTTTGGGAGGCTGAGGCGGGCGGATCACCTGAGGTCAGGAGTTCGAGACCAGCCTGGCCAACATGGTGAAACCCTGCCTCTACTAAAAATACATAAATTAGCTGGGCATGGTGGCAGGTGCCTGTAATCCCAGCTACTCGGGAGGCTGAGGCAAGAGAATCGCTTGAACCCAGGAGGCGGAGGTTGCAGTGAGCCAACATCACGCCATTGCACTCCAGCCCGGGTACAAGAGTGAGACTTCATCGCAAAAAAAAAAAAAAAAAGGGAGAGAAAGAGAGGATCAAGTCCCCAGATGGAGAGGAACTCAGACAGCAGGGTCCAGGCCCAAGGAAGACTACATTGTAGGAAATGACCAAAGGAACTCCTTTGGGGGAAATTTCTAAGGAAGGTGTCACTAAATGGGATATGACAGAAGTTAATAACTATCCTTCGGCTTTCGTGTTATTGTCAGGTACTTCCTCTATTTTTTTACTGTTTATCATTCATTCCTTTCCCTGGGCTTCTGAGCCTCAAGTGTTTTTTCACTGTTGCATTTCCTCCTACTTGGACCAGCTTATTTATTATTTGTTTGTTTGAGATGGAGTCTAGCTCTGTCACCCAGGCTGGAGTGCAGTGGCTCAATCTCAGCTCACTGCAACCTCCGCCTTCCAAGTTCAAGCAATTCTCCTGCCTCAGCCTTCCGAGTAGCTGGGATTACAGGCATGCACCACCACACTCAGCTAATTTTTGTATTATTAGTGGAGACAGGGTTTCACCATATTGGCAAGGCTGGTCTCGAACTCCTGGCCTCAAGTGATCCTTCTGCCTCAGCCTCCCAAAGTGCTGGGATTACAGGCGTGAGTCACCACGCCCAGCCTACTTAGACTAGTTTATAAATTAACATTATACAAAATATATGAAAGGACTACAAATGTGCATCCAGACAAAGGAACAGAGGAGTGTGTGTCACTCTGCAAGGAGGCTGCTTATTCCAGGACCTGCCTGCACCCCAGAGTCAGCCATCCAAGGAGATCACACACACTCTGCAGACACTGGTGATAAGGGTCTGGGAGCAACACACTAGGTTACTTTATGTCAGAGGCAAAGGGAAAAGAAATTGCACTTTCTTCTCATAACAAACTCCAGAGTGCTCACTTGGGAGACTGACAGCCCAACAAATACAAGTGACAAGGAAGCAATTTCAGGAATGTAATAAGGGAGAACTAGCTAGGTTTAAAATGTATTGCTAAAGAGTTATGCAATTTTTGACTTGTAAGAAACTTAAAGACCCCATCTCATCTAAAGGTCACAAACAGCAGCCTTGGAGCCAAATCTGGCCCACAGATGTGATGTGTTTTGTTTGGTGCATAGTTTGAATTAGTTGTCAGCATTTAAAAAAGAACAGTTCACATTTTTTAAAAGTCCAGATTCCTGATTACTGCTGGGAAACCAGAAAATCTGTGGATCCTACATTGCCAGCATTTCCCGGTGGCAGTACGAAAAGCCGAGCAGTGATCGTGCCCTTTGGACGTTGCTCGAGTCTGCAGTTTCCCACAGTCCCTGGCTGGCCTCCTTTAATTCATTTACATAATCTGTCTGGACTCTATTGGCAGCTTTTGAGTTTAAAGCCCTTGCTAAGCCAACCTGTTCATTTTTATAGATAAGAAAGCGAGGCCCTGAGAAGCCAAGTGACTCACCCAACCATACGCCTATGTTGGTGTCGTTTCCATACATTCCTTTTTCCATCCCATGCTTTCTCACTTACACGGTGAGGTTTATTTAGCAAAATTTTGAAAAGAGATTTGGAAAGCAAACATAAATGGTGAGGTTAAAGTCTGAAGAAACTATGTTGAAAGCCGGAAAACACAAAGGTGATGTTAAAAAGAGGATAATTTAGAGGCTCGCTAACTGGAACTCAAGAGACTTCCAATAGGAAATTGTTAATGAGAGGAAGTGGAAGGAAGAGAGAGGTTACAGGCATAATAAGAACAAATGAGAGAAGCGTGAGCTAAGGTAAGATGATGAGAGAGAGTAAAACAGGCACTGTTTTACTTGATCTGCTCCCATACAGAACAAAAGCAGCAGTTGACAGAAAGGAAACTGACAAAATAAATTTCAAAATAAAAACTGATCAGAAAAAAATTAGCAATTATAGGCCGGGCATGGTGGTTCACATCTGTAATCCCAGCACTTTGGGAGGCCAAGGCGGGCAAATCACGAGGTCAGGAGTTTGAGACCATCCTGGCCAACATGGTGAAACCCCGTCTCTACTAAAAATACAAAAAATTAGCTGGGCGTGGTGGTGGGCACCTGTAATCCCAGCCACTCGGGAGGCTGAGGCAGGAGAATTGCTTGAACCCGGGAGGCGGAGGTTGCAGTGAGCCAAGATTGCGCCACTGCACTCCAGCCCGGGCAACAATGTGAGACTCCATCTCAAAAAAAAAAGTATAAAAGATGTCTTGTTCAGATCTATTTATTTGGGGAAAAAAGACATGAAGAAAAGGAGAGGCAGCTTCTCAAGATTGCCTGAGATGTTATTAACAACAACAACAACAAAAAATGTAAACAAAAAACAATTTCAAAGGAGAGCCTCACCAAAAAAAGAGAATAATAATTTTAAAAATGGGGATAAAAAATAATTATCTCAAAAAAATCTCCACAAGAAAAAAAATAAAATTCTTCCTGAAACTGAAGCATACTAGAATATGCAACCCCAAAATATGTCACTTTGGCACACAGGTTATTTGGAGCTAAAGGCACTAGAGAACCAGCAGACCAAGTAAAAGCTCTTTACTTCCCCCTAATCACCTAACATGAACTATAACGTCCCCCTTTTGTACAGAAAATTTACATTTATAAAGGAAATTTCCATTTGTAAGGGAAGAGAGCTGCTCCTGGAGACAGTAGTTATCACCCGAGAGACTCTTATCTGCATAACAATACAACCGTTATTTACTATACATTTCTTCCCCTCACCTTCCTAGAACTTTCCTCCTCCCTTCAGCAGCCCAAAACCCCTTTTCCTCTGCTCAGCCTAAGATGGTACAGAAGCTTAAATCATCTGGCTGCCACTTTGAGTCTTAGTTCTTTGTGGAAACTTCCCTGCATAGGTATGTAATTTAGCCGTCCTTCTCTTGTTAGTTTGTCTTTTGTCAGTTTAATCTCCAAGGCCCCAGTCAGCGAACCTAGGAAAGAAGAGGGAAGTAGTCCTCCTCACCAAGAGTTTTGGCAACCATTAAGGGACAGCAAGGACATCTCACTTGCTCAGGAGGCTAAAGTTGAGATCCAGGATCTCTGACAAAGTCGGCAAAAGGCAAAAGTTCTTACTAAAGTCACCCTCCTGTATTTCTGTCTGTAGAGTCTGACTGAAGGAGGATAGTAGAAGTCTCTTTGTCTTTTCCTTTCCAAATTTGCATTAGCAAGAGAAAAATATTTGTAAAATTTAGTTCTTTGGATGGTGACTCTTGTAAATTTGGTTTTTTTCATGTGCGTCCATGTGAAGAGACCACCAAACAGGCTTTGTGTGAGCAACATGGCTGTTTATTTCATCTGGGTGCAGGCGGGCTGCGTCCGAAAAGAGAGTCAGCAAAGGTGGTGGATTATCATTAGTTCTTATAGGTTTTGGGATAGGCGGTGAAGTTAAGAGCAATGTTTTGCGGGCAGAGGGTGGATCTCACAAAGTACATTCTCAAGGGTATGGAGAATTACAAAGTACCTTCTTAAGGGTCGGGGAGATTACAAAGTACATTGATCAGTTAGGGTGGGGAAGAAACAAATCACAATGGTGGAATGTCATCAGTTAAGGCTATTTTTACTTCTTTTGTGGATCTTCAGTTACTTCAGGCCATCTGGATGTATACATGCAAGTGACAGGGGATGCGATGGCTTGGCTTGGGCTCAGAGGCCTGACATTCCTGCTTTCTTATATTAATAAGAAAAATAAAATACTGTTGAAGTCTTGGGGTGGCGAAAATTTTTGGGGGGTGGTATGGAGAGATAATGGGCGATGTTTCTCAGGGCTGCTTCGAGTGGGATTGGGGTGGCGTGGGAACCTAGAGTGGGAGAGATTAAGCTGAAGGAAGATTTTGTGGTAAGGGGTGATATTGTGGGGTTGTTAGAAGAAACATTTGTCATGTAGAATTATTGGTGATGGACTGGATACGGTTTTGTATGAATTGAAAAACTAAATGGAAAAGTCTAAGAATTGGGAGGACCTAGGACATCTGATTAGAGAGTGCCTAAGGAGATTCAGCATAGTCCTGCCAGTAAAGATTATTTATTTACTTCAAGAGTTAAGAGTGGCAGTTTGGGGATAGCACCAGGAGATATCAGCTGTGATGGCTCGGAGAAACAGTGTAAACCGGCAGTGTAAACAAGAGCAGGGCATGTATGAGTAGTTGAGAACGGAGAATAGGAGTATGACTAGACAGAAAATAGTAGGGATGACAAGTTTTTTGGGGCACAGTCTAAGTTGGTCCAGTGTCTGGAATGAGACTGGGGCCTAACAAAAAGGAGCTCAAATGGGCTGTACCTTGTAGCATTCCGAGGACAGGCCTGAATTCTGAGAAGCAAAAGTGGTAAAAGTATTGTCCTTTTTAATTTGGTGGCTGAGCTTGGTGAGGTGTGTTTTTAAAAGACCTTTAGTCCGTTCTACTTTTCTTAAAGATGGAGGACCATAAGGGATATAAAGGTTTCCTGAATACTAAGAGCCTGAAAAACTGCTTGGCTGATTTGACTAATAAAGGCTGGTCTGTTATCAGACTGTATAGAGGTGGGAAGGCTAAACTGAGGAATTATGTCTGACAGAAGGGAAGAAATGACTGCGGTGGCCTTCTCAGACCCTGTAGGAAAGGCCTCTACTTATCTAGTGAAAGTGTCTACTTAGACTAAGAGGCATTTTAGTTATCTGACTTGGGGCATGTTGAGTAAAGCTAATTTGCCAGTCCTGGGTGGGGGCAAATCTTCAAGCTTGATGTGTAGGGAAGGGAGGGGGCCTGAATAATCCCTGAGGAGTAGTAGAATAGCAGATGGAACACTGAGAAGTTATTTCCTTGAGGATAGATTTCCACAATGGAAAGGAAATGAGAGGTTCTAAGAGGCGGGCTAGTGGCTTGTACTATAGCATAGCCTGCCTTTGCTGGTGTGTGGCGATTAGGCCTGGTGGAACTGCCATCAATAAATCAAGCGTGATCAGGGTGAGGAACAGGAAAGAAGGAAATATGGGGAAATGCGGTGAATGTCAGGTGGATCAGAGAGATACAGTCATGGGGGTCAGGTGTGGTATCAGGAATAATGTGGGAGGCCAGATTGAAGTCCGGGCCAGGAAGAATGGTAATTGTGGGACTTAACAAAGAGTGAGTACAGCTGAAGGAGCCAGGGAGCAGAAAGTATATGCATCAGGTATGAGGAAGAAAATAGATTTTGGAAGTTACGAGAAATGTGGAGAGTAAGTTGAGCATCGTTTGTGATTTTGAGGGCCTCTAAAAGTATTAGGGCGGCAGCAGCCACTGCACGGAGACATGACGGCTAGGCTAAAACAGTAAGGTCAAGTTGTTTGGACAGAAAGGCTACAGGGTGCGGTCCTGGCTCTTGTGTAAGAATTCTGACCGCACTAACTATGCCTAGGAAGGAAAGGAGTTGTTGTTTTGTAAGGGATTGAGGTTTGGGAGATTAATCGAACATGATCAGCTGGGAGAGCACGTGTGTTTTTATGAGCATTATGCTGAGATAGGTAACAGATGAGGAAGAAATTTGGGCTTGACTGAAGTAATGGGGGCTGTCTGTGAAGCCTTGCGGCAGTACAGCCCAGGTAATTTGCTGAGCCTAATGGGTGTCAGGGTCAGTCCAGGTGACATCGAAGAGAGGCTGGGATTAAGGGTGCAAAGGAATAGTAAAGAAAGCATGTTTGAGATCCAGAACAGAATAAGGGATTGTGGAGGGAGGTATTGAGGATAGGAGAGTATATGGGTTTGGCACCATGGGGTGGATAGGCAAAACAATTTGGTTGATAAGATGCAGATCCTGAACTAACTTGTAAGGCTTGTCTGGTTTTAGGACAGGTAAAATGGGGGAATTGTAAGAAGAGTTTATAGGATTTAAAAGGCCACGCTGTAGCAGGCGAGTGACAACAGGCTTTAATCCTTTTAAAGCGTGCTGTGGGACGGGATCTTGGCATTGAGCGGAGTAAGGGTGATTAGGTTTTAATGAGATGGTAAGGGGTGCATGATCGGTCGCCAAGGAGGGAGTAGAGGTATCTTATACTTGTGGGTTAAGGTGGGGAGATACAAGAGGAGGACGCAAAGGAGGCTTTGGATTGGGAAGAAGGGCGGCAATGAGATGTAGCTGTAATCCAGGAATAGTCAGGGAAACAGATAATTTAGTTAAAGTGTCTCGGCCTAATAAGGGAACTGGGCAGGTGGGGATAACTAAAAGGAGTGCTTAAAAGAGTATTGTCTAAGTTGGCACCAGAGTTGGGGAGTTTTAGTTTAGAAGCCTGGCTGTCAATACGCACAACACTTATGGAGGCAAGGGCAACAGGCCCTTGAAAAGAAGGTAATGTGGAGTGGGTAGCCTCCGTATTGATTAAGAAGGGGACGGACTTACCCTCCACTGTGAGAGTTACCTAAGGCTCGGCGTCCGTGATGGTCTACGGGGCTTCCAAGGCTATCAGGCAGCGTCAGTCTTCAGCCGCTAAGCCGAGAAGGAGTCAGTCAGAGAGCCTTCGGCCAGAGTTCCAGGGGCTCTGGGAGTGGCTGCCAGGTGAGTTGAACAGTCTGATTTCCAGTGGGGTCCCGCACAGATGGGACATGGCTTAGGAGGAATCCTGGGCTGCAGGCATTCCTTGGCCTGGTGGTCAGATTTCTGGCACTTGTAGCAAGCTCCTGGGGGAGGAGGTTCTGGTGGAATGCCGGGCTGCTGCGGTTCAGGCGTTTGGAAGTTCTTATGTGCTGGAGATGTGGCTGGGGTTTGTCTCACAGTGGAGGCAAGGAATTGCAACTTTTTTCTATTATTGTACACCTTGAAGGCGAGGTTAATTAAATCCTGTTGTGGGGTTTGAGGGCCGGAATTTAATTTTTGGAGTTTTATTTAATGTCGGGAGCAGATTGGGTAATAAAATGTATATTGAGAATAAGACGGCCTTTTGACCTTTTAGGGTCTAGGGCTGTAAAGTGTCTCAGGGTTGCTGCCGAACGAGCCATGAACTGGGCTGGATTTTTATATTTGATGAAAAAGAGCCTAAACGCTATCTGATTTGGGATAAAGAAAAAGGAGCATTAACCTTGACTATGCCTTTAGCTCCAGCCACCTTTTTAAGAGTAAATTGCTGGGCAGGAGGGGGAGGGCTAGTCATGGAACGAAACTGTAAGCCGGACCGGGTGTGAGGAGGGGAGGTGATAAAAGGATTATAGGGTGGAGGAGCAGAGGCTGAGCAAGAATTGGGACCTAGCTCAGCCTGGTGAGGAGCAGCCTGGGGAGAAGGGAAGAGGTCAGATGGGTCTGTAGAAAAGGAAAATTAGAAAGACTCAGCGACGCTTGGGGTTGGGACTGAGGGGACAGGTGGGAGGGAAAGAAGGAAGATTTGTGATGAGTTGCATTGGGAACAGAGACTGGAAAGGGACCGATGTGTAAAAGAGTGCCTGGACGTCAGGCATCTCAGACCATTTGCCTATTTTACGACAAGAATTATTTAGATCTTGCAGGATGGAAAAATTGAAAGTGTCGTTTTCTGGCTATTTGGAACTACTGTCGACTTTGTATTGGGGTCAAGCGGCATTGCAGAAGAAAATAAGACACTTAGATTTTAGGTCAGGTGAGAGTTGAAGAGGTTTTAAGTTCTTAAGAACACAGGCTAAGGGAGAATAAGGAGAAATTGAGGGTGGAAGGTTGCCCATAGTGAAGCCCAGAGAAAAGAGAGAGTAGAGACATGGAGGGAAGGGGTTCGGGGGTTCTTACCCTCCAGAAAAGCGGGAAAGGGGTCAGGGCACAGAGATACGAGGTCGGGGTGCGGACATAAGGGATTGGGGCGCAGAGATATGAGGTTGGGGTGCGGAAATAAGGGATCGGGGCACAGAGATATAAGGGGTTGGGGTACTTGCCCCTTCCCCAGAAAAGCGGGACTTGCCGCTAAGGGTGAAGGACCAAGGCAGGCGTCCCTGCGTGGTCTGACACCTGAATAATCAGAAAGGCATCCCAGCAATGATTAAACACCAAGGGAAGGCTGCCTTCCCTATTCCGTGACTGGTGCCGGAGTTTTGGGTCCACGGATAAAACGTGTCTCCTTTGTCTCTACCAGAAAACAAAAGGAATTGAAATTAAGAGAAGGGAGAGATTGAAGAGTGGAAAGGAGAAAGTGGTTGAGGGTTTAGTGAGAGAGGTTGGAGAAGAGAGTAAGAAGAGGCCGCTTACCCGATTTAAAATTGGTGAGATGTTCCTTGGGCTGGTTGGTCTGAGGACCTGAGGTCATAGGTGGATCTTTCTCATGGAGCAAAGAACAGGAGGACAGGGGATTGATCTCCCAAGGGAGGTCCCCCGATCTGAGTTACGGCACCAAATTTCATGTGCGTCCGTGTGAAGAGACCACCAAACAGGCTTTGTGTGAGCAACATGGCTGTTTATTTCACCTGGGTGCAGGCGGGCTGAGTCCCAAAAGAGTCAGCAAAGTGTGGTGGATTATCATTAGTTCTTATAGGTTTTGGGATAGGCGGTGAAGTTAAGAGCAGTGTTTTGCGGGCAGAGGGTGGATCTCACAAAGTACATTCTCAAGGGTGGGGAGAATTACAAAGTACCTTCTTAAGGGTCAGGGAGATTACAAAGTACCTTCTTAAGGGTGGGGGAGATTACAAAGTACATTGATCAGTTAGAGTGGGGAAGAAACAAATCACAATGGTGGAATGTCATCATTTAAGGCTATTTGTACTTTTGTGGATCTTCAGTTACTTCAGGCCATCTGGATGTATACATGCAAGTGACAGGGGATGCGATGGCTTGGCTTGGGCTCAGAGGCCTGACAGTTTTGAGTACTCATTGGTTACTGATCTCTAGCTTCCTAAGAATAGTCATTGTTTTCCTTTGTTTCTGTCCTTTGTGTGATTTATTATAATGAGGAGAATAGTCATAGTTTTGGAGAATTGTCATAGTTATAGGCATAGGCCCTATAAGCCTGCTGTTTAAGCCAGCTTCACAGACCCTTGAGTTTACAGTTTATGCTAGAGCAGCATCCATTTAGACAAACTTTGCTGCGGACAACCAATGGGAAAAAACTGGATGAGATTCTTCTTTTATCTCATTTTGTGTTCTGAGAGTTTAGCTTTGTGACTACTATGGTCTCTGGTAATCAGTCTGGTTTCTGCCAGCTGAGATGGCAAGGTTGTCACACTTGAATTGGGCAGCTAGCCAACCAGCTAGGAACCCAAAGCACAAAATGCACAAGCAGCATTTTCTTTGACCAAATCTTGCAGCTGTCAGGAGAGTTTGCCTTAATAAGGCACCCCAGTCCATTGGGGCCTTTATTGTCATTCTTTGTTGCCTTGTTTGTGCTGGGAAAAGTACCATCCCAGTATTACCTACCTGATATCACAGATTAGTGAGTCTGTGATTGAAGGCATCTCACTTTTATGGGAGACTGTAGTTTCCTTATTGACTGCGACAATGAATTTCTTTGCTTTTCAGGCTATCTTTGGGAGTAACTCTGAATCTTGGGGAGGAGGAGTGGGTACTGCCTCCTTTGAACCCTCTTTGGGAAGGTCTCTTATGTCTATGGTTAAGCTGTAAAAAAGCTGATTGGTTTAGAGTCACATTGGACTAGGTATACCTTTGAAAATTTGGACTTTATATCCAAAGGGATTTTTTTAAGAGAGCTTGCACCCTAAAACAAATGTCCTACTGGTACTGATAGGAAAATCAGATTGCAAGAAAGACAAAAAAAATTTTAATAACTATTTGGAAACAAACTAGACAAAAATCTTAAAAGTCTTGTGTATTATTTCATTCTCACATTGGTATAAAGAAATATCCAAGACTGGGCCGGGCGCGGTGGCTCATGCCTGTAATCCCAGCACTTTGGGAGGCTGAGGCGGGCAGATCACGAGGTCAGGAAATCGAGACCATGGTGAAACCCCGTCTCTACTAAAAATACAAAAAAAATGGCCAGGCACCCTAGCTCACACCTGTAATCCCAGCACTTTGGGAGGCCGAGGCGGGCGGATCACAAGGTCAGGAGATCGAGACCATCCTGGTCTAACTCGGTGAAACCCCATCTCTACTAAAAATACAAAAAATTAGCCAGGCGTGGTGGTGGGCACCTGTGGTCCCAGCTACTCGGGAGGCTGAGACAGGACAATGGCGTGAACCCGGGAGGTGAGGCTCACAGTGAGCCGAGATCATGCCACTGCACTCTGGCATGGGTGACAGAGCGAGACTCCATCTCAAAAAAAAAAAAGAAAAAAAAGAAATATCCAAGACTGGATAATTTAGAAAGAAAGAAGGCTTAATTGGCTCATGGTTCTGTAGGCTGTACAGGAAGCGTAGCTGTTTCTGCTTCTAGGGAGGCCTCAGGGAGCTTACAGTCATGGCAGAAGGTGAAGGGGAAGCAGGCAGGTCTTACATGGTCAGAACAGGAGGAAGATGGTGGGGAGATGTGTGCTATACACTTTTAGAAAAGCCAGATCTCATAACTCACTTACTCACTATCATAAGAACAGCATGGAGGGGATGGTACTAAACCATTTATGAGGAATCCGCCCATGATCCCATCACTTCCCACCAGGCCCTACTGCTGACACTTGGGTTAATAGCTGAACATGAGATTTGGTGGGGACACAGGTCCAACCATATCATCTTCTCTACAAATACTGGTGAAAGATTATAGCCATTATTTAGAAGTTTACCTTAACTTGTTCCATCTGCCAAGAACACAAAGTGGATCCAAATATTTTACATAAACTAGTGAGTTTTGTAATATGATGCCTGACTCATGGTTAAAAGTTTAAAATGAAAGCTATGAGATTTCTATTGGCATCTGTGTGCTTACATATGCTTATGTGTGTATTTTGCATATTGATCGTTTTCTACCTCCGGATGGTATTGCCAAAATTTATCAAAGAGCTCTGCATTAATTGGCTTAGAAAACAATAACTGCTCATATACATTAAGTATTATTAAAATCCTCAGAAAAAATAGAAATTAACCCAAAATTTGTTTTCAAATTCACATGCTCTGGGCTAATCTTTGGTAAATAACACTAGTTCAGTATTGTTAGTTAAATACAAATAGGTATTTCTCTAGATTTGTCAGCATTCAATATAATGTAGACATGCAATTTTATTCTACTTGAGTTTACTAGCCAAATAAGCTGATGTTATCTCTATTTGATGTTTTGGATTATAAAATTATAATTCAACCAAAGAATCAAATGTACAATAAAAATGAATTGCTTGATGTATGTCAAAGATGGCAGTTAAGAAGAAAGACAGAGAGCGAGAGCAATATAATTAACTTTTAGGTTCTTTACTTCTGTGATTTTTGATAGCTACCTCACATGCCTGTCACAAATTTGTTAACAAGAAAATAAACTTTAGATGATGATTAGCTTTATTTAATCTTGCATGAAATTTTCATCAATAATCCAAACATAATTGTTAGGAACAAGTTAATTAAATAGATGTAAGTGGGATAAAACTCTATAGCTGAACTTTCAACAATAGTTATGTTTTATAATATGTCTGCTTAAATATAGTATCTAAAATCTTTCTGGTAACCTAAAACCTCAAAGATATAGAAAGTTTAGTTAAATGAGAGATAGTCATCAAATATTTGATCATTTCTATATATGATATAATACTGAAAATTTAATTAAGTTTATCTATATTTGGCTTCTTATTACAGAGAGACTAAATAATATTTAAGTCTGTTAGTCAACATATTCTTCTTGCCACACTGAAAAAGTGTACTATGAGGAAACACATGCCTCTAGAAATTGTGAAAGGGTGTATTCATAAATATGCTAATCTACAGAATGCCCCTATATATAACAGTTCACAATTTCCTACTTCCTTGTTTTCACTGGAAATTAAGGTATTAATCATTGAAAACTCTAATCAATATACATAAATGAACTATTAGGAATAATAAGGGTGAAGGAGAAAAGTCTACATGCAAAGTATACAAAGAAACTAAGATGTGTTGGGCACAGGGAGGGGAACATCACACACCAGGGCCTGTGAGGGGGTCGCGGGCAAGGGGAGGGAAAGCGTTAGGACAAATACCTAGTTCATGCAAGGTTTAAAACCCAGATGACAGGTTGATAGGTGCAGCAAACCACCATGGCACATGTATACCTAGATAACAAACCTGCACGTTCTGCACATGTATCCCAGAACTTAAAGTAAAATAAATTTAAAAAAAGTAAGATGTGTTTTGACAAGGAAATATATGAAGTATGAAGGATGCATTTTTGTTAAGGAAAAGGGAGAGTAATTTTGTCCTACAGTAGTTTAATGTTATTTAAAGATTATTTCAGAGTGAGAAAGAGGAAAATAAAGGACAAAAACTAGGCAGGTATAGGAAATTGTCAAAGGAGAGAGAGAGAATTTTGTGTAGTCAAATATCTAAAATGGGCTGGGCACAGTGGCTCAGGCCTGTGATCCCAGCACTTTAGGAGGCCAAGACAGGACGATCACTTTAGACTGGGAGTTTGAGACCAGCCTACACAACACAGAGAGACCTGAGACCCTGTAAATTAGCCAGACGTGCTGGCATGTCCCTCTAGTCCCAGCTACTCTGGAGGTAGGAGGATCACTTGAGCCCAGGAGTTTGAGGCTGCAGTGAGCTATGATCGTGCCACTGCACTCCAGCCTGGGCAACAGAGTGAGAACTTGTCTCTAAAAAAAAAAATAATAAAAAATAATAAAATTATTATAAATAATAAAATTAAATGGATTTATTAAAATGTTTAAAAATAAACTCTAATATCAATAGTGTGCTGATGCAGAACTGGAATTTGGATTGTTGATTTGTTCCTAATAAGAGATCATAAAAGGGTTTCTTTATCTGTTGAGTACTTTGCATAGGAAACAAAGATTCTGTGACTTACCAGAAATAATTTCCCACATGTAGTCCCAGCTACTTGGGAGGTTGAGGCAGGAGGAACCCAGGAGTTTAAGGCTGCAGCGAGCTATGATCACAGCACTGCACACTAGCATGGGTGACAGAGCAAGACCCCAAATCTTTTTAAAAATTTAATAATTTCTTATGCTTAATGTTGTCTTTACCATATCTTTGATTACTTTTTTAAAAAAGAGTCTTCTCACTATGGAAAAAGCTAAGGTTTTGTTTTGGTTTTGGTTTTTTACAATTATGTGACCTTCTGTATTTACCTTTACAGTAATATTTTCCCTTTGATTAAATAGATAACTAAGTATTGTTTCATAGTTACCTGTTATCCTGTTTTATCAAGGGTTCAAACCTTTTGCAATTTTTGATAGTCTTCCCCAAATCAAATTCTAAAGTCTTTTAAAATTTTTTTTGTTAAATTTTATTTTTTAAAATTTTTATTTATTTATTTATTTATTTATTTGAGACAGAGTGTCACTCTTTTTGCCCAGGCTGGAGTGCACTGGCACAATCTCGGCTCACTGCGACCTCCGTCTCCTGGGTTCAAGCGATTCTCCTGCCTCAGTCTCCCGAGTAACCGGGATTACAGGCACCCACCCCGCCCAGCTAATTTTTTTGTATTTTTAGTAGAGATGGGGTTTCACCATGTTTGGCCAGGCTGGTCTTGAACTGACCTCAGGTGATCCACCCACCTCGGCCTCCCAAAGTGCTGGGCTTACAGGCATGAGCAACCGCACCTGGCCCTTCCTCGTTTTTTTGTTTGTTTGTTTGTTTTTGGTAGAGATGGGGTCTCTCTGTGTTGCTCAGGTTGGTCTTGAACTCCTGGCCTTGAGTGATCCTCCCACCCTGGAGCAAAGAGCTGGGATCACAGGCGCATGAGCCACTGTGCCCAGCCTGATTCTGTAGTTTTGTTTTTTTTTTACTTTTGTTGTTGTTGTCTGTTTGTTTTTTGAGACAAGGTCTCACTCTGTCACTCAGGCTAGAGTGCAGTGGCGCAGTCTTGGCTCAGTGCAGCCATAACCTCCCAGATGCAAGTGATCCTCCCAGCGCAGGCTCCCAACTAGCTGGAACTACAGACATGCACCACCACGTCTGGCTAATTTTTGTATTTTTGGTAGAGATGGGGTTTCACCGTGTTACCCAGGCTGGTCTCAAACTCCTGAGCTAAAGTGATCTACCTGCCTCGGCCTCCCAAAGTGTTGGGGTTACCGGCATGAGCCACTGCGCTGGCCCTAGTCTTTTTCACTTTGAACTAACTTTGACATTCCACAGAACTCTCCTTGAAAATCTCAAAGGATTTGCTCTTTCACATTGAAAAAAAGAGATGTTACACTAATTAGATTTATTTGATACGCTAAATTACATGAGAATCATCGTCAACTAAAATATGATGCTTAACCTTCTTTATGTTATATTTGTATAGGTACGTAATTAATATGTGTTTCAAAACTGTATAAAGTTCCTAGATATTTATCAATCTTTGCTGTTCATATGTCCTGATACAGTGTTATCTGGACAGTTACTATTATAAAATGCTGTAAGCCACAGAAATAACCAAATTTCCTTGTTAATTGCACTATAATGAACTCTCATCAGATCTTTAATCATGGTTATTTGTAAGTCTTTTGCCATTCACAGCCAATTATTGTTTTATGATAATTCTTCTCTGAATGCTTTTGCAATCAACAAGTGAAAATGCTTCATCTTCCCAGAGACCATGGAAAAGACTCAGAGAGGTATTCTCAAGTATTTAAGATTATACCACTGGATTGGGTAAAGATTTCCAAAACACTAAAGAAGAAACATGAATTCATAAAGCTGCAAATACAGCATCAAGCAAAACAAGAATTAATTCCATGGGACTGAATGAACTGATAAGAATAATTCTAATGTGTATGGCCCTTTTGTTTGAAACATTACTGGTTCCTTAATGTTTTTCCATATTTAAGAAACCCTTTTTCTCTGTTTTCTTAAGCTATCTATAACTTACAGTAACTTGGTAAAGTATACCTTTGTGAACAAAGATGAAAAGATAAAACATTTACTTTTTTTGAGACAGGGTCTCACTCTATCATCTGGGCTGGAGTGCAGTGGTGCGATCACAGCTCACTGCTTCCTTGAACTCCTGGGCTCAAGCAATCCCCCAACCTCAGCTTCCCAAGTAGCTGGGACTATAAATGTGCATCACCATGCCCAGCTATTTTTTTTTTTTTTAAGAGATGAGAGTTTCACTGTGTTGCCCAGGCTGAAGTGATCCTCCAGTGAAGTGATCCTCCAGTTTCAGCCTCCCAAAGTGCTGGGATTACAGATGTGAGCCACCATGCCCCGCCAGAAACATTCACTTTTTCTCCCCACCCGATCCTTCCAGAATTCGGAAATCTTTATTGAATATTCTTATTTTCATGGTGATGTATTTACATATGTTCAGTAAGAATCTCTTGTCCTTATAACAGAATGCAATTTGAAATATTACTTATATTAGCAAGGCTTTCACTGGAATATCATATTTTAGGATGATGCACATAAAATCAGATAACATCAGACAGTTTTAAGGAACTGTCAGAAGCACTTGAACAAGAGCAACTCCATCTTGAATAGGGGCTGAGTAAAATGAGGCTGAGACCTACTGGGCTGCATTCTCAGATGGTTAGGCATTCTAAGTCACAGAATGAGATAGGAGGTCGGCACAAGACACAGGTCATAAAGACCTTCCTGATAAAAACAAGTTGCAGTAAAGAAGCCGGCCAAAACTCACCAAAACCAAGATGGTGATGAGAGTGGCCTCTGGGTGTCCTCACTGCTACACTCCCACCAGCACCATGACAGTTTACAGATGCCATGGCAACGTCAGGAAGTTACACTGTATGGTCTGTAAAGGGGAGGCATGAATAACCCATCCCTTGTTGAGCATATCATCAAGAAATAACCAGCAGTGCTGGCGCTGATCTGTCTATGGAGTAGCCATTCTTTCATTCCTTTACTTTCTTAATAAACTTACTTTCACTGTAATCTATGAACTCGCCCCAAATTCTTTCTTGCTTGAGATCTATGAACCCATTCTGGGGGTCTAGATCAGGACCCCTTTCTGGTAACAAAACTAATGCTGACTTTATGAAGCCAGTGCTTAAAAAGCCCCTTGAAATATTGGCCTGGTACCTGATTAACAGGGTTCCCAACCTAACAGGTGAGTAAAAAAGGTCACTTCTTGGTAGGCCCAGGAAGCTGAAAATATTTTGGGGACCTCAAGAAAAAAGGAATTCACCCAAATCTGTAGGTATTGCTGGTGAAGGCTGATGGATTGGTTTCCAGCTTTGATAGGCTTTAACAGTCTAACCTGAAATTCCTTATTAAAAGTTGCAACAAAGCAGACTCAAAAAGAGCTTACATTGTCAATCATTATTCTTGCTATTTTTATGTAATAATCAGGCCAAGGTCAATGAGATTGACTTATTTTGCAACAAAAATAGTGTTACTTTGATTATCTTTCATAGAAATAGGGGTGATTGTAGAGAGAACTATGCTGTTTCAATTGAAAACTATAGCACACCCTTGTGGATTGTCAAATTCTAGCCGTGTTCACTGCCTTTCAGCTTTTTTAACCTCTCTGTAAACTGACTCCTGCTGTGTTTTGCATTTTGTCAGTAATTAACATTTCTGATTTTAATCTCACCTGATTTGGCACCACTGAGAACTAAAACCTGACTGCCTAGATCCGTATTGACACTACCCAGAAAAAGCCCTGCAAGCTGAAACTGGGCCCTTCCGTGCTCTGCTCTGAGAAATAACCATAACTGTCACATTGTATATGCCATTCCCAGAGACATTCAAACCACAAACCCAGAAACACTTCAGACTGCCACGGCCCGTCCTCCTTCTATCACCTAGAGATGCGTTGAGCCCAACATTCAGAAATCTTCTCAACTGATTGCCCTCTGGCCTCAGAAACTGGGTTTATAAACAGTTCTATCTATTAACCTTGGTTTTCTTTTGTTTCCATAGAAAGGTCCTCATTAAATGTCTTACAGCACCATATAGAGACCTAACCGGTGGGCACCCTATTCCCTCTGGCAACACAATCTCTTGAGATACAACTTTCTGAGTAAACTGAACTCTTATACACTGTTGGTAGGAATGTAAGCTATTCCCAGGACTGAGAGACTGGTTCAGTGAGATGGGGCAATGTGTTTAAATTTGTCCTTTTCTGCTTACTCACTCTCGTTCCAATCTGTTTTCCTTCCCTTTGCAGATCTCTTATCTTGCAACACCTAATCCGAATCTCTCTCAACAGCTACAAACTTGGCTTTTGATGTATGAAACGTCCTGAGAAAAAGAAAGTTTCAAAGGGTGGGATAAAGGGTTCCAGAATATGCCACCCAATATATGGATTATTTTGAGCTAAAAGCAACTGAGAACCAACAGACACAGGAAAGGCTCTTTCTGTCCCCTAACTGCCTAAAAGCAGAATATAAATTTCCCCTTTTGTAAAGGAAATTTATATTTATAAAGTAAATTTCTCTTGGTGAAGATTCCTCTGTACCAGAAAGAGAGCTAGGCCTGGGGATAACCCATCACCTGAGACACTCTTACCTGCATAACCCTTATTTACATACACGTATACATTTCCTGCCTTACTTTCTCAGGACTTGTCTTCTCTACTCAGAAGCCCCAAACCCCTTTCCCTTTGTTTAGTCTGAGATGCTATATAAGCTTCAATCATCTGGGTCTCCTTGAGTCTTTTCTTTGTGATACTCCCACGTGTATGTATGCACATAATTAATCTGTTTTTTTCCTCTTGTTAATCTATGTTTTGTTAGTTTAATTTCCAGGGCCTCAGCCATAGAATCTATTGGGTAGAAGGAGAAAAAGTTATTTGTCTCCCCTAGAAGCCAAAATGCAGTCCTAGCCATAGCAATCAAGCAAGAGAAAGAAAAAAAAAAAAGGCATCCACATTGGAAAAGAGGAAGTCAAGTTGTCTCTCTTTGCAGATGACATGATTTTATATATATGTATATATATATGTATATATATACATATATATATACATATATATACATATATATATACATATATATACATATATATACATATATATATGTATATATATACCTAAAGACTCCAATTTAAAAAAAAAAAACCTCTAAGAACTGATAAATTCAGTAAGGTTGCAGGATACAAAATCAACATACAAAAATCAGTAGTGTTCTATACACCAATAACAAAGTAGCTGAAAAGAAAATCAAGAAAATAATCACATTTACAGTAGCTACAAAAATAATAAAATATCTAGGAATAGATTTAATCAAGGAGGTGAAAGACCTCTACAGGGAAAACTATAAAACACTAATGAAAGAAACTGAAGAGGAAACAAACAAATGAAAAGACATCCCACACTCATGGATTGAAAGAATTAATATTGCTAAAATGAACATACTATCCAAAGCAACCTACAGATTTAATGCAATTCCTACCAAAATATCAATGACATTCTTCACAGATATTTTTTTTAAATCCTAAAAATCATATGGAACCACAAAAGACCCTGAATAGCCAAAGCAGTCAGGACTTAAGCAAAAAGCACAAAGCTGGAGGCATTACACTACCTAACTTTAAAATACACTACAAAACTACAGTAGCCAAAACAGCATGGAATTGATATAAAAACAGACACATAGACCACTGGAACAGAATAGAGAGAGCCAAGAAGTAAATCCACGTATTTATAGCCAACTGGTTTTTACAAAGACACTAAACACATTGGGAAAAGGACACCATCTTCAGTAAATGGTGCTGGGAACTCGGTAACCATATGCAGAAAAATAAAGCTGGACCCCTGTCTCTCACCCTATACAAAAATTAACTCAAAATGGGTTAAAAAGTTAAACCTAAGAGCAGAAACTATAAAACTACTAGAAGAAAACATAGGGAAACACTCCAGGACATCAGTCTAGGCAAAGATTTTATGGCTAAAACCTCCAAAACACAGGCAACAACAACAAAAATAGACAAATGGGACTATATTAAGCTAAAAACTTCTTCACTGCAAAGGAAACAATCAATAGATTGAAGAGACAACCTGTAGAATAGAAAAAACTATTTGCAAACTATTCATCCAACAAGGGTCTAATTTCCAAAATTTACAAGGAATTCACACAATTTAACAGCAAAAATATAAATAATCCAACTAAAAAGTGGGCAAAAGATCTGGATAGACATTTCTCAAAAGCAGACATATAAATGGCTAAAAGTTATACGAAAAATGTTCAATATCACTAGTCATCAGGAAAACACAAATCAAAATTGCAATAAGAAATCATCCACTCCAGTTAGAATGGCTATTATCAAAAAGACAAAAAACAACAGATGTTAATGAACGTGCAGAAAAAAGGGAACTCTTATACAATGTTGGTAGGAATGTAAGCTAGTATAACCATTATGGAAAACAGTTTGGGGTTACCTCAAAAAATTAAAAATAGAACTACCATATGGTTTAGTAATCCCACTACTGAATATTTATCCAAAGGAAAATAAATCAGTATATCCATGGGTTACCTGCACCTCCATGCTTATTGCAGCACTATTCACAATAGCTAAGATATGGAATCAAACTGCCTTCATCAGTGGATGAATGGATAAAGAAAATGTGGTATATATACACAGTCATTCTTCTATTCTCTGTCTCCATGAAATCAACTTTTTAGCTTCCACATATGAGTGAGAACATGTGTTATTTGTCTTTCTTTCTTTCTTTTTCAAGACAAGATCTCACTCTGTTGCCCAGGCTGGAGTGCAGTAGTGCAATCAAAGCTCACTGCAGACTCAACCTCCTGGGCTCAAGTGATCATCCCACCCCAACCTCCCAAGTAGCTGGGACTACAGGTGTGTGGCACCATGCCTAGCTATTCAGCCTTTAAAAAGAATGCAATCCTGTCATTTGCAGCAGCACAGATGAAACTGAAGGTCATTATGTTAAGTGAAATAGGTCAGGAAGAGAAAAACAAATATTCATGGGTGTGGTGGTTCACTCCTATAATCACAACACTTTAGGAGGCCAAGGTGGAAGAATTGCTTGAGTCCAGGAGTTCGAGACTAGCTTGGGCAACATAGTGAAACCCCATCTCTACAAAAAAATCAAAAAATTATCTAGGCATGGTGCCACACACCTGTAGTCCCAGCTCCTTGGGAGGTTGAGGTGGGATGATCACTTGAGCCCAGAAGGTTGAGGCTGCAGTGAGCTTTGATTGCACTACTGCACTCCAGCCTGGGCAACAGAGTGAGATCTTGTCTTGAGAAAGAAAGAAAGAGGCAGGGCACGGTGGCTCACGCCTGTAATCCCAGCACTTTTGGGGGCTGAGGCGGGTGGATCACCAGGTCAGGAGATCGAGACCATCCTGGCTAACACGGTGAAACCCCGTCTCTACTAAAAACATAAAAAAATTAGCCAGGCGTGGTGGCGGGCTCCTGTAGTCCCAGCTACTCCGGAGGCTGAGTCAGGAGAATGGCATCAACCCAGGAGGCGGAACTTGCAGTGAGCCAAGATCGCGCCATTGCACTCCATCCTGGGCGACAGAGCCAGACTCCGTCTCAAAAAAAAAAAAAAAGAGAAAAAAAGACAAATAACACATGTTCTCACTCATATGTGGGAGCTAAAAAGTTGATTTCATGGAGACAGAATAGAAGAATGACTGTTACCAGAAACTTGGAAGGTGGAGAATGCAAGGATGAAGAGAGGCTGGTTAACATGTACAAACATAGAGTTGGACAGAAGGAAAAAGTTCTAGTGTTGGGCAGCACAGTAAGGCAACTATAGTTAACAATATATTGTATATTTCAAAGCAGCTAGTAGAGAAGATTTGAAATGTTCCCAACACAAAGAAATGATAAATGTTCAAGGTAGATTTCCTAAATACCTTGATCATTACACATCGTATCCATGTATGAAAATATCACATGTATTCCATAAGTATGTACAATTATTATGCATCAATAAAAAAACTTTTAACCCAAAATGCAAACTGGAGAATTTTACAAAGAATTTGTTATTTAAGGGTTCAGCAAAAGGTTTTCTAGAAAGAAAAATGAACAGACGGCACAAGACTCTTTTGCTTCAGGAGAGGAAGGATCCAGGCCCGGTACTGCTGCAAGACAGCAGGATTTATACCAAAAATTATTGTGTAAGTTTACTATAAATATTAATAGACGGAAGTCGCAGAGTTTTATTTAAGATCCTGACCAGTGCCAAAACAACAGGGAGGCAGTAATGTGGACTGTTAACAAACCTCAGAAGAAACAATTGGATATGTGTGTAATTCACATACAAAAGTGAGCAGAGTAGGGTGTATGTCTTTTCTGTGTCACTGATGGGTTGGGTCACTCCGGGACAAACAATTCAATTCTCTAAGGCTCAGTTTCAGCCATGAGGTGAGGAATTGGGCTGATTCTCAAAGGGTTATCCCCAGACCAAAATCATCAGCATCACCAGGGAACATATTAGAAATGCACATTTTAGCTGCCTTCCTGGACTTACAGAGTCAGAAACTCAGGGCGAGTGTGGTGACTCATGCCTGTAATCCCAGCACTTTGGGAGGCTGAGATGAGCAGATCACCTGAGGTCAGGAGTTTAAGACCAGCCTGGCCTACATGGCGAAACCCCGTCTCTACTAAAAATACAAAAATTCGCTGGGTGTGGTGGTGTGCGCCTGTAATCCTAGCTACTCTGGAGGCTGAGGCAGGAGAATTGCTTGAACTCGGGAGGCAGAAGTTGCAGTGAGCCGAGATGGCACCACTGCACTTCAGCCTGGGCAACAGAGCCAGACTCCATCTCAAAAAAAAGAAAGAAAAAGAAACTCAGGATGGTGTCCTTCAACCTATGTCTTAACAAGCTCTCTTGGTGGCATCCAGTAAAGCTTGAGAACCACTGAGCAAGCCACTGGACAGATGATCTCTAGGTCCCTAATAGCTATAAACACACAAATTTAATTGTAAGCTAAGGAGGAAAATTATAAGCTGAGTGGTCCTAGTATTTGGTATAGTAAATTTTTAAAAGATATTCAAAAGAATGACATAATTATTTTTGGAATGGTACGAATGTTTGCCATTGAATTTTACGAGATGTGAGAATGGCGTGTACACATACAAGGAGTATTCCAACCATGAAATGACCTGAGTTGAAATAAAGCTAAAGACTACAAGTGCTAAGACAAGGATGGTCACATACGCAGTGGGAGTAATTTCCATACGAGGAATGTACATACCAAGACTGGCTCAGTGTGCGGACAGCCAAGGGAAGTGGAACTTTCAGTGTTCAAAGTTCTACAGTTTTTTTAAAATACACGTATAGATTAGTTAATGAACTACTTTATAATTAGCTGCTTTGTATTAACATTGCAAATGTTTAAAAAAAAAATCTTCTAGGCTCATTGAAGTTTTAGTGGTATCATAGGGCCTAAAACTATAAAACAAAAGAAATCAACTTCTCTCTGTCCAGGCTTAGTTGAAGATAATAGGATCTGAAACTGAGAGGTTTTAGTTTGATTTATTTCTTTCTTTGTTTTTGAGACAGGGTCTCATTCTGTTGCCCAGGCTGGAGTGCAGTGGTGCAATCACAGCTCACTGAAGCCTCCACCTCCTAGGCTCAAGCAATCCTCCCATCTCAGCCTCTCAAGTAGCTGGGACTATAGATGCGTGCCACCATGCCTGGCTATTTTTTTATTCTTTGTAGAGATGGGGTCTTGCCATGTTATCCAGGCTGTTCTTGAACTCCTGAGCTCAAGCGATCCACCAGCTTTGGACTTTCAAAATGCTGAGATTACAGGCATGAGCCACTGCACCCAGCCACATCTAGTATGACTTCTTTTTTTTTTTTTTGAGACAGAGTCTCGCTCTGTCGCCCAGGCTGGAGTGCAGTGGTGCGATCTCTGCTCACTGCAAGCTCTGCCTCCTGGGTTCACGCCATTCTCCTGCCTCAGCCTCCCGAGTAGCTGGGACCACGGGCCCCCGCCACCACGCCCGGCTAATTTTTTGTATTTTTAGCAGAGACGGGGTTTCACTGTGTTAGCCAGGATGGTCTTGATCTCCTGACCTCGTGATCTGCCCGCCTCGGCCTCCCAAAGTGCTGGGATTACAGGTGTGAGCCACCGCACCAGGCCTAGTTTGACTTCTATACCATCCTGTTTCTGGCCTTCTCCCTTCACCTTCAGATACCTGCTCTTTAATTTATTTTCCTTGTCAGTCATGTGTGTTGGTTAATTCATTGACTGCTTACACTTGTATATGAATAAACTTCACAATGCTCTTTCAATCAAGCATTTTCATTTTGTTTTTAATAATGAATTCTAAAAGGAAAGATCCTGTCTATCTATTAAAGGAGCTCCAGATATCTCTTAATAGGTAGGGAAATTGTTGGAAGGAGCAGAAAAGCCTCCAAGACAGTAAGAGTTCTTAAAGTAGACTGAGTGACCTTCTTGGCGTAGGGTTGGGAATAGCAGTTGTAGAGGAGATGGTAAAGGACGCAGTCCAGGAAATTGTGGTAAAAATTAATACAGAATACACTGGCTGCTTTGCTAAGGAACTTTCTCCCCCAGCAAGGACAATCTGCCAGGTGGCTAGGCAAGATGGTCTGTATTTGTTGTCATGAAACCTGTGTGGAGTTTCTTCCAGGAGTGAAGCCTTCCTGCCCTACAGTTCAGCTCTCCTGCCTCCTTCCTGCTTCTGTGCCCCATCTTTTCATGCATGAATACAGATCAGCTTCTCTCTCCTTCCCCTAATCATAATCCATCTGCTGTCCCAGGAGCCAGGGCTGCTGTGTCAGTTCTTTGAGTGGTGCCCTACACAAAAGAACTGGCTTAAGTGGCGCCCTGCCAAGTGGACTAATGAAGGCTGAAATCTAGCCCATGCTTCCCTCACCAAACCCTGAGCTTGTGGGTTACTTATTTCTAACTCACACAGAGGTACTCTATGGGCTAGCTGCAACCATGGCATAACCCCTGTGTTGTGTTTTGGGACACTATAGTAGTGCTCTTAAGAAACAAAAACAAAAAACAACTCCTCTTAACATACTCTCTAGACCGAGCCATGCTTTTCATGTCCTCTGTAAAACACAGTGACATGTGTCTGTGGCACACCCAAGCCAGCTGTTGGTAGGCTGCTCCTAGTATGCCCCGGGCACCTCCACTCCCTCCAGTTACGCTTTATGTATACACCAAGCATCCTTACGTGTTCCCAGAATGGTGTATACACCAAGCATCCTTATGTGTTCCCAGAATGGTGTCTGCTCATTGTGCTTGTTATTTTAATTATCCAAATTAATGAATGAACTGACAAAATTGTGTAAAAAAAACAGTGTCATGGTTTCTTTGAAAACTAATTTCAACACGTTGCAAAGATTGAAAAAGGGTAAGTAGTAGAAATAGCTGTTGATTTAGTTGTGGGGAGGCAGCTATAAAAGATTGGCAAAAGAAAAATGCAATGCCTAAGATTCTGTGCTCTAATTGCTTTACGTGCGTTTTGAAGTCCTTGATTCACTTTAAAGAAACTCAAGCTTAGAAGTCATAGACCATGAATTATGGATGTAGTTTATGAAAAAAAAGATGTGTCACTATAATCAGCAGACCCATGCTAAAAATAATAAAATATATCTTTTCAAAAAGCTTTGGCCCTACATTAAAAAACATATATTTAGATGTTTTAAGGTAAAACACAATGTTCAAGATATGTGTGTGTATTATTTTAGTGAATTTTTCTATTAATCGATTGTTGACTATACCCAGTTCAGATCATGTCATATAAGACTTCTACAGTATTTTATTTTGTGCCTAATGAGATTTGTGTGTGGTGGTAGACTGTTGCCCTTTGTGATGCCTTTCTATGTAATTTCAAATATGCTATATTATATGTGCCTTTGGTAACAGTATTTCTGACAACAAAGCAATATTGTCTCACAAGAATTCTCAGTAACAATCATACAATCACACCTAGGCCAATCCAAAATATTTTTTAAAAGCTTTTTTAAGTCTAGTTTGACTTCTAAAATATACTTTACTACAGATTACCACAAGACACACATTTGGTCTGGCAACCACTGAATCAATATTTGGCACCTCTGCTGGGAATTTTGTAAAAATTGCCTTTTAAGTTCAAACTGACTAGGAAGCTAGTAATGTATTCACTTCTAAAAAAAAGAAAGAAAGAAACCTCGGTATAACAAACTCAGATCCTTTCATAGGAAGGATAATTTAATATGAGGTTAATTATTCATTAAGGGAGGAAGGAAGAAGACTAGAAAAGAAGTTTTGTTTCATCATTTCCCAACCATTTGGAATCAAATAATTGTACAACTTGGGAAGTGCGGAGGAACTTACAAGTCAGAAAGCTGTACCTTTATCCTATAGCAGAAATGTCTTCTTCAGATCAAATGGTTCCCCACTCTGTTTTGTTACCAATAGTGAGATGTTCCCAGGTCTAGAAAGGCACATGCTTTATTGAAAAGCTCAACTTAGAAAAATCCTTTCTTGGCCGGGCACAGTGGCTCATCCCTGTAATTCCAGCACTTTGTTAGGCCAAGGCGGGCGGATCACCTGAGGTTGGGAGTTTGAGACCAGCATGACCAACATGGAGAAACCCCATCTCTACTAAAAAAATTAAAAAAAAAATTTATCTGGGCGTGGTGGCGCATGCTTGTAATCCCAGCTACTCGGGAGGCTGAACAGGTGAATCACTTGAACTTGGGAGGTGGAAGTTGCTGTGGGCCAATATTGCGCCACTGCACTCCAGCCTGGGCAACAAGAGCGAAACTCCGTCTCAAAAAACAAAACAACAACAACAACAAATAAAAAAAAACCAGAAAAATTCTTTCTTAGAGTGAGTGCTAGTCTGTCACTT
The DNA here is from genome assembly GCF_000001405.40 of Homo sapiens. Classification (NCBI taxonomy): domain Eukaryota; kingdom Metazoa; phylum Chordata; class Mammalia; order Primates; family Hominidae; genus Homo; species Homo sapiens. The sequence goes on from NC_000012.12 coordinate 11,632,271, forward strand.
TATCATGTCCACTTTGGGGTATTAGTTCTGAAATTTGCAGATTTGAACATTTCCACCCTTGTATATTTTCAGAGAACTGAGTATATTTAACCTGGAGAAAAGATGTATGCATGTGTCCTAGAGGGATTGGTGTGAAGGGTACATAAGGAAAAACTACCTAGCTATTAATTTTGCAATGGAAACATTGTGGAGGTTTGCCTTAAAAAGTAGTGAGCTGAGGTGTTCCAGGAGAGAGCAGTGATTATTTACTGAGAGGTCTTTAGGGTGAGATTCTTACTGGATAGAAGATTAGAATAAGAAGCCTCTCAAGTTACATAATTTGAAAAGTCTATACTATACTTGGCATTCACCATGACATTCTACTCTATAGCATATTTGGTTTCTCCAAATTTTCTTCGTATGCTATAGCTTCCAGATCTTTTTACTTTTCTAGTCAATCTGTTATGAAAACATATTAACGTAATAAATATCCTTTAAATTTTATATTCAAAATTAATTTTTTTAAGAGACAGGGTCTCACTCTGTTGCCCGAGCTGAAGTGCAGTGGTGCAATCGTAGCTTACTGCAACCTTGAACTCCTCGCCTCAAGTGATCCTCCCACTTCAGCCCCCCAAGTAGGTGGGACTACAGGTGTGCATCACCAACCCCAGCTAATTTTTTAAATTTTTTGTAGAAATGGGGTCTCGCTACGTTGCCCAGGTTGGTCTCCAACTCCTGGCCTCAAGCAACCCTCCCACCTCCACCTCCCAGAATGCTGAAATTAGAGGTGTGAGCCACCATGCCAGTCCCCAAAATTAAATTTTATAATCAATAAACATGATGCAGGAATGAGGTCATGAGGAAATAACCTCTCTGTGGGGACCCTGATAGTGTTAGTAAAAACTAATATGAAATTAACTGCTGCTAAAGAGCCTTGGAAAACACAGATTTCCACTAAAGTGATGAGAATTCATCCTTAGGACTGGAATGCAATTTACAAATCAATAAGTGAATAAATTATTTTGTAGCTTATTTAAAGAAATATAGGTCAAGAATCCCATATCTGCAATCCCAAAAAAATATTAAAAACAAGTTTTTTTCATAACCAATTGAGTGGCAGAACCTGATGTAAACTACTGGAGGATACTTAATTATTTGTATTTATCCTCTTCACACATTTGGCTGCTGAACTATTTGAGTGTTTGACTTGGAAGTGTACTATATGGCCTTTCTAAATCCAAATATCCGAAATCAGGAGCACATCTGGCCATACAATTTTGGCTTGGGCACTAGGAACCTGTCTCATACGTGAAAGGAGACTGATGGTGGGTGGTATCTGTGTTATCCGCAAGAAAAAGGAAAAGGGATTCCACTTTGAATAGCATGGTGTAGCACTCTGAAGGGCACAATAATACAAATAAAAACAATTAGATACTGAATAAAACCTACTTTTAATTCCATGTTGGGGGCCGGGCGCGGTGGCTCATGCCTGTAATCCCAGCACTTTGGGAGGCCGAGGCAGGCGAATCACGAGGTCAGGAGATCGAGACCATCCTGGCTAACACGGTGAAAGCCCGTCTCTACTAAAAATACAAAAAAAATTAGCCAGGCGTGGTGGCGGGTGTCTGTGGTCCCAGCTACTCGGGAGGCTGAGGCAGGAGAATGGCGTGAACCCGGGAGGCAGAGCTTGCAGTGAGCCGAGATCGCGCCACTGCACTCCAGCCTGGGTGACAGAGCGAGACCTCGTCTCAAAAAAAAAAAAAAAAAAAAATTCCATGTTGGGCTTACAAGCAGTAATGGAAATCTCCCACCTACCCCTCCTTCTGCCCACACTAACCACAGAGTAAATAGAAATAGACCAAATACATTCCAAATCAAGGAAAAAAAGGGGAAAGAAGACTTTAAAAACCAGTCATTCCGAAGATTTCAAGATAACATATTAGTCACAATAGGCTACATTATGCCGTGGTGATAAATTAACTTCAGTACTCACCAACATCACAGAAAATTTATTTCTCACTCTTGCCGCATACCAGTGCAGGCTGGTAGGAGACTCTGCTGCACATAGTCATTGAAGGGCTTGATTGATAGACGCTTTTCCATTCAGCATGTTGTAAGTTGTTGCAACAGGATAAAAGAACACATGGAGACCCCCAAATTCAAACTCAGCCTTGGACCAGAAGTGACACATGTCACTTTCATTCCTATTGCCCAGCATCATTCATGTTGCCTCCTCTAAATGCAGGTGTCATGTAGGGCAGACAAGAAATATTTGCTGATCATTACTGTCTCTTCCATAAAAGGATAAAAGAGAAACAGCAAAAGTGAGAAAAATAGAAATTTTAAAGTGATGCAGTATAAACAAATCCAAATAAATCTATAATCACAACACTCAAAAAGCAAGTAATGTCATAATAGATCTTTAACATCTACTTATATGTTCAGAAGAGACCCACCTAAATGTTAGAAAAAATAAAGCTTGAAGTTTAGAAGACAAGAAAAGGATGTAATAAGCAGATATAACTAAAAGAAAGCCAATGTGGCTGTATTTTTATCAGAAACATATAAAATTCAGACTAAAAAATTATTAGGTATAAAAAGGGACACTCATAACAATTTTTAAATGCTCAGTTCACCAAGAAGATATAAAAATTCTAAACATGCATCTAATAAGATAGTATTAATGGTATCAAATTATGTAAAGTAAAAAATTAGTACAGTGAAAAAAATGAATGAAACTTACAAAGCTTAAAATACTTACTATCTGGCCCTTTACAGAAGAATTTGTTGACCTCTGTACATGACCGTAAGGTACTTTAGCAATGTTCAAAATATTGGCATCAAACAACAACAATCTTTGAAACATAATGCAACAAAATATGGAGCCAATAAAAAATAAATAATCCCACACTCTTGAAAATTTAAAAGGAAACTATATTTTTAAATAATGCATGGGTGAAAGGAGAAATAATGATGGAAATTTAAGAATACTATATACCAAATAACAAAACTATTATATATTAAAACTTGAGAGGTGGCTAAGGATGGCCAATTAGAACACTAATAAGGGCATTAATTGCAACACATTGAAAACAGATCAAATATGTTTCAATTCATGAGTTTAGATATTTGGGGGAAAAGCTAGTTGATCACCTTGGGAAGATGATAGGGAACTATTTAAATAAAGAGAGAAAAATCAAGGATTTATCATGCCTTTCCTACATGAACCATACCACTGAGCAGTCAGTAATGAATCACCTGAAAATATTGGCACAAGGGGACAAGTTGAAACATGCAAGGAAACCCAAGAGGCCAGTCATTTCCAGCTGCCCAAATGGGACTACAGAAAGGCAGCTTTTAGAGAGATCTATGGAAAACTATTGCCTCTGACGGCAGAACATGAAATTTAAGGAGAGTGAGGACAAGCTTGGTTCCAATGGGGACCTCTGCATCCATCACTACATCCAACTGCCAGAAACTTCCGAAAGCTACACCTCTACGTCTGCCTTCCAGATTTCATGCAGGCTCCTCTTTTGGCCAACTCTCATTCAGAATCACAAGAGAAAGGGAATTTTGGAAAATGTCATAGCAATTCAGTGTAGTCCCTCTTTTTCAATTTGGTAACTATATATCCTCTTTTAACCACTTCCAGATAAAGATAATAGCAAAAGTATGTTTCCACTTAAGATGGAACAGGCCTTCATATACCTAAAAAGATATTGATCCAGTCTCCTACAGCAGGGACCCCTAACCCCCATGCCATGGACCAGTACTGGACCATGGCCTGTTAGGGACCGGGCTGCACAGCAGGAGGTGAGCAGTGGGCAAGCTAGCATTATTGCTTGAGCTCTGCCTACTGTCAGATCAGCCATGGCATTAGACTCTCACAGGAACATGAACCCTATTGTGAACTGCATATGCAAGGGCTCTAGGTTGCATGTTCATTATGAAAATCTAATGCCTGATGATCTGTCACTGTCTCCCATCACCTCCAGATGGGACTGTCTAGTTGCAAGAAAACAAGCTCAGGGCTCCCATTGATTCTACATTATGGTGAGTTGTATAATTATTTCATTATATACTACAATGTAATAATGATAGAAATTAAGTGCACAATAAATGTAATGCCCTTGAATCATCCTAAAACTATCACCCCCACCTCCTGGTCTGTAGAAAAATTGTCTTCTGCAAAACTGGTCCCTGGTGCCAAAAAGGTTGGAACCGCTGCCCTAAAGGATACACAAATGAGATCCATCTTTGGATGATGTCGATTTATCTTTTAGCCCACTCTCATTCCCCCTTTGGTACGCTGTAACTTAAATACTAATGGATAAAGTTAATACGTTATGTTAGATAGCAGAATGAGAGAAAAAAGAAAAGACGAACAAAGGTGGTGTGTGTTTAAACATACGTATTTAAATAAATTCATATCAAAGAAAAAATACACTCATAACTACTACCAAACTCATTTCTGCAAATTGGTCACATGGTCATAGCTGGTATTTAGAGTTTCCTTTTCCCACTATCCACTCAGCATTCTCTGCTCTCAACAGGCACCCCAGATTTCCTGGAGGATGACCCAAACCTTCATTCCTGAAGGGTCTGTAACATTTACAGTCCTGCTGTATTGGGTGTTGCAGTTTTCTATCAACTTTTCATCAAAGTAGTATAAAGAGGTGCCCCCAAAGGACCTGTTCAATTCTAATGATACTCCTCTCTGCTTCCATCATGTAGTAGCAACCCAATTTTCCCTTAAGGATCAGAATAAATTATGCTAGCTAGGAGAGTAAGCCGCACCTTCCCCTTGCTTTTTTTTTTTTTTTTTTTTTTGAGACAGAATCTCGCTGTGTTGCACAGGCTGGAGTGCAGTGGCACAATCTTGGCTCACTGCAAGCTCCGCCTCCCGGGTTCACGCCATTCTCCTGCCTCAGCCTCCCGAGTAGCTGGGACTACAGGCGCCCGCCACCATGCCTGGCTAATGTTTTTTTTTTGTTTGTTTTGTTTTTTGTTTTTGCATTTTTAGTAGAGACGGGGTTTCCCCGTGTTAGACAGGATGATCTCGATCTCCTGACTTTGTGATCCGCCCGCCTCGGCCTCCCAAAGTGCTGGGATTACAGGCGTGAGCCACGTGCCCGGCCCGTTTTTTTTTTTTTTTTTTTTTTTTTGCCAGTAGGTTCAGTGGCATAAGGAGCTAAAAATGGCCCCATTAGAGTCTCAGATTCTGGTTTGATAGAACTGCTGTTGTGTTCCCAGTAGAGGCACTCTTCCTTTGGGAACTAAAACCTCTAAAACAGCAGATAACAAAGTTGGGAGGATGGAAAACCCAATTTTTGCTAGCAGGCCATTAAAGTTAGTAATAAGAGGAGCCAATCGCATTTTCTCCCTTTAATTCTCTGACCTGAGGGGGAAAATAAGCACCACACAGTTATTGCGTGCTCAGTGCAACAAATTGCATCCTGGGACAGGTGCAGTGGCTCATGCCTGTAATCCCAGCACTTTGGGAGGCCGAGGCGGGTGGATCACCTGAGGTCAGGAGTTTGAGACCAGCCTGACCAACATGGTGAAACCCCATCTCTACTAAAAATACAAAACTAGATGGGTGTGGTGGTGCGTACCTGTAATCCCGGCTACTTGGGAGGCTGAGTCAGGAGAATCTCTTGAATCCAGGAGGTGGAGGTTGCAGTGAGCTGAGATCACCCCATTGCACTTCAGCCTGGACAACAAGAGCGAAACTCCCTACCAAAAAAAAAAAAAAAAATGCATCCTGGAAGACACTACTGTAGCCCTGCAACGTGTTGCCCTCCAGCTGATACCACAGCTGAGTCTCCAAAGGGCCATCTACTATCCTATCAACCAACTACCTAAAAATGATGAGGAACATGACAAGCCCAGTGGACTTTATGAGTTCTAGCCCATTGCTGTAATTTACTTGGCATAAAATTAGTTTCCTGGTCAGAAGCAATGTGGTGTGGAATATTATGAGGGTGAATACGGCATTTTGCAAGTTCGGAAAGGATTGTTTTTCCAGGAGCATTGCAGGCAGAAAAAACAAATCCATATTCAGTTTTGCCCATTGGAAGGATTTCCCTTAAGCACTGTACCTTAGGGCGCCCCTTGAGGGCCTGCAGTGCTGCAGCTGTCCACTTTTAGGTGGTGCCCGCATGCCTTGAAAAACCATCTGTAATCAGGCCTGAATTTTCTCTTCCTTAGTAAAGTGGACAGAGAGAACTTCCCATGAGGCCATGGGTGTGGACTGAGAGAGAGAAGCCAATTTAATATGAATAAGAGCCATAGGAATCTGAGCCAGTTACACATGCAGCTTACTTATGACTTTGGGACCTACATAAGCCCAATCTTGGATATATTATTTCTACTTATATTGGAGTGCTGCTGTGGACGCCCAACCTATGGCTTAGTGAGTCAAACAACATCAAGTTCATAATGGGGAGTTCATATTGCATAACAACTTGATAGTCCAAAGTCAAGCATTCAGTCTTTTCTAGGGTTCAGTAGCAAATCAGAAGCTATTTATTAAAAAGAGAAAGTTAATCTTTAGAAGATGGCACATAGCTTTGCTTCCCAGTCCTGAAGGTCTATAACTCACAGATAGGGTCCAGCCAAGGGCCCACACAGTCTCCCAATCTGTCAGAGACATTTCAAGTATCAGTGGATCTTCTGTATCAAAGGGCTCCGAGGGCAGAGGAGCTGGCATGCAGCGTGGACCTGTTGAAGAGCCTTCCCTTGTGTTAGGCCCCACTGCAAACTGGAAGTCCACTAGCAGTTGTGCTTTTTTCTTTGGGGTAGGGCTAGATGCAGCAACTTGTTCTTCACTTTTGAAGAGGTATCTTGACCATGTCCCAGATCAGAGGGGGCAGTCACTGAAGTGGAGGGCTCCTAAACTTTGGTGAAGTTGATTTCTCGTCCTCTGGCTATTTGCTACTTCTCGCTTATCCAGTCCAGTCAACAGCGTAGCATCACCATAATTGAGTAGAATAATAACTTGTGGAATTGAGAGGCAATCAATGTCTTTTCAGACTAGATTATAACAGAGGGCTTCAGGGTTGATAAAGGCTCAAAATAGGACAGTGGAGGGGTAGTGCTGGCCGTAACAATTAAAAGCAGTTATAATCTTTACCATCCATCCTCTAAGCCTTTTATCGTAGCACATTCTCTGCAATCCCTCCAAGAATTCTATGCTGCCTTTGATTTACTATTTTAGCAGGTAGGCACAGTTCTAGGGACTCCTTCCTGGACTTTTCTATCATAAAATTCCTTACTGCCCATAATATGGTTTAACTGTGTCCCCACCCAAATCTCATCTTGAACTGTAGCTCCAATAATTCACATGTCGTGGGAGGGACCCAGTGGGAGACAACTGAATCATAGGGGTGGTTTCCCCCATACTATTCTCATGGTAGTGAATAAGTCTCACGAGACCTGATGGTTTTATAAGGGGAAAGCCCTTTTGCTCGGTTCTGATTTTCTCTGTTGTCTGCCACCATGTAAGATAAGCTTTTCACCTTCTTCCATGATTGTGAGGCCTCCCCAGCCACCCTGCGGAACTGTGAGTCCATTAAATCTCCTTTTCTTTATAAATTACCGAATCTCAGGTATGTCTTTATCAGCAGTGTGAAAATAGACTAATACGGCCCATAATTTGGGGAATCAATTTGGGAATCTGCCATTTGCTGAATATGTGAATTCCACCTCTGCATTTTAGAATTGGGAAAATAATCCTAGGGTTCAGGTATCCACCAGACCCACTATGAGTTGCACTCAGGCCAAAACCTCCACTTATTTCCTGACCTCTTAAGGCCCTACTGTGACTGGTGCACCACAGTGACATTTTGGGTTTCTAGGAACAGTGCTAGTGTGCAGCAGTCCTCCCAAAGTCTACTTATTTCCCCTCCCACAAGGTACAATCACACTGATAAGTGGCCACAGATCCCTTTGGGAAAGGATAGTAAGATTTACAATACATTTTTTGCAGTCTAGCAGCATTCTTCCACAAAAGGCCTTGCTTCCCCTTGATTCAAGGGGCTCTGTGTCTATGGACTAGATCAGGTGTGGCAATCAATCAGCTGAGGATCCGGGACTGCTCTGGAATTTAACTCAAGACTTTTCTACTCCACACCTAGAACTTTTTTTGTGTGTATATAAATCAAGTAAGGCTTTAGTAACCCATCATTTTATTTTATTTTATTTTTGAGACAGAGTCTCGGTCTGTCTCTCAGACTGGAGTGCAGTCGCCCATTCTTGGCTCACTGCAACCTCCAACTCTCAGGTTCCAGTGATTCTCCCACCTCAACTTCCCAAGTAGCTGGGATTACAGGCCCGCGCCACCATGCCTGGCTAATTTTTTGGTTTTTTTTAGTAGAGACAGAGTTTCACCATGTTGGCCAGGCTGGTCTCAGACTCCTGACCTCAAGTGATCTCCCCACTTCGACCTTAATTCTAGGGATATCAAAATAAATTAGCCAACACCAAAGATCAAACCATTCTGATTATCACTTTAGTTCTGCTGTCCATTATTACAACCATGTTTCTCTTGTCCCTAGCAGTAAAGATAGTTACGTGATGTCACTTGGTGCCTCTGTTCCAGTATCCCACTATCCCCAGTGAATTGTGGGATGGTGGCAACATTAATGGCTTACAGAGAATGGCTACTATAGAACTCCAAAAGGGTTCTGGTGTTTGCTTCAGCAATGCTTTCTTTCTCTCTTTCTCTTTCTTCCTTTCTTTCTTTCCCTCTTTTCCCCTCTCCCCTCCCTCCCCCTCCCCTCCTCTCTCCTTTCCTTTCCCTCTTCTTGCTTTCTTTCTTTTCTGTCTCTGGCTCTCTCTCTCTTTTCTTTCTAGTGATGAGCCCCTAACTCTGTTGCACAGGTCGGAGTTCAGTGCCAAAATCATAGCTCACTGCAGCCTTGAAATCATGGGTTTAAGCGATCCTTCCACCTCAGTGTCCTGAGTAACTGGGACTACATATGTGCACCAACCTGCCCAGCAACAATGCATTTCTTAAAGCTTTGATTAAAGGAGACCCTCCCAGGTCCTAACGAAGGGATCTTACACAATAAATCCACTCCAGCATACTGTCTGCTTATCTTTTGGATACCTTCTGTTTATAGCAATGGGAGAAGAATTCATGAAAGATGTAGTTTTCAGGTACTACTTAACAGAAAACAAATGGTTTCGTAGTGTGTGTGTGTGTGTGTGTGTGTTTGTGTGAATTTTGAATATGAACAAGGACTAAAAATAGAAATTGGAATAATGAAGTAAGGATTGTGATGGTTAATTTTATGTGTCAAATTGACTGGGCCAAGATGGCCAAGTAGCTGGTAAAATACTACTTTAAGTGTGTTTGTGAGGGTGTTTCTGGAAGAGATTAGCATTGGAATCAATAGGCCGAGTAAAAATACTGCCTTCACCGGTGTGGGTAAGTGTCATCCAACCCATTGAGAGCCCTAATAGAACAAAAGGGTGGAGGAAGGGCAAATTCTGTCTTCCTCTTCTTGAGCTGGGACATCTGTCTTTTTCTGACCTCAGACATTGAAGCTTTTAGTGCTCAGACCTTCAGCCTTGAACTGGGAGTTACACCATTGGCTCCTCTCCTTCTCAGGCCCTTGGACTCAGACTCAGACTCAATTATACCACCAGTTTCCTGGTTCCCCAGCTTGCAGATGGCACATCTTGGGACTTTTTAATCTCCATAATTGCACAAACCAATTCCCATAATAAATCTCCTCTTATGTATCTATCTATTTATCCATCCATCTATATCCTATTGATTCTGTTTCTCTAGAGAAACCTAATATAGTGTTTTAGCAGAGACGAAAGATTCAATAGTGAAAATGAACTACACAATTTGGTGGTGGAAAAAGGGACATGGCAAGAATCCAAACCAGAAAATTGTTACTTCTAGAAAGATAACTGGAAATATAGAGGAGAATCTGTGAATAAAACAGAAAAAGTTGGCAACAGGCAATATATGAAGCATAGAAGAGATCAATATGTCAAAACTTATTCTGAGGTTCATTAATTCAAAGGTTAACAATATGGTGGCATTGGTAAGAAAGGTGGCGAAGCCATAAAGAGAAAACATATGGAAGACAGTAGTTTGAAGGTCAGGTAGAAAAAGATGTGACAAAAATTGTGAAATATTCTAAAAATATAGCTGCCAAAGAGTGGGCTGATGGAAAGTTGATTAGTATATGCAGTGACTTTATAATGTGACAACTTGGCTAGGTTGAACTACATTCCCAGAATTCCCTTTATGATTCTAGTTATGGTGGGCCACAGAGGGAGAGTCTGGAGTGATTTGGAGGGTAGATATAAAGCAGCAAACATTTTTTTAGCTCATGCACATGGTCATTTAACTGTTGGCTCACCTCATGGGGATGAGCCAGTGACTGGGGCTGCAACTACTCCACCTTTAACATGATCCTTCTTCAGCTTCTGCAACTCCTGGGCCGGGTATGTGGGTGTTTAGTTCTGTGGCAAAGGACTCCAGCTCGTGTGGAACACCCAGGCCATCAAGGTCAGAGGCAATGAGAATTAATATGGGTTTTGGTTCACTCTCACGAGATCCACTTCATGCTTTTGAGTTCTAGCTTATAATTTGTTTCACCCACTTTACATCCATCTTCTCTTCCCAAATGGCTGCCTTAAATATATTTCTTTTATGATGTCAGTCAGCATGCAATCAAAGAAGCAGAATACACACACACACACACACACACACTTCTGCTTCTCTGATTGTATGATGACTGTATAATAAAGTCTTTATTATACAGTATGCCCTAAACATACAGCTTAGGGCACTAATTCTCAATATTTAAAACTCCATGTCTTATTTGGATAAGCATACACACTTCTCCTCTCCTTTCCCTTTTCACCAGTTATGACAGACCCTTCTTAAGGAAACATGCCCATTAGGATGAGGAATTTCTGGTCTGGCATAGATATAGCGATAGCATCTGCTTTTGTAGTTTGTATTGTTTAACATGCAATTACTTTCATTTTTTCAAATATAACATTATATGATAACGACTATAAATTTTCAAATTAAATGCATCCACTTCCACTTTTTTGTTTGTTTTTTGTTTTTGGTTTTGGTTTTTTTGCGACACAGTCTTGCTCTGTCGCCCAGTCTGAAGTGCAGTGGCATGATTTCGGCTCACTGAAACCTCCGCCTCCCAGGTTCAAGCAATTCTCTGCCTCAGCCTCCCAAGTAGTTGAGATTACAGGCATCTACCAGCAGACCTGGCTAATTTTTGTATTTTTAATAGAGACAGGGTTTCACCATTTTGGCCAGGCTGGTCCTGAACTCTTGACCTCATGATCCACCCACCTCGGCCTCTCAAAGTGCTGGGATTACAGGCGTGAGCCACCGTGTCTGGCACTTCCACATGTTCTTAAATGTTCATCCTTCCCCACTCTTTGCCCCTCCACATGACTCTTTTTGGAGAATGAAGATTAGACATACAGGTTTGTCTAATCATACAGGTTTGTGTGTAGAAAGTCTTAAGAGATCGTAATTCACTCTCTAACACCCAAAACAAACCAGATAATCTAAATAATTATAGTTTAAAAAAATCGGAGATATGAAAGCACAAAGAAACATAGGTGAACTAAACTTCAGAAAGGGACAATCATTCAATTGAGAGGAAAGAGCCACAGTTCTCATCCCTGACTGAAGTGGAAAGAGGAGGAATCACCATAATTAATGGTAAGGAGAAAGCAGCCTAACTTTCAACATATTTTAAAGTGTGTGGCTGATGCGACAGGTTAGAATACACAGGAGCCACAGGCACAGAGCAAAACCATACTACCTCGCAATTATTTCTCATTGATATTCACTAACTCCTGGGGTAGGACCACAAAAACAAGGGCAATACAGAGTTATTAAAACTTTCAGAGACACATTGGGGTTTCAGCTAAGAAAGACTTGTAGAGGGACAAGAGAGCTGAAAGAAAATCCCCAGCACTCCAGGCTGTCAGCTAAGAAAGACTGGTGCAGGGAGGGGAGAGCAGGAGCAGAAAGATCTTCCCGTAAGACCTGAAGCTAGGGAGGACACTAACCAGGGCAGAAAAGGTGAGAATAACAACTCTAAGACAATATTTGCTTATAGGAAAAGTTCTAATCCTGCCTTCAAAATATTTGAAGCCTATAGTAAATTGAATCAAACTAAAGTTGAATCAAAGCCCAAACCCAGCCCAACTCCAGATCATATCAACTGAGCCCCAACTTCCTTCTTGGAAGAAATTTTTTAAATTTAATTTTTAATTTTTAAATTTAATTCATTGTCTACTGTATTTTTACATAAAAATGTCCAGCACACAGTAAAAAAATATGGAAACACACAGATACATATAAAAAAAGAAAATATGGGCCAGGTGCGGTGGCTCACGCCTGTAATCCCAGCACTTTGGGAGGCCAAGGCAGGCGGATCATGAGGTCAGGAGATCGAGACCATCCTGGCTAACGCAGTGAAACCCCATCTCCACTAAAAATACAAAAAAAAAAAAAAAAAATTAGCTGGGCGTGGTTGTAGGCACCTATAGTCCCAGCTACTAGGGAGGCTGAGGCAGGAAAATGGTGTGAACCCGGGAGGTGGAGCTTGCAGTGAGCCGAGATCGCGACACTGCACTCCAGCCTGGGCGACAGAGCAAGACTCCATTTCAAAAAACAAAAAAAGAAAATATGATCTGTAGTCAAAAAAGGAAACCATCAGGCCGGGCACAGTGGAACACTCCTGTAATCCCAGCACTTTGGGAGGCCAAGGCGGGTGGATCACGAGGTCAGGAGATCAAGATGGTCCTGGCTAACAGGGTGAAACCCCGTCTCTACTAAAAAATATTAAAAAATTAGTTGGGCATGGTGGCAGTCCCAGCTACTCCGGAGGCTGAGGCAGGAGAATGGCGTGAACCCAGGAGGTGGAGCTTGCAGTGAGCTGAGACTGCCATTGCACTCCAGCCTGGGAGACAGAGCAAGAAAGTAAATAATGAATTACATAGGCTTAACGGTAAATTGGAAAAAATCAGAGGAAGAAAACTTAGAAAGAAATAAGTAGAAAGCGTTCAAATTGAAACAAGGCAGGTGTGGTGGCTAGCACTGTAATCTCACTTTGAAAGCTAAGACAGGAGGATTGCTTGAGAACAGGAGTTCGAGACCAGCCTGAGCTGATCTCAAAAAAAAAAAAAAGGAAATACAAGGAAATAAAACAGAGTATTTGAGATACATGGAACAATAATATATGGTCTAATACTTGTATTAAGAATAAAAAAAGGAAACAGAATGGGTGTAAAAATATTCAAACAGATAATAAATGACAATTTTCTAAAACTAATGAAAGATACCAACCCACAGATCCAATAACTGCAGCTGACATCAAGGTGAATAAATGATAAATGCAAAGAAAACCACTCCTGTGTACATCATAGTCAAAATTCTGAAAACCTAATTTAAAGAGCAGATCTTAAAAGCAGCTACAGAAAAAAGTGTACACTGTACACAGGGGCACCAAAATATGTACTACAAGTGATTTTTTAGCAAAATATGAAGTCAGAAGAGGAATGACATGTTTAAAGTGCTGAAAGAAAAGAAAATGTCAACATAAAATTTTACGTACAGTAAAAATACCCTTCAAAAGTGAACATGAACTAAAGACATTTAGAGGCAGACAAAAGCTGAGAGACTTCTCCAACAAACAGCACACAGGCTATGCTGAGTGAAGTTCTTGAGGCCAAAGGGAAGATACCAGATGGAAAACCAGATCTGCAAAAAGGAATAAAAAAGTACTAGAAAGGATAAATATCTGGGCAAATTAAAAAGAGACATACTTTAATACATTCATTATATGCATATATTTACAAATTTCTAAATACCATAAAAATACAATGTAAAATGAATTTTATAACATATAGAAGTAAAATATAACACAACAATACAGAGGATGGGAGAGGGATAAATGGAATTACATTGTAACTTTTTTACAGATTCATAAAATAGAATAATATTATTTAAAGGTAGCCTGTGATAATAACATACGCAAATTGTAATTTCTAAAGCAACCACCATATTTAACATAAAGAAGAAAATCTAAAAAGACAATCTAGTAATTTAAATGGAATATGAAAGAAAAAAATCCAATTTACCCATAAGTTCTCAGAAAACAAGGAACAGAGAAACAAGCGACAAATGGAAATGAATGAATGAGAAAAACTTCCCTCAACCACTGTTATTGAACACTGAATGGCTCTGCAAATAAGCTTTTACTACAGACTCAATAATGTTTCTTTATGAATTTAACCTAAAACTACAAGGCAAAATAGAGCTTATATGCAAAACTTAAACTGCAGTAAAATCATTTTGACACAACTAACATTGTTTGAATCACAAATAATGTCAAGCTGTTTTACACACTTCTCATGCTGTCAAAAGTTAAAACAAGAAGCAAGATCTCCATTCCAACACAAATTTGCAGCAGTTATGTTTTTCTGAACTCAAACTACAGTACCAACAGTGTTTTCTGAATTTCAATGCAAGTGCAAAGGAAATTTTCATATTTAAAATTTACTTAACTGTGCAACTGAGAAGCTTCCATTTAACCTTCAACTGGAAGTGATTAATCTGCAATGTAATGGCATGCTAAAGGGGAAATATCAAGAGAATTTATAGAATTCTAATAGAATTTTAGAAATGCCTTCTAAGCAATGAATACACTCAAGTAAAATCATGTGCTCATGGGTTGGTATCAGTATTTGGCGGTATCTGTCTGGGTAGAAAGACATTTCAAAAATGAAGTACATAAAATCTCATAAAAAATCAGCATTAATAGATGAACATCTGCAGTCAATTTTTATGAAAGAACACTTTGAACACCAAGTGAAATGTTACTTTCCCCCCAAAAGAATTCCATGCCTTTCATTATTATACCTGTATTAAAATTGCTATTATTACACTTTGAATTGACAAAATAAAAAACTGTGGACTTTTTTTTCTTCGTGTTATATAAGTATCTACCTGACATTCTCAATTTTGTCTCTTGGCCCACAAAGACTAAGGCATTTACAGCTGGGCCCTTTACAGAGATTGGCAACCCCTGGTCTAAATGTAGTTTTTGCTACAGTTGTCAACTATGTTTTTTGCTTTGGAACCACAAACATTCTACTTCAAACTACTACTTCTATGAATCACTTGTAGACGTTGAGGAGGAGTTAGGAAGAAAAGTCGAGAACTAATTTAGTCCTGGGGTTAAATAATAATTGTAGCCAACTTGAATTGAGCACATATATTGTGCAGCTCTCTGCTAAGGAGGCATTTGTATATATTTTCTTATTTAATAAGATAATCTTATGAGCTAGGTACTATTTCTCCCCATTTTACAGAAGCTTAGTGACTGTGTTGTCAGGGATCACATTGCTAAGTGATGTGGAAGACATAACCTAGCAATGGGACATCTAAACCAATGTCTGCAACATCAATTAAGAAAAGCAAAAGAGGCCGGGCGCGGTGGCTCACGCCTGTAATCCCAGCAATTTGGGAGGCCGAAGTGGGTGGATCACGAGGTCAGGAGATTGAGACCACGGTGAAACCCCGTCTCTACTAAAAATACAAAAAAGATTAGCCGGGCGCGGTGGCGGGCACCTGTAGTCCCAGCTACTCGGGAGGCTGAAGCAGGAGAATGACGTGAACCCGGGAGGCGGAGCTTCCAGTGAGCCGATATCGTACCACTGCACTCCAGCCTGGGCGACATAGCAGACTCCGTCTTAAAAAAAAAAAAAAAAAAGCAAAAGAATACAGAAAATTGTTAAAGGGGAGAAGGGGGTGGTCAAAGGCAGAGGAGTCGGTGTGGACAAGACAGAGATCTCTTGGAGAGAGGGCAGGACTACCAGTTGACAAAACCTGTTCAGGTTCCTGGAGGCTCACAACCACCAGTTCCCATCATCCCAGCAACAGCACTCTTTCCCACCCTAGCCTCGTTCGTAATGATCTGATCAATGTGTGAACAAAAATATTGTGTGTACAAGTCTCAACACATTTGATAATGTGAAGAGGTGAAGGAAAGTGGGTAGGAAAAATCTGTAGGGTGGGGAGACTCGGGGAAATGTGTCCTGGTCCAGTGCAGGTAACATATATGGGTATATATGCGTATATACATATTTATACCATATTTAATATATTACTCTATTAAGAAATTATAACAAATTTCCTTTTACATTACACATCCACATATTAAACCCCCAATATGTGCTAACAAGGTTAGAATTTAAGTATAATGATAATGTTCTCAGTTTTTTGTGGTGGACACTTTAAGAGAGTGTAAATAATAATAAAAATAATAGAGTGATCAGATCACTTGTGCTCAGGGCTAGACCCTTCAGCCCCAACGGCCTTAACCCCCCTCAACTGCTTTTCCAACCAAATATTCCTCCCCCTGCAGGATCCCAGGGCCATCCAATCAACCGGCCAATGACGGTTTCAGAGAAGCGGTCCTGGGGAGGGGTATTATCTGCAGGAACACGTCCTGCCAACTTTGTAGTCGAGTCACCTATTTCGGTTGGTAGCGGCCGCTATTTCTTTAAAAGGGCAGTGGATTTCGAAACAGGAGGGGGAGGTCAGGAAAAGGAACTCAGCTGCCTTTGATAACTGCCCTGCAGCCTTCCCTTCCCGGAGCGCGTGCTCGGCTCGGGAAGCGCCCGCGGCCGCCGCATCCCCGAGCGGGCGCGTGGCGCCACCTCTTTCCGGGGCGCCCACCTTCCCCGGGAATCCCCCCGCCCGACGGTCCCCCAGCGTCTGCGGCGCGGCCGCCCCGGCTTTGTCTCCGGCGTCGCGCTCGGGCGCCCGCTCTCCCCACATTTCCCCGTGTGCAGGCTGTAACCCGATCTCCCATTTCCTGGTGGATTCTCTTAAAGAGGCAGCGGTCGAGAAGCAGAACAAAGGCTATTGTTTTATTTCCTCCTTCGGATTCCGCGTCCTAACCGGAATGGCCCTTCATAGATAATTACTTTCGTTGCATCTGCGCTTAGTGAAACGTTTCAAAACCCTTGTGCACATCGATGTATCCAAGAGACGGAGCCAGGGGAGGTGGGAGGAGTTTAATAAAACCTGTTTTGTGGTGTCTGGGGCCACAATGTAACGTTTTTTAAAGGTGTCTTCCTTAAGCCCGGAAATTGGCTCGGCCAGCGGGAGGTCTCGCGGCGTGGAGGGCGGGCGCCCGCACCGGGGGCCGGCCTGGGGGGCTGCGCCGCTCGCCCCGCTCGCAGCCGCGGCCCCACGCGGCCCCGCTACCCGGGTTTCCTCCGCCCGCGCCCCCGCGGCCGCCCCTCCCCCGCGCAGCTTTTATTTCCCCGATGCCGGGCTGTAACCCGAGCTTTTATTTCCTGGTGGCTCCTTTAAGAGGCAGAGCTCAGTGCTGGGAATTCACGTCAGTTTCTGCACTGAAACTCTCAAGATCAATGAGCAAAGAGCTTTCTCAGTTCTGCCTTTCAGTTTCTCTCTTCCAGGAAGGAAAACATTCGAGAGAGCGAGGGAGAGCCGCGGGAGGGCGGGGGGCGGGGGCGCCGGCTGCGGGTGGGAGGAGAGACCGGGAGGCCGGCCGGGCTGCGTCCCGGGTCCCCGCGCCGCGCCGCGACCTGCAGACCCCGCCGCCGCGCTCGGGCCCGTCTCCCACGCCCCCGCCGCCCCGCGCGCCCAACTCCGCCGGCCGCCCCGCCCCGCCCCGCGCGCTCCAGACCCCCGGGGCGGCTGCCGGGAGAGATGCTGGAAGAAACTTCTTAAATGACCGCGTCTGGCTGGCCGTGGAGCCTTTCTGGGTTGGGGAGAGGAAAGGAAAGTGGAAAAAACCTGAGAACTTCCTGATCTCTCTCGCTGTGAGACATGTCTGAGACTCCTGCTCAGTGTAGCATTAAGGTAAAAATCTTCTCCCCTCCTTCTACGTGGTGGAAACCCTGAGCTGCACCGGCCAGGGCAGTCGTGCTGGGCTCCTCAGAGCAGGCTGTTGCAGTTGCTCTGTTCGCAGGAAATTATTTGGGGCGAGAGGGAAAGAGATGCAGCTCGCGGTGGCTGCTGTACCCTTTAGCGTAACCTTGCTACTCCCCCCCACCGCCGAGCCCCTGCCGGCTCCTCGGCCCCCACCCCCTTGCTTTTTGACAATGAAATGCCGGTCACAATTGGTCAGAGCAACCCGGATTGTCTCCAGAACCGTAAAACACCCCCGTAATTAGTGCGCTTAAAAAAAAAAAAAACAAAAAACAAAAAAAAAAAACCTGCTCCCTATTCCTACACCCAACATGTGACTGAAATATAACTTTTGTTCCCGAGGGGTGGTCGTCTTAGAAAAAAAGTTGTTCAGTTTCCACTGCGATAGAATCTTTTTATTTTTTTAAAGGACTCTCTGGGTCTGATCAGACAGGATTTTTTTCCCCCTCGTCTGATTGTAATTGCAAGCGCTGTCGGAGAGACAGTCCTGGTGTCAGCTTTTCCTAGGCATTGCACAATGAATTTTTTTTTAAAACCAAGGTGAATAAAGTTGCTGAATAGTTATTTTACTCCGATCCATATGAAAGTTGAGCAATCCCAAAGTAGAAAACTCCTGTGATGGAGGGAGAGGAAGAACTAAGCAACCAGGCAAAATGACCTTCTGTGTTTGACAGTGCAGAGAGGCTATCTAAGCAGCACTCTGTAAATGCAGGGCGGTAGATGTTTGTAAACACACTGCTGGGCTACCCAGTAGTTGTGTGTATGCATGTCTATATATCTGTAAAGACTGTGGTGCTGCGGTTTGTTGCTTCTAAAAAGTTGTTGTAAAGTTTGCCACCATTGGGAGGCAGGATGATTTATCCATCTACCCGTGTTATTTTTCCCATCGCTGCATTTATTGTACACTTTATTCATTTCGCTGTTCCACCAGTACCCAGGTAGAAAGCCTTCCGCTCTTGTGAGAGGCTGAAGCTGCTGAAGTTTGTTTTTGGTTTGGCCTATTTAATGTGTGTTCACTGAATGGACACTACAGCAACAATGAACAAATAACCTGTTTTCTTCGTCTGTGGGGAGTTAGAAAAACCCTTCCTGGTTTAACACTGCCTTTCAATTAGAGTCTGTGTAGGGGAAACGCAGTAGTTCATCATACGTGCTTACTAGGTTTTTTATAATTAGAATCACATTTTGGTGTTTCTTATCAGAAAAGATATTCATGGGTTTGAGGATAGGCTAATGTGAAATCAAAAGGTGGTTTGGGCTTCTTTGTTTTTGCCTCACAAAAATGCCTAATGGAACTTTTAGGCTTTTGTGTTTGTACATAACTGGAGGTAGCAGTATGTATGTCTGTGGGCATGGGGCGTGCCACACTAAAGAACTTAGGGTACTTTGATATTAATACTTCAAAACCAGTTTCTTTTGCGGTATAAATTAGATTCTACACAGAGTTCAGGAAAATCCTGCGGTATAGATAATCTAATTTATTTGACGCTTCATAACATAGAGGTAACTAAATAGTAGGATATTCAATAAATAAATTGTATTTGGCTCAGTGGCAATAAACCCGACATCAGGAAAATCTGCCAACTACAGATCAGTAACTTTAGGGCAAAAACAACAAAAAACAATGCTTTCTGTGACGTTTCTTGATCCTCTTCTATACTGCATCCCCACCGTTTTGATGGGCTTATGGTGGTGTGCTGGCTGCAGACTGCTACTGAGTGGTTTGTTTCATTGTGCTCCAGTCGGAAAAAGAGTACAACAGTCCCTTGCCTTACTCACATACAGAACCAATCCCAAGCAAAACGCGTTCTTAAATGCAACATGAAAATTGTCTGTAATTTGCATATCATTTTTTTCCTTATTGCTTACAACTCAGTTCTTTCAGGGTGCCTCTTTTCATTACTGTGTACTTCTATGTAATTAAAATAGATTTAATGTTCTTTACCAGAAAGGAAAGAATCACTTTTATTTTGGATCGTTCTTTATGGAACGAGTATGTATTTGCTTAGACTGCATGTGTCTAGGTGAACGTATGTGAAGAGTATCTTTCCATGGAGTTTGTTTAATTCAGTGTTCCAATAATAAGCACTAGAGATCAAGGACTGGGATTATTCCAGGTCATCTGAAATGTTCTGGTGATGTGTGCTGCGTTTCATTTAGTCCTTGGGATGTGGTACGGTGACTGCATAATAAAAAATGTTTGCTGGTAACCCACAAGCAAGTTGCTTGCTTCTAGAGTCCAGTAAACAATATGCTTTTCTGTGTAGTGAAGAACGAATGTCAGAGGTTTTCAAGGATGAGCTGATGAACCTGATATACCGAACTCCTGTGACACAAAAGGCTCTCACTGTGGAGAGGTTTTTCCCAGTCCTCCTCTCCACTCCTGAAACCGTCCTCACTTGCTTTCATTCCTTACAAGTAGCGGGTCAGCAGGCAGACAGTTCCTCAGCGGCTGGTGAGATGCAGCCACAGAGGGAAGTACTTTGTTTATTTCTGAGCAGTGCCTGCTCTGCTAGAAAAGAGTAGTGTCCGATTTGGGTGGAGTTTCCAAGGTGAAAGTTTCTGAATTGGTCAATCAGTGACGCCTTTGTAAAGATGGCTCATGTGGTGGTCGCTCGCAATGAATGCCTGATAAGGGCTTTTCTGTTTCTTTTGCACTGTGTAAGTTTGCTCCCATCGCCTGGGGAAGTTAATATCAGACACACACTTTTTACGGTAGAAGAGAGGTTGACTACTCCAAGGGCACTGAAACTCTCACTGAGCCTTATTGTTTCTCTACACGCGACTTGCAGAAAGCAGGAGTGCTCGAGCACTCCTGGGGGGGTCTGTCCTACAACCCTTGAAGGTTGTGGCACTGTTGTCATGGAAGTTCAAATGCTTCAATTCCTGACCATTTGGGGTCGTTTAAATGGAAGGAAAGGATCAACTCTCTATAAAAAGTCAAATTGTTTTAAAGAGGATTGCCTGGCTGACTGTGCTGGTCACAGGAAGAAGGAAGAGGCTGTCTTTTCCATCATCAGCCTTCACCTTCAAGTCACCTCTTCAGTTCTAAGTTTGACCAAGTTGCAGCGGAAGGTGGTTGTGGCCTAGCAGACACGGTCCCTTGTCAGGCTTGGCACAGCTTGTTAGTGGGCCAGGACTAACCAGAATCCAAAAACGAGTCACACAGTGTCTCTAGTCCCCTCCTTCCCTGCTGTCCGTATCAGTCAGCTTTCATAGCAGAAGGAAATCTGGTTTTTAAAATTTTGCTACTAACTGGGAGACTCTTTCGAGCTCCCCTTCTGGACTCTGGGCTCCTTGGGTTTAGTGATGATTATCTTGGTGTCCTAGTAGTTAGCTTGGCAGCTGGCATAGAAATATTTCTCAGTAATGTTTGCTGATGTGAATGAAGTGAGAGGTGGGAGGAGGCCAGCCCCCTTTCCTCTTTCTGTCTGCGTGTAACCTCAGGGTGACGTAACACTTTCATCCACTGGCTTGCTTGCAGAAAGCACTCAATAGGGCCCACTACAGCCTTAGAGAGGGCTAGAGCACTCCTGGGGGGTCTGTCCTCAAATGCTTATTAATAGAATTTTGATACAATAATGTTTTATAATTTTTTTTTGGAGACAGAGTCTCGCTCTGTCGCCAGACTGGAGTTCAGTGGTGCGATCTTGGCTCACTGCAACCTCTACCTCCTAGGTTCAAGCAATTCTCCTGCCTCAGCCTCCCAAGTAGTTGGGATTACAGGTGCCCGCCACCATGCCCGGCTAATTTTTGTGCTTTTGGTAGAGATGGGGGTTTCACCATGTTGGCAAGGCTGGTCTTGAACTCCTGACCTCAAGTGATCTGCCCGCCTCAGCCTCCCAGAGTGCTGAGATTACAGGTGTGAGCCACTGCGTCCAGCGTAATGTTTTATTATTTTGATAAAATTCTCAAAAACTGCTTTTGTGTCAAAAATAACAAAGAAGGAAATTGAGGAAAAGGTACAACAAAGGGGCTTAAGGAATTGCTTTAACAGGTTCAGATTAGCAGGCTTCTAAGTGCCCCCCAGTTTTTCTGACAATAGAATCAGGGAACTTTCAAACATTCAGAGTTGAGAGACCTTAGAGATCCCCTGGGCCAACCTCCTCTATTTTTTACAGGGAGGGGATCCAGAGAGCTAAGGGGTTTGCTTCAACCCATGGGTGAGTGAGCCAGGTTTGGAGGACACAGGCCTACAGGTTCTTAGGCCACTGCATTCTCTGGGTTCATGGTGTGTCCCTATAAAAGGCCAAGGAAACTCGATATAATAGGCTTCGCTCTCTCTGGCACTTCCTAGCTTGGTCCATTTTAATCACAAGCCAGCTGGTCTGAGGGCACGGGGGTATGTGCCAAGGAAGATGGTATGTGGGGGTAGAAATGGGCCACTGGGGTCTGGTCAGGTGTGAGAAGAGGAAGTAGTAGGAGGGAGGAGATGAGAGAAGAAGGGCCTGACGGACTTGTATTGGCACCACTATTTGCATCAATATATGTATATATATATATTTTTTACAGTGCACAAAGGCCTGCAAGTTCTGTTTTGGGCTGAAGGCCCCCTATCTGCTGTTAGGACTCCTTTGAGGAATCCTTGGGTGGGCCGTAGGCTCTTTTATCAAGGGTCAGACAATCCTATTTATACTTTAATTTCTGTGTAGTAAGCTCCCTGTTTCAAACAGTCAAAGCTAAAAATGTGGCAGCTGGCCCTAGAGAAGTAGCTATCCTGCTCAGGATAAGTAAGTCAAGGGCAAAAAATACCCCAGATGTGAGCACCAGAGGCAGGTAGAGCTAAGTCACATTCTGCTCCTCTGAGTGCAGCTGTATTTGTGCACACCAGGAAAGAGCTGGGGGCAAGGTGGGGGCACAGGGTTGCTGAGAGTAACTCACACAGCAGTTTCATTTTTTTCACCAATTTTTAAAACTTGCCCTTTGGTGTGGATCTCCCAGCCAAGTGATTCAGTGTCAGATGAAGCCCCGTAAGGTGTGCCATATAGAAATGACATGTTTGTTCTATGTGAATACTACTTTAGAGACAATCCTGGAGCTTGTTTTCAGGTAAGGGTCCACCACTTCCATATTTGTTGTTAGATGTGTGTTGGGAACCAATCTCCGTGTGTATTTGTTGAATAGAATGAGTGTGCATTTACTCAGGGTTCCCACGCCAAAAGGGACCCAGCTTAAAGACTGTTCACTGCCAAACCTAGTATTTGGGGACAGAAAGACTAGACTAAATTAGTAAAAAGTTAGAATTATAGCCTATTAAAAAACAAACACATTTTTATTGATTTTCCAAACATACAGGAACCAAACTAATAAAGTGTTGCTTACTGGGGCATCTCAGGGAACGTTCCAATGAATAGGCAAGAATGTGTTCCACATTATCCATTGGGTAGAAACTAGTGCTACGATGTGCTTGGAACTGTTCCTTTAGTGTCAAAATATTACCACACATTTTATTTGCTCTGTTAATTTGTTTGATAACCTTTTCTTCTTAGTAAAAATACAGAGTTCAGCCTGGTCGTTGTCTAAATGATCTGGAATTCCCAGAGTGTGGACGAGGGGCTTGATTAGAAAAGGTATTGCCCCGTGTTAAGTGTGGACTCTCAGATGAGCATAACTGCTCACTCAGCCCTATGGATTTCGCTTACAGGAAACGGTAGAATGCTTGCATTTCTGAAACTTTGTAAATTCTCTGTAATTAAAGGTGTTCGTCTGCTGTTTTAGTGGCCGTTGTTCTACAACAACCAGTTGTAGCTTACAGCTATATAGTGATTTATTACAAAACACTTTCTTCTTCTCCTTTTCCTTCTTCCTCTTCCTCCTCCTCTTCTTCTTCCTCCTCCATCATCATCACCGGCATCATTTATTGAATGCTACTGCATGCTGGTCCTTGTGCTGTTTTATATACATTATATACATTATCTCATTTACTCTTCACAGCTCTCTATGGATGCAGTTTTTCTCTCCATTCTACAAATGAGGAAACTGAAGCCCAGAGAGGTTAAGTGATGTATTGGCCTAAGACCTCGCAGGCTGTAAGTGGCAAAGCTAAGGCCAGAATCTCTACTGTGGGACTCTAATTCCAAAGTATTTTCTATGAGGGCATTCCAAAGTGCAGCCATTTTTGCGAAGAAAATTAGGAAACTTGAAGTGACGGGTGGCTGGTGGATTGTTACATAAGCCGAGATGAGAGGCAGGAATAGAGCTGGCAGAAGTGCTTGCAGAGGTTCTGAATTTCCTCTGCTTCCTGGTCTCTTCTGAAGATGGGTCTTCCTAGCCATTACACAAGTAGCGGGGACAACCAGATGGTCACACAAAGCCACCACCCACTGTGGAATGAATGTCTAAGTTTTCCATATTTACCCCAGTCTCTAATGTCCTCTGGTGAAATTTTGTCTTTGATGGGTTTCATTTTGGGCCCTTGTTGTTTTTCTCAGATGCCTTTCTTTTCCTTGTGTTTTTCTTGCTTCCTCCGGTGCTTAATGGCTTCTTCATGAAGCGGTTGGAAATCTGAGAGATTGTGTCATCCTGCCCGGCCTCGGGCTAGACACCTTCTTTGCCTGCTTTTTACTTCCTGGTCAGTTGCTTCTCCTTATACAACTTTTTTTTTTTTCCTTTTAAAGCTTTTCACACAATCCATAAACACAAATTTTTGTTTTTCTTAAACCATCTCTCATGTACATCTTTAATATTATGTGATTTCCAGGAATCTATTTCAGATATTCCCTCATTTTCCCCTATAACAAAAGGAATCATCTTTTTTTGACTCCTGTCTCGATGGCTTGACCCAACTCGCCTGTTCTAATTTCCTGGAATGAAGAGAGCATTTCGGCCATCTGACTTTATACATTTCTGATTTTGAACGACTCTAGTGAAGAGAGTCTTCAGAGCAAATGTAGGGAAAGAAACAGAGAAAGAGAGAGATGTGTTGTGGAGATAATATGAGGGGATTCAGAGAGCATTATCCAAATTTGTCATGAAGCAAATGAGGAAACTGAGTCTTGTGGCGTTTAAAGAGCTTGCCTGAGATCACATTCCTAACTGATCAAGCCAGAGTCAGAATCAGTGTTCCATCCTAGGTCCATGTTCCTCTAACACCATAGCAGAGGAAAAATGAGAAAAAACAGGCAAGAATTCAGAAAGCATAGCTTCCTTTTGAAGATTCACATGACATATTAGTGTTCATCATTGTGACTTCCAAGTGAAAGACAGAGTTCATGTTATGAGATTTAAGAAGTGAAGAAAGAATGCAATGTATTTTGGAAAGATATCTAACAAAAATGGTTGGCATAAGAATAATGTTAAGTTTTAAAAGGCTAAGCTTCAGTTACGTGGATGAATGATTTATGAAAAGTACTCCCCCATGAAGACACAAAAGAGGTAGCCAATGCATCTGCAAGTTCTTGAGGCCTGATGGCCTCCCTGGGGGTATTTTCCCTTTGTATGTGGGAGTCAGATATACGGAAAACGACTTCATTTCCTGAATGACCCAAAAAGGACGCATTGCCCTGCTGAGTGCCAGTTGGTGAGTGTGCTCAATGGTGTTAGTGTTGCCACAGTGTAGTTCCAGTCACCACGTCTTTCGATTTTGACTTACATTTTCTTCTGTCTTATGTTGTTCTTTGGTTCTTACCTGTAAAGCTGACTTCCCTTCAGGAGATTGTAAGGTGCTCAGAAAAGGGCTTTACCTCACTGCCATGCTGTGAATTCTCCTAGGGGAAGAGTACAGACAATGGAGTAGACAGACCCATGAATCCTGGTTCCTGAACTTGAACTTGTTCAAGCTACTTAATCATGAACCTGTTAACTCATCTGAAGTGGTAATAAAAATGTGTCTCTTAGGGTTGTTGGGATATGTACATTGCCCAATGTAGTGCTTTATACTGTTAAAAAGTTAGTTCTCCTCCTCCTTTATACATCCTCCATAACACATGGATCTGGAAGAGGCTAGAGATTTTCTGGTTCTGTGCCCACATTATACAGTTGAGAATACAGAGGCCAGGGGATGGTTTGTTTTTGTTTTTGTTTTTGAGACAGAGTCTCGCTCTGTCACCCAGGCTGGAGTGCAATGCCGAGATCTCAGCTCACTGCAACCTCTGCCTCCCAGGTTCAAGCAATTCTGCTGCCTCAGCCTCCTGAGTAGCTGGGATTACAGCTGTGCACCACTCACCTGGCCAATTTTTGTATTTTTGGTAGAGACAGGGTTTCACCATGGTGGCCAGGGTGGACTCAAACTCCCGACTTCAATTGATCCTCCTGCCTCGGCCTCTGAAAGTGCTGGGATTACAGGCGTGAGCCACTGTCCCCGGCCCCCGGCCAGGGATGTTAATGGCCTTGCTCAAGCTCGTGTGGCTAGTTGGTGGTGCCATCTGAACTAAAATCTAGGCCTCCCGAGTCAGCTGACTCCCTGCACAGTGCTCTTGTCACTGTCCCATTGAGTTGTTCACAGGGCTGGGGTCACTCAGTCAGTGCTCAAAAAAGCTCTTATTTTAACTTTAATTGAATACAAGCCTCAACAATAGGAGAGATGAGCCAAGTGCAATTATATGATAATAGCAAATGCCTTTTGCATCTTACAGCAGAATTTTGAAGGAATAGCTAATGTGGTTCTGAATAAGTTTCCAGAGATGAAAGAAAAGGAAAAAACCTAAGTCTGGAAGTACTGTACAGTGAGTCTAACTAGCATTATTACTCAGCGCTCAAGTATTTGAACCTATTCAGGGATCTGCTCCTTCATACAGTTGCTTATTATTTGTGACTGGGGTGAGACTTGAAAGAGAGCATCAATTCTCCAGTCTGCTTTTGTTTAACAGGCAGTTCCATGTCTGTCTGACCACAGAACAGACACTGTTTGCTGTGGGCTGGTGAATGTTCACTTTCAAGAGCAGGGAGTAGATGGCCCTTCGTGGAAGTTTAATTATACAGAAGAGTTTGAAAAGGCCAAGTTTGTTACTTTGGGGCATGGGGAAACCTTCCTCTCTAGCAGATGTGAGGGGACCGAAGTGTCTCTTTTCAGCAGTTGTATTCTTCTTGCTGTGGACCTAAATTCGATCCTAAGTCATTCTTTGTATGTACATGGCAGATGAGAAGATGAACTATAGACTGGAAAATAACCCTTTTTTGAGGAATTGTGGAGAAAATGTTACCCACCTGTCCCTCCTACCACCATGCAATAAGTGTGGGCTACTTAATACTCTTGAAGCAAGAGTTTAGGTTTGGAGAGAAACTGCTCCTCTGATCTTCTCCTGGAAACCACAAGTGGAAGTTTGTGATTTTCTTCTCAGCTGCCCTGTCCCCTCTCCCTTGGGTTATGACAGGCCGTGTAACTTTATCTTTCTTAGGACTTATCTCTTTGATGAGGTCAGTAATCCTGCTTCACTTACGTCCCCTATACGTAAGATTGCCATAACCAAAGATGACATGCAGACTCTAAAGCATTTCCTGGAAAAAATGAGCTACAGATAGAAGTAAGGCTCGTAATTTAAAAAATCGAACCCCAGAGAACAGCCTGTCTCTGAAGTTAACCATTCCCCCAGTACTTTCTCTTGTTTCCCTGGTGAAAGTGTGAATCTGGGTTGTGGCAGGGGAAGTTCTGGCACTGCTAAGAGGTGAGGAAGGAAGAGGGAGGGCCCAGAGCTGCCCACCTCACTTGCAGGTGTGGCCTGGAAGAGTGCCGGGGTCTCTAATGAAGAATCAAGTTCAAGGGATGAAGAGGAGTTGGCGAAGGGGCACAAAAATACAGCTAGATAGAAGGAATGTGTTATAGTATTCATTAGTATAATAGGGAAATTAGAGTTAACAATTTATTGTGTATTTCAAAATAACTAGAAGAATTGTACTGTTCCTAACACAAAAGAAAAATGTTTGAGGCAATAGATATGCCAGCTACCCTGATCTGATCATTACACATCTGCACAGATATCAAAATGTCACATGTACCCCCAAAATATGTACAACTATTATATATCAACAAAAAAAATCAAAGAGACAATTTAGAATAAGTATGGTCTCAAGCCTAGTGACTAATATGTGGACAAGTAGATCTGCACTAGGGTATACAGGAGGAAGTATTATGGAGACTTCATAAAAAGGGAGATGGGGCGGGGCGTGGTGGCTCACGCCTGTAATCCCAGCACTTTGGGAGGCCGAGGCGGGTGAATCACCTGAGGTCAGGAGTTCAAGACCAGCCTGGCCAACATGGTGAAACCCTGTCTCTACTACAAAAATTAGCCGGGTGTGGTGGTAGGTGCCTGTAATCCCAGCTACTCGGGAGGCTGAGGCAGGAGAATCTCTTGAACCTGGAAGGTGGAGGTTGCAGTCAGCTGAGGTTGTGCCACTACACTCCAGCCTGGGCGACAGAGTGAGACTCTGTCTCAAAAAAAAAAAAAAAAAAGGGAGATGGGGGA
This sequence comes from Homo sapiens, assembly GCF_000001405.40. Classification (NCBI taxonomy): domain Eukaryota; kingdom Metazoa; phylum Chordata; class Mammalia; order Primates; family Hominidae; genus Homo; species Homo sapiens. Next base: position 11,660,630 of record NC_000012.12, read on the forward strand.
CATGGTGGGAATTTGCTAAGCTCTTTTGTTAACTGCTTTAAAGAACTCAGACTAGGGAAGGAAACTTCTCTCAAGTTTATTGCTGGTTGTTATTTCCAGACCATTTGTCTTTCCCAAACTGCCCTTGGCCATCAAATCAGACTCCTGCTAGAGTAAGCCTCATGGTAGTGTCTCTTGGCTCACCTCTGTGGTTTTGCTAATTATTTTCATGTATTGACCTGGGATCACAGACCAGGCACCCAAAGGGACAGAGGTGAGTTCTTTTTCTTTGGGCCTCTTTGGATACTCATAACCCAAGTCCCTGTGACAGGTTTTGGAAAAATGGCACATCTGAAGGATTGGATCCGTGGTGCATTTTGTAATTGCTGTATCCTCTTTTCTTTAAGGTCTTGCTGTGTCACCCATGCTGAACTACAGTGGCGTGATCATAGCTCACCGTAACCTCAAAGTCCTGGGCTCAAGTGATCCTCCTGCCTCAGCCTCTGGAGTAGCTAGGACTACAGGTGCACCACCTTGCCTGGCTACTTTTTTAAAAAACTTTTTGTGGAGACGAGGTCTTGCTTTGTTGCCCAGGTTGCTCTCAGAACTCCTGGGCTCAAGTGATCCTCCCACCTCGGCCTCCCAAACTGCTAGGATTATAGGCATGAACCACTGTGCCCAGCCATTTTGTCCTCATTTTGACTTGAGATCTGGGAGATTTTAAAGATCCGTGTCATGAGTTCACTTGACTGGTGCTTTGCACTTTTGAGACCCGTCACTCTCCTGACTAATAGGTCTTGACGGCCACTAATGGCCAGCAATGGCTGGGAACAGCAGGACACTCTCACTTTGTACCTTTTGATCTGGTCTTTATTCAAAGTGGGGTGAACCCAGTAGGAGAGTTGTTGTTTTGGGGATAAAGTCTGGGTGACAGATTCTTCAGGCTGGGTAAGTCTCCTGTTCTCCCCGACTTTGAGACCTGAATGACCTGATTTGGCTGACTACACCTCCAGTCCCCTGGACAACAGCCAGCTCCTTTGATTTTGTGCCATTTAGTCCTTCCCTTCATCTGCTGACGCTGATACTTTCGGGTGAGGTGGAAGGAGAGAGCATACCTGTTGGTGAGGTAAGAGTGTTTTCCTTCAGAGAACCAAAGAAACAAAGGCTCCCTTTCTGAATTTTGTGTTCTGCCTCTTTGCATTTCTGAGGCTCCTTGTGTCTGGCAGGGCTGTGAGTGAGGAGATGAGGGTGTGCTCCTCTGCAGGCAGAAGTCAGCTGTAGGTCAGATGTGGCTTTGGAACACAATGGAATCCAGGGGGAATGTTGGCGAGCACAGCAAGGCTGGGGTGATGATCCTCTAATCTTTTGCAGCGTGCTGTAAGAGTATCTTTAACTTTCGCCGAGACAGGCAGGGCAATGAGCAAAAGGACCTCGGTGTTAGGTAACATCTCAAGTAGGGCACCTGGTAGTACACCTGTCTTGCATGTTCCCACCCTTCCCAACACTTTATCTTTTTGAAGCCATCTACCCTTAGAAAATGAACAAGGAGCCACTGACATAGACAGCAAGTATATTTACTTATCTTTTGGGTGCAAGGCAGTTTGCCCTGCTGGGAGAGATGTGGGATAAGGCCCCAGAGTGGAAAAAAACAAAAAACCTTAAAAATGCAAGAAGGAAGAAAGGTAGGTGAGCCAGCAGGTCCCACTGAAAGGCCTTGTTATTGCAGCAAAGAGGGAAGAGGTGGGCCCAGTGGCACAAATCACTAACATTCTTCTGACAGTCACTAGCCAGTTCTTCTGAGAATTTCTCTGTCTTGAAAAACTTGGTAAAATGGCCAAATGGAGCTTCTCCGAACTAGGGGGAATGCCTGTGTGTGCGTTCGTTGTTAGCCATCATGTTGAACAGTCTGATTTAAGGGAAAGTTGGTCTGTGTACATTTTCATTTCAGCTGTGGTCTTTGAAGGTTCACCATGGAGGAGGTGTGGGTGGATGAGAATAGAGTCTTCTGCCTCTTGGTTGGCTTATATGTAGGTTATAGGTGAATGTGAGTTCACAACCCCCAGCCTATTTCTTATTTGGGTGCACTTTTGGATGACTTGCAGGGCTGAGTTTGGGAAAACCCAGTTACTCTTCCTTTATGCACATATTTCTGCCAGACTAAATGCCAAATAGATAATTGGAAAGAATTTTCTTCGCAGCCCTGGTCCCCAAATTGGTGTCTGTGATTCTTCCTAGGGTCTCATATTATGAGAGTGCACTCCCTTTAATCTTTTGGGACCTCAAGTGGGGTCTGTGTGGACAAGATTGTGCTTCTTTGAGAAACTTCTTGCTGCACACCAGCCAGGGTAAGGCAAGAGTTAGTCCTGTTGGCTGGGTGGTTCTTGGGCAGTTGAGCATGCTTAGCACTTGAGAGGTTTCTGTTATACCATTTGCCAAAAGGGACATCTCTCCGCTGGTCCTAGTGCCCCAGGGCACAAATGGCAGGCTTTAGGAGAAAATGCACAATTTCAGGTTCAGTCTCTATCTGCATTTGTGTGCATGAATGGACTAATAATTGCAGTGCGTTGAACGATTTCTGCATATTCCAACACCTAGAAAGTAGCTTCCTGGATTAGGGAACGGTTCCTAGGTACAGCTACCAAAGGCTCAAGCTTAAGCACCAACACTGGAGGTTAGAATTAGCACGCTCTAGGGAGGACAGCGAGAGGGCAGCTGACACAATGCCTTTATGGGCTATTTTTAGCTTTAGTCAGGCCTATCTGGAGTGGCTTGTGCTTTCTTGGGCACCGTCCTGCATTTATTCCAGGGTTTGTGCTTGTGACTCTGTTTGCATATATGCCACATGTATCGCATGCTCATGGGATGATAAATTGCAGAAATTATGGCATAATCTGTTTTCTAGCATATAGAGGAAAAGATTACACAAAATCCAGCCTTGTTGTGGCGAAGAAACCTAACATATAGATGTAAAATATATCTCCTTGGAGGCCTGGCTTTGTGATGGGCTATGAACGGATTGTTAAACAGCAATGTGAGGGGCTGTTAGCAAGCTGTTTCTAAGAGCATCTCCCTGGTCTGGTCTGAAAAGGTGATGTGTACATATTGTACATTTGAGATAGTTTGCCTGTGGTGTTTATATGTTGGTAGGTTGTGTGTGTGTGTGTATGTGTGTGTGTGTGTGTCTTGTCTGTCTTCAGTGGTGAACTGAAAAAATAAAGTGTTGTTTACGTGCTTCTATGTTAGTGTCTACATTCCAAACTGGGCAATAGTTTTCTTTAAGCTGGCTTAAGTGAAGAGGTGTTTGGTCAGCCACAGGGTATGAATCAACCAAACTTCAAAAAGCTTCAGTGTGTTTTTGATAACACTCTTAAGTATTTAATAGCTGCTTTAAGGATTTGTGCCTTAGTGTACTTGGATGAATAGGTAAATCACCTCCCCATCAGCAAACTAGCGTTTGGGTTCCCACGTTGGCAAAGCAGGGTTCCTGTTATGTGTCTGGTCATATTTGAACTTCTTTTCACATTCAGGTGACATAGTTGAACATCAGTCCGTGCCAGTTTCTGCTACTATTGGGTTTTTAATGGAAGAGAACTCTTTCTTGTTACTACGATGCCATGCTTCTGCTGTGTTAGCAGCTGCTGTATTGAAAAACAGGTGTCTCTTATAATCCTCTGACTGGATCAGTTTGCTAGCCTGGCAGAGTCTTATTGTTATTGTTTTTATTTATTTATTTTTGTCCCACATAAGTCAGAAACTGCCAAGAGATGTTGATGAGTGGGATTAGTATGAGAGGAGATGGCAGCTTTTCTTGGTGGAGGTTTCTGTTACAAGAATCTAAGAGTCTTATGAAGATAGGGCTAAATAAAACCAGGATACGAACCACAGGGGAGAACCGCCAAAAGAAGGGTAGTAAATGAATGGTTCTGTCAAGTCACCTCTCTGTCATTCTTCAAAGGCCAACTTAAAGCCAGCACTGCCACAAAAGCCATCCAGGACTAAGGTTAGCGAACGGTGACCCTTGTTTGGTCCACGATGCACTAACAGACTCTTCCCCTTGTTGCTTCTTACTGCTACTGGAATGGAAGCTTTGGGAGGGCAGGTGTGCCATCTTTTCCAGCCTGCCAGGCAGTCTGGTGCATACTCGTCTTTCTCCTCCATACCGGCTGTCACTGCCTTCCTTCTGGCCCCAGACCTTTCAGTTGTCTCCTCTCTGATCTTCCTTCCTCCATTTTGTCCCCACCCCCAACACAACTTGGAATGATTCTTTGCAGATAAAAATGTGATCTTGTTACTCTCTGTCTCACACCACAGTACCACAGTGTAGCATGAACCACAGCTTCTTGTCACCTGCAAGGCCCTTTACTGCCTACCTTTCTAGTATCATCTCCACATTATGTTCCAACCACATAATGAACTTTTTTCTCAGGAGGACATGGTCTCGCTCTGTGGCCAAGGCTAGAGTAATCTCAGCTCACTGCAACCACTGCCTTCTGGGCTCAGGTGATTCTCCCATCTCAGCCTCCCGAGTAGCTGACACCACAGGCACGTACCACCACACTAGGCTAATTTTTGTATTTTTAGTAGAGACAGGGTTTCACCAGGCTGGTCTCAAACTCCTGGGCTCAAGTGATCCGCCCAACTCGGCCTCCCAAAGTGCTGGGATTATAGGCATGAGCCACTATGCCCATCCCATGTAACAAACATTTATGCCTGGAATCTTCCCTCGATCTTCTTTCTGCCTGGCAGCCAATTTGTCATTGGAAGTCCATTTCTCAAGCCTCCCTGTTGCTGCTGGGCACAGTGTTCCCCCAGCTTATTGAACTTGCTTCTGTTATTGGCAACAATCCAGTTATCCTTGAATTATCATCCACACTAGACTGAAAGCCTGCTGAGGACAGGAGTCTGATGGGTTCATTTTTATATTTCCAGTGTCCAGCTCAAGGTCTGGCACAGAGGACAGCCAATGGCTATTAATTGAATAGAATTTCTTAATCAGTAGGTATTTATTAAGCTTCTGTTACGGACTTAATTGGTGCCAGGCTCTTTGATATGTAAGATAAAGACCTCACACAGTTGACATCCTGAGCAAATACTCTGTGAGGGTTGAGGAAAGAAGAAAGGTAGAGACCTGTGTTTTGAAACATATCAGGACTCCATGTCAGGGCGAACATACTGCCACCTCCCATACCTAAGGGGCTCCTGTGAGGCATAAGTACTGACATGTACACACAGGGCACTCACAAATGCTCTCCTTCTCAGTTGCCTACTTTCTAGAGGGGAATATAGATAGCTGGAGAAGAAGCTTGAGAACCTTCAGGCTGGATGTGCCAGAAACAGCAGAGACAGCCCAAGATAAATGAATGTATTAACTGATCATCCTTTTTTTTGATGTGGCTCAGGATGCCTCTTGGGTCAGGGAGAGAGAACCAGTGGCTGTTTGTTGTAGCTGTGTGCGGTCTTGGCCATAGCTGGCTGTGGTATCTGGGACCCAGTGGCAGGTCACCACCGTATGGGGCTGCCAGTTGCTCCCCCACCCCATTCCTCTAAGAGCTAGTAGGGAGAGAGAACCCGGAAGAGCAGCACGGCTTGCTGAAACTTCTCTGAGGTCTGTGATTGGCCTTTCCATGTCAAGGGAAGAATCCCTCTCTTACTTGAGTCAGCTCTTTCCAGTCTTCTCTTGTACAGCCCATGTTCTCTCCTACCCTATCTGAGATGAAGATCTCTCTGGAGCTCTCATTTTACTCCTAATGGGTTGCCTGGAGGGACTAAACCAGTGAGAATGACTGGGCATACTATGGGACTAGAAAAACAACTCAAAGTTATGTCTTACGGATGGTAGGACAGCCTCAATATTGCTGTTTACAGTGGATAGCCCAGTGACATTTATTTAAAGAGGGCAGTCTTAAGAGAGTGTGTTAGGGTTATGAATCTGATTAAGTGTGATCTGATAAGTGGGAAATGGACCACTTGGGAGAAATCAGGTTACTTTCAGATATAAGCAGACCAAACTGGGCCTTCCACACAAGCCTGAATAGCTCGTTTTCTCCCTATTTCTGTTGCCATTGAGGTACAGCTGGGATTCAGGGCATTAGGATATGTGAAAACTTTTAGCTTCCTGAACCCAACCAGACCCCAGCAAGAGTCCTTTTACAGTTTCCCCGAAACCGTCACAAGTTTTCCTGACCGCCTGCTGGGGGCTTTCTGTTGCAGACCTACGCGGCAGCTGCCTGCCAGCCCTGCCAGATTTGACTTCATCTTGGCTGCCGGTGGGTCAGTCTCCACGAGGCTTCTCTTGGCCTGTCTGTCCACTCAGGGCATTTAAGGGTCCTCTTGCTTTGCTCACATGGGCTCCTCGAGGGCTTGTGCAGTAGGTTGAGAGTTGTTACGGGTGCTGATCTGGACCACTTAGGGAGCAGAAAGCATAGGTCTGTATATGAATGTGAAAATACACATTTAAGAAGCTGCTCAGGTAGGGGCAGCCACGGAAGTTGTGCTCCCTCTTAAACACTCAGCGTACACACCTCATCCTCAGACAATGTGCTGCTTACATTTCCAGTGTCCAGCACGGTGCCTGGCACAGAGGAAGGCCGATGGATAGTAGTTGAACAGAATTTTTTTAATCATCAGGTCTTTATTAAGCTTCTATTATGGACTTCAAGTTTCCTCCATGAATGCTACCAGAACCCTTGCTCAATGTCTTCACTGTTGAGGCTGTTGAGTGAGAAGCCATTTCCTTCCCCTTCTACTTCCCCTCCCTTTACAGCCTTACCAGGCCCAGTGTTCAGAGGACTCGATGCTCATGAACCTAGGGTTCCTAAGAATTAGCATGTCACAATCTAATCTGGAGACTATCCGCCATTTAGTTCCATGGCGGATTATGGTCTTGGTTCTAGCAACCTGCTGAAGAACAAACCTGGTGGTTTATTTTCTTTTTTTTTTTTTTAAATGGGGACTTGCCTTGTCTCCCAGGCTTGAGTACGGTGGCATGATCATAGCTCACTGCCTCGACCTCCTGGGCTCCAGCGATCCTCCCACCTCAGCTTCCCAAGTAGCTGAGGCTACAGGTGTGTGCCACGATACCTGGCTAATTTTTTTTTTTTTTTTTTTTTTTTGAGATGGAGTCTCACTCGGCCGCCCAGGCTGGAGTGTAGTGGCATGGTCTCGGCTTACTGCAGCCTCCGCCTCCCAGGCTCAAGCAGTTCCTTGCCTCGGCCTCCCGTGTAGCTGGGATTACAGGTGCACGCTGCCACGCCCAGCTAAATTTTGTATTTTTAGCAGAGACAGAGTTTCACCATCTTGGCCAGGCTGGTCTTGAACTCCTGACCTCGCGATCCACCCGCTTCGGCCTCCCAAAGTGCTGGGATTACAGCCGTGAGCCACCACGCCCAGCCAATTTTTAAATTTTTTGTGGAGACAAGGTCTCACTATGTTGCCTGGCTGGTCTTGAACTCCTGGACTCAAGTGATCCTCCAGCCTCAGCCTCCCAAATTGCTGGGATCACAGGTGTGAACCGCCACACCCAGCTGAGAACAGACTTTTGAACTACCACAACTATAGGTCTGTTGGACATTGTTTTCAGTTGAAATTGCTTAAAAATTGACCTGCCTTGGAGAAAATTTCATGAGCCTTTTCTTAAAGAGTGATTGAAATGCCAATAAGAATGCAATAACAAGTGCCCTGTGTAGATGTGTGGGAGGGACACCCTCCCCTTCCTCCACCCAGCAAAAGCTAACGTACTTTCCAAATTCTAAATTGTGATGTGTGACTTGGTAAAGGACTTCGCACTGTTTTGTTTTTTTTTTTTAAATTGATGTGGCAAGCCTTACAAAAGGATATGCCGTTATATTCTAACAAATTATTTCTATCGAAAAGAGTATCATGTGAGATTAGGGCTGTAGAGGAACAGCCTTTCAACTAGTCTTCTATGTGGTAAAGGTGGCACCCAGTTTCCAAAGACAGCACAGACGCCAAGGGTCTTTTCTGAACTTCTTCGATTTTTATGATCCCTGGCTGGGTCGGAGAAGGGCTAGTTAGTATGTTTTTCTTTCTTCTGGATGAAAGTTGCAAGGACACTTAAGCCTTATGCTTCAGGGCGGAATCTGATCACAAGTTGAGATCAGGAAGAAATTTTCCCCCTGTGGCTTCCTATTGCACAATTGCCCGGCCAGGTGTGCTACCTCTGTTAAACAAAGACACACACAAGTGCACACCTCCTTACTGGCTATCTTCAGAGCAGGATGTTGGACGTTGTGGGCCAGCAGACTGGTTCCTTTGGCACATCCCTGTGCTCAAAGATGGGAGGCAGCTGCCCGTCTGCTCCTGTACTTGGCTGTCCTCTGGGTGTGCTGTACTGAGCTCAGGGCCACGTCTTCAGATCCCTACAACTCTTTGCAACTCTTACTTTGTGGGACAATTAAAATTAGGTCTAATTCTGTACACACCCGCATGCACATGCACACATATCTTTTTAAAAGTTTTCCTTAAACTTGCTTCCCCTTTCCTGGGCTTTGCTTCCCCCTTCCCGGGCTTTACACCACATCAAACCTATATGCATTCCCAAAACATCAAAATGACTGTTCACAAATCATAGTAGAACTCTTTAACCATAAGGTGCGCAGTTGCCAATCTCAAGCTTGGATTGTAAGCGACTTCGAAGTCTGATCCAAAAGACTGTGGGAGGAGGGGGAAGGAACATGGATGGACTTCTTTCCTTCCTCCCTCCCTCCCTCCTTTCCTCCCGTCCTCCTGTCCTCCCTTCCTCCCTTCCTCCCTCCCTCCCTCCCTCCTTTCCTCCTTTCCTCCCTTCCTCCTTCCTTTCTTCCTTTCTTCCCTTTCTTTTCTCTCTTTTCTTTCTTTCCTTTCTTCTTTTTGAGGCCTCGGCTGTGCTGCCTCTTGTGCAATAGGATAATTACCAGCGATTCCCAGGCTCGCCTGCTTTTCTGCCTTTACATCTCTATCTCCTGTGGCGCAGTACTTCCTTCTGCCTCTATTATTAGCTTACTTAGCTTTACCATTCAGTTCTCCACCTCCTCCCCGGGTCCCTCCCCATCTTCTTCCAGCCTTTCTTTCCCTTCACCTCTGTAAAGGTATTTTGGGGAGCTACCATTCATGTTCTGTTCATACAGGAACCCTCTTTTTCTTTATTAATATAAAATAATCTTGGTCCTGCCTCATTTTATCATATATTCATTCGTATTCCCAAAATAGAAACCGTCGCCACCAGCACGTAATGTCTGGCCTGTAAACCTTTAAAGTAGGATGTGCCGAAATGAGATCTTCACAAGCAGGTGTGCCTCATCCCCTGACCTGCAGGCCCTTCTTCCCCGGCGGCCATTCACTCATCTTCACACCATCTTCTTGCCCTTCTCTCTGCTTTTCGATGATTCTACCCCAATCACATTCCTTCCCAAAATGACTGTGTTAGTACTTAATTGTTCACCTGGGCTTGTTCATGTTGTAGTTCATCGTTTCCTTTTTATCTTTAAAATTTTCTTGTTCTTCGGGGATACACTGTATTCTTGTAATTAGAGATTATATCAGTTTTCATGGCCAAAATTTGCCACGTGGACATAATAGTATTTGGTATCAAGCACGCCTTTCAGGAAGAAGGGAAAAACAGTAGATTTTGGGCAGCTTTTGATTACAATAATTTCAAATTTCTAATAACTAAGAAGTACTTCATGTGATTCTTGTAGAGTAAAAGCTTAAAAATTACCCTTTTCTTTGTAAGTGATATGAGTCTTACTTCGTTTGGGTAAGAAACTCAGTTTGAGGCTACCAATTTTTCAAATAGTGGTCTTAGAAACTAATTATTGCTGTAATTTCAATAACTAAATAGGCATTCCTATTCAAACCTTTACTCAAGTAGTTATATTCTTTAACTATAGTTACTCATTTGTAACATTTTTCACTGTAAGGGTAGTGACATCCTGTTTGTAACACACCCTGTCCTGGGACTAAATGGAAGGGATTGAGGAAATTCTGCTGGAGTCTAACCCCACCATAGGGCAGCAGCATTTTAGGAACAAAAGCAGAGAAGCTCACACTCTTCTGAGTATAACTGGGGAGAAGATTTAGGGAGGTGGCTTGTAGGATCAGTTTTAAGACCAGGTCAGACATACGTACAAATTCTTTCTTTGTAAATGAGAAGTGGCCTTTAATAGCTTTCATATGGATAGATGGGTAGATGAAATATTATTCTACCTAAAGCATGACATTTCAGTAAGTACTACACTTTGAAACTTGCCTTGCAGGGTTTTAAAAATATTCTTTTCTGGGTTCTAATCATTTATAACGAAGAGTCACTAGCATTTTATTAAAACCCATATTTTTTGGAGAGGGATATTAAGTGAGCAGGGATTGTGGGTTGTTCTTGCTTTTCCTTAACTGTCCTGCCCCAAAAAAGTGATGGGAATAACCCAAACCTTAAAGGTTCCTGGGGCTTTCTTTTTCCCTAGACAGGGACCTCCTCCTCTCCCCTGCTCTCATCCCACTTGTTCCTGAAAAAGGGTAAGGTTGGCAGGGCGGGGAAGAGAGAAGGAAATTAGGGTTCTAGCTTAAAACTGCTGCTAGAGTGGCTAGTTCTGGGAGCTTTTTGAGAGAGGCCCAAGGTGGCAGCCTTGTCTCTTTTGCCTCTTTCATTAAACCTGGGGTTTGCTGTACAATGCTTTGGGTCTCCTGTCCCAAAAATAAAGGGCTGTGGCAAGTATCATCCTGACAACTATCCAATCAGTTCTGACTGAGAGGCACTTGTAATTCAGAAGATAGTCATTAGATTTGGATAGAAAGAAATGAGATGTGATGTTCAGTAGATCAGTAGGGTGACTATAGTTCATGTTAATCGATTGTACATTTTAAAATTGCTTAAGGAGAATAATTTGAATGTTTCTAGTATAAAGGAAAGAGAAATATTTAAGGCGATGGATATACCAGTTAACTTGATTTGATTATAAATGTATCAAATCATTACATGTACCCTGAAAATATGTACATCTAATATGTATCAATAAAAATAAATAAATTCATTAGAATAACAGAATTTAGACATTTAGAGCTATAGTTTTAAGGAATTTCAGACCAAGGCCCAAAGCTCGGTTAAGTGACCTACTGAAGGTCCCAAGGCTATTATTGCCATATTAGAACTAGAAGTCAGATCTCCTGACTCCCACCAGTGTATATTGACTTTTGACCCAGCAGTTAGTTTTATTTTAGGCTGTATTTTCGAAATAACAGATTGGTTCAAGTCAAAATAATCTTATTCGTGTGAAAAACTCAACCAGGTGAACTGAGTGAATGAACCTACTTTTTAATTGGGTGTTTTTAGGTCATGTGAAAAAAAAAAACACAAATCAGAAGGTCCTTTGTGCTTCATGTTTGGATCTGATCCTTTTTTTTTTTTTTAAGCTGAAAATGAATGAAGGATGGTAGAGTAGGAACTAGGATGTACGCATAAAACACTTGCCTGTCTGCCTTGTCACCTGCACTCCAGTGGGGTGTTTCCAGGGCTCATTGTAAGGTGAGAGGTGACTTCTGGACCCTTGACTACCCTGTTCCTTCTGTCGCAAAATATAATCAGGAGGTTTCTATTTGACAATGTACTCTGAGTATTGTAAGGAACCAACTCCCAACCCAAATCGAATCGCCTCTGAGATCCTATTAAACAGAAAATGCCCTGAACACCAGTATATGAAAATGCTTTGCTAGGATGAGCTCAAAGCATTTCATCCTCCAAATAAAATCTATCTGCTCACACTTAGATTGTTCAAAGGCAGATGGTAGGCAATTGAAACAGAGAGACAAGCTGGCAAAAGGAAAAATAAAACCACAAATATCTGCACGTGAAGGTGATTTACGCTCTTGCCAGCCCCCCTCCTAACTTCGTTAACACAACGACGTAGCAATTAAGTAGCATGGGAACTCGGGCTCAGATGGCTGATACAGTTGTCCTCCGTTAATGGGGTGAGACAAAGCTTGCGTATAATATACAGTGCTCTTCACCAAAATGCAGAGCTAAAAGAGATTTTAAGAGATAATCAGCAACATAGCCTGTAAATCATGCTGCTCATAACAGACGGCCACCTTACTGAAATCTCACTGACCCCCACCACACGTGTTAACAGCAGGGCCACTGCTCTGAAATATTAGCTATTACCGAGTGGCCAAGTCTTAAGAAAGGGACCACTTGGCAGTATTGAACTTCAAAGTGGAAGTAAGATCCCCTTGGGGTGAGGGTAGGAAGGCGGTGAACAGGGTTGATCAGAACCGTGGAAGAGTCCGGAGCAGATGCTCTGTGGGAAACCCTGAATTAGCCAAGAGCAAAAGTTATCGCCATCCTACTGCTCTGGGAAGGCTGCCTGTTGGAGAAAACCTCTGTGTTCCCTTAGCCTTTTCACTGACTGGAGGACTTTCCAGACGAAATCTGGCACTTCTCAGTAACCTTGAACTTGAACATTCAGTGACAGAAGGGAAAGGGAGAGGGTTTCAGCTGCTGGAGCTGGGTAACTGTGCAGGGCTCTCGCAGCGGGCCATTTGTGGCTCTGAGGGTGCCAAGCTGCAGTGTTCTGAGGGTGTGTGAATGAGGGTGTTGATCCTGGCTGCAGAAGGGGCAGCTTTCTGAGCAGGTGGGAGTGGTGAATGAGGAGGGGATTTGGCGGGGCAGGATGTGAGATGAGTTTACTCTGCTGGGAAAGAATTTGGAGATGTCCATGAAGAAGAAAATCTGGATGACTATTGAGGGAGGGCTGATGTTGGAGAGAAGGGCTCATACTACAAATCAGAATAAAATAAAGGATATCTTAGTATCAAGAGGAAAGCACTGTTAAGATACTAAACCTTCTGCTGCCCAGGTATCTGAGGAGAGACCATGGAAGAGTTCTATATGGAACAAATGAAAAAGCAGTAAAGTCAGGTCTAGACCTGGAGTTTTTAGTAATACCAAGTTTACATAGGAAGTGTCTGGGAAGTAGTGATTAGAGGGAAAGTATGTTGGATGAGTGAATCATTCCTTCAGAAATCAATATTTTTTCCTACTAGGCCCTCCGAATGTCATCTTTGTAGTTGCCCAAATACATCAGTTTCTCTCTTATGTAAGAGAGCTTGTCTCATTTTTATTGCTGTATTCCATTTTCAAGTGTCTTCTTGGGTAATGATCCTGTATTTGATCTTGGCCAGATATTATCTGTGACTGTTGTTAGAGTGATCCTTTTCCTTTCCCCCGAGTTAGTCAAACTGTGTGCGTGGTCTCTAGACTGAGATTTGGCAGTGATTCCATGGCTCTTGTGAGTGGAGTTGACTAACAAAACTCAGGAATGGAATGGCCATATTTTGGAATTTGGTTGAAGCAAGTAAAGTTTTTATTCTTCTACCAATGCAAATCTATCTCAGGGAATTTCTCTTTATTCAGAAAGAATGACCTCCATCCCACCTTTCTCTAAAAGGTACAAATCGTAATGCATATTTGACACATTAGTTGGCTTTTACCTTGGGGACCAGCAGACCACCCCGCAGATACAATGCACGGAATCTAGCAAACAATAAAGAGCAGTGTGCTCGCGTGGCCAGATCGTTCGCTTCCTTCCTTTTTCGCCTTCATTTTTGGGAAGTCCTTGCCTCGTTAGTTCCATAGGCCATGAGACATAGCAATATAAAATGCCAGAGGATGTTCAAATGGGCGTGTGGAGGAAGAGGGAAAGCAGGAATTCTGGGCCAAAGAGCAGATGGCCAGCCAGTGACCTAGGAAGGGAAGCTCAGGCTTTTAAACAATGGCAATGTTTCTTTTATGTGCAGTTTTCATTAAGGAGTACCGAGACTCCAAGTTGGAGGATTCTGAAAGTGGTCATAGAGTCCCTGCCCTCGAGATTTAATATCCAAAGAGGAGACAGTGGTTTTAATATAATGAATATATGCAGAAAACAGCCGGAGACAATAGAAACACTTTGGCACCTTCTGTGGCGCTGCTAAAATGTGTGCTGTAGCTCAAGGCCCATAGGGGTTAATGTAGGGGTTATTTGTGTGTGTGTGTGTGTGTGTGTGTGTGTGTGTGTGTGTGTGTGTGTTTGGTGTTTTCCCCATGAAGCCCTGATTGTGCGACCCTGGGTGAGCCAGCTGCTTCCGCTGTTTTCCAGGAAAGCATGAGTGTCCACCACCTAGAGAGATGATGATGTGAGAAGGGGCAGGGAGAGACCTCTCTGGCTGCCACTCTCTCACTGCCCCAGGAGCGGAGGCCCCTGGTGCTCAGGAGTTCTTTGGCTGTGTCCGGATCCACCAATTCCCCGCTTCCCTAAGGATGACGGGTAAATCTGGTGAGACCCGCTGCCCTCCTAATGTTGGAGGAAAGCTGGAGCCCCTCAGTCAACATTTATGGAAGGGATTTAATGCATCATGGGCTGTGAAGGTACAGCCAGGCCCTCCGTCAGCTCCCTGAGACAGGCCTTGTCTTTTTGCACGCATATGTCTGTTAATAGTTGTAGACCTAGCTGTAGCCATGGGGGTAAGCCTAGTCCTCCAGCCCCTGAGAGTTTATTACCACAAGGAGTGAGAACACCAGGATGTGTTTTTTTAGATGTTCTTCTGTAACCCCCAAGCACCTGTAGCTCCCAGGTGTTTTTACATTGATCTCAGAATTACCCAGAAAACATTCTTTGAAGACCTTGTAGAGTCTGCCATTTGTACTTCTGCTACAAAGAGCAAAAATAAAGCAAATAAACAAAAAGCCCCTGGAAATCCTATAGTTATCCTAATACATATTTTAAAGTATTACCTATCACTGAGCAAGTGCATCTATACATTTCAATCCTTTTGGAAAATATACTTTCTCAAACTTCATGTTGTATCCCTCTAAAGTTAGTTAGCACATATTGTACATTCAGAAGAAATGTTCATTTACAGCAAGGCATAGGTTTTTTTTCCTCTAAAAGAAATTTGACCAGGTATGGTGGCTCATGCTTATATTCTCAACATTTTAGGAGGCCAAGGCAGGAGGATCACTTGAAGCCAGGAGTTCTAGACTATCCTGAGCAACAAAGTGAGACCCTGTCTCTATAAAAAAATAAAATAAATTAGCTGGATGTGGTAATGTGTGCCTGTAGTCCCAGTTACCCAGGAGGCTGGGGCAGTAGGATCCCCTGAGTCTAGGAGTTTGAGGCTGCAGTGAGCTATGATCATGCCACTGTACTTCACGCTGGGCAACAGAGTGAGACCTCTGTCTCTAAACAAAAAGGAAGGAAGGAAAGAGGGAAGAAAGGAAGGGAAGAGAGAGAGAAGGAAAGGAAGGGAGAGGGAGAAGGAGGGAAAAGAAAAAGGGAGAGAAATTGATGCAGGAAGAAGAAAGAAAGAAAATAAAAGAAAGGGAAAGAAACTGATGAAGGAGGAACTGGGTACCTAGAAGTGGTTGAATGAAATAATCCTGTAAAGTCATCTAAGGTTCCCATCTCATTCCTTGCCTTTTATTTCTTGCCATCACCTATGGCCACTTCTTGCTTGTTCATGTCACTTTCTTTGTCAGTTTGGAATGGGCCCTGCCTGGCTGATGGCTTTGGAGAGGACAGCAGACAGTCATTAGAGACTAGAAGCTGCCAAGCGAGGCAACGTGACAGAGCACACAGCTTTATGCCTTTTTCTTAGTCTACTCTCAGCTTGGAAATGTAGGAGTTATAGTGACACAGCTCAGTCAGCCTCTTCCTCCCCCGATCCTGGATCATCCACTCTGCCTCTCCCTCCCCCAGTCCCAGATCATCCTGTTTTCCTAGACCATTCCTTGCCCTGACAAATTTCTATTACTCTCAGGTTAAAGCCCAACTAACCCTGACCAGGCTGCAAGGCCCTGCGTGATCTGGCCCTGTCCCTTGCTCTTTGTCTTGGACTGCCCTTGCCCACACCAACTCCTTAGCATTCTACAGAGGTGCCATCCTCTTCTCTCCTGGCCTTTGCCCATGCCACTCCCTGAAACACTCCTTCTATCTCTCTTATCCCAGCTGATGGCTCTTTCCTAGGTCTTATCTCCCTGGGGTCTTTTCTTGAACTCCTCAAATCTGGATGAGATGTCCCTCATATGTGCCCTCATGACATCCGTTTTGAAACTTCTATCACATCACCTTGTTTGTATGCATCATTTGTCAATAAGCCCACGAGATCAGAGCCCATCTTGGTTTTGAGCTTATGAACATAGTGTTGGGAGTAGGTTTGGTGCTCCATAAATATCTGTTGATTGAAGGAGTGCGTGGAAAACAGAATTTGGTCTTTGATTTTTTTCTGTGTTTGGCTCAGTGTCTGATGCTCTCCCGAGCATTCTTATCAGTCCACAGGATTTTGCAGGACTATTAGCAGAGGGTAATGCATATCTGCAATATTGTCAGACATCGCCTGTTGTTAGACGTTTGCTTATGCAGGGAAAACAATATGGAGTTTTTAATTTTTAGTTGGAAATTCAGAATATTAAGTTACACATAACCTGCAGTGGTTTGGTTTTTAAATTGAGTTTCTGCTTGTTGTTAAACCCAATCCGAATCAACTAAAGGGAGGTCTATTCTCTCTACAAGGACACTGTGGCTCTCTGGATATTCCTGTAAGACAGGAAAAACGATCACAGATCAATTCTAGTTGCTGCCTCTGAGAAAGAAGAACAAGATAGATGGGTCTGGCTTTGTGAGGAACCTTTCTCTCTCTCCTCCCTCCTCCTGCCTCTCTCTCTGCCAATAATTACAAAGCTGAACTGAACTGCTACTGAGAATCCAAGTTCTTTCCTGGCTCTGACTAAGAGAACATAGATAGCATATGCATCTAGATTCTTTGGCTGTATACGGACATATATACATGCACACACATACACTCTGTCTTTGGCCTGAAATGACGGCACTGCACTAAGACCTGTTGTTTGTTTCTTAAGCAGATGGATGGCTAGATTTTTCTTTATATGAATCTTTCATGATTACTTTTACTAGGACAGAGCTAAAAGAACATGGGATGTGAAGTCCAGTGAGTTGGATTGATTGGATGTATGCGTATTGAGCACCTGTTACATGCTGGACATTATCAGAATTATCCGGGTGAAGAAGATGAGGCCTCTGATTGAAGTGGCTTGCTGTGTAATGTGGTTACACTAGTGCCACTTACTCTATAACTTTGGCGGACAAATTACTGGACCTCTTTAAACTTCCCATTGCTTAACCGTAAAATGAGGATAGTAGCACCTACTTTATAGTGTTTCCAAGAGCATCTACCATGATAATGTTTGTAAAATTCACTTGACATACACCTGCTCATCCTTGACATCTCCCAGTGCAGTCACCGGAGCGCCTCCCAGCGTCCTCTGGCACAGGTAGGTGCTTCCCCTCGTGCAGTTCTCTGCTTGGACACTTCACTCCGTGCTGTCAGCACCCTTTGCTTCTGTTCCTGCACTTGTGCCAAACCCTTTGGATGAAGAGCCTCGTTGTGCCCATCTCTGGATTCCTAGTGCCAAGCATGGGGTCCAGCACTTGACACATGGCTGTTGCTGAATAAATTAAAGAACAAGGATTATGGATGGCCAGGTACCATGCATATAACATCCTTATTATAAGAACTTTGGGCCAGAAAACAGAACAAAAAGGGAGAGTGCTTTGAGGCCCTGGAGATCAGAGCAAATCTCGGCAATATCACGCTCCAATTTGAAGGCTGTAAGTGTGTGCTGCTTTTTAGCATGGATGCTGATCAACTGCCCGAGGTAAAGGAACCTCTTGAGGTCAGGAAGGAGGTCTGTATGTTTAGTCTGGAGGTCAGTCTACATTTTGGTTAGCTAACAAAACTAACAGACCTAGGTGGTTGGCAATTAGAGGCGCATTTTGATTGTTTTATGCCATATACTCTACAACTCACATGGCAGCACTTTTTTCCTCCTGATTTCCTTTCCCTTTGCAGGAAGAAATGTGTTTCTCCTTTTCTTGGAATCTCCTTATTTTCTGCTCCGATTATATCCCTTTTTTCTGCTGTTCATACAATTTCAAGAATTAATATGAGTTATGAGGGTTCTCCAGAGAAACAGAACCACAAGGAGATAATGTATTTATTTATTATGAGAAATTGGCTCACGTGATTATGGAGACTGAGAAGTCCCATGATCTGCCATCTGCAAGTTGGAGACCCAGGAAAGCCACTGGTGTCATTCAATCAGAGTCCAAAGGCCTGAGAACCAGGGGAATTGATGGTATAAATATATCCCAGTTTGGGGATTGGAGAAGATGAGATGAGATGTCCCAATGTAAGCTGTGAGGCAGGGGAAAAAAAGGGAGTGACTGGTGAATTCTTCCTTCCTCTGCGTCTTGTTCTTGTTCTGTTCAGGCCCATAATGGATTAGATAGTGCCCACCCACATTGGGGAGGGAGACTGCTTTACTGTTCAGGAGCTAATCTCTCCGGAAACACCCTCCTAGACACACCCAGAAATAATGTGTAATCTGGGCACCCCATAATCCGAGTCAAATTGACATATAAAATTAACCATCACAGATATTAATGTCATTGAGGTTGAAAGGAGAGTGTTCTTGTCCTTAGTGTGTGTTTGTGTAAATACAATTTCTAACACAATCTGAGTGTGCAGGAAATAAGGAATAAGCACTTTAGGGGAAAAGATCATGTCTCAAAGGATCATTTTTTTTTCTTTACCCACCCCTTTGACTCTCAGCATTGAAATCAAAGTAAGGCCCTGAGCAGCTATATAGTAGAAGAAAGAAAGAAAAAAGTAAGACCAGATGGTTGTTTGGAAAGAAACAGCCACTCTTAGCAGTTATGCACAGCATAGGTAGAGTAAGTTCTTAGTGCTCGATAAATGAATCAATGGTTGCACTTTTTAGAAAGACCATTTCTTCTTCGGTAAAGCTTGCTAGTTCTTCTCACAGATTCTCTTTTCATCCGTTCCATAGGTTCTGCACACTGGTGAAGGGTAGGAACAGAGTGATCTTTTCTTTCCTTCTTGCTGGGTTTGCCACAAAGCATGTTGAATGGTCTTGATGTTTCTCCGGTCTATAAATAAATACTTTTTTAAATGGAGCCATCATGGGATCTGACTCTATTTATTCTTGTCACTCTCTTCTCTCCTCCCACAGGGAAATGGCACATTTAGGAAGAGTTTCCATTATTTGTAACATTTGATGATTTGTGTCTTTCATAGACCATGTATCAGAGGTGGAGAAACAGCTTCTTAACTTTCAGACTTGCTTGTTCTTGACTCCATGAGCCATCTAGGAGAGTTACCCCATTTCTGTAGGCATCCATCAGTATTCATCCTCTGTGTTCACACGCTTTCTCATTATATTACTCTTCTCAAGTTTACAAATCTCTTCTCATTGATTTCATTTTAGTTTGGCATCATGGTCTAGTGAGACTAACACTTGGCTGGGAATTGGGACTAACTGTGTCCTTGGATAAGACTCTTACCATTCTGGGCTTGTAGTTTTTCTCTGTAAAAGTTGAGACATCCAGCTTGATAGTTCTCTGGCTATAAGGGCATTTTGACCTCCGAATACTGAAAGGATGCAGGTAGGGGTTGCAATCTTTCATGCTCTGTACTTTGCAAGAGTAATTTGGTCAGCTATCTGAGGCATTCCCATGAGAACCAAATGGAACTACTCTGGCCCCTTCAGATAGAAACTGTTAGAAATAAAAAGCTTACACTTGTTGGGGGGCAGGCAGTATATTTTACATCTGCTGATAATATGCTAGAACCAAATTGCAAAGTGTACCCATGTATGTTATTTAGTATTTTCATTGTTCACATTTTTCTCATTTCTAAACTATGTTGAATAGTGGAATATTTTGCTTCCTTTGGTTTTGTTTGAGAACCTCTTCTCCCCTTAGTGATGGTGCTGTAGCTGTCGTCAGCCCAAAAGGTCCATACTACATGTTCAGCTAGGACAGGGACCACATCAGGGCAGGCATCTCATATAATTTGACTCAGCCCTAATACACTGATTTTCTTACAGCCAAGGATTAACTCTCTCCATTAAAGACTCATGTGAGGGGAAGAACAGATAGCAAAGTGTTTGCTAAAATGATGAACTGTCCCTATTTCACCTTCAGGCAGCAAAATCATCTGCTTAGAAACTAATTAGAGCATTTTCCCCAGGCGTTGGTGATCTACTTCTACATGCCTATGATCTCTTAGACAGTAGTTGTACCATGTTCAGGAACTGGCCATAAAGCAGCCCTCTCCCTAGCCTGTCTCCCTCTAATAGAAGAAGGCTGAGAGTGGCTCATTCCTTCAGATGAATCTCAGACCTTTTATTTCAGATTCATTTAAGGGCATTTACTTCTCTGTGATGCTCCTTACTTTCTGTTCTTTAAAATCTTCTTTGCTTTTGGATCCCAGGGTAGACAAGGAAAATGTTGCACCATCATATATAGGTAGGTAGGAGACTTTAAGGTGCTCAAAGCCTGGTCGACATTTTCTGGTGGCACAGATGAAGCCATTTTCTATGGAAGCCTCCTAGGCAAGACTCTGTCCTGCATCCCACTGAGTATAGACCTAATTTCTTTCTAATATGGATGGAGGAATAAGCATGGTCATTTATCATGCTGAGGCAGCTGTAAGCCGTCTGCATCCGGGTTCCATTGCAATTGGAACAGTAGCAAATCCATTGGGTTTCTTTGTTTTTCAGGGTAATTTTCTTTCCCTTACAGTGTACTACAGATTTGGGGTCTGTGGTCTTAAGTGAACATTTACATAAAGTTAGCTATTTATGATTTTAAACAAATTTCATGCCCCTTTCTGCTGTGTTGTTGGTATTTTTGGTTTCTATGTATCATAAACCACAGAAGTTCAGTGACTTCCATGGAATGATGTGGAAAATCAGGAAGTAAGACTGAAATTAAGAATGAAAATTTCTGACTATATGTGTCATGCTCATTTTCACCGTTTAAGGTCTTTCAGACCACAATTTAGTGAATAAATCTATATAGCAAATTTTTTAAATTCTCACGTTTTATTTATTATTATTATTATCATTTATTATTATACTTTAAGTTCTGGGATACATGTGCAGAATGTGCAGGTTTGTTACATAGGTATACACGTGCCATGGTAGTTTGCTGCACCCATCAGCCCGTCATCTACATTAGGTATTTCTCCTTATGCTATTTCTCTCCTAGCCCCCACCCACTGACAGGCCCCAGTGTGTGATGTTCCCCTCCGTGTCCATGTGTTCTCATGTTCAACTCCCATTTATGAGTGAGAACATGCAGTGTTAGGCTTTCTGTTCCTGTGTTAGTTTGCTGAGAATGATGGTTTCCAGCTTCAACCATGTTCCTGCAAAGGACATGAGCTCATCCTTTTTTATGGCTGCATAGTATTCCGTGGTATATATGTGCCATATTTTCTTTATCCAGTCTATCATTGATGAACATTTGGGTTGGTTCCAAGTCTTTGCTATTGTGAACAGTGTCACAATAAACATACGTGTGCATGTGTCTTTATAGTAGAATGATTTATTACCCTTTGGGTATATACCTAGTAATGGGATTGCTGGGTCAAATGGTATTTCTGGTTCTAGATCCTTGAGGAATCGCCGCACTGTCCACAATGGTTGAACTAATTTACACTCCCACCAACAGTGTAAAAGCATTCCTATTTCTCCACATCCTCTCCAGCATCTTTTGTTTCCTGACTTTTTAATGATCGCCATTCTAACTGGTGTGAGATGGTATCTCATTGTGGTTTTGATTTGCATTTCTGTAATGACCAGTGATGATGAGCTTTTTTTCGTATGTTTGTTGACCGCATAAATGTCTTCTTTTGAGAAGTGTCTGTTCATATCCTTTGCCTACTTTTAGATGGGGTTGTTTTTTCCTTGTAAATTTGTTTTAAGTTCCTTCTAGATTCTGGATATTAGCCCTTTGTCAGATGGATAGATTGCAAAAATTTTCTCCTGCTCTGTAGGTTGTCTGCTCACTCTAATGATAGTTTCTTTTGCTGAGCAGAAGCTCTTTAGTTTAATTAGATCCCATTTGTCAATTTTGGCTTTTGTTGCCATGCTTTTGGAGTTTTAGTCATAAAGTCTTTGCCCATGCCTATGACCTGAATGGTATTGCCTAGGTTTTCTTCAAGGGTTTTTATGGTTTTATAGGTTTTTATGGACCTAAAACCATAAAAAGTCTTTAATCCATCTTGAGTTAATTTTTGTATAAGGTGTAAGGAAGGGGTTTCAGTTTTCTGCATATGGCTAGCCAGTTTTCCCAACACAACTTATTAAATAGGGAATCCTTTCCCCATTGCTTGTTTTTGTCAGGTTTGTCAAAGATCAGATGGTTCTAGTCGTGTGGTGTTATTTCTGAGGCCTCTGTTCTGTTCATTGTTCTATATATCAGTTTTGGTACCAGTACCATGCTTATACAGCATATTTTTGTTTGCACTTTCATTGTGAATGCTAATTGTTTTTACTTAAAGATTCCTCCTTGAGTAGATTCAATAATTCAAACTGGACATGAACATGTGACTTTTTGAGATGGAATCGCTCTCTCGCCCAGGCTTGAATGCAGTGGATTGATCTCTGCTCACTACACCCAGGTTCAAGCAATTCTCTTGCCTCAGCCTCCCAAATAGTGGGGATTACAGGCGCGCTCCACCATGCCTGGCTGATTTTTGTATTTTTAGTAGAGACGGGGTTTTGCCATGTTGGCCAGGCTGGTCTTGATCCCCTGACCTCAAGTGATCCGCCAGCCTTGGCCTTTCAAAGTGCTGGGATTACAGGCATGAGCTACTGAGCCAGGCCATGTTTGAATTTTTACAAGACTAATTTAATTTCACATTTCATAGGTAACACATAGACTTAGCCACATTTTTCATATTGGTGCCTCCATGGTAGATAAGACATTGAAACTATAATGCAACTAAGATCAAATTTTTTAAATGTCAGAATAACTTTAATAAATAAATTTGCTCATCCTTTTTTGATGGACCCTAACAATGATCAGTTTTTAGCCATGATGTTATCTGCCACTAGACTGTATTATTTTCTCATTTAACATAGCTTCATGGTACTAGGAATGGAAGGAGGAAAGGGGGCATGAACTTCTCAAGACTGCTTTGTAAGTCTATTTCTTTCTTTGATTCCCATACCTCAAGGAACTGAGAGCAAACTTTGAGCCTGAGTGTAAAGTTTGTTTTCCTGGAAATGTCACCAGGCTGTAAACTCAGAAACAGATTGCCCCCAAAAAATTCCCTAAAGGGCTCTTTACTTTTTTCTTGTGTTACCTTTTTTTCCTGTGGCATTCTGTCTCATAATATGAACCTCATATAGTTGCCTCCCAAACTTTTCTGTTTAGCTTTTTTTTTTCTCTCCAAGAGGAATTTCTTTAAGTACACTATGGAAATGTGCATAAAGATGAAAGCCTGACTTTTCTAAACACTGTGTTATAAAATTAATTGACAATTAATTCAACAGATGTGTATTGCCACATGGATAGAGGGTAAAGGTAGTCATTTGTCACTGACTTCGACAACTGAGAAAAAAGTGATTCAAGGGAGTTGGCCCTGCATGTAAGGAATTTCAGGAACAATGTGGTCAATTAATTTTACTTAAGATGAATGTAAACATCATGTGTACATGCAGTTCTTTCAATAAATACAAAATAATTGTAAATGATAAAGTGGCAGATAAATCTTAGTGGCAGATAAACCAGTGCCTCTAACAATCCGCTTCTGCCCTGTGGCATTTTTTGAAATGTTACTAATTTGACAGACTAAATGAGCATCCAGTATTATTTAGCTTTTAAAACATATTATTTGTGTTTTTTTCCTTTAATATTTTGCTTAGAAAGTCTTTCTCTACTCTAAGGTCAAATAAATGTTCAGTTAAATAGATGGAATATTACCTGTTTCATTTTTACATTCAGGCCTTAAGATTTTATTAGAGAAACTTCCACACATATTCAGAAGTGATGAGAACAGTATAATGAATTATATGTACTCATCACTCGGCTTCAACAGTGATCACTACGTGACTAATCTTGTTTTATCTGTATGCTTACATCCTTCTCACCCTTCCCCTTCCCTATTATTTTGAAGTACTAGTCACTCAGAATTTCAGCTATAAATACTTCAGGTTGTGTCTTTAACAGACTTAAAAACCAAGCAAGCAAAATGTCATTATTACACCTAATAAAGCTAACGGTCATGTTTTCATATTATCTAATTAATACCTAGAGTTCAAATAAAATGCCTAGTATTTTTGGGGCTGAAGATACAACCCATAAAAGTAAAGCCTTGGTGTTATAATACCCAAGAGCCAATATTCTAACGTGAGGAAACAGACAAAATGTAAGTAAAATACGAACAAGATAATTTCTGCTAACAATCAGTGCTCGGAAAGAAACACAGTAGATGACAGAGAGAGTGACGCAGGGCCAGGGGGATCCTATTCCAGGTCGGTGGTCAGGGAAGGCCTAGGAGGTGGCATGAGTGTGAGGACCAGGTGAAGGGCAGGAGCTGGCCCAGGGGACAGTGTCCTAAGTGGAGGGATTTGCCACTGCGTGAAGAGCTTGATGGGCCTGCGGAGTGTCATCTAGCTAGGCACCTTTTTCCCTGTTAATGCTGGCTTTAGTTATAGTCATTTGTAATGTGTAGATTTTCAGTGTCTTAACTTTTCAACAGGGTAAATAGGACCATCCGGAGTACACCAATATTGAGCTTTGTGATACCTTTTGGTCGATTTGTTGATCAGTTATGCTTCATTGTCCATGAACATTTCAGAAAAAAAAAAAAAAAGGAAAAAAAGAAATGGAAAATTCAGGCTACTTAAATCACGCCTTTGAAACCTAGAAACCCTTAGGGGCACAGACCCTTCTTGTGTAATAACAGAGCTCTATTTTCTGCTGGGAAGTTCCCTATTGAGATTTGGGACACTTCCTAATTTTTTCTGGGTAAAATAAAAGTGACAACTTTTTTTTCTAATGACTTTTTAATACTTCTTCTTATCTGAGTAAAAACCAGGAAGTGGGAAGCAAATGTACAAAAACCAGCAATACACACACACGTGTGTGTGTATTTTCATGTACATATGAATGTGTATGTGGGTGATAGGAAGAAGAGAGGATGCATAGAGAAGATGATCTCGATCAAGTTTGATGTAAATGTAATAGCAAATTAGAGTACATTCTTGTCTTAATCTTTTCTGTAATAAAGATAAAATGGGGCATTATGTTCATATGATTGAACAAAAGTGGATGATTTCAACCTTTTTCTTCTCAGCCATTAAAAGAAGAATTTGAAAGAAACAGTCTTTGCATACATATACAGAGAGTTTGTCAGCCTTTCTTCAGACACAGCCAGCCACAGTCAGACTAAACATTCGAAGACGTTACATTTAGTCCACAGTGGAAGTATTTGTTGATTCACATATTTTCTTTTTACAAGAAAATCTTCAGGGTTAGTATTCACCCCTGAATTGGACACAAAGTAAAATTCCATTGTGTTATAAGACAGCTTAAAATATCTTTGATTTAATCCAGAAAATTCTATCACTCTTACTCCTGAAAAAGGTGCTGGTATTTTAGGCTTTACCAGTCAGCTACATTAAAAGCTGTGGATAGTTTTGCAATTTATGAAATAATTACTCTTCCTCATTTGTCTTCTTGATTTGCCCGACATCAATGCTCTTGTGTTCACCAGGGACTAATGATTGTATTTTTCTTCCCAGTGGGTGGGATAGGATACCAGTAGGTGGGATAGAGAGTTTATGGTAGATTCAGTTTGTCTTTATTTACTCAAGCACTCTTCCAGGGCCTGGAGCTGTCAAAGGTGAAGTAGGAAATTACTGTTTACATCTGTCGGGAATTCACTGTTCTGTCTTTCATGAGCTTTCATGCCCTTTAGAGACCATTTTGCACACCTTGATTGTCAGAAAAGGGTCTGGGATGTTTTTGGAGTGGTACAGAGATGCATACAGCAACTTACACTGTCATGACTTTTTTTTTGAGATGCAGTCTCGCTCTGTTGCCTAGGCTGGAGTGCAGTGGCGTGATCTTGGCTCACTGCAACCTCTGCCTCCCAGGTTCAAGTCATTCTCCTGCCTCAGCCTCCCGAATATATGGGACTACAGGCATGTGCCGCCACACCTGGCTGATTTTTGTATTTTTAGTAGAGATGGGGTTTCACCATTTGGCCAGGCTGGTCTCGAACCCCTGACCTCAAGTGATTGGCCTCCCACAGTGCTGGTATTAACAGGCGTGAGCCACCGCACCTGGCCCTGCTATGACTTTCAATGCTCTGTTGTAGTTTTTTCTTAAAATTTAAGTTTGCTTGGCAATACCTTTTTTTTTCTTTCTTTTCTATTTTAGACAGAGTGTAACTCTCACCCAGGCTGGAATGCAGTGGCAAAATCTCAGCTTACTGCAATCTCCGCCTTCCAGGTTCAAGTGATTCTCCTGCCTCTGCCTCCTGAGTATCTGGGACTACAGGCGCACACCACTGCACCCAGCTGATTTTTGTATTTTTAGTAGAGACGGGGTTTCACCATGTTGGTGAGGCTGGTCTCAAAACTCCTGACCTCAAATGATCTGCTAGCCTTGGCTTTCCAAAGTGGTGGGATTTAAAGGCATGAGCCACTGCCCCCCACCCCACCGCCCCACCTTTTTTCTGTTCTTTTTTTTTTTTTTTTCAGCTCACTGCAACCTCCGGCTCCCCGCTCCCCACGCCCCCCACCAGGTTCAAACGATTCTCCTGCTTCAGCCTCCCAAGTAGCTGGGATTATAGGCACATGTCACCATGCCCGGCTAATTTTTGTATTTTTAGTAAAAACGAGGTTTCACCATGTTGGCCAGGCTGGTCTCAAAACTCCTGAATTCAGATGATCCACCCGCGTCGGCCTCCCAAAGTGCCGACATTACAGGCGTGACCCGCACCCAGCGCCACACCCCCTTTTTTTCTTAATAAGAAAATGAGTAGACACATCCCTGGGTGCCAATCACTCATGTATCAAGATTGCTGAGTATGAGAAATCAGTAAATTAATATGAAGAACTTAAAACACAGTTCTAGCCAAAGTAATGCTTAATAAGTACAGTATTGTGCAATTATTGCTAAATAGCATACATTTATTGTGTTCCTCCATTTAAGATACTTTCAAGCATTGTAGGGAAAGAAAAGCACATAAGCTGTAGTCTTTAGCTTTAACGGACTTGTAGCCTAGTTGAGAGAAGCCATATGTGTAAGATGACGAGTAATAGCACAAAGCAGTGTGTGATCAGTGCCAAATGCAAATATGTACTAAAGGAGTTTAAAGCACAGAGAAAGTTTGCTGTGAACTGGAATAATGATAACAATGGTAGCAACAGCAGCCAGCATTTACTGAGTGCTTCCCGTGTGCTAAGTACTGATCAAGTCTCTTACAGGTATTCGCTCATTTATTCTTTATGTCAGCCATATAAGAAAGATGTTTCTATTAGTTTTCCTGCTTTACAGCTCAGAAAACTGAGTGAGGTTAGCTAACAGGCCCAGGGTCCCACACCAGGGAAATGTGGAGTCTGGGCTGCCTGTTAGAGTCTTGGCTGCCTGACTCCAGAGCCCCAGTCTTAGCCACGTCAGGGTGGTCTAGGAGAACTGGATCGAAGTAGATACCTTACGGGCAAAGGAAGCCGACCACCTCATGGAAGAGTCTGGTGTATACAGGAAAAGAGTGAAAGGTACAATGTTGGGGCATGATTAAAGGGCCTTTAGCCCCCGTTAAAGGCACTTTGACCTGATCCAGAAAGTAGTGGGAGAACCAGCGAATGAACTTAGCAAGAGGAATGTTGGGTGCATTGCAGGGCAGCCACTATGGCTCAAGTTGGGGCTTTCTGATGCTTTCTGCTTCAGTCTCGTGGCTGTCTAGTGGTTTGATTTTCCATTAGCCCTTTCTCCCTTGGCCTTAAGGGATGGATATCTACAAAATCTTAGCTATCAGGCAAAACCTCACTGTCCCACTGGTGATAAGCTGGGCTTCCCAGCAGTTCATACGAGGCCTGCATCCTGCTGTGTAACCTGCCTCAAGACTGCAGAAGGCAGAGTTAGGTGTCCTTCCCCCTCAGGGCCCTCTTTATGCTTCTCTGGATTTGGTGCCAAAGAATCCACAGTTTAGGGCAACCGTAGAAACCCCAGGAGGAGTGTGGTAGCGTGTGGAGACCCTACTAAGATAACCATAGCCTTAGCTGCTCCTTGAGGTCTGGCTCTGGGTCCCAGGGGCTGCTTAGAAGGATCCTTAGTGATCCCCTGGTCAGGACATCATATGTTTAGAGAGCAAGGTTAGAGGAGTTACCACAGTTTTCTTCTACATGCTGATTAATCTAGGATTTAAATACAGGCTCCAAAATAAAGTGTAAGTGGTGGTAGCTCAAAGAAGCAAAGCAAGCTTCACATTAAATGACATGGGCTTCTGAAAATGTGGGAAGGACTAGGAACACAGGCTACTTACTGCATCTATAACTCTCTTTAGACAAAGAAAATATGTGATTAGGAAATGTTTTGGCAAGATCTCACCAAGATTATTTACTGCAAAGGAGGCCCAGGACTCAGCCTGGCAGGGAAAATGGGGCGGGGGGGCGGGAGTGTTTACTGGGAGTATGGAAGAGCATTTTAAAGTATGGAAGTAGATTGAACCCCTGTGCTGGGGCTGGGGACAGGGAGTACCATAATACAATTTTATGCTGTTAGGGGATCTCTGCAAAACCTAGAGTAAGTAGAGGAAGGAGTCTGTTTGAAATTAGGAATAGTAGGGTCAGGGTCCAGATGGAGGTGGGGAGGAGTGGGGCTCAGACCTGACCACTGCTTCTCTAGGCGTCGTTTGAATATTTAAAGACAAAGCACAGTACATTTGCTATTTTATTTTATTTTATTTCATTTTATTTCATTTCATTTTAAACCATGGCTAACTCTTCTCCAGTCTTCTCCAGGAGAAAAAACTTGATTGTCATCCTGGCACAAAAATGTCCACAGTTAGGCTAACAGGCAAGCTTCCGTGAGCAGATCAAATTTGCTATTCTGGTTCCAACATTTAACTCCCTAGCTTTTTTTAAAAGAAAAAATAAGCTGGCATCAACTGAAATTTCAGGTTAGGGGCTTGGTTTGAGGATGTTTGGGGAAGCGGGAGCTTTCTGCCATGTCTTTTGTGGACATTGGATGTATTTCCGCATTCTGGTTGGCCACATTTCCCCCTGGGGCAGATTCTTCAGAATCATTTGTCTCCCACTGGGAGTCTTTTTCCCTCCCCCCCCCCCCCACCCCCCTTTGTCTTTTTCTCTGACATCTGCCGCACACTCTCTCCAGGGCATACGGTCCAGACCCTCCTGGGAGAGCTTCATCTGCTTAGTATAACTTCTAGCAGAAGATAGAACTGATGGATTTTCGTGCGCAAATACAGATTCACAAGGGTGTTCGGTGTCACAAGCATGGATTTATGATGCAGTTTGAAAAGGGTCAGAATATTCAGAGATGAGATTAATGCCAGCCCATGAGTGCTTTGTGGTGCTGAGGTAACTGAAGTGCATCTGGTGGTGTCCAGAGCTCAAGTCCCCACTGCAGACGCCAGGAAGAAAGAGGTGGCTCGCAGACTGAGAAGGGGCGTAGGGATGCACCCTTCTTGTCTCCTTCTGCTTGATAATTTAGATAGAGGATGGCAGGTGTAAATCAGTTTGTGGTAGATGCAGTGTGAGCTGTCCTTTCTCCCCCTTCCTCACGTCCTTACAAGACACCTGTCTGCTTTGTATCGATTCCGGCACTGTGTTATGATATTCTTGTAGTTTCATTTTTTTGTTGTTTCTCTTTTGATATTGGACTTTATATGCAAAGAATGGGATTAGTCATAATCTTTACTTCAAAACACATTATCTTCATATTTTTATGCTGGTTGTGATGGCACACACCTGTAGTCTGAGCTACTCTGGAGACTGAGGTGGGAGAATCACTTGAGCTCAGGAGTTCGAGTCTGCAGTGAGCTATGATTGTACCACCGCACCCTAGCCAGGACAACGGAGCAAGACTCTGTCTCTAAAAAAGATAGAATGGGCTGGGCACGGTGGCTCATGCGTGTAATCCTAGCTCTTTGGGAGGCTGAGGCAGGCAGACCACTTGAGGTGCAGTTCAAGACCAGCCTGGCCAACATGGTGAAACCCCATCTCTACTAAAAATATGAAAATTAGCCGGGTGTGGTGGCGGGCGCCGGTAGTCCCAGCTACTCGGGAGGCTGAGCCAGGAGAATCGCTTGAACCTGGGAGGCAGAAGTTGCAGGAAGCCAAGATTGTGCCACTGCACTCCAGCCTGGGCGACAGAGTGAGACTCTGTCTCTAAATAAATAAATAAATAAATAAAATTATATAAAATAAATAGTGTAATAACCAACTATGTAGTCACTTCAGGCTGCTATAACAAAACACATAAACTGAGTGGCTTATAAACAACAGAATTTGATTCTTTCCGTCTGGAGGCTGGTAGTCTGAGGTCAGGGTGCCCAAATGGTCAAATTCTGGTAAGGGCCCTCTCCTGGGTTTCAGGCTGCTGACTTCTCACTGTGTCCTCACATGGCAGAAGGGCGGGGAGCTCTCTAAGGCCTCTTTTATACGAACCTAAATCCCATCCATGAGGGCTCTACCCTCATGACTTAAAACACCTTCTAGAGGCCCCATCTCTAAATACCATCACATTGAGAGTTAGGATTTCAACATACGAATTCTGGGGTAACACAAACCTTGTCTGTAGCAGTGACCATAAACCCATCCCCCCAGACAAATCTAGGACCTGGAGCATAACCTGCGTCTGAGCAGATTGCCATCCTTCCCACACCTCCTCTCCCTTCTTTTCTCTACCCAAGGTAACTATTATCTGAACCCTGTATACATCTATGTTTCCTTTTCTGCATACTTTATTTCGCTTACATATCGTTCTAAAATGGAACACATAAAAACATAAGACATACACACATAAAAAGTATGTAGCTATATAGATATGTATTTAATTGTTATCACCTTTCAACTTTATAAAAAGGATATCAGACCATATATAATCTTTTGGGACTTACTTTTTTACTTAACGTCTCGACTGCCAGCATTCATGTGTATTGCTATGCATCACGGTAGTTAATTTGCCTTGTCTGCTGTATGATGTTCCATCATGAGCCGATTATACACAGTTTATTCATTCACTCTCTCATTGATGGGCGTTGAAGTTGGTGCTAGGATCTTGGCAATTGCAAACAGGTTTGCCATAAATATATTCATGTATGTATAATCAGTTGTCCACGTGCAAAAGAGAGTCCTTTGTGTTCGTGACTCCATTATTTTGAAACCAGCAGTAGTACTGCACACTGGGAGAATGTTTGTGGGAAGCACAATAAAGGTAAGTCCTCAGTACTTTGTATTTCAGTTTGGTGTGAAGAAGTAGCATGTAGACTTCATAGGAGACAAGACACTTCTATGGTTTGAGTATTTGTCTCCTCCAAAATTCATGTTGAAACTTAATGCCTTAATCCCCGGTATGGCAGTATTGACACATGGGGCCTTTAAGAGGTGGTTGGGTCATGAGGGTTCTGCCCTCATGAATAGATTACCCCATTCATGGGTTAATGGATTAATGGATTAATGGGTTATTATGGGAATGGGACTGGTGGCTTTATAAGAAGAGGAAGAGAGACCTGAGCTAGCATGCTCTGCCCCTTACCTTGTGTTACCCTGCACTGTCCTGGAACTCTGCTGAGTCCCTCCTAGCGTGAAAGCCCTCTCCAGATGGGGCCCCTTGACCTTGGACTCCCTAGCCTCCATAACTGTAAGAAATAAATTTCATTTCTTTGTAAATTACCTAGTTTTAGGGATTTGGTTATAAGCAACAGAAGACGGACTACATATCTTATTTTAATTTTGTTCCTCCCACTAACTTCCCAGCCCCACAGTGCTTGGAGCAACTGTTTCTGCAGTCATGACTTCAGTACAGTTAATGCCTGTTGACTTCATCTTATGTTAAATTCTTTGCAGGTAAAGCCATGTTCCTTATAAGATCAGTCTTTTTTTGTTCCTCTATGTGTCTAATCAGGTCAATTCTTTGCATTATTTTATTTAGCATCATCTACCAGGAACTAGGCAGGCATTGTCTTAATAAAGCCTGGTTCTTGCAGTTGGAGAACTTGCTATCTAGCTGGGAGAGGCAGTATGCAAACTAAGATTTAGAATGCGTTATGAGGCCAGGCGTGGTGGTTCACGCCTGTAATCGCAGCACTGGGAGGCTGAGGCGGATGGATTGCCTGAGCCCAGGAGTTCAAGACCAGCCTGGGCAACATGACGAAGCCATCTCTACAAAAAATTAGCCAGGCATGGTGGCACATGCCTGTGGTCCTAGCTACCCGGGAGGCTAAGGTGGGAGAATCACCTGAGCCCAGGAGGTTGAGGCTGCAGTGAGCTGTGATTGCACCACTGCACTCTAGCCTGGGCGACAGGATGAGACCCTGTTTCAAGAATAGTAATAATAATAAATTTAAAAATAAAATAGAATGCATTATTATATGTACCTTAGAACTTAGGTCTTAGAGAGTGCCTACCTCTCCTTGGGAGAGAAGACTTACGGTGGTGGGAGACAGTGTTGCATCTGTCAGATAAATTAGGGAAGGCACATGGGGCGGACGATTTCAGAGAAGTTAAAGGCATGGGAGAACATTTGCCACGCAGGCCGTGGCAAGTGGTTGGCTTTGACTGTAACATGCAGCGTATGCAGTTCCTGGAGGCAGATGAGGGAAGTCATGCAGTACTTGTGTTTCTGTGAGTCTCTTCAGTTTTGGGGTTTGTAGACAGGTCATGTTCACTTACTCCTAACCTGTCTCCCACAATAGTCATCTGGGTCTGTGCTACTTAGTGTCATCCTCTCACTCTTTCCCTTGGTGGCATATCCAGTTGGCTAAGAGGACAGGCCTGACCTTGTGCCCAGAGTAGGGAGAAGATCCCGATCACCTCTGGTCCTTGTCAGGCTGTTTGCTTGGATGGTAGAGTTCACCCAAGTTCGGACTCAGGAACGGCCTGTGGTCATGGAGTAGTTTTTTTCTGTCCAGGGTCTGGACCAAGATAACTCCATCACAGGGGTAGCAACAGTATGTGCTGGGGCAATTCTGCTACCCACTTCTGGTGTCCTTCAGTGCTTTCCCTGCACTATCTCTGTCCCCAGCTGCTTCCATCCATTTGCTTTCTAGTGATGAAGCACTGGGGGAAGCTGCAGGGATGGCTGCTGCACCCACATCCATCCCTGCCCATCTGTTCTCAGAGACTCTATGGCTAGCAGAGGGAGTGATGATTTCAGGGAAGAGTACCAGAGAGGGCCAGTGGGTAGCAGGAGTCTCACTTCTTGGAGAAAACAGCTGGTCCTCTGTGACCAATTCTCCCTCAAACTAGGGAGATTATATGGCCACTGCATACACAAACACACATGCTTGCGAAGATAGGATGGAGTTGTACCAAATAAAAAGTTTATTGAAAGGGATGGTGGTAGAGAAACACTGTATCATGCCGTGGCATAACAGGGTATTATATGTTGGATGGCTTTTTGGAAATCATTTTAGGCCAACCTTATTAGAGATCTAATTTATTTGTATTCTTGTAGCTACCTAGCACAGTGGTAAGAACACAGACCAACATTTGGTAAACCTTGGTTTGAACTCTACCCCTGCTGCTTCTGACCTCTGTGAGTCTGCATATTATTTAACCCCTGAGGCTCAGTGTCCTCGGTTGAAAAATGGGCCACTAATTTAGTATAAGGGCTATGTAAGATGTAATGCACATGACATGTTTTATAATAGCTTCTTATGGAATTATCTGAATTGGGGACCCATCTGTTGCTTTTATAAAAAGTTCACCCCTTAAGACAAGTCAGTCCAATGGCCATGTTTAAACCAAATGTACTGTCTTCTGTAATGCTCAATATATTTTTCATGTCATTGAGTGCAGAGACTAGGTGGGAAGATGATCATATACAGACAGAATGGGCACCACTCTGCCTAAACATGGCTCTCGCTTTCAAAACAGTACTTTAAAATATCTCCTCCCTATTAAACTTTTCCAGTGAAGACTCTTTTTCCACCTGGTTATTGTCTCTGTGTTTGTTACAGCCTTCTCTCTGCTTTCAGATATTCAACTCTGCAAAGTCGTAATCATTTATCCACATGTACTTTTGTGTGTGTTTGTCCCATCTCTCTCTTTAGAAGACATGTTCCTGCTGGTGCTTGGAATAAGACGTTCTTTTCCCTCCCCGTGGAGATGCTATTTTTCCTCTCTTTAAGGAGCTAGGAGAGAATTTGGTTCAACATGTCTTATGTATCAGTTTAGCACTGTGCTTTTCTTCCCTTAGATTGACGTGTGATTTAAAAAAACAAAATTTGGAACCGGTCATGTAAAGATGGTGTATGTCACTTAGTATAGGTCATCTCTGTACCCTTTGTATACTGAATTTTGCTGTGACCTGTCAAAGGATACCGAAGACAGGCCCATGCGAAACATTTAATTTCTGGCATTTTCGTGCATGTGAGACTCATCTGATGTGAACTGAAGGTATGTTATCCTTCCTTTTAATGATACCAAATCTGGCCCAAATTCATATGACCCCTTAGAAAATTACTGTGATAGGAACAGATTCTAATGAATTGAAATAGAGATTTCTCCACCTCACGTAATTAGGATTTGAGAGTTAAATAAGAAAGTCAGGGATAGGGACAGGGATAGAATGGCATGGAGAAAGTTGGAGCCAAGAACACTGAGGAAAAGAAGGGAGTGACAGCAGCAAGGACCATTGCTGTTAGGAAGGGAATTCTTTCATCAGACACTGGAATTCTCCTGCCAGGCACTGGAGTTTGCCCTAGCTTCTGTCTGCTTTTACTGGATCCTGGGTCCTCCAGCTGAAGTGAGTTGTATTACAATCCCTTCCAGTTTTGCACTTCAGGGAAGTGAAATGGAGCAAATCCTAATGGCACAGGCTGGAGGGAGAAGGACTAGTTTCTTTAATGTGACTCAACACCTGGCAAGGCTGTCTTTTTCTCAACCGGGTTTCATCTGTTAGTTCTGCAACATGCAGAGTCAGATTTTGAGGAGTTTCCAGCTCTCGCCTTCATGGCTGTCCTTGTGTTTGTGTTTGTGTTCTCCAGGCGCCTCCTTCTCCACTCTTTCTCCAGTGCTGGAGACCTAGGGGTGTGCATCCTGGAGGATTGTGAGGAACCTCAGCTGCTCCCCTCGTCCTCTGACCAGGCGGTGGGCTCAGGGAGCTTTGGAGTCTCATGCGGTCAGCAGCGCTTAGCATGTTCAGTTGGCTTTTTCCATATCACCAGTGACATCTTTCTTCTTCCTAATCATCGACTCATGGAATATTAGAATTACCAAGCCTCTTGCAGTTCCTGTGGTCTAATTCCTTCATTTTAGAGATGAGGACCCCTAAGGCCTGGGGAGGGGAGATGATAGGTGTAGGGAAAAAAAAAAGAAACTTTTTCCTCTAAATAAGATTAGCAAAACGATAAATTAACAGGAGAAAAATAGAGAGTTTATTAACACGTGCAGCACACATCACACAGGAGAAACCTCAGTGATGAGTAACTCAAAGTTTCAAGAGTTTTTATTTCTTTTTTCTGTATAGCACTTGTCAGTCTCTGATATTGATTTTTACTTGTTTCTTAATGTTTGTTCTCCTTCCACTAGTACGTACACTCCATGGGAACAGTGATTTTCATCTGTTTGTCACTGCTTTATTCCCAGCACATAGAGCTGTGCCTAGAGTGGTAGGCAGATCATTGTTAAAACAATGAATACATGAACTTCGGGCAAGTTACTTAACCATTCTGTACTTCAGTTTTCTTGTGAGTAAAATAGGGATTAAAATAGTGCCTACTTCATGGAGTTGCAATAAAAACTAAGGGAGTTAATCCATCTAAAGTACCAATAACCCACCTGGCCCATAGTAAATGCTCAATAAATAGGTTCCCAGCCAGGCGCAGTGGCTCACACCTGTAATCCCAGCATTTGAGAAGCCGAGGCAAGAGGATCACTTGAGTCAGGAGTTCGATACCAGCCTGGGCAAGTGGTGAAACCCCATCTCAACTAAAGATACAAAAATTAGCTGGGTATGGTAGCAGGGGCCTGTAAACCCAGCTATTCAGGAGGCTGAGGCAGAAGAATTGCCTGAACCCGGGAGATGGAGGTTGCAGTGAGCTGAGATCATGCCACTGCACTTTAGCCTGGGCAACAGAGTATAAGACTCTGTCTCAAAAAAATAATAATAAAAATAAATAAGTTCCTTATTATAATTACTAAATATTGTATTTCCTCACTAGAATGCAAACTCCTTGAGGGCAGAGACTATTTCTTACATCATCTTTTTATTTCTAGTAGCAATTTGGCTGACACATGATTGATATTCAGTGTTTGTTGAACAGATAGATAAGTTATAGAAAAATTGTAGGTAATACTTCTGTAAATAATTGTTAAATTTAAATGAATAGATTTCCTTCCTGTCTTTTTCCCTAAGCTGCAATCAGTGAATCTACATGGATTACATAGATTGTGACTACACTGTGCCTTAACTCATCACTTAGGCAGTGGAGTCGATCATTTATTTTGTTGCCATGACTTGGCTGAAATTTCTTGGGGACTGACAGCAATGGCAGAAACTTGATGGGTCCTGAATGTCACCATAGCCTGTAAGCTACACAGGAGCCACCCGAGAACTCCTCCATTCGTGGTTGTAACTTCACAGAAATGCTTCCCAGTCAGAGGAGGTACTTAGCAGAGGCTGCAGGCATCTGAACAGACAGGTGCAGGAAAAGTTGAAAGGGAAGGTTAAGGGAGAAACATACTCCTCATCTCCGTTCTCAAGAAACGGCTTAAAGGTTGTAAAAGGATTCTGCTTTTAAGCTTGAGTCACTCATTTGACTTCTGTGGGCCTTGCAATTTCTCTGGTAAAATTAGAGAATATGACCAAGATTATCTCCAAGGACCTGTCTTACTTTTTAAGTTTCCTAATTCTGTGAAAAATGCTTAAGAAGGCCTCAGACTGATTAAGAATTTAGGGGTGTAAGTTTAAGTGGGGATACTGATAAAAGGGCAGGGGATGTTACTGTAAGAGCAATGGAAAAGTGTCTGAGTAGTGTAGCATATCCATTTGTGAGAGGAGTAATTAATTAAAAAATGAAGGCAGAATCCACATCTTCACAAAAGTTTCCTATCTCCTGGTTTGGATGAGTGTATTTAATGTGAACTAAGTTGCATGTGGGCTGTCTAATCTGGGCATCTGACTTGTGAATCCTTCCCATAACTAAGCCCCGAGAGATTTCCAATCATGCCCATAAGGTAATGCAATTTGGCAAGAGGATTTGGACTTGACGAAATCTCTTGTTCTATTTGGCATCCAGAAAAGGCTGACTTGCCTAATTTGAAAATAAATTGAAAACAAAAAAAATTTAAAAAAACCTCTGGTTGTTCCTTGTTTGATGAAATACCATAGAAAACTATTACTCTTTTTCCATACCCCATTACTATGGAGAATATGTTTTTACCACTGACTCTTCTAAGTATCTGTCCTTAGTTTCCTGTCCTTCCCTGCCACAGGTTCCAGGAAGGCTGAATCACTACAGCATGGTATTAAATCATAGAAATACGTGTGTATTTTGTACCATGTGGGTCTGCTTGCATTCCTAACATCTGCATTAGTATTAGTTTTCTATTGCTGCATAACAAACTGCCACAAATTTAGTGGTTTAAAACAACATTCATTTCTTATCTCAGTTTCTTTGGGTCAAGAATCTGGACACAGTTTACCTGGGTCATCTGCAAAGGGTCTCAGAAGGCTGTAATTAATGTGTTAGCCAGGGCTGTGTTCTGATCTGAGGCTTGACTGAGGAAGAACCCACTTTGTTAGCAGAATTTAGTACCTTGTGGTTGTAGGACAGAGGATTTTAGTTTCTTACTAGCTGTTGGTTGGAGGCTTCCCTCTGTTCCATACTATGTGGGCCTCCCAACCTAGACACCCACAACATGGCAGCCTGCTCCTTCAACAACTAGCAAGGGAGTTTAATGTTTTCCTGTAGCTCATATTTCTTTATAGGTGTGACCTCAATTTTTCCCCTAATACCTTTGTAAGATAGAAGTAGGGAGAACCAAGATAGATCCAAAAAGGCTGAATGAAATGCCTGAGATTGAGCTGGTGGTTGCATTGAACAATATAAATTGATGAATAACAATTTATTAATTGTGCCAGGCACTGTGCTAAGAGCTTCATGTCAGTACATTCTTGTTTAGTTCTTAGCACAACCCTCTGAGTTAGGTATTACTACTACTAAACTATTTAACAGGTAGGGAAGTTGGGGATTAGAGAGGTTATGTAACCTGCCTAAAGTTCACAGACAGAAAGTGCACAGCCCAGATTTGAACACAGGCAGATTCCAGAACCCACTATCATCGCACTCTGAAGATCTCTCCATTAGAGCACGATGCTGCCATGTTCAGGATTCTTCCTATCTTTTGTTAAATACTTAAGTTCCTG
Organism: Homo sapiens; assembly: GCF_000001405.40. Classification (NCBI taxonomy): domain Eukaryota; kingdom Metazoa; phylum Chordata; class Mammalia; order Primates; family Hominidae; genus Homo; species Homo sapiens. Next base: position 11,699,092 of record NC_000012.12, read on the forward strand.
CAATATTGCAAAGGGATAATTGTAATAGGTTGCCCCTTTCAAAGTGCTTTAATAAAATGAAAGGACAACATTCTTTCTTTTCTGCTTGAGCCAGGCTTTCTCATTTTTCTGAAGACATCTAGGATAAATGGAAGGAAACCAGAATTTAGTGGGGTTTGCATGTATTGATAACAGTTTTGCTGAATACACATCCAAGAGCTAAAACATGCAAACTCTTCAAAATTGGTAGAATACAGCTTGCTCATTTTAATTCATTTAAAAATGTTCATTTTAATTAAGCATTACCCATTTTATTATTCCATAAAACACGAATCATCTGGAAAAGGCAGCATAGGTCTATTTTTCCAGCCTATAAAACTATATGTAGATGGATCTTGATGAGGGATGTACAAGATTTAATTAGAAACTGAAATTTTAGAGTAAAAAAATGCAGGGGTGTGTGTGTTTCTTCTATATTTGTGGAAACCCAAAGAGCTATCCTGCAGGATACTTGAAAATATATATAAATACAGAGGAGAAATAAAGTGCGGAGAAGGTTTGTTGATTATTGAGCTTTTTCATGGGTGATAGAATGGAGCAGCTGTAGGATGGAGGTAAAGAGGATAGGAAAATGCTCTTCTGGGTCAGACCCAGCCCCACATCCCAAAATGTTGTGGCCACCCTCTGTGTTATGTAAAATGTAGGAAGGTCCTCCCAGCTGGAGGACCTTCGAGTATACTGCGTTCCCCCTCCTCATTCACTAGGGAGGATGCAAAGGTGCAAATGGGCCAAGGTCATGCATTGGACTTCCTTCATTAAACTGTTATGAATTTGCCTTCCCTGAGCTCCTGTTGGAAAAATGTCTTGAACTTACTGTTGTTGTTTCTCCTACTGCGTTTGTATTTCTTTTTATAAACCTTAGTCCAAGTCAGCCCAGTGCTGTAGTTATTTGTGTATCTGTGTCATTCTCCCTAGGATGCCCTGGGCCATTTTTAATCAACTTTGATCCCCTTTCAGTGCCTTGCATGAGGCCTGGAACATTGGAGGTACACACTGTGTATTGACTGAATCGAGTGAAAGGTATTTGAATATACAGTTGACTCTTGAGCTACATGGGGGTTAGGTTGCTGACCCCTCACGCAGGAAAAATATCTGTGTATAACTTTTTAAAAAATAAATTTGGGGGTACAAGTGCAGTTTTGTTACATGGATATATTGTGTAGTGGTGAAGTCTGGGCTTTTAATATAGCCTTCACCCTAGTAGTGAACATTGTACCCAATAGGTAGGTTTTCAACCTTAACCTGCCTCCTATCTTTGGAGTCTCCAATATATGTTATTTCCCTCTGTATGTTCCTGTATACCCATTCTTTAGCTCCTGCTTATAAGTGAGAACATGCAATATCTTACTTTCTGTTTCTGAGTTATGTATATAACTTCTGAGTCCCCAAAAACATAACTACTAATAGCCTACTGCTGACTAGAAGCTTTACCGATAACGTAAATGGTTAATTAACACATATTTTGTTTGTTATATGTATTATATACTATATTCTTATAGTACAGTAAGCTAAAGAAAAGAAAATGCTATTAAGAAAATCATAGGAGAAAATATATTTACCGTTCATTAAGTGGAAGTGGAGCATCATAAAGGTCTTCATCTTCATCATCTTCATGTTGAGTAGGCTGAAGAGGGCTTGGTCTTGCTGTCTCAGGGTGGCAGAGGTGGAAGATGCGGAGGAGGCGGGAGGAAAGGCAGGCCACTCAGTGTAAATTTACTGAAAAAAATTCACATATAAGTGGACACACGCAGCTCAAACATGCTGTTCGAGGGTCCACTGTATTTCATCTGTTTGTTTCCTACTGTGGAAGACAGGGCTTCCAGGCTTTAGTTCTAAAACTTCCATTGTAAGGCCTTGAGGAGGATCCTCTCATTCCAGTAATCTGAGAGTTGGTAAACAAATTCAAAGCCACTGTATCACTGTCCTTTATGTCCCTATGTTTTTTTTTTTTACTTTTTTTTGCCATTTCTTTTTTCTTTTGCACTTTAAAAATCGTGGTAATATATACATAATATAAAATTTGCCCTTTTAACCATTTTAAGTATACAATTCAGTAGCATTAGGTACATTCACATTGTTGTGCAACCATCAGCGCTCTCCAGAACTTTTACATCGTCCCCAGCTGAAACTCTGTCCCCAGCAAACGCTGGCATGCCCTTCTCCCCTCCCCCAGCCCCTGGTAATCAGGGGTCTTCTTCCTGTTTGTGAATTATGACTACTCCAGGTCTCTCCGTAAGTGGAATCTCATTTGACCTTTTGTGACTGGCTTATTTCACTTAGCATGATGTTAAAAGGTTTATCCATGTTGTAGCATGTGTCAGAATTTCATTCCTTTTTGGCAGCCATTGTCTTAAGACTCAAGAGTTTAAGTGTTTTTAGTCTCTGTAGCCAGAGGTAGATTTTTCTTCCAGCTCTGTGCTTGGGCATTTCCCAAAGCGAAACTTCCAAAGGCACATCCTGTCTTCCTGAGTGGTATTCTTTGAGGCAGCTGAGTAGCAAAACTGAGGCTATTAATGTTCGCTTAGCAACTGAGCAGCTACTGTGTATCAGGGGCTCTGCCTGTGACCAGGGAGTACACGGTCTTGTAGAAGAGAAAACCGGGTACTCAGCTAACTGTGGTACCATGTGCTAGGTGCCAAAGGAGGAACAGAGGGCCCTGCGTGATCTGCTCAGGACCGTGAGGGAGAGGTAAGAAGAGTTCAAAGGAGAGGTCATATTTCAAACAGACCTTGAAGCTGTTCAAGGCAGAGAAGAAAAGGATGGTGTTCCACGAATGGCCTGAGCTAAGGCAAGTGGAAACACGAGGTTTGTTGGAAGAATCGCAAGGACAGCCTGATGTTTATAGAAAGTGGAGAGAGTGTGGGGAATGACATTAGGGCGTATATGAATGCCATGCTAAGGATTGGGGTACAGGTAACTTGGAGGCCTCATGCAGTTAGACTGACCCCGTTCGATCTGTGGGTTGACAGGGGGGTGTGAATGGATTGGAATGGGAGAGACCACTGTGTGGGGCAAATGGGAAGGGAGCGTGGTTGCAGCATTTTAGGCCAGAGATGGTGAGGGCCTGAAGCAAGGCAGTGAGAGAGAAGAATTTGCTCATGGTCAGGTGCATCGGGCCTGTTGACAGCAGAGTTTGTTGGACTGCTCCCACCTATTGCTTTTTGTCTTCTGAAGTTTTTATAATTTCAATTCCAGTTTAGAGGTCTGTTTTTAGAACATTTCTCCGATCTTATTATACCCATAGTGGCAAGAATGAATTGATTTGTACAAGATAGCTGGACAGGTTCCTACCTTCAGGCTTTCTACCCAACTGGGCACTTGGAAGGATAGTTTTTCATAGTCTTCATGGGCTAAGTGATTGCATGTAATATACAATAGCTGGAGTCTAACTGTAATTAAAACAGGTTAGCCAAGCTACAGGAGAAGTATCCCCCCCATCCCCACCCCCATGGCCCTTCCCCACTGCCTGTAATCTCTTGGTAACAAAAGAAGTCAAACAAAAATTTCATGCAAGGGTATAAACATACTTTGAGTCATCAGAACCTACCTAGTGGTCCATAGAACCTTGGCTCTTCATGAAGGGCTTACCAGGAAGACATAGTCGTTGTTCATATGCAGTTTCTATTCTGAACTGTAAAATGTGAGCGATTACTTTGGAAAATTAGAAGAAAAAATGAATTTACTCAGGATCCTTAAAAGGTTACATTTGTCATGCCTGTAATCCCAACAATTTTGGAGGCTGAGCCGGGTAGATCGCTTGAGCCCAGGAGTTTAAGACCAGCCTGGGCAACATGGCAAAACCCTGTTGATACAAAAAATACAAAAATTAGCTGGGCGTGGTGGCACATGCCTGTAGTCCCGGCTACCTGAAAGGCTGAGGTGGGAGGATGACCTGAGTCCGGAGAGGTTGAGGCTGCAGTGAGTCAAGATCGTGCCACTGCACCCCAGCCTGGGTGACAGAGTGAGACCTCCTCTGGAAGAAAACAAACAAGTGACATTTATAGGAGGGTCCCAAACATACAAATATGGAAAGTGAAAATACTACTTGCTACAGGTACTGAAAGAAAATACTCAGGAGTCATTATTCAACTGAAAGCAGATTGAGGCAAAGGTGCTGAAATATACTAAAAATAATGAGTTTCAAAGAAAATCATCTTTTGTTAACCTTTGCATTAGTCAGTCCTTATTTTTTCGTTTTAGTCACTCCTTTACAACAATGTGTATAAATATAGAAGATGAAGAGAAGTGTGATAAAAATAATTTAAGATTTGGAACATGGGTTTTCAAAGGAAAGGTTAGAGAAATTTGGGGATTAAAATGGACAGACTTTATCATCTTCAATATTAAAAAAAAAAACAGAAGGATATTTACGAGCAAGCCAATGAAATGATACCAAGAAGTTTATAACACATACTCTGCCCTTATGGGGCTTTCACCTAGCGGCCATGTTTCCATTGTGCAGTTAACTACTCAGTTATTTTTTATTTCCCAAGAGCACTAAGTGAAAGCAAATGCATGTTAAGTCGTGGGGGCTATTCTGAATGATCAATAGAGCCCACCAGAGTCCCTTATAACTAACTACCCATTAGCAGATGTGGAGTTTCCTTCTTGGGGATGGAGGGGACTGAGTCGGGGAGCTTCCTGGATGGGAGTTTGAACCAAATAATCTTAATTATGTAATTCCTTTCAATTTTAAGATTTGAGGGCAACTTTAGAAAGAGATAAGTAATTGACTGACCAACTTTATAAAGAGATCAGTAATTGACCACCCTTGGAGTGTAAGAGTCAACACCTAAAATAAATGTATATTTCTAATATTTTGAAAATAGAAGAAAAAGGAAGAAAGGAGGAAAGACAAGTTATCTAGTGGAGACGATGAATTTTCAGGTCATCCTTCTAGTTTTTATTTTAGACTTGTGTCTTTAGTTGAAATTATTACAACTTGCATGTATTTTGTCTGTTTACTCATTATTTCGTCTGTCTCACCGTTCCAAGGTAAGCACCGTGAAAACGGACTGTGTCTTTTTAGTTCTTTACTGTGTTTCTGCCATCAAGCCCAGTGTTGACACATGGTAGGTACTCAAGACATGCTGGCTGAATGAATCAGTGAGTAGTGAAGGTGGATCATGGGGAGAAGAGTGCTGCAAATACCAGAGAGAAGGAGAAGAAGGAAGTGGAGGGGATAGCGGAAGAAGGGGAAGAGGAGTGAGTTTACAAGGCCTTTTTTTCTTTTTTTGACAGAGTCTCACTCTGTTGCCCAGGCTGGAATACAGTGGCGTGATCTCAGCTCACTGCAACCTCTGCCTCCCAGGTTTAAGCGATTCTCCTGTCCCAGCCTCCCGAGCAGCTGGGATTACAGGTGCACGCCACCACAACCGGCTAATTTTTGTATTTTTAGTAGAGATGGGATTTCACCATGTTGGCCAGGCTAGTCTCAAACTCCTAACCTCAAGTGTTCCGCCCACCTTGGCCTCTCCCTTGCTGGGATTACAGGTGTGAGCCACCATGCCCAGCCTCCAAGCCCTTTCTTTTAAAAAATAAATTTTATTGTTTATATTTGAGATTTACAACATGATATTATGGGATACATATAGCTAATAGAATGGGTTGCTATAGTGAGGTAGGCAACCATTCTCACAGGGGTTTGTGTGTGTGTGTGTGTGTGTGGGACAAGAACAACTAAAATCTACATATTTAACAAAAATTCCTAATAGAATATAGTTTTATTAAGCCTTAAAAAAGGAGATCTTGCCATTTGCCACAACATGGATAGACCTAGAGGACATTATGATAAGTGACATAAGCCAGATACAGAAAGAAACATATTGTATGATCTCACTTTTATCTGAAATATTTATTTTAAAAGCTCAAATACAGAGACAGAGAATGAAACAGTGGTTAATGCCGGTGGAAATGGGGAGATGTGGGTCAAAGGACACAAAATGGCAAGTGCACAGGATGAGCGTGTCTAGAGACTTAATGTACAACGCAAAGACTAAAGTTAACAAGGCCTTTTGGTTCTGTTGCTGTTGTTGCATTACGTAATAGTGTGCTAAGAACAGGAGACACATAACGTCATCTAAAAAACAGGAGATGAAGTGGGCCGGTGCTCAAACATGCTAGCTCCGGGAAACAATTCAGGATGATTTGCCACTGAGTCAGGTTTGTTAATTTTTTCTACAATAGCCAAAGGCTCTCAAAAAATCAAGGTTTCCTGGTTTATAAATAATCTCTGGAGGGGTGTGTGTGTTTCAGGCATCTGACTCCTTTATTTATATTCTCTGCCCTGGCCTTCAGATGATTTTCGAGCGGCTTTCGATTAGATTATCTGCATTGGGATAATGGAGCAATTTTGCAGCAAACTGCTTTGGACTGTTCGACTCTTCTCGGCCTGAGTAGCCAAAAAATAATAATAACTTGATTTAGTCTGGTCTAGCCTGCTGTAGTCTGACTTAAGGATATAATATCCCAGACCTTAGACACTTGACTTAATACATTAACATATTAACAAAAGGGTAAAACAAAATACTAGAAGAAAACATAATAAAAACAGCACATTATTTTTCGGGCATTTGACTTGAACCACAGGGTGCCCTCATAATGAAAAGAATATTCCAAGGGAAAGATGAGAAGGCAATTGAGACAACCCTAAGCCCCTGTCTGCCCACTCAAACCCTCTGGCCACCACTGTACTCTCTCCACCATGAGAAAGCAGGCCAGGAGTCAGTTCAGCTGCCTGTGTTTAAGTGCTTTTAATATCCATGGAGGCACAGAGAAATGAAAGCAGGAGCCTTGAATCTAGATTTTTCCAGAATCCTTTTGAGAGACTTATTGTAGCGGCAGGAGCTCCATTTTGGGGGGGTCACCCCCTGAACTTTGATGGTTTTCAAATCTTTGGAGGGCCTTGGTCTTAGTGGCTCAGAGGTCCCCTGCCAGGACTTCTTTAGGATGGGGATGATAGGAAGCGAACGTTCCTTCTGTTGAGGTGCATCAGCCTTGCATCTGAGTTCTTGATGTCCTCAGGCCTGGCTTCCCAGTTGGTTAAAGGAATGAAAATAACAACGCCTTTCATTTGCAGTGCAGCTTTAAAAATATTTGCTTTTGCTATCTCATTTTATCCTGATAATAACCGTGTGAGAAAAGCAGGATGGCAGTCTTACTGTCCTTGTACACATGGAGAAATAGATGCACAGAGGTTAAGTTGCCCAGTTTAGTAAAGGGCAGAGCAGGGACTAGACTCCATTTCTCTTCGCTGGAAGAGCCCAGCACTATCACATTGCAAGATTGTTTCTTGTAAAACAGTCCTGCATAAAAATAAAAAAGAGTAGAGAGCATGATGTGAATTTCAGCTTTTAGAGGCTGCTGTCTGTTTTTCATAGGTTAAATAGTGAATCAGTGTGCTCCGAGCTTCCATGAGGGGCAGCCCTCCTTACCTGGCAGGTTACTGAGTTTTCTAATGACTTCAGTTTTAGGTGCTAGGAGATAGTAGGGCCACCTGCACTGTTTTGTGAGCAGGACAGATAAGAGGCAAGTGGAGAGGGTGGGAGAGCACTGGCTTGCATCATACACCCCAGCTGCCCTTGCAGGGCCCGACTGTTACAAGCCAGGTATTTCTAGGACGATTGCATTCCTAGCCATATCTGTTTTCTTTCAGATGGGGCGTACAATTTACCTTTTGAGTTCTGTAAATGGAATCGAGGTGAAATCTTTACTCTGGTGCACATATGACCTGCAGGTTGATGCTGCTTGTTTGGAAAGCCCTCTACTTCACAGCGAACAGTTTGTACTGTCAGGTAGACCTCTCTGCCAGGGGACCAACTCCTGTGTATTTGAAAAGGAAGACAAACCTGTATTTTGTAGAAAGGGTCTATTGTTCCCAGGGGGTGGTTGTGGCCAACTTCTTGGACTCCTTTGGCTGACTCTGAAGAAGGAATTGAAGTCAGAATGCTAATCACTGACTTGCACAGGCCTCAACAATCAAACCTCAGGGAACTCAGAAGAAAGTAAACAAGAGCGCTCAATTGCAGAGTCTTGAAGAAGAGCAGCTGTGTAAAGGAGGCTAGACGTGAAAAAAACGTGTTGGAGAGGAAAAAAAATCACATTCCCTGCTTCTCAAATGGGAAGTCTTAAAAATAATAAAGAATCCTGAGCAGCGGGCTCATTTCCCATGAGCAGGCTTGCTGTGGCAGGCAGGCTCACCTGCTAGAGGTGGTCTCCTGGCTTAGAATGGGAGCACACCTGTGGGAATCGCAGCGCTTCTCTACCTGAGCTGGATGTAGATTGTTTGAAAATCCTAGTTGTGCACTGCGTTTCCATCGATCCCTTTCATGCTCCCACTTGTTCCTTTAGTTCCAAATAGCAGGCTGGTGTTGAGAATTCTGTCATCATGGGGCGTTTTTTTCTAAATGTGAGAAATGTCGGAAGCATGGGTGTTCTCAGATTGCTTTAGCCACTGATGATTTTCCTTTTAGTGTATGGAAAGAATGATTTTCTTCTCAATTTCTCCCCTCTAACCTCCTGCATGTAGATTTATGGATTCTAATCGGGACCTTTCTTTGATTCAGTGCCAGGTACACAGGCCCCGAGTCGTATGTGGCAAGTGGCCAAGGGGATCGGTCCTGGAGAACGTCATGGCACACAGGCATTGGCCATGGAGTGGTGATCCCTGGCTCTGGTTCTTCTCCGTCCAGTGACCTGGCATGTCACCTCACAGGGCCATATTTACCTGTTAACTGAGAAACTGAACTAGAACATGGTTATGATAATTTTAATCTCAACTTTGTCTCCTCCTATCTTATGGCAGTAAAGTGACCTTTTAGCAGGATCAATTTATAAGCCGTTTGAAGTCTATCTTTTCTTCCCTTAGCAGTTGTATTTGTGATTTTCTCAGCCTGATTTTAAGTTATTCTGTTATAATTTTGAATGTTCTGTTATGCTTCCCTCTGTGGTGAGCATACGTCGAAAGCTGTACATTTCCTTCAGGGTAACCTTTGTTTCCAACAGGAGAGAGTTCTCACTACCACATCCAGCCTTGATCTCTTTAACCTAAATTGGAATAAGCCAGACAGAGCTGGGGTTCATGGGACAGATGGGAGCATCTCAAGTTTAGGGTTGGGGAGTCTCAGTGAAAAAAAAAAAAAAAAGAACAAGAATGTAGACTTGGAATTTGAGAACAGATAAAGCAGTCCTCACTTGTGCTCTGCAAGGGAGTGCTGTTGTCTTCTAAGGTATTGAACAGACTGGGTGGGAAGCTGCTGAAAGACTGGAAATTTGGGGACTTAGCAAGAAGTATAATGGTGCTGTAACTGCGTTTTCTTAAGGAAACTTGGAGCTGAGGTGCCACCTCCCTGGGAGGGACTTTTCCACTGGTTTCTTGCAGTCTGGACATCACAGACGGCCCAGACTCCCCCCTGTCTTGTGTACATTCCCTTCTACAAGCCTTGCTGTGTTATCACAGGTACCACTTGTAGGCCAGTATCATGGGGGATGGACATTGTTTCATTCTAGGCACATTCAGGAATCGTATATGTACCCTGCCTCGCTTCTGACCTCTCAAGTCAACTTTTGGAGCTGTTAGTGACTTCCAGAAAGCTGACACCCAGTGCCACTCAACCAACCCTGCTTTTCTGCTGGTTTATTTTTGTTATTCCTACCCCGACTCATCTTGCTTTTCAGCCATCAATGAGAATTTATTGAGTTACTCAGACACTCACTCAGACCCTGTGGGAGAGTAGAAAGATGTGTAAGAAACTGTCCCAGAATTTTGAGGGACTTAAAATCCATTCGAAAAGGCAAGGTCTAAGCACATGAAAAGTTACCTAGCAATATCAGCTCATGAATGGAGAGACAGTTGATCAGAGAAAGAGAAATGTCTGTTCAGGAGTGGTCAGGGGAGGCTGCATTGAGGTGATGCACACGTGTGGCCTGAAAGCTTGATTCGTTCCCCACCCCCCATTGTATTCTATATGTAATATTTGATATATAACCAAGAAGCTATGTGAGTTACAAAGCATGATGATACAGTGAACACCTATGAACTCACCACCCAACATAAGAACCAAAATGACTGATATTGATACCCTACCTATATACCTCTACCTTCTTCCTCATTCTACCCCTGCCCTCTTATCCCAGTTAGCCACTGTCTTAAATTTTACAGATTTTATTCCGTTCCTTTTTTTCTTTTTTGAAAGCGTTTGATCTTTTCTTCTCTCCTCCTCTCCTCTCCTCTCCTCTCTTCTTCTTTTCTTTCTTTTCGAGATGAGGTCTCGCTATGTTGTGCAGGCTGGTCTGGAACTCCTGAGCTCAAATGATCCTCCCACCTTAACCTCCCAATAGCTGAGAATATAGGCCTGTACCACTGCACCTGGCTAGATCTCATGTTTTCTTTGGAAATCTAGTAATTGTGATATAGGATCTCTGAATGCAGAACACCTAGGGCACAAGTGATGCTTAATTTTATGTGTCAACTTAGATGGGCCACAGTGCTCATATGTATGATCAGATATTCTTCTGGATGTTTCTGTGAAGGTATTTATGGATGAGACTAATATTTAAATTGGTGGACTTTGAGTAAAGCACATGGCCCTCCGTAATGCGGGTAGGCCTCACCCAATCAGTTGAAGGCCTGAATAGAACCGAAGAGGGAATGCCACAGCAGATGGCCTTCAGACTTACACTGCACCACCGGCTCTTCTCTGGGTCTCCAGCCTGCTGGCACATCTTGCAGATTTTGGGCTTGTCTGCCTCTATAAGCACATAAGCCAGTTCCTTAAAATAAATATCTGTGTGTGTGTATGCATTTATATATACACACACCACCCTATTGGTTCACTTTCTCTGGAGAACCCTGACTAATACAGCATATCACACCTCTCTGTATGCCACGTAGGTAGCACTGCAGAATTAATTTGCAGAGTATTCTCACATCGGGAGGTCAGCAGTATATTAGGCGCATATCAGAAAGGCATTTGGATGATTCTGGCCTACACCATGGAAGAGAAACCTTGATTTTCTGTAAAAGCAAGGCCAGCTTTTTTTGGAGAACTCTTTTCTCCCTTTTAGTATTCTGTCCCCTCCCAAAGCTCCGTGGCTTTCTCTGGTCATTCAGAGACCGTTATTCCCTCCCCAGCATACATGCACACTCATGTCTATGGTTTCCCGTACCTTCTCTGTGGAGCCCTGGTTCTGCCTGTTACAAGGAAAGGCATTTAGTTTCTCTGACCTCCTGTCTCCTCAGATGTCAGTCTGTATTTATTATGTGTCACCATGTACTAGATACTGATTTAAGTGCTTTGCCTGTTTATTCCATGGTATTTTCACAACAATCCCAGGTGGTAACTACTATCATCTTGTTCATTTTGCAGTGAGAAAATGGCAAGAAAGTCATAGAAATGGGATTTGAGTCCTGGTAGTCCGACTTTAGAGCGCTTGCTTCTGACGCTTCTGAAACACATTATGAACTGGAAATTGCTCTACAAATATACACTACTGTTAGTATCACAATGCTAGTATTATAGTGCGCCTATTGCCTTGGGGCCCTGCGCTCTGCTAGTTGATAGCTAGGGCATTTTTGGAGCTGATGCAGGCTAATGAGGGTCGTTGATAGGAAAGTATTGCTTTTCCTAGAAAGCTCTGGTTCTTTGACAGAAGCCTTCTGGTGGCCACAGTTCCTGAGCCCTAAGAAGAAATCCTGTAGGGTACCTCTAGGACATGATGGTTAGTGTAGGGTCATGAGTCTGCTCTCTGGTCATGTCAAGAAAGCTGCCCCCTACTTTGTGTTTAAGCAGATCCTGGAGGCTGCAGGATAGCCCATTGAGACTAAGTGGAGACCAGGCATCAGGTGAGGAAGCCTTAGCTTGGAGGGTCAGAGGCCTCAGCTAGACTTGGTAAATATTTGGCACTTCCTCTCCCTCACAGGACCACAGCAAATGTTAAATAATCACAGCACTCTTTAGTTTGACCACCACTAATCGATTGAGTTGGGCAAATAGCATGGAAGGTCTTTGCCTATTCTTTGGGAGCTCTGGGTGTCCCCAGAGAATTGAGTCTGGCATTAAGTTTTGCCTCTCCTTTCTCGTTTTCTTTTCCCAGCCATATTTCTCCAGGTTTTCAGCACAAACTCAACCCGTTATTTTTGTTTCTTCAGTGTCTTTAACTCTTTCCCTGCCTGTTGAGATGGAGTCTCACTCAGTTGTTTAGTAATGGCAGTACATCGAGAAGACCATCACACAGCAAGAGTTCTAGGAGTTTCTTTGCCTGTGAGGTTAGTTTTCTATATTTCATTTGTGGAGGGAACAGAAGTGATCCCATTTAAGTGTGGAAACTTTCTTTTTGGAACATTTTCCTTCCTTTTTCTTCATACATCGTGGTTCCTTCTCTCCTGCACTCTCACATAGATACCAGTATATAGAGATACTGTTTCTAATCCTGAAATTCCTTTTTTGAAGAAAAGAGAACATTGTGTGCCATTGTTTTCTGCGGGAGATCTATGCTGCGCTTCTGTTTTCCAAACATTTATCCTTAAAGCATTTTCAGATGTCAGTTAAACAAGGGAGCAATGGCCCCTGGGTCCTGTTAGGGACATACTCTTAATGACTGTAAAATGAATAAGGTATAGAGGAATATTCGTCTGAAGTCATGATTTGTACGTCATTTCCTTGCTTTCTTCAACATCATTATTTCTGAACCAGAAAGTATTTTGATCAACATTTTGGAGGAAGAATTGTATGGTATTTCCCAACCTTCCCCCCGTGGGTGGAATTGCATCACTGAATCACTTTTCTCTATTTTTTTCCACTTTCTGTCTCCTGTTTTGTCAAGGCTCCAGCAAACTCCAGCCTTTTTTCTGTGTTTTTTAGTCCTAAAATTCTAGCCTGGCATCTGCGATTGTGTTAGTTTCCCATCATTATTTTCTAGCCTAACAAGGAAGCCTCGTGAAAACAAAGCGTTCTGTTTAATCCTCAGGTGGACGTTTGAACCCTCGTAAACATGCTCCCTTCACCCCCCCATCTTACTTTTTAGCAATCTCAGAGATCAAAAAGACAGTCATCTCATCCAGTGTAGACAAAGTGAAGTACATTCCTTTCATTTGCCTTTGCTGTAGTCCCTATTTCATCCATCTAATCCGTTTTAAGGGATAAAATTGCAATTACAAACATTTCATGTGTGGTCAGATTTTTAGTATTTTAATCTGGTCTGAGACTTAAGATGAAATGACAGTTCTAACAGAGGTCCTGTGTGGAAGAAAGGACCTAGGTGCCAGTCTCAGTCCAGTCCCTTCTTAGACGTGTGACTTTGGAAAACCTCTCAGAGACCCATCATCTCGTCGTAGATGGGGATGGTATTACAGGTCGTGCTCATCTGTGTTAATCAGGGTTCTCCAGAGAAACAGAACCAATAGGAGATCCACATCGCTGTTGATGTCAATAGATAGATAGGTGTGTATGTAGGGATGGCAGGCTGGAGACCCTGGGAAGAGTTGATGTTGCAGTCAGGAGGCTGAACTTCCTCTTCCTTGGGAGACCCAAGTTTTTTTCTCTTAAGGCCTTCAACTGATTGGTTGAGGCCCACCCATATTATGGAGGGCAATCTGCTTCACTCAGAGTCTACTGACTTAAATGTCCATCTCATCTAAACGGTATCTTCACGGTGTTCAGGCAAATATCGGTGCCACGTCCTAGTCAAGTTGACACCTGAAATCAACCATCCCCCTCGCAGGAGTTTGTGAGCATCAGGTGTGAATGGTCAGGAGCTGCAGGCGTGCACGGAGGAGGCCACTGTTCTTCATGCTTGAGCCTTTTCTGTTTCTGCCTCGTTTACTTTCCTTCTCTCTCCTCACTGTTACCCTTTTCCTCCTACCTCTGACACCTGCCCTTCACCTCCCACCTGCTACCTGAGATGGGAGCCACACGTGAAGTGAGAAGAAGGGAGAATGACCAGGTGGGTGATGAATTTAAACTGGAAAGAGAACAGATCCTGATGCCAGTCAGGATAGAGGTGGTCTAGCTCTTATGTGATCATGGGCAAGTGAACATGCCTCAGTGAGCCTCTGATCAGTTTCTGTATGAGGATAATTATATTTATCCTCTAAAATGAGGATAATGATATTTATCTGATACAGTTCTTCTGCCCTAACACATACGTGTGCATTGCCTTTGCTTTCAAATGTTTGGTAATCACCTTTTTAGATTTAAATCATTACTCAAATTGAACTCTCCTTCAGCCTTTGTGTGTCTAGACTTTCCGTTAAGATTAGATTACTTGTTTTACTATGATTGTAAACCATTGTTTCCATGAAGTCTCATAGCAAATGTTCTTTTGCTTTCCTCTTTTGTTACTAGTCTCTTGTTATTTCTCAAACATATCAAGCGCACTTCTCCCTCAGGGCCTTTGCGTGTGCTGTTTCCTCTACATGGAGCTCAGATGACTGCATGTCTTTTTCCTAAACTTCTTTGAGGTGTCTGTTCAAATGTCTTCCACTCAGGGGGGCTTTCCCTGAGCACCTTATAGAAAATAAATAAAATGATATAATATCTGCTCTCACGTTCTGTTGCACTTGCCTTGCTTTGTTTTTCTTCATAGTCTTTATCTGGAATATATATTTATTTCTGTCTACATCCTCCCACTAGGACAGTGGTTCTTAACCTTGGATGTTCATTAGAATCACCCTGGGAGTTTAAAAAAATCCTCTCCTGTGTTCTAGAACAATTAAATTCAGTAATGTTATAAGGAAGAGACTCAGCATTAGTATTTTGTAAAACTCCCAGGAGATTCCTATGTGCAACCAAGCTTGAGAACCAGTGTTCTAGTCTAGAACCTTACTTCCCAGAGGATGTGGACTGGTGGCATCAGCATCACCTTTATTTGAAAGCTGAGTCCAATTCTTCTCTTTGGCAGGACCCACAGATGATGCATATGACATTAAAGCTTGAGATGCACTGCACTAGAATGCAGGGGCGTCATTTTGCTTGCTGCTGTATCCTTAGTGTCAGAACAGTACTTAGCACATCATAAGCACTCACTAAATATTTATCAAATGAATTAACGTTGGAGATGAGAGGAAGGAGGAGGTAATAATGGAAAGAGGACAAAGAAAGAGAGGCAAGGGAAGACAGAAAGAAAACAGATTTGGCCTCCCCACATTTTCTGGGCACAGATATAACGGCTCTCTCTTGCTCTTTGCTCCCAATCAAAACTCAGCCAGCCTCATGTCCAACATCTCATGGGCTTGCCTCCAGTTCTCTGCACTTTCCAAAGTGATAGCTGACTAATCAAAGATATTGTGATAATGAATTGCCTAACTACGCAGCCTGCCTTCTTCTCTTCTAGCATGTATTTGATTAGGGGCCTGCTGAAACCAATTAAGTAAATAATTCAGTATGACTTTATGAACTACCTACTACATGCATGGCTTAACACAGGCAGCCTCAAGAGGCTGAGAACCAAAGACGGAAAAAGCACAACTTATAGTCCAGCTATAGAGACAGACTTTTAGGTAAGTAATCATACCTTGAGGTGAAAAAAAAAAAAAAAAAAAAAAAGATCTGTGATGGAAGACACTTACAGACATGTAGACAGGGTGGTGTGGAAGGTCTACAGTAAGTGACTGTTTCAGACTGAGGGGAGGGAGTAGACTCCTGGTGAGGAGGGCAGGGGCATGTGAGTTGCGTATGTGAGTGGCTGGAACACAAGGTGGGGAGGCATGCTTGTGTGCTTTGGCAATCACAAAGACGGTTAGAAGGCAGTTAAAGGGTTGGAGTATGGTCAGTTCTGTGTTTTGAAGAGATGACTGACAGTCGTGGAAGGTGGATTGGAGAAGGAAGACCATGGGCCCATCACACCCAGTTTGGAGATGATTAAAGATGATACCCACGTTACATGACAGAGCCGTGGCAGGGGCAATAGGATGTAAAATGTGGAGATCGTTTTGAGATTTTTCAAATGGGGAAGACCATGTCTTTTTTGTTTAACCGAAATGAGCAGGAATTCTTGGGGTGACATCAAATTCGATAGTTCTATGAGCATATACACTGAAAACCACGATATTACGGAAATATAGGCTATTTCTCTTTTCACTGGCCTTTAGATAGACTGGATTAGTGGAGAGTTGAGCATTCGTCTTTTCTTAGAGCCTTGAGTGGAGATGGACCCTAGTGATTATTTATTTTGACTGCTTTATTTTGAAGATGAAGAGAAGGAGGCCAAGGTATGAAATGATTATCAGAACCAGGAATGCAACTTGAGGTCACCATTACTAGATACATAGTGAGTGCCAGGTGGTTTAAATACTCATTATCACCTTCAATCCTCACAACCATTGTATGAAACAGGGATGCTATGTTTATTTTAGGGATGAGAAAACCCAAAACTCAAGGAGGTAACTCACCCAAGGTTTTGCAGCTAGTAAGTGGTACAGCTGGGATCCAAACCCAGGTGTGTCCCAGCTACGCTGTGCCATCTACTCCTCTGCCCTGCTGCTTTCCTAATCAGTACTCCCTGATGCTGCTGAGGAAGAGTCGAACTTATAGAGGTCACACATTGTTTTCCTTGTTTTTGGATGCAGTTTTGTTTTCTTTGATAATCATAAATTGAGGATTTATGACAGCCGATTTCTCTCTGTTATTTTGGTCACAATTTCACAATGTGACCTTTGGAAGTAAGGGCTTTGAGTTCCTTAAAATAGCTAAATTGAGAGGATAAAGGAAAACTGACTCAAATCAGAGAATTTGCATCAGGTTTCTGTAGGTTTCTTATAATAATCAACAAGTATTTAGCAATTCTTTTTTCACATAAATAGAAGAGCCAAGAGAAGAACAGCGTCTTTGACCTGATGGTGTTAAGCCTGCAATCTGGGTAAAAAGGAATTTGCGGAACACTCTGGATCTGATACTGAAAAGTTGAAGAAAGCAACATCTTGCTTATTACCCTTGTGTTTAAGACCATTTGGGGCCGGGCGCGGTGGCTGACGCCTGTAATCCCAACACTTTGGGAGGCCGAGGCGGGTGGATCACGAGGTCGGGAGATCAAGACCATCCTGGCTAACATGAAAATTAGCCGGGCATGGTGGTGGGCGCCTGTAGTCCCAGCTACTCGGGAGGCTGAGGCAGGAGAATAGCGTGAATCTGGGAGGCTGAGCTTGCAGTGAGCGGAGATCATGCCACTGCACTCCAGCCTGGGCGACAGAGCAAGACTCCTTCTCAAAAAAAAAAAAAAAAAAAAAAAAAAAAAAGATCATTCGGAACCGAATATGTGAAGATCAGGGCTGTGATCTGGTGAATTGGGAGTGATTTATGCCACCCAAGCGAGTTGACCTGAACCGCTGGGGTCCATCATCCTGCTTCTGTTTCTGCACTGGCATTTGTGTTAGTATTTGGTGGAAGGTGGTTCACTTTTGGCTGAAGTTGGTGGATGTGGGCAGAGCAGGATTAGTTCCTTTCTTCTGCCCTCTCTTCTAGCAATGCTCCAAGGATGCTTTGGAAGACTCATTATTCAGAGCTGCAGCTGGACTGCCTTAGACATCTGCATTTCTCTATCTCTGAAATAAGGGACTCAAACAAGAGCATCACTCTTTTCCTTTCCAGCTCTAAAATTATGTGATTTTTCTTTCACATGGTAAGTGAAATAGTCATCTGAGCTGCTGTAGTAGGTTGAGCTTATTGTATCCCAGATCTGAGTGGTTCAACTCCATGTTCATGCTGCCCAGTTCCAAGAGCACCTCTGTGGCCTTCAAACAGTTGTACACAGTCTGTAAACTGCTCAGCCACTTCTCCCAGTCTTCTAAGCAGGCAAAGACTCCTTATCTCTTAGATCTAAAATCATTAGGTAGATTTTGATTCCAAGGGTCAAAGCACAGCATGGTAGGCAGCAAGCTCTCATCCAAGCCCGTATTTCAGCAGGCAGGCGATGCTGAGG
This sequence comes from Homo sapiens, assembly GCF_000001405.40. NCBI lineage: Eukaryota > Metazoa > Chordata > Mammalia > Primates > Hominidae > Homo > Homo sapiens. The sequence continues at coordinate 11,717,044 of NC_000012.12, forward strand.
TGCTTTAGGCCTTCAGTGCACACAGATAGATGCTTCCCCTGAGCCTCAGGGAAAGCTTTATTTTGCCCACGTTGTATTCCTTCCTGCATCGTATATGTTAATGTTGCTCTGCCACTCCAAATACAGCAGTGTCTGCTCAGTTCCATTTTCTTCCTTTTGCAAAGAGCAGGCAACCAGCTATGCCTTCCTGAGAGCAGACAAACCTGGAGCCAAGGGGGCCACATTTTCAGCTTCAATAGCAATTGCTGCAGCTCCCTTATTTCATCACCTATTAGGATGCGCAGGCGGCGCTAAGTGACACATAGCCCATAAAACATATCTGCTTCCTGCTGATTTCATGGTTCTGGAGGACAGGCTGTGCACAGGGATTCAGACAGAGTGTAGTAACAAGCAGGGGTGCTATGGAATATTCATTTATCCTAAATAAATATCTTTTTGGCAACTGCTTTTCCCTATAGTGTAATACAGTAACGCTATGGGGCATGTATACATGTGTGTGCATAAGGAACATCCGTCCATCTCTAGCTGTCATGTCTGAGAACATTAATAAAAGGCTCGACCTCATGCGCCTGCAAGTGATCACAAGACAGTTACTGAAGCATTCAAAGAAGCAATGTCTTTGTCATCTGACTCATTTTGAAAACGCATGAGAATGCTTTCCCAAGGCAATTTCTTACAAAATACACCGTGGGACATTTTTCCTATAGTTTATTGTTGTTGATGATCATCGAGAACTTTGTACCCAGAGACACTCTACACTGTGAGTGTCCCCTGATATTCCCTCCCACTCAGCCTGATCAGTGGTATCTGACCTCCAACTACTCGCTGCAACAACCCGTTCTCTAGCTGAGTGGGCCTGGACTTTGAACAGAATTAACAGCCTGGAAGTGGAGTTCTCAATCTCAACAGCCCCTTACCTCATGCAAATTTCTTTTGAGCTGAAAAGAACAAACAGAATGCCACCTTTTAAAACAACCTTCTTCGAAACATGGGGGGAAAGTCAGGTTTTATATAAATCAGAGAGATAGAAATAAGGCCCATAATAAAAAACTTGAAATAGATTTGGGAAGTTTCCGAAACTTCCAAAAACTAGTGGTCCAAAGTGGGCAATATTTTTTGTGTGCATTGAGAGGCCCTTCCTGTTTCCTTGGTCCATGCTGGTGTCTTGCCCCGTTCCAGGAACCCTGGGCTCCCCTGTGCTGAGCAGCCCCCACACCTCAGCCCAAAGCCTCACCCCTTGCCTGACCACACCCCATTTCTTTTGGCACAGCTTCCCAGACTTACAAGATGTCTTGAAGTGACTGAATGGAGTTAGTGTTCGGCAGGACTGGCTAGGTAACTACTGGGACTTGGTGCAGAATGTAGATGTAGGGCTCCTTGTTCAAAAATTAGGAAGAATTTCAAGATAGCCACAGCAGAGCATTAAAACAAACCCAGGTTGGCTAGGTGTGGTGGCACACTCCTGAAATCCTAGCACTTTGGGAGGACGAGGCAGGCGGATCGCTTGAGCTCAGGAGTTTGAGACCAGCCTGGGCAACATGACGAAACCCCATCGCTACTAAAAAAAAAAAAAAAAAAAAATTAGTTGGGCATGGTGGTGTGTGCCTGTAGTCCCAGCTACTTGGGAGGCTGAGGTGGGAGGCTTGCTTTTAAGCCTGGGAGGCAGCCTGGGCAACAGAGTGAGACTGTGTCTCAAAAAAATTCTCAGACAAGCACAGGACCTCTGTATGACTGCACAGGTCACAGGTCGCACACTCACGAAGCCAGCCCAGTGCTCAATACTGTATTTTAGAATAAGCAGGAATCAGTTTAGGGCTGCCAGACTTGCAGAACAATCACTGTGAGGGCTGATGGCAGATCCCTGATCTGTGATTCAGAAAGAGTCATTCAGACAGGCATTGCCCAGAGTCTGGGTTCTCTCTCTCCTGAAGTTGTTGAGGCTGTGCAGAATGTATGTGTTTAGTGTTTCATCCAGTCTGTTAGGGTAATCAGTGTGATTTCTCTGGCATCTCCAGGACTGGAAGCAGACCAGATTTAATCAAAGCTGTTGAAGCTGCCCAGGGACTGGCTAAGCTGCCACCCTGTTAGTGAGGCCGCTGGGGAGAGGGAAACTGAAGCCTGCACCACGGGGAGCCGTATACTGGAGTCTGGAATCCATTTGCTCCACGCAGGAGGCCTGCATCTCAAGTCAGGAGGCACTGCCTGGAAATCTAGCATCATGTTGATACTCTTTGGTGAAGGAAATGTGGTCCTTGCCCCAAGTTATCTCACAGTCCCTTTGGGCAATCTCATGCATATTAAAAATACCGACAAACATAGACCCACGAAAGATCCTGATCTTTTAGGTCTGTCATGTGATAGAGACAGTAAGTGCTCTGTATAGACATCAGGAGATTTTCTTCCCTGAAGGACAAGCTCTTGTAGCATTTTCCTGCACTGAGATGCAGTCATGCTAGCCTGTCTTTCACTCACCAGGGATGGCAAGGAAGGACCAGCTGACAAGTAATAAAGCAAACCAGTTTGTAATTTTACAGGGCTCTGAATAAAGATGCATTTATCTCTGGCCAACACCAAGAGGCCTCGATGTCTCTCACAGGGAGGAACTTGATGGGCTGTGGCGTCTTTTGGGGGTGCTAGGGCAGAGTCAGGCTTGAATCTGAGAAAGGCAAGTCTGTGCATTAAAATCCAGCACGGGGGTGGGTCTGGGGCAAGGGACAAGAGAGAAGCGGGAATGGAAGGCAGGGATGAGGACTGGTAACAGACCCTCTGCCTCCTTCCTTCCTCTTCCCTCACACTGGCTCTTTCAGCCACTTCCCTCACTGAGATAGGAAGCGGTCCTGTGGTGACGCCAAGGGCACAGGCTTCTGCTGTCTGGGCTCCGGCACAGTCATTGGCTCTGAGTCATCCGGGAAGGAAAGGCATCTTTTACCGCCCCCTCTCCCACCGTGGCCTCAGGCTCCCACCATGCAGGAAATGCCTGGTCTCCCACGAATCAGAAGCTATAAACAGGACTGGTGGCAGTTCATACAGATTTGGCAAAGGACGAGAAGCTGTGGGTTATTGGTATCAGTGATTATAGAAGGGGAAAGAGTTGATATCTGAAGATAGGAAAAGGGGCTTCTGAGGATGGTGTTAGCATGTTCAGGCACAGCATTAATCTTTAAGAGTCACGAAGAGCCATCAGCACAGTCATCTCCCTAATAAGCCTTGAGAGTGTTGTCAAAGACACTTCTGGATATAAGTAAGAAACCATTGAGACTGAGTTGTATGGTTAAACAGCACAGTTTTTAGGGAGAGGCAAAGGCAACTCTGTGTTCAGCTCTTAGTTCTGACACTTATGAACTCAGATTTAAATTCCCTGAGCCTCAGTTTCCCTGTCTGTAAAATCAGGATAAAAATTTCTTGCTCAAGGCCAACAAAAACAAGCAATGGGGTAAAGGACTCCTTATTCATAAATGGTGCTGGGATAGCTGGCTAGCCATATGCAGAAGAATGAAACTGAACCCTTACCTTTCACCATATACAAAAATTAACTCAAGATGGATTAAATCGAAATCTAAGACCTCAAACTGTAAAAATCCTAGAAGAAAACACAGGAAAAACCCCTCTTGACACTAGCCTTGGCAAAGGATTTTTGGCTAAGTCCCCAAAAGCAATTGCAACAAAAACAAAAAATTGACAAGTGGGAACTAATTAAACTAAAGAGCTTCTGCACGGCAAAAGAATCAACAGAGTAAACAGCAACCTACCGAATGGGAGAAAATATTTGCAAACTGTGCATCCAACAAAGGTCTAATATCCAGAATCTATAAGGAACTTAAATCAAGAGGCAAAAAAACAATAACTCCATTAAAAAATGGGCAAAGGGCATGAACAGACACCTCTTAAAAGAAGACATACAAGCAGCCAACAAACAAGAAAAAATGCTTATTATCACTAATCATCAGAGAAATGCAAATCAAAGCCACGACGAGATACTGTCTCACACCAGTCAGAATGCTATTATCAAAAGTCAAAAAATAACAGATGCTGGTGAGGCTATGGAGAAAAGGGAATGCTTATACACCGGTGGGGGAAATGTAACTTAGTTCAGTCATTGTAGAAAGCAGTTTGGAGATTTCTCAACTTAAAACAGAGCTACCATTCAGCCCATAAATCTCATTACTGGGTGTATATCCAAAGGAAACTAGATCATTATACCAAAAAGACATATACACTTGTATGTTTACTGCCACGCTATTCACAGTATCAAAGACATGGAATCAACCTAGGTGCACATCAACAGTGGATTTGATTTTGTTTTAATGTGGTACATATACACCATGGAATACTTTGCAGCCATAAAAAGGAATGAAATCATGTCCTTTATAGCAACATGGGTAACCATGTTGGAAGAGCTGGAAACCATAATTCTAAGTGAATGAATGCAGGAACAGAAAACCAAATGCTGCATGTTCTCACTTATAAGTAGGAGCTATACATCGAGCACTCATGAACATAAACATGGGAACAATAAACACTGTGGACTACTAGAGGGAGGAGCGGGAGGGGGTTAATGAGTCAGAAACTACCTCTTGGGTACTGTGCTCACTACCTGGATGCAAGATACCCATGTAACAAACCTGCACACGTAAACCCTATGTCTAAAGTAAAAGTTGGAAAAGAAAAAATATTTCCTAAATTGTTCTAGAATTAAGCAAGGTAATATTTATAAGACATCCAGCAGAGGGTCTGGCACCCTGGCATATAATAGATGCCTAATGAACATTAGTTTCCTTATTTTTCTTACGAGAGTAAAATATTAAGATGTACATATTCTGTTAGGTCATAGAAAGTTTGAATGGTGGGAAAAGTCAGCTGTTAAAATGCTGTGGGATCTCTTTTTGAGCCTTTTCACCTGTGATCAAAGTTGTCCATCACCCTGGCATTTTTGAGAGCTGTAATTTAAGGAAGAAGGTATCATAGGTTACCTCTGTGGAAATTCTAGAATTTGAATATTATGCCCCTGCTCACTTGTAGACTGGGCTGTCACTATAAAGTTAGGCTGACTTGACTGTATCTGATAATTAGGGGCTGGGAGAGCATGGAAAATTGAAGCCATAGATAATCCCAGTGTCTTGTTTTAGCCAATAATAATTCTTCTCCCACCAAGTCTTTATCAGAACTGCTAACAAGGAGAAAAGTCGACTGGTTTGAGTTTCCTCACCTTTTATTCTCCCCTGGGTATCTTCAGTAGAGGTGCTAATGAACAGTGAAATGGCCAAAAGGTGAGCAGCTCCAGGGAGGAGAAGAAGGAGGCTCAGATAATCCACAAACTGTAATCGCTTTGAATAATTGAGTTAACTCCAGTAAAATGTAGAGATACATTCACCTGCTAGGCATTGTTGGAAGCTAAATTAACACACTGGAAGCAAAGCTTTCTTTTAAGTTTCATTTTTAATCTAATGGTGGACATTTTGGGGCACTGCAGCCTATTAAATCTGCTAACTGATGTTCAGACGTTATGAAGGAGTTAAACTATTCTAAGAATATTCAAGGCCTGTTGTTCTCTCCTAGGCTTTCTACGTCAAAGAGTAAAGTCAGAAAAGCCAAACTGATTTCTCCTAAAATGAAGAGAATTGAAGTTACTCTCCCAAACCCCAGTTGTAGGCCAGGCCCTAAACTGAGAGAAATGGACAACCCAAATATTTTGACCTTTGCCCATTGCCAGGTGAGGCCAGATCCGGGGAGGAAGTGATGTTTTCTTATCTGCCTTAACTTAGCCACTACGTGGAGAAGCACTGTAATGTAATTAATGCAGAGGTGCTCAAATTCTGGTGTTCCTCAGAATCACCTCAGGGGCTTTTAGAAACAGTTGCTGGGCCGTTCTCTCAGAGTTTCTGATTTGGTAGGACTGGGGTGGGACAAAGAATTTGCAAATCTGAGAAGTTCCCGGTTCCAGGGACCGCACTTTAATAACCACAGGTGAAACCAATGAGAAGCTGAGCTCCGAAGTCAGACTACCTGGGCTTGAATCTCAGATCTCTCACTTGGTAGTTGTGTGACTGGGTAGTTGATAGTTTACAGAATCTCTTTGTACCCTCGTTTTCTCATTTGTAAAATGGGAATCCTAATATCTCATAGGATTGTGAGTATTAAATGAATTAATATGTGATAAGCCCTTAGAACATTCCCTGCTCTATGGCAAGTGTGCATTGTAGGTTAGTATGACACGGTTATAGGCTCTCTGTAACAATGAATATAGTGACTGATATTTTTTGAGCACTTACTATAGGCCAGAGATTGACTCAGTACTTTGCAAGGATTATCACATTTAATACCCACAACGCACTCTCCCTCCTTTCCCATGTCCTGCTTGCCTTCTTTCTTCCACTTTCAGTTATTCCTTTTTCCCTTCCATTCTTTCTTGCTCTTCAAAAGCCATATTGTGACAAAATTAATCCATTCTAAATGAAAAAGAAAATGTACCTTAGTTATAAAGTATGACCTTTGTGAGTTTTTTCAGGACTGTTCACCTGTTCTTTGCCTTTTATTCCAGCGTGGTACCCGGCACATAGTAGGAGTTTGGTGAACATTAATTACTTGAATCTCGTTATCCTTAAAAATCAAACAGGGTTTATCTATCAGGGTTCCCTTCTCTTCCTTTGTCCTATCCTGGCCTCTCCTTGACCAACACATTGGTAAATTTGGCCTCTGCTCTTTCTTTTCCCCAACTGCAGGGGCCCACATGTCAAGACAAGGTGGCATCACCAACCATTGAGAAAGCTTTTATTTCACTAGCTTCTACCTGGACCACCCATCAAAAATCTTTAAAACGAGTATTCCTTGGGACAAGGCCAGGTGTCATTGAGAGTCCCCAGGAAGAGCATAGGAGTCCTGGTCTGGGAGGGCCGGACCTACACTCTCGGGGGTGCCCAGAGGAAGAACAGGGCCTTTAAAGTCACCCTATGTTCTCTGACCCGTGCAGTGGTGGCATACTCCCTCCCCCACCCCTGACCTGAGGGTGCTGTGTGTCAGCTCTCCTAACTCTTGGTCTCATTAGGGAAGCTGGTTGTCAAGTACTGCCCAGTTACAGTTGGTTTAAACTCTCAACTAAGGGATCGTAAGCAGGTCAGCTGCCTGAGTCTCCAGTTACTCTTGCAGCTCAGGTTTCCCCTTGACAGGTCCTGATAGGGGCTACTTTTGCACCATTGATGTGGCCAGGGCTTACAGCAAGGTTTAAGGTTTCCATGCGCAGCCTTCTTGGCAGGCAGCTCCCAGAGAAAGGAGTATGGTTTGGGAGAAAGCTGCAAGGCCTGTTCGTGGATCCTTAGTATTTTGAGCCGATCACGTGGAGTGGGCCTGTGCCCATCAGTACCAGGAGACTTTATACTTAGGGGAGAATCTGTATGCGGTGTGATTTTCAAGGGTCTATTTCCTCATTGTTTCTCTTTGCTTGCCCTATGGCTGAGTATTAAATGAACATTGAAAGTCTACTATATGCCGGTTACTCTGCTAGATACTAGCAGAGATGGAGGGTAGGATACAAAGACAAGTAAGGCCTAGTCTTCAGGAAGCCTTTATTTGTGCTCTGTGTATCAGAAGAGGGTTGAGTTGGTGACAAGAATAAAGAGTTGAGGGGAGTGAGGGGCTGAAAAATAATAAGCCTTAGAGAACTAGGAATAAAGTGTTAACTTGGGAAAATTGTTGAAACAGTTCCTTAAGATATTTGTAGTAGATATGTCTCTAGATAAGAGGCTTGTCTGGCTGTGAGGTCCTTGCACGAGACCCTTGCAGGTTTCCCAAATCTATTTGGACTGGGTGTCCTGTATTAACATGAAATCGTAGGCAGACACTGAATAAATCGCAACAGAGTTTCGGTTGTGGCTGCTCCAGTGTCTTGGAGTGGTTGCTCCAGACACATAGGTCTTATCCTCCTGCCCTGAGGTTCTCCAAATTTGCATTTGGGAAGTGTATAGTTTTATGACTGTTTCTTTTATCGTGAACTTACGGCCACCCCACTTCCCTGCCCACTTCCCCATCAGCTTCACCTTGGGTCGCGGCACATCTGTTCTCCAGAACATGTTCCCTGCCAGGAATCTGCAGGGAGCTCTTAAGACTTATCTTTCTTTTTAGCTGTTTTTTTTTTTTTTCCACTCAACTTCTAGGCTAGTGCTGAGTACTTATATGTCATGCTGTGAATATGTGTGTGAATGGATTGGTCAGAATTCCAAATTTTAGTTGTAAGAAAATTCTTTTGTGCAGCGTGCATGGCTCAAAATGAGAGAAAAGACACTGACGAGGACTTGGCAGCCCCGAGCTTTTCCTTGGGATGTTATTTGCTTTAATAAATTTTGACCTATTTTGTAACAGACCAGGTTGGAGTTCCCTTTTTAACCTGCTGTTTCAACAAAGTTAAGTGCATTGAAGGTCTATCTCAAAGGCAATATATATTTTAAAAATTTCAGAATCCTATTCTGAGGCTGAATTATGGCTTTTTCTTTTCCCATAGGATTTACATGTACACTCATCTGTATTACTTCAGATGTTGCTGCTGTAGTTTGGATGTTTCTCTCCCCAAACCTCATGTTGAGACCTGATCTCCAGTGTTGGAGGTGGGGCCTAATGCAAGGTGTGTGGGTCATGGAAGTGGATCCCTCTTGAGTAGATTGCTGCCCTCCCTGTGGTGGGGTGAGTGAGTTCTCGCTCTGTTAGTTCTCACAGAAGCAGATTGCTAAAAAGAGCCTGGTACCTCCCCCTGCCTCTCTCTTGCTTCCTCTCTTGCCACGTGATCTCTGCACACGCCGGCTCGCCTCACTTTCCGCCACGAGTGGAAGCAGCCTGAGGTCCTCACCAGAAGCAGATGCTAGGGCCATGCTTCCTGTAGCGCCTGTAGAACTGTAAGCCAAATGAACCTCTTTTCTTTATGAATTCCCCAGCCTCAGATATTCCTTCCTAGCAGTACAACATGACTAAGACAGTTAACTTCCCATCTGACTCCCTCCAGTTGCTTCAAGGGTAGGCAAGAATTGTATATTAGCTATTTCTACATCCAGCTGTGTATCCACAGTGCCTCTTATATTTGGCCTATAGTACATACTAAAGAAATGTTTATGTACTCTAGAAATGTACTCAAGAAATGACCAAATGAATGGATAACTTGGCTCATGAGAATTCTTAAGGGCATTTGAAATGGCAAGGGGTATGTTTGGAAGAAGGAGTGTGAGGAGCTGAAGGAAAAGAGGGGAGACCAGCTGTGTTCAGAACCCACAGTCATTTCCTCAGGAAACAGTACCAGATATCCTTGGATGTGGGGAAATGATCCACTCTTGCAGTAGCCTAGGCCACAGGTAATTTTGTGTACCCACTATGCACTTAGCTCATACAGTAGGTCGTAAAAATGAAAATGGCATGATTCCTTCATAATCTAGGTGGGGAGACACTATAAATACACAAATAATTTAAAAGTACAGGGCTGAGCACCGTAGCTCACACCTGTAATCCCAGCACTTCGGGAGGGCAAGGCAGGAGGATCGCTTGCCCCCAGGAGTTCAAGACCAGCCTGGACAACATAGTGAAACTTCATCCCTAGAAAAAACAATTAGCCAGCTGTGGGGCATGCCTAGAGTCCCAGCTACTTGGGAGGCTGAGGTGGGAGGATTGCTTGAGCCCAGGAGTTCAAGGCTGCAGTGAGCCGTGATCACACCACTGCACTCCAGCCTGGGTGACAGAGCCAGACCCTGTCTTAAAAGAAAAGTACAGATTATTTCAGGATTAAGCATATGAGTACTTAGGCTAGAGAGAGGCAGAGAAATGACTCCTGTTTTCCAGCCACTGTCACACTGCAGTGTAAGCCATCGACACACACATACACTTCACTTCATCTGCACAGCCTTTCAAGATAGGTGTTTTTATCTCCAGTTTACAGGTGAGGAAACCGAGCTTTGGGACCAAGTTACTTGTGCAAATCACACAGCTGGGAAATATCATTGCCAGGATTTGAATCTGAGTCTGCAGCAATTCAGAGAAAGGGCACGCACAGTGGCTTTTGTGTCAGGGAAGAGACATTGTCTGTATTGTGGGGGTAGGTGAACTACGGCTGGAACACCAGCATGCAGAGGACTTGCCTTTTAGCTCTGAGGAGGTCGCCTGCCCTTGCATATCTATAAACAACCACCCTGGATTGAGAGCTGTTGAATGGGGAGTTTGTCTGACTCCCAGAAGAGAGCACAGTACAGGAGAAACCTTATATAACGCAGACATGCCCGGCATCCCGCAGGCGGGCGCAAGCCAACCGCACACCTCACAGACCCAGCTTTTGTTGTGTAGGCGCTGTGGTGTAAAAACCATCCTTTAGGGCCCTCTCCCTCGTGGTGGCAGCGTGCCTGGGAGCTTTCTGTTCTATTTGTGGTATCTGTTCCCTTTGATCATTGTGCATTGCTTTGTTCCTCATCTCCCTCTTTGGTGTCACCTGTGAAGTCACTGGAGAGCCATAATCATCCTAAAGAAAGACTCAGAGAAGAAGAAGTAAGACCTAAGAAAACAGACCCTTTAGCCTCCTTGGAGCTGGTTTTCTAGTTAAGAGGCTTGATTAAAAGCGTGGGGGGAATGGATCTGTGACGTACATGGTCATGAAAAGTGCAGCCAGCGTTACAGCACACGTCTGTATAGGTTGCATCACAGGCAGGGAAGAGGCCTAAGGGCCTGGTGGCCCGCAGGTGTGAGCCCCTCTGGTGGCTCCATGACAGGAGACCCCGCGGAGAAAGTAGCTCCTCTTCCTTTTTTAAATTTTTTTTTATTTTTATTTTTTACTTTGAGACGGAGTCTCTCTTTGTTGCCCAGGCTGGAGTGCAGTGGTGCGATCTCAGCTCACTCCACCCTCTACCTCCCGGGCTCAAGCAGTTCTCCTGCCTCAGCCTCCCGAGTAGCTGGGATTACAGACACGCGCCACCACGCCTGGCTAATTTTTAAAATTTTAGTAGAGACGGGGTTTCACCATGTTGGCCAGGCGGTTCTCGAACTCCTGACCTCAAGTGATCTGCCCGCCTCGGTCTTCCAAAGTGCTGGGATTATAGGCATGAGCCACCGCTCCCCGGCCTCCCCTTCTTATAACACTTGAGGCCTGTGCTTCAGTTCATGGGCCTTATGTAAAGGCTTCTGTCACCTGTCTACTCCTTCTTCAAGCTGGCTGTTTATTCGGCACAGAGGAGTAAATTACAGGTGGATTATGCAGTGACAAGCACTTTTATACCTCCTGTAAGAACAGTTTATACCAGGGGTCCCCAACCCCCAGACCGCAGACTAGTACTGTCCGTGGCCTTTTAGGAACTGGGCCGCACAGCAGGAGGTGAGTGGCGGGCAAGTGAGCATTACCACCTGAGCTCCGCCTCCTGTCAGATCAGTGGCAGCATTAGATTCTCGTAAGAGCACGAACCCTGTTGTGAATGACACATGTGAGGGATCTAGGTTGTGTGCTTCTTATGAGAATCTAATGATAAATGTCATGTGCTTGAATCATCCTGAAAGCATCCCTCTGCCCCCAGTCCGTGGAAAAATGTTCTTCCACCAAACCAGTCCCTGGTGCCAAAAAGGTTGAGGACTGCTTGTCTATGCCTTAAAAAAAAAAGGTCCATTTACTTTGCAGTCATAGAGGACGCAGGGCTGGACTTGAGGAAATCTACCTAGAAATCCCCTTCAGGTTAAGATTTATGACATTAGCTTCACTATTGAATTGGATCATAGACATCTATAATTAAAGGAAACCATTTACACTTTATTGTTCATTAAATGTTTAAACCACCTGAAAAGATTTTTTTCTAATTGAGCCTTTTTGCATAGTTACCAGTTACCCGTATCTGACTTCAAGTCTTTAGCCGTATACCTACATGGTTCCATAGTTATCAATGTTTATTTACAATTTAATATTCTTCTTTAGCATTATTTAATATCAAAATGATAATATGTACTACGGTAGGTTGGGCTTTACAGCTTACAAAACACTTTGACATACATTCTCTATTATTTTTGATGGCTCTGTGACATACTGAACTGAAGCAACAGTTTAAGGCTATTTCTAAATTGGGCTCTGCTCAAGTGTGAGAAAGCGTGACAGTCAACATGAACTAGCTTTAGCCTTATCACCGTTTCCTGCTCAGGCAGGTAAGATCTGCTGAAGGAAGGAACCGTTGCCAACTGGCCAGGTGTGCCAGTTCGTGGCCTAGAAGGGGCAGCTGTCAGTTGAACTTTGCCCATGTTTTCAGGATTTTATCTCAACTCCTGAGTAGTCTCATCTGGGTGGGAGCACTAGAATTGAAGGCCTGTTCAAAGGTTTTGTGCCTTTAACTGGAGAATTTTTTGGAAGCCCCTTAGAACTGCCAGGCAGCCATGTGGGATCAGGTGGGGGGGACTGGGCTGCTGTGTGGTAGATTTGAGTTCATGTCTCATAAATGGACTCTCCCCGAATCTGAGAGGGTTGCTCCCTAAGTCAACTACTTAATAATTAATGGAAAGGAGATGTGACAGGAATAGCCAATTTCCCTGTCCTGTTTGGTATGACTGTTGGCAATTTGATGATTCCTTCCTTAACCTTGAAGCAATCTCAGTTTGACTGACTCATACTATGGGGAAGATAGTGGCCTTTGAACTCTTGACTCAATACAGTCTTGACCTTGGTTAGATACTACCTTGACCTCTGGATAAAACTGTACTGGGCATTACTATTTTATTGATTGTTCTCTCAACAAAACAACCGTATCTTTAAAAAATTTTTTTATCTTACATGTCTGAAGTAGAAGGTCACCTCTTTTGTAGTGAAAAAATAACTATTTTCCCCATGGTGTGCTGAATGCATGGGTTAAAGCAGGTAGACCAGCTGTCCTGGGTTTTATCCCTATGTGTTTTTTGCTGATTCACAAAGGCATTTAATTTCTCTCTACCACGCTTTCTAGGTCTGCAAAATAGAAAGGGGAGTTCATGACCATCTATGCGTTACTGGGGGATTTTTCTGTGCAAGCGAAAATTATTGATGCAACCAGAGGACTTGCTGCCAGCGTCGAGGGGTGCATTTTACTCCCTCTGTAAAGAGGCCAGCAGTAATGATAGAAACACAGTGCATTTGACTCTGACCTTATATTTGACAACTCTTCCTCTACAATCCTTAAAAAACATGCCTCACCATTTAAGAGACCAGCAGCAGGCCTTCAGCAAAGCCCACGGTCTAGGCAGCCTTTGTAGGCCTCTGGGATTGTGGTGAGAAAACCTTATCCCTCTCTTATTTCCTGATAACTTTACATTTTAGAGGTGTCTGGAAAGAAAGGTGGCAGAAAAGCAGCATAACCTGCTTGACAAGTCCTGTACAAACAGAAGTCCAATGAGGCTGCTGCTCTGGGGTTGCCAAGCTCAAGGAAGCCAATTGTAGTGTGCACAAAGGTGCAAGTCACCAAGGCCTCAGAGAGCTCCAAGGAAGCCTGTGCAAAGGCAGGATTTAGAGTTCTAAGGACGGGTTGTCCAGCGCAGCCCAGCAGAGAACCTAGGTCCATAACTGTGGACTCTCCTGTGAGGGAGCCATGTTGCGGGGTGGACATCTGACAGTTGTCCCTGCTCTGTGAACCTGCGACTTCATCCTACAGGTGCAGAGAATGGTTTTGGCAACTCTCTCCACCGCAGAATGTGGGCGGACTTCTGAGCTGGGTTTGATTTTCCTCTTTTGCTTTGGAGTGTACAACAATCAACCCTTTAGAGCAGAAGTAGAGGAATGGAAGACTTTCCCATGGCCCAAGACCCCTCAGTGGGTTGCTGTTTGCTCTTCCCTAGAATATTATAATGTTCAATTTATGCCTCCAGGAGACCAGAGACACACGTTTCCCAAATGTGGGTACAGGTGGCTTTAAGCTGTTTCTGTGAGTAGAGGCCCAGTGACATGTTCCCCAGTGTAACCCCCTCCTTGGTTTCACATCCCCTCTACCCGATTCTAGGCCAAGCCCCTCCAGTGTAGTTGGTGACCCAGAACAGGTGAAAGTGAGGCTGCCTTTTGTAGCACTGCTCTTTGTGAATGGGAAGTGCTGCTGGGGAGAAATGATTTTAAGTGTGAGCTTTGCTGTTAGGGGCAGCCCTCTTTCTCCACTGCAATAAGAAGAGTCATGACTAAGTCTAGAAAGGCAGGTTTTGATCTTTAGGATACTGTGATGTATGAAATAAAGGTATGTCCTTCTTATTCGGTGTTGCATTGTCAGCACCTAACACAGTGTTTAATTAAAGCAAAAATTTTTGTATTGAAAATATAACTAGGTGGAGGAGTAAGTCAGTGCTACTTAAGTGTGAGTATTTGTCTTCCCTGATCAGATGGTTTTCTACGTACTCAAAATTTCATGTAGTAAGAATGCAGGATGCTTATGGAGAAAAGTGAGTGTTGTTTGTTTCTCCTTAATATTTATATATAAAAGCAAGAGCTTATTAAACTTTTAGACGTCTTTGGAGGTTTGAAATTTCCCACTGTTATTCTTAAGAAGAGAAGAGAAAGAATAATTTTTTTTCTTCTGTCTTATTGGCCTTTAAGGAAAAGCGAATTTCAGAAAAACATGGGACGGAACAGGAAGTGTTTACAGGTTTAGTCATACTTGTTAGGTATGAAAAAGCCCCACTGCCTTCTCATATTGTTTCTTTTATGAACTTAACACTTCCTACTTTGAGAATACCTTCCTCCCCAAGGGCTCAAAGCCCTTCATAGTCATTAATTTGCATCTTGCTAATTTTCTTAAAAAATTAAAATGTTAACTACCATTTAGCTGGTATTCTACCAGCTAAAACTTCCAGCTAAATGCATTTTGTCTGTCTGTATGTATTAGCTCAGTTGAAAATGTGATCCTACTGAAGGCAGTAGGGTAACCGGCTTGTCCCAGTTTCCCTGGGATTTCAGTTTTAGTACTGAAAACCCCACATCCCCGGAACCCCTTCAGTCCCAGACAAACCAGCATGGTTGGGTCACCCAAGAAGGCGACCAGTTCAGGTAGCTCTGCATAAAGAGAAGATGTTCCACCCTGCAGTCCTTACCTTAAATCTAGGCAGCTACCTTAAGAATTGACCTAGACAGCAGTGTGTGCATGGCTCAGTGCAAATCTTTAGCATCACCTGGTAGAAGACAACACTGAGCACACAGTCGCAGAACTAGTGCAGTTCGAGGTACGTGGAAATGTCTCTGCAAAGTAATATTTCTGGTTTCTTGTTTTTTTGTCTACCCTTTTCCCCTTTACTGCACTATATGGTGAAAAACGAAAACAAGAACTGCTAACTACCTGATTTCCGAAACAAGAAGTGTGATCTCAAATATTTCTGTTGATCTCAGGTTTTTCATCTGAAAAATGAGGATGCTGGTCTCAATTTCTAAGGCCCCTTCCTGCCCAAACTTACCAGGAGGAAAGAAGCTGGAAGTAGAAAGCAGGAGAGGTTCAAAAAGAAAATGGGATGCATCTCCTTTAGTAAGCTCTACTCTGGAGAAGGACGTTGTCCTTCAAGTACAAACCTTTTCACCGACTTGGGGAGTTTCCCCCCATTGTATCCCACCCCATCTTTTTCTGCCATCGTGCACTGTGTCGTTTGAATGTGCTGCTTTGTCAGGGCTGGGGGCTTCCTTGGTGCTCCAGCTTGGCCACATCCGACACACAGACCACCCCGTCCTCCTTCTGCCTCTAGAGGACCAAGAACAACCCTTGTTCTGAAAGCACCCTGTCCCTGAGCCTGAACACATGACCCTGGATGTCAGAAGATGCTCTTCTCCATTTCAATTGCCCAATTCCAGCTCTGTAATCATTATGTTAAATGATACAAGTTTCAAAAAATATATATTTCTAATAGACTTTCTATTATCTTCCTTAAATCCACAGTGTCACTTTCATTCTTACTCCTCATTTTGGGGTGAAAGTGTAGAAAGATTGTGGCTTTAGAATCTGACGTACTTTGCTTCAAATTCTAGCACCACTGTGTGACATTGGGAAGCCCGTTCTTTAACCCCACTCAGACTCTGTTTCTCCATTGATGAAATAGAAACATACAGTATCTTATGTGTCTGGCACATGGAAGGTACTCAGCATATTAATATTAACCACTTTGGGCTGGGCGCAGTGGCTCACGCCTGTAATTGCAGCACTTTGGGAGGCCAAAGCAGGCGGATCATGAGGTCAGGAGATTGAGACTATCCTGGTTAACACAGTGAAACCCTGTCTCTACTAAAAATACAAAAATTTAGCCAGGCATGGTGGCAGGTGCCTGTAGTCCCAGCTGCTCGGGAGGCTGAGGCAGGAGAATGGCGTGAATCCGGGAGGCAGAGCTTGCAGTGAGCCGAGATCGCACCACTGCAGTGCAGCCTGGGAGACAGAGCGAGACTCCATCTCAAAAAAAAAAAAAAAAAAAAAAAAATTAACCACTTCATTCTTCTTAGCCCTTCAAGCCCCCGCACCGTGTTTTCTGACATATCATCTTGTTTTCATCCTTTCTCTTCGGTTTAATTCCAGAGGGTACAGAGAAGGTGTAAGTTACAGGTAAAGGAGAGTAAGTGCACTGTGAGTGGGTGCTGATGAAATATCACAACAGGTTCTCATTCTGACAACTCACACTAGGCCATGCTTCCCCGGAATATTTATGGAACTAAGTGGAAAAAAGGATCTTTAGCAAGGATCCAGCACCCTCAATGCAGGGAATGAAATGTGTTTATTATTAGAGCAATCCAGTTTCCATACAGCTACCAATATACACACACCCACATACCCTGTTCAGCCATACTGAAGAGTTTACTTGTAAATCCAGGCGAAGCTGATGCTGAGAGGTGGCCCGCTGTACTGATTTTGTAAAACCAGCAGGAAAACCTCTGCTCGGCCGACCACTTGATGTTTTAGTTGCAGCCACTAACATGTTAATCAAAAGAAGCAAATACATGTTTTTCCCTTGAGAAAACATGGATAGTGGTGTAACGGAAATTACCTTGAATTATTCCTCCTCAAGTATCTATCCAATCTAGATAGATGGATTATCTGATTGCACCAGGAGATGCAGACCTGGCAGTGGCTACTTCTATTGCAGCATCTTTAAAGGAATCAGATCTTTGGATTTCCATTTTCCCATTTTTATTCTTATTTTCTCCCTGCTAAAAAACAGTTTGCAGAGGCACTTGAAAGTGATATAAACTCCATAGTAGATAATAGTTGTACATGAACATCGTATCTTTTATCATATAGTCCCCTATGTAATTAGGTGATAGCTTGAGCCTAGCACAGGTGGCGCTGCTGAGCCATCTCGGAAATGACCACATCTGAACTGGGCGCAGTGGTTCATGCCTGTAATCCCCACACTTCGGGAGGCCAAGATGGGTGGATTGCTTGAGCTCAGGAGTTCGAGACCAGCCTGGGCAACATGACGAAACCTCGTCTCTACAAAAAATATAAAAATTAGCTGTGTGTGGTGGTGCTCACCTGTGGTCCCAGCTACCTGGGGGGCTGAGATGAGCAAAAAAAAAAAAGAAAAAAAAAAAAAGAAGAAGAAGAAATTACCATATCTGTATGTCTATACATAGGTATGTGGATTTATCACAGTGCTGGTACAAGTACTTTTGTCATTGATGTTTATTAAGCTTTTTATGCTCCAGGCACTATGCAAAATTGTAGGGCATTATCTCCTCTAATCCTCAGAATCTTATGCAGTAGGGCCGGTGTTGCTATTACTCCATTTTATAGATGAGGAAACTTAGGCTTGGGGTGTTTAAGTAACTTCTATGAAGTCACACAGTAAGTGCTAGAGCCAAGAGGCAAAGTAAGCCTGGATGCTTCCAAGCCGTAGCTCTTAACCACTATGCTATACTGCTCAAAAATATTTTTAGAACTGAATGAAGACATCTAAGGAAAAGGAAAACGTGGTCCCTAATGGTCTTTTGTGATAACAATATGAAACCTTTCGTCTCTAAAGTGTCATGGAAGTGAAACTTGAAAGGCTCTGTTCTTCATCTTCTACTTATTAATGGGCAAAATGTCTTCGTAATTTATGGCATGTGTCCCAAAGGTGCAAAGGTGGCAAGGTGGCCTTTTTTTTTTTTTTTTTTTTTTTTTTACTAATACTAGGTCCTGCTTCCAAGCCTCCTATTTCTTCACTTCCCTGTGTACCAGGGTTTACCTGCTGCTTAACCCACCCACCCCACTATACGTGTCTGTAGTAGACCCACCAACATTCACATGGCCACTTCTGCTGAAAGTACCTCCCAGGATAGAATAGGGTCACAGACCCCCAATTGTATAAGCCTTTGGCTTCTTGATGTCTCTGCGAGTTACGGTTATGGGAGTTGGTCTTTGGTGAGATTAGTGGTGAGATCAGTGGGTGGCACCTAGGGTGATTTATTGAATAGTATGGGGTGAGGCTGAAGAGCAAACATCCACGTAAGTGTTGTCTGTTTTGGAGTTTGAAAAGTTGTCACCCTAATAAACAAACTACTTAATTGAACAGCCCTTGCTTGGCGTGATCAAAGAAAAGACCTAGACTTTGCTATCAGTAGGCTCTGGGTTCCAGGCCTGGCTTGTCACTTACGATGATGATGATGATGATGATTTTTTATTTTTTTGAGATGGAGTTTCACTCTTGTTGCCCAGGCTGGAGTGCAATGGCACAATCTCGGCTCGCCACAACCTCCGCCTCCCGGGTTCAAGCGATTCTCGTCTCAGCCTCTTGAGTAGCTGGGATTACAGGCGCCCGCCAGTACGCCTGGCTAATTTTTGGTATTTTTAGTAGAAACGGGGTTTCACCATGTTGCCCAGACTGGTCTCGAACTCCTGACCTCAGGTGATCCACCCGCCTTGGCCTCCCAAAGTGCGGGGATTACAGGCGTGAACCATCGCGCCCGGCCAGCTCGTCGCTTATTATGCAAGTTGTATAACATTGCTGAATCCCAAGTTTTTAGTCTTTAAAATGAGAATTTAAATGTCGCCCTTATTTTGATTGCTGGGAAGTTTAAATGAAACAGTGTATGTGCCTGTCACATAGTAGTTGACAATAAATGATAGTTTCTTTTCCTTTTCCCTTAAGTAAGTTTTTTTTCCCTCTAGCCTATAAGCTCCTTAAAGAAGATAGAGATTTTCTTTTCTCACTCATTTCCATATTCTCAGCCCTTAGCAGTGCCAGGCACATATTTGCTGAATGAAAGAAAAATCTTTTACAAAGGTCTTCAGATCATTCATTCACCAGACAATTGTTGAGTATCTACAGTGTATCAGGCACTGTTCTTGGAGCAGGGCAGTCTTAAAAAACACACACAAACATAGTCTGTGTCCCCTTTTTTAGTCTAACTGGGAGAGAAACATTACATAGATAATTAGAGCAATGAACAACTTTGATCCTTGAGATGGGATTTAAATTTTAAGAGATAGGTGACATTTGGTGTCAAGTCTGTCCAGGTATACTTGATATTGTTTTTGATCAGGTACAAGAAACGGCAATATACTGTTATCTATAACTGGTTCTGAAAGATCTGAAAGAGGTGTTTCTAAAGTATTTTTGAGGAATGGTGCTGCTTTTTTGGAATAAGTATAAATACATTGTAAAGTATCTATTTCG
This sequence comes from Homo sapiens, assembly GCF_000001405.40. NCBI lineage: Eukaryota > Metazoa > Chordata > Mammalia > Primates > Hominidae > Homo > Homo sapiens. The sequence goes on from NC_000012.12 coordinate 11,736,607, forward strand.
AGAGGGAACAGACTTGATGGGATGGGATCATAGTAGGTAAGGTGTTCCAGGAACTTGGAACATACTGGAATAAGGCTTAAACACAAGTCACAGAACTGGGTGATAGGGCGGTGAGCGCATCTACTGGAGAGGAGATGGGGCAGGGCTGGCAGCTTGTAGCAAGATTTTTATGTAGACAGTTAGACTTCAAACTTCATCAGTAAGTCAGTAGATGGCCCTAGGTGGAAACACAGGACAAAAGATGAATTTGTGTTGGCACTAGAAATACTTTGAGCTCATCTAATGAGGCTCATTCATTCATTTGGTAAATACTTCACGAGTGTCCAGTGCAAGCTCTGTTCTAGTTGTAAGGGATATGGCAGTGAACAAGGCAGACAAGGTCCCTGTGCCTGCAGAGTTTTGATGATAACCTTCCCCCCTGGGTGTGTGGGAGGGCCTGGGGCTCCTGTGTGGTTTGGGGGTCTGAGAGGTGGATGAAGGTACAGTAGGCCCACAGTCGTGGAAATCAAAGTCCAAGCTCCAGTGAACCATCAATTAAGAAACAAGGGATTGTGAAGAACAAGACCTAGATCCAGACTGAAGGGAAGGATTTGCTGAGGAGTTCAGGCCAGCATGGGCTGGGGTGACTTGGCCTGGAACTCTACAACAGTCAGGACAGGGAGTCCTGAATAGGGGCACCTGCAGCTGAGTCCATGGATGGGGAGGGACCTGTGTAAGGCACTGAATTTAGACTCTGCACGCAGTTCTAAGAGGTGTTCTCAACACGTTTATGCAACTAAAAAGTGTTTATTAACAGTGTTTTGAAACAAGTGGGATTTTTGTTGAGGTTGTAGGATAATTCAGGGTCATATGGAGATTTTTATTCTATCAGTATTTGCCCTGTCATGTAGATGAGACACGTTAGAGGCAAGCCTCTGAAAATTAGATTGATTTATTTTTCTAGTCTGAACCGAGGAAAATAACTACTTGTCTTCTATCTCCTGGTGCTCTAATATATGTAAAATGTTGTCTTATGGTGAGACAATGCATATTAATTTTTTAGGCACTTGATGGAAGAAGTGGATGAGGGAAGCAGCATCGGTCTTTGAACCTAGGTCAGAAAGAAATGGAAGCCATGGTGTGAGAATAATGCATCATGGTTTGTATGGCCTTTTTCATGTATTTTAACTCAACTGATTTTCTCAGGGCCTCATCAGTCAGTCAACGCAGTTTTCTCCATCTCATAGCCAAGGAGACTGAGACTCAGATCTGCCCCTGCCCACTTTTTTTGTAGTTTTAGGGGGAAGCATAAATGTGGAGGAAGTAAATGAGTGTGTTTGTTCAGGCTTAGACTTTTGTTATTTTTTAGCCTTGCAGGGAAGGGGAGGAAAGCCAATAACGATGGCTAGAATTGGAGATAGAATGAATGCAAGTTGCATTAAACTGTAAGGTTAGTCTCGGTAAGAGGTTGTTTATATGGTGGTGTCTTGGGTGTATCTTACCATGTAGCATTCTTCGTTTTAAGAAGGATTCCTTCCGGTGCAACATCAGTCACAGCATAGAAAGCCTATGCTGCTCTGCTAGTTTGCTTGCTTGCTTGCTTGCTTGCTTGCTTTCTCCTTCCTTCCTTCCTTCCTTCCCTCCCTCCCTCCTTCCCTCCTTCCCTCCTTCCTTCCTCTCTCTTTCTCTTTCTCTCTCTCTCTGTTTTTTGTTTGTTTTTGCTTTTTTTTTTTTTTTTTTTTTAAATTTGAGACAGGGTCTTGCTCAGTCAGCCAGGCTGGAGTGCAGTGGCGCAGTCATGGCTCACCAGCCTTGCACTTCTTGGGCTCAAGTGATCCTCCCACCTCAGCCTCCCAAGTAGCTGGAATGTACCACCATGCCCGACTAATTTTTAATTTTTTTTAATGGAGACGGTTTTGCCCTGTTGCCCAGACTCATCTCAAACTCCTGGGCTCAAGTGATCCTCCTGCCTCTGCCTCCCAAAGTGCTGAGATTACAAGTGTGACCCACTGCGCCTCTGCCCTGTGCCACTTTTCCACAGCTGCTTTACCTACAGCCTGGGAGTCAGGCCAGCAAATGACGACACCCCAGGCACAGACATGCTCTCTAGGAACTTCGAGTCAGGTATTTCACTTTGTAAAGAACTTCCATTTTAATTCTATTTTCTCCTAGTTAGAGACTCATCTTTCTTCTGAGGGGTGCAAATGATTCTTTGGAGAAGTTTAAACCTGTTTTACGGTTCAAACTCAAGATGGTAGAAACAAGTCATATCCAAAAGAGTGCCCCGAGCTCTAAGAGTTGTGGCTGCGCAACGTTTTTTAGGTGTCTCCGAAGTGTTATGGCCAAGTTCAGGATTGACCCAGATGAGGAGAGGTTGCACTGCATAGTGATGATTTGTGTTGGGGAGGAGAGCTGAAACTTTGCAAAGTGGCGTCCTGAACCAACTTGTTTTTCAGCTTCTAGGGAAATTTGTTAGGTAATTTTTAAAAAAAGAGAGAGAGAGACAGAGAAGACTTAATTTGATGGAGCCTAAACTCCACTGTCTTCTTTCTGCTGAGTGCTAAGGGGCTCATGGTCTCTGAGGACAGAGGGCAGGAAAACACCTTCATGCCCTGTGTCCTCTGTAAGGGGCCTCTAGTATGAGGGACTCTGATGACTATTGCTGTTGGGGAAAAGAAGGAAAAGGAACAGGGGTCAACTTCTGTCATCATCTCTCCAGAGTTTATGATGTTTCTGAAAGGATGGGGAATAGTGCGTGGCCCCCACTCATCCCTGTGAGGTGCTGCCCAGGTATCCAACCTGCAGTGCACATGCTCGCCACTGGCACTGGGGATGGTGAGTGCAGCAGAGAGATGGGATTCTTAATTTATTCAATTTTAATTAAAAAACACAGTTCAGTTGTTAAAAACCTATTTAAGTGTGTTTGGAATAGCTTGGATATGTGAATTTACCTTTTCAACTGTGAATTTTATGAACTCTAAATACAGATCAAGTATTTCCAGCAAAAATTTAGTGTCGGATTTGAAATGTGCTCTAATGGAAACTAGACACCAGATTTCGAAGACTTAGTATGAAAAAAACATAAAATACCTCAGTAATTATCTGTATTGACTATACATTGAAAGAATATTTTGGCCACATTGAGTTAGGTGTCCTATGTTATTTAGATGCATTTTACCCATCTCTTGTTTTTCATGTAGCTACCAGAAAATGTTAAATTACCTATGGGGCTCCCCTTATATTTCTGTGGGACAGTGCGAGTCTAGACAGTGCCTTACGGGATCCATCAGAAGCATTATTGGACTTTCTAGGGAAAGTTGCTGGACTTCAAAAGTTAGAGTCATAATTTTTCCCGTTGTGTTAACAAGTTGCTTTATGTGGATGGGTTTATGACAATTGAGGGTTGGAAAATAGGTTTTAATAAGAGTAAGTTAATTGAGAGGACAGCTTTACCTCTGTTAATCAGAATGATTTTAAAATGCATTTTCACCCACTCAGAAACCACTGATTCTCATGGGAACAAAAAACTACATTCGTGCGTAGTACGAATTTGTGCCTGCTGGGTCCTTGTACCTTTACGCCAGGCAGAAATCTCCGTAATCGTCAGTGTAGATTTCATTTCCTTGTGGCAAGGAATATAAAGTAATACAACCAAAGGGGAATTCCACTGCATGAAAGGAAATATTAGTGCTCGTCTAGCTCTTGTTTCAACCCTATAAGCTCCAAGTGATTTTCAGAGTCCCTCCTTCAACTTTTTTGTTAAACTTTCCAGATTTTCCTATTTATAGATTTCAGTTGTTGGCAGCTACATGTTGGAACCGTTGTTGAAGCCCCTAGTAAGACTTGATGCTGTAGCACGCTTTCACAGCTTGGTTTGCAAGTTGCTTTCTAAAGATGCAAAGAGAATTACTACCCACTCTAGTAGTTTGAACAACCCAGTGAATTTCAGATATTAAAGCCATATTCATGCCACTGTTCTCCTAATTCTATCACTGTTTAGAATTGCATTTTGTCTAAAGGAAGGATAGATAGAATACTACTAATAATATCAAGATGCTCAGAAACTGTTGAGAATTTTTTTTACAGGAAGAACTTAAATTTCCAGAGGCTTTTAAAAAAAAATTTATTAAGGAAGGAGTAAATAAATACGCCGGGTTCTTGAGTAAACTACTTTTACCCTTCAGAACCACTTTGTACGTAGACTTTATCATGATGGCCAAGAGTTTTTAAAATACTATAGGCAGAGGGTATACTCTAGAGAAAGAAGACAACATTGGGTTTAGGACTGCTAGCCCCATCCAGAGCAGTTATGTGGTTCATTCAGGGATCTTCTTAGCCCTTCAACCTCAATTTCTACATCTGTGAGGTAGGTTTTGTGCTAGTTCTAGTGACATGACTCGTGGGTGTATTAGGAGGATATAGCAGCATGTAATTGAAGGGCTTTTATCTTGGAAAAGCCTTAGTAGGCTCAAGGTTTCTAGTTGTTTAGGGTTCTAAGATTTTACTAACTAGTCAGCTGCTTGGAGTTCAAGGCATTTCTTCAGATTATAATGAGTTGATAGTGCAGTGTGCAAAAATAAAGACCGAACCATGGTAAGTAGCAAGGTTACTGTAAGGAAAAAAATGTGTCCCACTGGCCCCTTTAAAATGGCACAGGTGCATCTCTGTAGCAACCTTGACAGCCATCATGTGGGATCATTCCCCTCACCCAGGGAACAGTGGTTCCCCAATCTCCAATCTCTCCATTCTCCAGCATGAGAAAGTGGTCTGGAGCTTGATCACATGAAGATGGACAGACACAGCCTTTTGGATGCGAGAGAGGGAAGGGAATGCAGGCCAAAAGTGGGGTGGGTTTTCCTTTCCTCTTCCTTGTTTTTTATTAACCTTGTCTTGCTCCTGCCACACACAAGTGCAGCCAGTGCTCAGGACACTGCTCCGTGTGGAGCTCCGGAAAGTGAAGCTGAGAAGCCTTCCTTGGGGTGGACATGGGGGGAGCTGCAGAGGCAATAGGGAGAAAATAACAACCATGGCTCAGGCACTGCTTGGAGCAGTTGTTCATATGTAGGTCAGGTAGTCATCATTCAGGAACTTCCTGTATTACACAAATAATCTCTATTTTATGGTTAAAGGTAGGACAGTGATAATTTACTCAGGAGGGAAGGACAATTAGCAAATTGATTAATAAGGTTTCTAAAACCTATTGTGAAAGAGAATCCTTTAACATATGTCTTGATTTATTCTGCTTATTTATGTCTTGATTTAAGACAGTGATTCGCAACTTTAGCTCTGCATATTGCAATCACCTGGGAGCTTTAACAGCGTTCATGCCTGGCTCCCATCCCTGGAGATTTACTTGGCTATTGGGATTGTGTTTTAAAGTTTCTCCAGGTGATTCTAATACACAGATAATAGCCAGAATGCCTGATTTAAAATGTTTCCTGAATTGTTAGCTGATCTTGAGTGCATATTTTCTATGTACTGTTGCACACTAATAGTTTTAATGAAGGCACAGAATCTTATGTAAAATAAACTGTTAATTGGTCTTAACTACAGGGCTACAAGAGTTTCCTTCTTATTTCAAGCTGCTTAATATTCCGTTAATCACTGTTGTCATGCACACACACTTCTGTATTCCATTCTCATTCATTTACTTTTTAGAATGGTATTAATGCTGGTGGCATTTGCAGGGTAGTAGTCACCTTGTCAGTAGAACTTGCTTTAGTAATTAGTTGTCAGAAACAAAACTCCCCAGACTTTCTACCCATGACCACAATGAAGGGAATGATGCCTTTTCTGAGTCCCTATTCCTAAGAATCAGGAAATTTCTATGATATTTGACAAGTATAGGTAGAAATTACTTGCCAAGGTGATTATGACTTCTGGAAAAAATTTTTTTAAAGGAAACACAGGTGTGTAACACTCCTAATCAGTATATAAGATTGTTTGTATGTTACTTTTTCGAGTTATAAAAGGAAGAGGATAAATTCTGCCTCCTTCCCCAGTTACTGTCAATCTTCAGTCTTCTTTTGAATTAAGTTAGTTTCCCATTTTACAACATAAAGACAAGTTTAATTCTTAAGGCTTACATAAAAAAGTAATGTTTAATTTGGGATTTCTCAAATTCTTCATCATAATAACACCTTGCATTAGTAGAGAACCTTTGTTGCAAGAAGATCAAAATATTTTATAAGCTTCATCTCATTTTTCTTTTCTTTCTTTCTTTTTTTTTTTTTTTTTTGGAGACAGCATCTTGCTCTGTCGCCCTGGCTGGAGTGCAGTAGCACAATCACAGCTCACTGTAGCCTCAACCTCCTGGGCTCAAGTGATCCTTCCACCTCAGCCTCCCAAGTAGCTGGAACCACAGGCACATGCCACCATGCCTGGCTAATTTTTCATATTTTTTGTAGAGACGGGGTTTCGCCATGTTGCCCAGGCTGGTCTCGAACTACTGAGCTCGAGGGATCCTCTTGCCCTGGCCTCCCAAAGTATTGGGATTACAGGTGTGAGCCACTGCGCCAGACCTCTTTTATCTTTGAGATAATACCGTGTGACGACAAAGGCTGGGTATTGTTATCCGAATCTCTCACACAGCAACACTGAGGAGACATTGACTCATTTCTTTTACGTTGCTTTTTAAGTACAGTATTGTTTGGTTTTGTTGAAAATTATTTTGGTAGTAAACATTTTCCAGAGATATAAATCTTTTCCAGACTCATTTGCGCTTGTTACTGTAGGTAGAATTCATGAGGCTTTTCCTATTTCTGTTTATTTCGGAGCCTGAAGTGACCCAGGAATTATGTGATATATGTAGAGCGAGGGAATTTCTTCAGTTTGACTGTGGTCCTGGTTGTAACCCAGCCTTCTTCCTTACAGATGGGGGTGAGGGTTGGGGTATCCCTTAGAGCCTGGTGTGTCTTCATACAAACAGCTTTGCTGGGGCTGCCTAGAGCCTGGGCCAGCAGTGGGGTAGTATCAAGTACAGGGCATTATTCAGCGGTTCTCCACACTCTCCTCATTTGAATGAGAATATAAATCTTCTCCCCTGGCTCTCATGTCACATCTTTAAAACCTCAAGTTTCTTATTAGGCATGTGTGGTCCATTTAAGCTCTAGACATTTCGAAAAGATAAATCACAGGGCAAAACATCTTTCTAGTTTTGAAGGAGGTCTGAGTTGCAGCTCGCTGGGGTTGTGAGTCTGAGCCGTCGCTTTTCTTTCTCTTCCTTTTACAAGACTTCCAGGATATAGCCGTTAAAGAAGGACACAAAAAAGAGCAAAGCCCTCAGTGATGCTGTGGCACAAAGAAGAAAGCTACTTGAGGAGGAGGCGAAGGGTTTACGAAGAGGCAAAGAATGCAGGTGAAGGGAGGGAGGAGTTAATAGTTAAGGCTCAGGTTCCAAGCCCTTTGGGCTGCCAGTGTCTGCAGGAGCCTTGCTTTCATCCTTTCCTTCTGCCCAGGTTTTAAGTCTCATGAGTTAAAACCTGGGGAAGCTCCCACCCCAGGTCCACTGTGAGGGAACGTACAAGAACAGTCACGTGGCAATAGTACATGCCTGGAAGGTATCTCTCATTTGGGGGGAGATTGAGAAGCGCTGTCTAATGGTGCCCTTGATACAACTAAATAGCAACTGTCTCAGTTCATTACTTGTTAGCCCCAGGCAGGGACAACGCAGATTGGCTAATTATAATAGCCAGACCATTAAAGGGAATAGCATTAATGGAGGAGAAAGCAGCTAATAAAGAGCTGAACTTGGCCACTTTGTTGTGCCCAGGATACAAGCTGCTGTTAATTTCAGTACCTGTTTCTTCTGCTGTTAGAACTAGGAAGAAAGGATTTAGTGACCCTCTTTCAAAAGGTGGATCACAAGCTTAGAGGCATTGCTGGATAAATTCAACAGCAAGACTTTATTTCTTCCCCAGAGGTGACGTCTGATGGTTCTGTATAAATAAAGTCACACCACCTTTCTTATGCTGAATTGATGCTGCTGACCTGCTGTTAGTAGGACATGCACTTTTATGGCGTTTCCAGGAGTGGTGATGTGTGTTGCTGAGCTCATCTAATCTCTGCTTTGAGCAAAGGCAATCCTCTATATCATGGCAGGGATTAGAGGTATAGCCTGGGGCTGCAGAATGGTGTGATTTAAATTTTCCCATGCAGGTTCAAAGCTTGTAACTTTGCCTGCGTGTACATCCACACTGGGTTCCAGCCACATGAACTGGGCCACCTTCATAGACCTCCCTGGTAACCACAGCCTGACGTGACAAGGAATCACAGTTTTACTTTCCGCTTACTATCCATGTTAGAAATATCTAAGGAAATTCAGGAAAAAAAAAAAAGAGAGAATTTCATGGCATGTCAAGAATGGAAAGTATCTTAATTAAAATGTTTTAAAATGGGAACAATAAAGAAGTCGATTTAAGTTTTTTGCTTTGGTGCTTGTCTTTAAAGAAATTGCTCCTAATTCTAGAAACTAGTGCTTTTTCTAATTATATTCAGTAGAACCCTAGGATCCTGTGAGGAGGCATAGGGGAGTAATTGATAAAGAAGGGGACTGTGGTGTCCGTGTTTTATTTGGAGCTGTTCTACCCACACTGTAATTTATAAGCTCTAACTTACCAGGGGAGATAAGATTGTATAGAACCAGCATCTTGCAGTTATACGGAACCTTTAAGTTCTCCTACTCCAGCTCCTTCCCAGTGCAAGCACGTGTTTTAGAGTAACTGTTCAGCCTCAGCATTAAGTCAGCTTTAGGAGAACAGTAAATCGCCCATTTATCTGGAGACTTCAGCTGTTTGAAAGGCCTTCCTTCTAGTGCATCGGTATCTGTTGCTGGCTCTGTCCTCTGCTACTACAAGCAAGCCTTGAGTCTCTCTTAGACTTGTCCTTCCTATATTTGAAGACATCTCCGAGAAGATTTTAAATCTTTTTTCCCCCACAGGCCACATATATCCTTAATGCCTTCATCCATTCCCCTCTTGGGAATGTGCATCTTTGGGCCATTGGAGAGGTCTTGCTTGGACTGCGGCCACTGTGATTTCTGGGGGCAGACTCAGCTCCTTCTTGGTGTAGAGATCTGCCCACTATAGGCACCAAATAGATGTTGGCAGGCTTCTTTCCTCCTTACTGCTTCTATTTATCTCACCTGTACTTTTAGATTTGCTGCTCTTGGGTAAGCAGATAAGAACAAGGGAAATGTCTTCCGTTGTTGTTAAAGACAATGTTAGGATAGAAAGTAATATGTTTGTACTCAAAAATGCCCAGTGAGATTTCTAGCCACGGCCAAGTTATCATTTGCATAAGCAACCTGGAAATGCCCTCTTGGTCCTACTGATTGTGTCCCATGGTTAATGTAGATCCCTGGATAAATTCGAATGGCTACTCCTGCTCAGGGGTCATGCCATGAGAACTTTTCTCATACATCAGATAGAGTCCCCTTCCGTCAGCTGAATGCATTTACCCCTCAGTCTGTGCTACCCATAGGATAAGCAACATGCATAAGAAGGTAGGTGCCTTGGCTTAGGCAGCTCTGTTGAGTCACCCTCAAGAATCCTGCTGGAATTCTGTGAGGAGTGAGGATGCAGAGCAACGAAATATTCGAAGGCTGCTATGATTTTTACAAGCTTGAACCTGTCTCTTGGAATTCCCCATTGTGAAGTCATTGTTGACTGGTTGGCATTATAAAGCAGTTCAGAGAAGTAAAGTTAGATCAGTCTGCACGCAAATACCAGCCACACCATCTCCCAAGCTAGTGACTGGAACTGCGGTTTTCAAGTCAGTTTCCTCATTGCGGAATGGAGATAACGATGCCTTCCTTGCAGGGTCATTGTGAGGCTGAAATAAAATAAAGGCTTCATGGGAACACATACCACATGCTCACTTAATGCTAGCTCTCTTTCCTGATTGTGGCAGTGACTGTATTTTCCAGCTACAATTGTGACACGTGTTCTGAGAGGTGTTAAGTATTTATATACAACTACCCATATGTATTTATGGGTAAAAGGACACGGAACTTTAAATATTGAGACCATCCTGGAAATTCTAGGATGTATGATTGCATAATTTGTAATGCCTGCTATAGGCCTAGCCTCATAGTTGACCCTTGATGGATGCTGAAATATTTCTTAATCATAGGGAGAAAAAAAACTCAATGACCTTTTACAGAGATGTTTGATTGCAGGGCTTATTGCTAATGCTCTCTCTCTCTCTTTTTTTTTTTTTTTTTTTTTTTAATCTCACTATGCAAAGATAATACAGGTCTGGGTAAGAGGAAGACTTAAGATGCTTTGACTTAATTGTATCTGCTTGACAGAAGCAATATACTGCCTTCTGATTTTAGGATGTAACCATCCAGAAAGGCAGAAGAAAGGGACAATTTCAGTTCTAAACAGGAATCCGAATATCTCACGTCCTGAACCATCTACATAAACTAGAGAAAGGGCACTCCTTAAGACTGGTGAAGCGGGCTCCTTGGAAGATCCCCACAGCAACATTGAGTTTGGTTTGTCTGGCGTACCCTCTCCCCAAGGGCTGAGTGGGCCATCTGGGTAACCTAGAGAGGAGACTTCAGATGCTAGGAGTATAGTTCCTACCCATCCTCATTTTCACAGGGTACACTCATTTTTTTCCCCTTGGAAGTACTGATATGTATTCTGCAAGATGAATGTTGAGACCCAAACACCATTTGGCTTGTAAAAATTAATGGCTTAGCATCCAGAGGGATGTTGCTTTCAGGGCAGGGGGGACACTGGACACCAAGAAGAAAGCCAGCTTGGGCCCCTATACCATCTTGGATGTCTAAACCATCTTCTGGTAACTCTCTGGATGAAAAGAAATCATGAACTTCACTTCTGTGATTTGGTGGATGTGGATTTTGCTACATCAAAATTTGCATTTGAGTCTCTGTGGTGTTCTTTCTAGCCGAGATGCTAGGGTATGCTCTTTCTTTCTGGGGAGATTCCAAAAATGTTACTCTCTGTGGCTGTGTGTACAATGTCTATTTAGAAAAGAAGACTGGCATTTGCATCTTCTCTCAAATTCTTTACGTTTGTCTCACTGAATTTTGGAGTGGACAAAATATTCAATAGCTTTTTTCAAGTGAAAAAAATGTCGACTTTCAAGAGTGTATTACTTTAGGTTCTTGTGTATATCTGTGCTTTCCTGGTGGCAGAAACCTAGAAAACTCTAGAGCTCAAATTTCAGCGTATTCAATTTTTTGTTAATGTGTCTATAGCTTGTTAATAAAAGCTTACTTAATGAAAGCCAACATCACCACCACTTGAAATTTTTGCAGCCAGAAGAGTGTACTTAAATACTTGTGTATTCAGACTTCACTTTAATAAATTTCAATAAATAGCTTCCCATAGGAGAGGTTTCTTCTGTTGAATCTGTAGAAGTTGACGACGGTACAAGCATCAGCTTTCTCAGGCAGCTTTTCTAAACACCTGCAGGGTGGAAAAGAGATCCTTCTCTCAAAATACTGAATATTGCTGGCATGACCACTCTTGTCACTGGTGCCTGCTGTTTTCCATCTTATCTGGGTTGCAGGTTTCTTCACAGTGATGGGACACCGAAGTGCAATGGGATGAAAGCATGCCTGTGGCATTTTTACCCTAGCTGTGGGGAAATGACCACTATCCTGTGTCCATGACACTCTTCCTCCTCAGGACTTTCAAACTAGGCTTCAGAAGCCATCACTGGGGGCAGTCCTGGCATTTATAATGGGGATAGGGACAATTTCCAGGAAAAGTTTCTATATCAAGGACATCTCAGTTCTGCAGCAGAGAAATCTTTGAAATTACCTGCAAACCATCTTTTTGCAAGCACAACCAACTTTATTTCTGTTTTAATTAATTCCAAAAATGCTTTATTTCCAGAATGTTAATATTTAGTTAGCAGTAGGCTCTAAGTTTCCCAACCCCTCAGCCTTTTCAGAGGGTATAATAATAAATGTGTAAATGTGCTAGGGGATCCCCGTGATTTATGGAAGCTTTATATTGAATAATTTTGAAGAGGAAAGACCTTTTGGTAATAATATTCATTTTTTGACTCTTCTGTAATATGCAACCTGAGGGTGGGTGTGGGGGAACGTGGAGAAATGCCATTCTCCTACTGAGCACAGACTGTATACACCTATTTTACAGGGAAGTCACGGGCTCCTAAGCATTCAGTTTAAAAATGAGCAGAATTAGATGGGTACCCTTCATTGGCCCTTCATGGCTAGGGGAGAAATGGGAGAGGGAACGCAGCTCATTTTGGCTTCAGTCCTTACGCTTTCAAGAGACAACCCTACTCCATACTTCATTATTTTTTTTAAAGCTTTCTATAATGGTTGGTGAAATTTACATTTCAACTCTTGCCTACAACAGTTTTCTGCCTTATTTTCTCTTCCCAGCGCTTTGTGCCGCCTCCTTGACAACCTGCTCATAGGTATTACAATTGGCCTCAGAAATTGCAGTGCTTCCCTTTTGTTCAGCTGGTTGGCTTGATAGGTTGTATCTGCAAATTTGAGAGCAGCGTGTTTTATTTTTTACAGCATCTAAACAATAATGTAACCACATCACGGCATTCTGAGTCACATCATTGACCTCCACCAGCAGTTTATCCCCCTACAACACTTGAATACATTAATATCACTGTCTGTAGCATTTTAATTTAATTAGAGCAGCGGTTATAATCCTCTTGGGAAAATCGTTATCCCCCCCATACACACACACACACACACACACACACACACACACACACACACACACACACACACACACACACCCCTACTCCCCATAATGTTAAAAGAAAGAAAGCAGCTCTGGTTTTCATCTGTCTGACAATTTGCTTTAGAGGTGGGACTCTCACCACCACCCCCTCCTTTGTTGGGGTCGCACCAGAGAAGCAGTTGTGAGAGTAAAGAGGTTCCCTTTATTTGGGAAATTAGACGTTAGTGTCCTTAAACTTCTCTGTCTAGATGTCTCCATCTGAGATAGTGGTATTTGGTTAATTTTTCCAATTGCTGATAGTCTGCTGATGTGCCAGGGTAGATGTTAAGTGCGAGGTTATTGCAATAGAGTGAAAAATGAGCACTGTGAGAGTCAACCTAGAGATTCACAAAAAGAGAGACAAAAGGAGTCTCTGTAGTGTGGGATTCCCAAGAGTGTGTTTTGTTCTCCTTGGAACAGAGCCCACTCACTGTACAGCATCCTTTTGGGGTCCCCAAGTGCTCTGCAGCCACCAAGCCCAGAGTTACCTTAGGTGTGCCATGGCTACTAGAAGAGTGCTCGGGGCCCTAGAAGCACATTGTGCATTTGTCCGTCTTGGTCAAGGTAACCTCTCTTGTTGCTGACAAGTCTCTTCATTGAGCCTTTGAAAAAGAGCTTATGGTGTGGAAAACTGTCCTCCAGCTGAGTAGAAACCATCATCAGGAATGTGAGGAGATCAGTGGGCCACAGTCTCTTCATCTCTGGCCTTCCTTTTATAAGTTTTCATCATGAAATAGCAGTTGTCTCCATCTAAAATTGTTTGGACGGGGTTTGCGGGGGATGGCGTCAGATCCCAGAGCAGGTGCAGAAGTGTGGTGTTTCACCGTAAGGTCAGGGAACCATGTAGAAGTGAAAGCACACCAAGGGGTTACTTTTAAAGAGAGCACAGTTGAAAGGAAGGTCCAAAGCAATGATAATTTAGTAAATTACAGTATATACACTTTCAGGGTAATAGCTAGCCAGACTCTTTTGTCAGCTGGCTGGGGATGGAGTTCCTAAGAAATGAAGTCCAGTCAGCATGGAGGGCCGGGTTTCTCCCAGCTTGCCTTGGTGGAGTTGGGGCAGGCGGGGATGAGGCGGCCTCACTCTCATGGACTAGCCAGAGTGTCTTGTGAGTTTCTCTTTGCTTCAAGGGAAAGAAGAGTCATTGAATTTCGAAATGCTGTCTTGTTTTTTTCTTGCACTCATGAAGCACCATTTGAAGACCCTTTGGCTGCCCGATGTTTTCTTCACCAAGTTTCACTTCTGCAAAAACCCTAACAAAACAGAAAGCTATTTCCGAGAATAAAGTTAACGGTAGATATCTAGACATATAGTGGGATTTGGGGGGTGTCAGACAAGAGTTGAAGAGTATGGAGAATTTGTTAAATTCTAAAAACAGACTGTTTGAAATGCTCAGAAGCCCACCTCACCTTTAAAAACCTCTGAACAGATTTTATGTTTCCTATATGTGTGGGCTTTTTTTTTTTTTTTTTTTTTTTTTGCTTTTTTCATCCCAAACCAAACACCAAAAAGTATAACCCATCCTTCAAGTTAAAGTTTCTCAAAATACATGTGATGCCTGCTAAAGTTCAAGAAAAGTGCAGTTGAAAGTTTTGCCTCTGGGTGACTTTTTACAGGACATCTTAATTGACCCAGAAATGAAACCTGGGATATATGTGCCTGCCCTTCATTAAGAAATTCACCAAGAAACCTCAGGATGTATGTTTAAACAGAAATATTCCAACTGCCCTACTTGCTTCTGGTGGGTGCCTTAGGGAAGGTATAGCAATTCCATTCGGAAATTATAACAATATGTATATATTCATTTAAAATCAAAACTTCCTACCACAACTGCCAGACTTTCTAGGCTATGAGCAGAGGAGAAGCTTTAATTTGGTTATAGGCCGAGGACTCCGCCGCTTCCCTTTGCACATTTGATGAGATGTAAAATGTTAAAGAACTATCTTTCCAAAACGTAAACACTGCCTTCCCTTTACTTAAATGTACGATTTTCTTTTGCTCTTGAGTTTTATTTTCATAGTGGCATCTTACTGGTCTTTCCTTTCCACCATATTTTTGGATGTTGTGTGTTCCATTTTACATTGCCCAGTTAAACCACAGACACTCCTGAAGTCATGTTTACATGTGGACTGCAAGTCAACCTAGTTGGCATGTTGATCTAAGCTACAAATTGCACTGCTGTTTTGCCGAACCCAACAGTCGGTTTCTTGCCATTATTTGCGGTATTTTAACTTAAAACTCACGGTAATCCTTCTCACCCCATCTAGTTTGTTTTAATTGATCTAACAAACACTGCTTGTTTGAATTCAAATGGAGGATCCATGGAAGCTCTCCCACCCCACCCTTTGATACTTGATAAGGGGTCAAACAGTACTTCTTTTAAATTCAGATAATTCTTTGAATGAACTATGAAATACTTCAGAGGGAAAGGAAATATCGATTCTGAGATGGAGAGTAAAAGAACAAGGAGATATTCATTATTGTTGCAGATAATTCCTAGCAATGAAGGAAAAAATTAGACGTTGGATATTTTTGGTTGTGGTGGTTGTATAGTGAGATAGGTGGACAATAGAAAAATCTTCCTTGTGGATTGAAGTTCTAAATCTAGAACTTATCTTTGAAGCTGTCACTTTACTTGATCAGCTCACTATGGAAGTGAATCTAGAATCATACTTTGATTAGAAGCTGGGGATATTGCTACAGAAGAGAAAACATGGCTTTAATATAGTGATGGCATTAATTATGTGACTTGGGCAAGTCATTTTTTAAAAAGTTGTCTTTAAGCCATTCTCGCGGACGTATTTTTTTTGTTCCCTTTTGTCCCTCCTTTTTACTTGTACAAACCACAGGGTGTACACCTATTGACATGAGTCCAAAGTAAAGGCTGTTTTCAACGATGGCAGAGTTTTGTTATATAGCCCCAAGGCTAGGCATCTGAAAGACAACTGTATACAGTGTCTCTACGGAGAGAGTAAGCCGGATTGCTTGGGAAGCTGGTACTGCCCATGCCCCGCCTCCCTTTTGCTCCCCACCCCGAGATGGTCTCATACCTCCATTCCAAGCTTTCATTGTCTCTCTCCCCCTCCCCTCTTCCTGCCCTTATTTTTAACAGCAGGAACGAATTTCATATACACCTCCAGAGAGCCCAGTGCCGAGTTACGCTTCCTCGACGCCACTTCATGTTCCAGTGCCTCGAGCGCTCAGGATGGAGGAAGACTCGATCCGCCTGCCTGCGCACCTGCGTGAGTGTTCGTGACCCGAGAGGGACAGAGGATTGATGGCGTGGGGCGGGGGTGGCAGGCAGTGGGCTCCAGGCCAGAGAGGGGCAAGCTCTGAGGTGGTTTTCACAGGACTTCGCCACGCTGCTTTGGAATCTTTCACACCCCCCTACCCCCAGATACCTTTGAAAAATTTGAGGTTCCTGTTCCTTGTTTCTCAGTGTATTCATTTCTTCCCTGACTATGACATGTTAAAAAAAAAAGAAACCTGGAAACATGCAGTATATGGCAGAGCCAACTAAATCTCCTAGTAGACAAGATGATTTCTGTGTGTGTGCAAAGTTTATCTGTATTCTCAAATTCACGCTTACTCAACTTTAATATTTTCTTTGGTCCTAAATTTTGCTCAGTTTGTGAGTCAGACTCACTTCTGCTTTGTTTTTAAGCTGTGCGCTCGTCCTTTCTTTCCAGGGCCCTCCCTCCCCTCCCTGTCTGTGCTGGCTACTTTTCTTCCCTTCGTTTTCTAGGCCTGCATAGGTCCTCTCTCTTGCCTCCTCTTTCCTTCACCTCCACTCTCTCTTGCTTCTCTTGTGCTTGCTTTGCCTCAGCAGCTGCAGTCTGTAGTGGTTCCACCTTTCTCTCCCAAATCATCTCTACCCCTTGGCCTACCACTTCCCCGTCTCAGTCCTCAGCTGCAACTTGGCAGAGGTTTGGGGCCCACACACCTGTGCTGCTGATACTGGCCTCCAAAGCCGTTGACACCTGCTGTGTCCTTTTTGTCTGCCTTTCTCATACTGCCACCCAGCTCAGGTGATAAAACAGGATTGGGGCAGCTGGAGAGACTGAATCACCTGATTCCCACCCTCTTCACAGTGTCCAAGAAAATGCCAGCTTCTCTGCCTTGAATGTTATCCTGAGGGCACAAGACTAGCTTATAGAGGACACTTGAGGTCACCTTGGCCCTTCCAGTGACTTAAATGGTGGCACAGTCTTGCTCACCATCTCTCTCCAGCAGGGTGATGCTCTCCAGTTCTTCTCCTCCTGTTCCACCCTCCTCAGAAGGTTGCTTTCTGAATGCAGAGAACAGGAGACAGAGGATGCAGGTTCTTCCTTTCTCTCTCTGGTAATTCAGGGAATCAGATGACTGTGATATGGGGGCTCCTGGGGGAACACTGCCGCCGGCTTATGCCTTCTGCCCCAGAGGGCAGACGGTTGCTGGGATGTTTGTGAGGAGTTGGAGGCATGAGAATCCTTTCCCTCCTGCAGCTTGCTGCGTCCATCAGTATTTACGAAGTTGCTGCCTACTATGGTCAAGACATTTCTGCTTCATTTGGGCAGGGAAGTAAAGGACACAGCCCTACTCTACCATCTTTTCCTCTACTTTTAAGGAGGTTCGAACTGTAAAGGTGCCAGGGTCATGGCTGGGAACATCAGTGTTCTTAGGAAACTGGAATGTTGTGGCACCATGGGAGCAGACACAACTGGAAAAGAAACAGCAGCCAAGTGATAGGAAATTTTCCTCCAGAAGTCATCCTGTGACCGATATATTCACTTCAGAAATATTCGCCTCAGGATGGAACATACTCATGCCACACAGGCAGAACACTTCTGCTACCTAATTCATTCATTTATTCATCTCACAAATAGTTATTGATTGCCTCTGCTGTGCCCGGCACTCTTCTGTGTCCTGGGGGTGCAGAAATGAACAAAGCAGAAAAAACTCCCCTGCTCTTGTGGAACTTAAATTCTAGCACAGAGAAAAAAAAAGTATCAAACACTCATCACAAACAGGCTGAGATTTCTTTCATAACGTTTTATTCCTATAGATTGCAACATCCCCCAAGGAGGCCCTCGCTCCTGGTTCACTTCTGGATGCCTTGACATATGGAAGCTCCTTAACTATCTTCCACGAGATGTTATCCTGACAAAACAAATAAGAAAGCAAACAAACACACTGAACTGGAGGTCAGGAGATCTTAACTTTTAGCTAGTTCTGCTGTTCGACTGTGGGTAATTTAACTCAGTTCTCCTAGCATACAATACTGTGTGTTGACAAGAAAATGTTTAACAGCCTTCCTAACTTTAAAGTACTATGATTCTCATCTGAGGCATCATTCTCCTTGCTTTGAATTGTTTCTTCCATACTAACACTTGAATTTTTTCTTGAGTAGACAGTTTCCTTATTGAGCCGTGTCTGTGCTGCTTACCAGCATTTTGGTAGTGCCTTCTGTGTGCCTAGCACACAACCATAATAGCTAATATTTATCACGGGATTACCCTGTAGCAGGCACTGTGTGAAGTCCTTTACAGGAATTCTTTTAATTCATTCTCACAATACCTGTCAGGTAGGTCTTCTTTCTATCTCCATGTCACACATAAGGGCTTAGACAATTTAAGTAATTTTTCAAGGTCGATCACAGAACCAGTAAGAGATAGAGTCAAGGCTCAAACTCAGTTCTGGCTGACTCCAGAGCCTAGGATCTTATATCCACTATACCACCAAAAAGTGTGTGTTTAGTAAATATTTATTGGATGGATGGATGGATGGATGAATTCAGGGTTGACACTTAGCCAGTGTTCACTGGTGTGGCCGTAGCATTGGTTTATGGCTGGAATCTATTCTAATTGCTGTTCTGTCTGTTCTATCTGTTGTTGAATGGCTTGCATATCACCCTTCGAAGGATGGATGGGTCCCCACGTAGACAGCTATAAAATATAGAACTGCAGCACATTCCCGGAAACCTTTCCATTTCATCAGTAGTTAGACTATGGATTCAGATTATGGTAATGATTTTGCCTGAATGCCTACTCTATGGCAGTCTAACTTTATATACCTCTCCTTGGTAGTCTGCATGAGACCTATTGTGACACCATTGGTTCTGACATCTGTATTGAATCCTCTGGAAGTGGAGGTTCCCAGGCTCTTGCTGTTTGCCCTCAGCTGGGACTTTCCAAATGAGGCTGAGCTTCTGTCCTCCCGCTCCCGTTTCAGGGTTCTGCTGCTTGTCATCCTGTTTGAGAGGAGCATATAGCCCCTACGATGACTGAAGCTGTGCCACACACTTAAAGATGCATCCCAGCTGAGTTTCCAAACCTAAAAGAAAATAAATATTCTAACCAGGGAATTGGGTTATTGCTGTTTTAATCTGGGATTCCAGACAATTCCCAGTGGAATGCTCATGGAAAGTACGGGGAAGAATCTCAAAGCCAAGACAACAGCGGGACATTTATGGTATTGCTAAGTCCAAGGCACTTGTAGCTGCTTATTTTAAAGAGATACTCATCAGATTGGTATGCCTCAAAGTGGGTTCTTTTCACCATTTTCCATTGATTACCAGATAAATCCTCTCCCTTAATTCTTCCTTTCTCTTCTTTCATTCTTAAATCAACTTATATTCTTGTGGATGGGGGTAAAGAGGAGCAGAGATCATATTATTTAAGGTTCTCATACAGAGAGTTTCTCACCATTTTATTCTGCAAACACAGAGCTATACCCAAACTGAAGACACAGCATGACAAATTAGCAAGTTATTGAGAAGTAGAGAGTGATGCCTTTTCCTTTTATTTGCCAGTGATAAAAGCAAAGTGATAAATGGAGTAAAGTGTTAAGTGCTGATTAGAGAGGACTTGAAAAGGACTGGCAAAGAAGCCTGGGCAGAGTGCAAGAGGAGAGCCCAGGGAAGAAAGGCCAGACCGTGCCATCCTGCTCTGACTCACTGCCCAGATTACCAGGACAGTGCCCTTCAACAGTCCTACAGCAGAACCCCTCTGCTTACCGGGAGAGCAAACACAAGTATGTTTGTTGAGAGGATAGAAAGGGCATCATTTTTTCTTCTTCTTCCTCTTCTTCCATAAAGGGTACTGAATTTTTTTTGAAGCTTGAGGGTAGAAGAGCCGAAGTACAATTACAGTAGACAGGTGGGAAAAAAAAAGTTGCATTCTTTAAAGGAACATAAGCTTTTCATTGTAGCTTGAAAACACTTGAAAGACCAAGGACCCCCAAGGGTGCCCAGGCAAGGTCACTCTTGACTCTACGCAGAGAAGGGCTGTTGCTGGGAGCAAAGGATACCTTTGCCCAGTTCTCACCAGGGGACTTGTAGTCTCGCAAGGGAGGGATGTTTTCTGATTTGTCTACCCAAAGGCCGCCCTTTTTCTAAACTCATGGGGGAGTGGCTGCTGAAGGGGGCAGTTACAGCACCTCACGAGGTGCTGCCAGCCTGCTCATTGGCAGAGGCTTACCTTATGAAACACTGGGCCTCAGACAGTGATGCTCAGGCCCCGCCTTAGGATAACAATATAAGTATAGTTCAGATTGATGGGGCAGAATTTAAATAATTAAATGTCGTTATTTTAAATTTCTTTTAAACATGATCATTTCACATTTAGTTGACATTGCGCCATTTGCCCGCAGACTGTGCATTTTGCAGTGTCCATTTGGCCTTCTAAAATCCCTGTGAATTATATTTAAAAATCGGAACGTAGGACTCATTCATCATATTTAATAGGGTTAGGGTTTATGATGTTGCAGGTTAATAAATAGCCATAATAGCCGCTCGGCGTTTTCTGGAGTCAGAACACCAGAAATAGTCCCTTGGCTCTCTTTCCTTTCCTTGTGAATCTTTCAAAATTCTTACATTACTACTCCTGCTTGTGTGTGTTTAATAATTTAATTTAATGCCTTCCTTTGGAAACATTACCTCGCTGCTCACCCACTCGGCTGTTTTGCCTTCTCAGCAGAGTAACTGAGTTTAAGACAGCCACGTGACAGGCACAGCTATATTAGAACCAGCATAGTGAGAAGGGATGCAGTGCCTCTCTTTTCTAATTGGGTAGAGCAACAATTTTATATGCTTTCACATTATGTTTGTTCCCAAAAAAAAAGAGGCAAAATTGGGAGCTGAACGTGATCATCATTATTATTTTATATTTTTATACATAACAAGATGCGCTCATACTTATTGTCTCACTTAATTGTACAGCAGTCCTTGAAGCAGGTGCTATTGATTCTGTTTGATGAGCTGACCGTGTCTCCGATAGGTCAACTGGATTGTCCAGGTTCACACAGCATGTGAAAGGCCGAATGTGATTTCTACTTCTTGAAACCACCTTTCAGCTTTTTTAGGAGAAAACATAATGACATAAAGAGTTTCATGGACTTGAAAGTAGAGGCACTGCTGACCGCTGAAGTCTGGGCAGCCACAGGTGCAGGGACTGGGACCGGTGTGGTTCTAGTGATGCCACCTGATCATGAAGTTGTGCTGAATCCTCAGCAGACTGGCTTCTCCCTCGTAGTAGGATGAGGGAGAGGAATCAGGATAACAGCCTGTCCCTGTGGATGGTTTATTCTGGTTTTGTTCACCAGTCCTGCTGCCTCCCCGTTTGTTCTCTTGCGAGCTCAGGTTAGAGTTGAATTTCTCCCTACAACCAGAATGCCAGGGCTGGTCCTGTAGGCCCTGATGGGCCAGCTCTGAGAGTGGGCTCAATCCAGTACCCAATTCCCCAGCATTTTGCTAGGGGTGCCCTTCTAGGAGCAGGGTCTCACTGCTTTTGGAAGTCTCCAAATAAAAAACCATGGTAATAGAAAGGGCTTGGGTCTGGATAGACGTGAATGGACTTGAATTTCAGGGTTGGCTCTATTAGAGAGATGATTTAACCTCTCTAAGACTCAAGTTTCTAACGACACCTACTAATGAGGGCTTCTTAGAAGTATCAGAGCTCATTTATGTATAGCACCTGGCATAGTGCCTGGCCTGCAGTGGCCAGGTAGCTCACCAAAGCTCCATTTCTGTTTCCGGTTATGGTGAATAGCCTGTTGAGGAGGTGGCTTCCCCATGCAGGAGCCAAGGGAAGCAGACATGTCGTTGTCTGTGTGTTTCATTAAAGAAAGGACCTAGGGTTCTGTCTGTGTATTATTGAGACTAATCTTCCTAAGTCACAATGGAAATAAGCTTTGCTTTCAAACGATCCCCTGTGATTTCCAGGGGCTCAGTTTTGCTCTAGGGCACTCCATCCCAGGACCTTTTCCTACCCACATGTCTCTCCCTCAGTCTGGAACTTTCTTCCCGTTCTCGCCTGAATCTGTGAATCTCCTTCAGCCTTCCCCACTCTTCTAATACCTATCAAGTCCTCCCCTGTCCTTTGCTATCACATCAGTGTTCCAAAAATGGCCTCTCCTCACAGCTGCCTGTGACGTGCAGTGATATCACCAGCAGAGTTGAGACAAGGACAAGGAGAAGAGATTTAATTCTCTGTCAGTGTCTTACAAAGCAGTAATGACTTCTAACAAAGCCGACCAGCCACTAGCATTTTCTACTTTGTTCCCCCTTAAGCCTTCTTTTGGGTGCCTTCACTTTTTACATCCAAATGCTTGAAGCTTTCTACTTTCCCCGCGGCACATGTGGCTGTACGAGGGCCCTGGTTAGCTGCTTCAAACAGCTTGAAGAGCAAAAACAGCCCACAGCAGAACAGCCAGGATGCTTTGGAAGGGAAATTTCCTTTTTGGGTTTGCTGTCTGAAAGAATTTCCGATGCAGGCAGACGTTAATTCCTAGCTCCATGCTTCCTGATAAGGAAGCAGCTTCAATAAATGCAGCTATTTATAGATGTCTTTTTTTTTTTAAGAAAAAAAATATATAACCAGAGGTTTACTGACCTTTTCTTTCACTTCACATTTCATGCAGTGAGCTCTGTGTACATTTAAGGCAGTTCCTCCAGCGTCAGCTCTGACAAAGTGGCCCTGGTTTCGCTGTGGGGGATGGGGAGGGGAGGATGAAGATGGCACGGCCCCTCATTAGTGTCACGGGCTCTCCCTTTCCTCAGAGTTCTGAAGTAGACATTTGGAAACTGTTGACAATGGGTTGTCCCTACCTGGTGCTCTGTGTTATTTATGTGAGCCCAGAGGTGCCCAGCTTTATTCTAGACTCAACACTGAAAGGTTATAGCAGACTAAGAGAACCCTTTAAAAAATAAAAGACGATGAGAACCAGTCCATTTTATGAAACTTGAACAGCAACAGGAAATCAGAAACTTTATTTCCATTTCTTCTTTTCTTCTGTCCGTTGCTTCCTCTTGGATTTTCCCAACCCTCAATACGTCTGTGGTCTTTCTCTCGTCTTGATGGGTTTCCGCAGATTGAGGAGTTCCTGTCCATGAGCTCCACAGTCACCCTTACATGTATCTACCTAATGCTTTCTGGCAGGTGTGATAAAGGTTCAGTGTGTTGGCTTGAATGTGCTTCTCTAAGTTACTTCTCACCTCCTCTGATTATCAGAAAGCATTGGTTGAGCTGAGTATATACAAATACAGCAGTTTCCATGCTCAAATAACTGATATTTTCTCCCATTTTGCTTCATGTGTGAGTTACACCACATTAGTAATTCAAACTTTTGGGGTTTCTGGCAGGATGACCTTGACAACTTCATCAGAGGTAAACGTTAGCAGCGACGTTTAGATGTTGCTGCTTTTGCTGTTGCCATGGGTGGATTCTGATTCTCAGTTGCCTGTACCATGTGTGAGTGTTTTGTGGTTCATTTTTCTGATCTCTTCTGAAGGAGGGGTAGAGCAGGACTTGAGAGATTTAAACTGGCCCTGGCTCTGGCCACATGCTGACTGTAAATTCCCAAGTATAATTAGTCACACTGCCCCAATATTTACTGCCTCCATCTTGGGTGTGTGGACAAAACCCCATTCTTTCAACATTGGTCTCCATTTCTGCTTCCAGCAGATCATGGATACCAGTAGCTCTCAAATGGGGCTGTAAGATTCCAGTAATAGAAATGCAGATGATGGGTACGGATAATGGATAAAGAACTGTAGATGTGGGGTGGATGACGATTGGATACCTAGAAGGGAAAGTTGACTGCACAGGGCTACGCAGTGAATACCCTATTTTACCAGGTCAGCTGAGGCTAAATTCTCTACTTCTGGGGTGGGGGTACTAACTGAAATGGTTCACTGAGGAGGGTGAAGGTTTGTAAGGGAAGATGTAACAATACTTTTTTAAAAGCACCTAGGACAAGTTTTAGGGTGTTGAATAGCACCATTTAAAAATTATAGGGGTATCCAGCAATTTATGGAGCTCTGATTGAGAAGTATCATTGTTAGGATTTTATTACCCATTTGTTTTCCAGAAGTAGCTCATCTTTGCAAATGAGCTTTAGTTTTTTGGTCATTGTACCCTACCTGCCAGCTCACAGGAGCCTGTGTTTCTCCTTAGGAGCCACTCTGAGGTCAACCGTGTTTAAGATCATAAAGCCACTCTAGAGAATCTCTGTGGCATTGTTGTGTGGAAGAAGAAATAATGATCACTACTATTATTATATATATGTGTGTGTGTGTGTGTGTGTGTGTGTGTGTATATAAAAGTATATGTGTGTGTGTGTATATATGTATATATGTGTGTATATGTATATGCTTCATATATATTATCCTGAATAATAACAAACTCTGCACAGTAGATATTATACCTGAGGCTCAGGTAAACCACTTGCCCGAGGTCACCCAGAGAAAGTGGAGGAGCCCCAATTTGAATCCGTATCTAATTCCAAAACCCAGACTTTTATTTTCCACTTCACCCTATTACTCTTTAAAAGTCTGAGGAGCAAATGAAAGTTGTTTCATTCTATCTATTGGTTAGAAGGAGAATATCCAAGCTAACAGGCTGATTTTTTTTTCCAATTTTTAAGCATAATATAAATTACTGACAAGAGGGCCCAGATGGATAAAATCAGAGCTATAAACCAAATTATCTTTTGAACTTGAAGGAAGATAAATTTCCATATCCAATCCTGTATGCACACTGTTATCTGCCAGATAGTCTCAGGTATGTGTGTAAATTCTGGAGTGTTAGAAACAAAACTAAATGAAGTAAAAAGAGGTTCCTTGTCTATTATTTTCCATCTTTTTTAAAGAGATGATCTACCTCACAGATGGTTATTAAACAGTAAGAAAGATGCTGTGATTGAATGAAGATTGTGTTACTGAGTTTACACCTTAAAACACTGAACTTCCTGATAATTTGTGTTAAGCCAACACGCTTCAGAAAAATTGCCTGACGTTTGGTGCCTTAGTTTACCCACATGGCATGTGTGCCAGAACACGCTACAACAGGGTAAGAGGGCAGAGAACATGCTCTTGTAGGGGTCAGTTCCTTGAGCTCTGGTTCTACGTGGCTGATTACTTGGGTCATCCCAGCAGTTCATTCCATCTCTCAGGACTGTGGTTTCCACATCTGCAAAGTGAAATGGCCTGAGTATATGATTCCTAAGTTCTCCCCAACTCAATCGTCGCATTGTTCTCTTATTCCAGAAGAGAAACACAAGGGGTATCAGCAGTGGAACATTATCTGTAAATGCCAGATTTCATGATCATTCACTTGATTTTTAGGACTCAACATCAAATTTTAGTGCAGATGGTGGTACTTTCATGACACAGGAAATTGTCCTTCGTTTTACCTGTGATTGTTTTGGGAGGAAGCCCTCCTGCAAGGAAATAGGGAAATCCAACACCCAGCTCTGTTGAGCATTTCCCTATGGTTCCTGTGATTGAAATCGGGTTAATGCTTTTGTGGGATGAGAACTGGTGCCAGCTCCTAGGCCTTGCAGGGCTTCTAAAGACTGTCCCTGCCACTCTTGCCTTATGCTGGTTCCCAGGACCTTACAGCCAGATCACAGGCCTGCTCCCCTGTTCTCATAGCCCCCTTTCTGGCCTGAGAATTGTCTGTGGCTTGGCCCTTTGCCCCATGCAACATGCACAGGTGTGGCTTCTGCTAACTATCTACTTGACCCCAACTGTGTGATTAGCGGCAATCCCCTCTGCAACTCAAGGCGTGTTTGCCTTTCCTGTAACCTGTAAAAAATTTCAGTCTGCGTTTTTCTCCCTCTGGAGATGGTATCCACTGGGTTTTAGGCTTTACAGAGCCAGCTGATCTGCGTGGATGGGCCACACTATCCTCCCTTAGCCGGCTCCGTAGCACATGCACAATTAATACTGCATTAATTAATTATGGGAGAAAAAAAGCACAGTTGGCAAGGGAATGAAGGCTTTCAGCTTCTAAAGTGAAGGCTTTGATGCTGAGCTTGAAAGTACATTTCCATCCGCCTCAGCCAGCAGAGAGAATCTGTGACACTTATACCATCCCCTGGGCATGAAAACTCACACCCAAGGAAAGTATTTCTAAATAGAGGCCCTCAACTAGTTGCTGGAATCATCTACTCATTGCCATGGGCTGTGAAAAGGGGGTGTAAGATTAGGGAGAAAAGACTCGCCCAAAGCAGCAGTGATTCGTGACCAAAGCTGATGAGGGGTTTTATTTTTTCTCCTTAAGTAGCTCTTAAGTCACCAACATCAGGAACTCTTTGTAGAGAAACAAATATGAGTAAGTGATTTGGTGCCAGCCCTCTTGAGGACATAAAATGACTCTTTCTCCTTCCTCCTCCTCCTCGCATGCCTTGCTTCAGGAAGGAACCCTAAGGTGGTGCAGGTTCCCAAACCTGTTATTCGGATGGGTTGGAAGGTTCATCTCTGTTAGGCATGGTTTCCCACTAGATATGAACAAAGTCGGGGAGAAAATGCTTTCCTTTTTCATTCTGATTCCTTCACGCCATTGTTCTTGAACTCCTCAGCTCCCACACTGACTCCTTTCACTTCTCCTATGAGGTGGTAGTGAAGCCACCTCACAAAGTCCCCTCTCTGAACAGACGCAGTTCTCGTTCCCCTATTTACAACTCTGTCAAGCATTTTTCGTGGGGGCTCTTGCTGACCTTAAAATTTGGCCGTGATTCAAATATTCATCCAGGTATCTGGGGTTTTATTAAAGGTCTTTTAGGAACACAAAAGTAGGAATTCCCTGAGAGAGGTTTTCTTCACTTGAGACTCATGGGTTATAAATGAAACTACTGGAATGCCCTGACCAAGTGCTGAGAGGAGCTTCAGAGACCCACAAAAACCTAAAAAGATGTGAAATTTGTCTCTGATCAAATAGATTTTGGACCTTATGAAAGAAAATAAGCTTTTCTTTTGATTCTTAGAGAAAAATTTTTGCTTCAGATGAATCCAAGTGTGTGTGCACGCACGTGCTTTCGTTGGGATCGTCTTATAGCTGTTATTCCAGATACCTGCTTCACAAAGCTTCTGTGATTATTCCTACTACTGTGACGATTCCTGCCACCCCAGTGATCGGGGAAAAGAACTTGAAATACAACTGGGTATTGTAGCATTGGCACTGTGCAGACGCTGTGTAGCTCTCTCATGTCTGGTACTTCTTTGTTTGCTAAAGGAGTATTGAGATTCAGAAAGTGGCTGCCTTCTAAACCTTTATTGTTCAGATAGCATTACTTTGGACCCAGGACAGAGGGCTTATAGTTGACTGTGAACGGGGTGAATGTTATACTTAAGCAGGGAATGTGGTCACCCAGTTGCAATGATTTAGAGTGCTTTGAACATAAATATCTCCCACGATGAATGACCAGGGTGCCTGAAATTCCATTGTTGAGACATTCCTTTTGGATCAGGCATTATTTCCACATAGCTCCACTTTTAAAAGTAAATCATTATGGCAGGAGATAGTTATGGAGAGAGATAATTAATACCTCAAGTCCCTAATATCTTAATGAAAATTAGCTTATCAGATCTCCTGAATTTTTTGAAGTGGAAGGACCGTGGCCAGCACGGAGTGGGTAGAGTTGGAAATAAGCACTATAATTTGCTTAGGGCTGGCCTTCTCTGTGGATAAGACAGATGGAAAACTAGATGGAAAATCCAGGCCTCCTGATTTAGACAAAACATTGTGAGCCTGGAGCTCTGAGGCCAGGATGAGCAGTCTGCTACTTACTGTGCGTGGCCATTGCTCTCAAGACATTGCCATCATCAGTCTTGGCCAAAGAAGGTCAGGTCTCCTCTAGTACACTGGCGATTTGAGAATGTGCAAGTCATCTGCATTTCTTTGACAGGAGTAGTGAATTTGGGAGTATAAATCTGAATCCTTAAGCCTTTCAACCATTCTCACTAAATGTCTTTACTTCAGGGATGATCACGTTTGATCGTAATGCCAAGATCTTGCAGATGTATAAAGGGCATGGTAATCCAAGTCTTGAGTTGAAGTAAGTGGTCAGGAAAATCTTGACCCTTGGGGAAGGAGCTACCAGAGCTGGGTGGCCTATGTGTGTGTGACAGGGAGGAGGTGTGCAGAATTTGGGGGAAAGATCCTTTGTAGTTCTCCATGTGGAATAATAACTTCCATTTATTGAGTGCTTATGGTAGGCGCTTTTCACATGTATTGTATCATTTAACCCTCTAGGCAGTCCTGTGAACTGGGTTTTATTATCCTCATCTTACTGATGAAGAGTCAAACTTAAAGAGGAAAAGGAACTTGACCAGAGTCACAGAGGTGGTAGGTGGGAGACAGGTCCATCCAATATACACCTTGCCTTCCAATAGAAGCCAAAGCCCTATTGCCTAATCTCTTCACTTTAAGAACATGAAGAATAGTGTTGAGTTCCCCTTTGAGATCTGACTGTGGTTAAAGCTTCACAAATTTCAGAAAAACAGAATAACTCACTAAAATAAAAATTTAAAGCTACCCCACAGAAAACATCTACCACAACCCAAAACTTCAGGGTTTATATATCCAGATTTTAGTGAACTATATGACTCTCCCTAGTCCCTTGCTCTGTCTCCTGGTAAATACTGTCCCTTTCAGAGCCCTGGCACATACATAGTGTAATAAGATCAGACCCCATCCCCCTACCATTCCAATGCAATCTAATTGCAAAGTGAAAATCCAGGGCCGTCTTAGATCCTCATCTGTCTACGTCTCTCTTGGTCCCCACTGCTTGATACGCAGTCTCAGGTTCAATACCATTCTCTCTTTTTGTGCTTTAGGTCTCTGTATTGTTTCCTTTTCACCACTTTTTTTTTTTTAATGAAGTGATTTTAAATGGAAAATTAAAAACTTAACTGTGAATCTGGCAGTTTCCTGCTAATGCCTCTTTGCTAAGAAGCTTCATAAAATACTGTATCTTATTCACTTCAGCACAGCTGCTGTGGGCTCTCACCACTTAACCATTCACAATATGTCTGAGAGATTAATTTTTGTAAGGCTGTGGTTTGAGATATCTCCCCCTTCCTTGTTTTACTTAAAATCCTCAGTGGGAAAGCGTGCATGGGGAAAAAAAAAACCACCACCACCCTGGATAAAAGGTACTTTGGTAACATACGTGCTTTAGGAACTATAATTTGTCATTTTATTTTCTTGTGCCCTCTTCATTTGAAATGCTGCAGCCTTTCTGCCAGAAGTCTCAAGTTTGTGTATGAGACTGAGGGGGAAACGAGAGTAGGTACCTTGTGCTGAGACTGTCCTGGGACAGTCCCGTGGTGGGTGTGAGCGTCTGTGTGATGCAGGTATGCTTATTTCTTCATGAAAGCCGCAGGTACTGGTTGCCTCTCGCAGGGTTAAAACTCTTGGCGGCTCACAGGAGGTGATGAAGAGCAAGGGCACGGGAGAATGAAGAAGCAGGAGGAAGGTGTGGGCCAGGGTCGGTTTCGGTGGGGTCCCCACTTGCTGGGTGAAAGCTGAACTGTTTATCCACACATCCCAGCAGCAGCAGAAAGCCAAGGGGTGTTTTCAGGACTCAGCTGCCAAAGTTTCTTGAAGCAGCTCTGCTCAAAGGCATATGCTGGGCTCACTTCTGAGGGAAATTTCCTTTTTGGGGAAGTTGAAGCAAAGGAATTTCCTGTGTGGGCAGACAGAGCTTCCTGACTTGAAGGCTTCTTGGAAGGGAAACAGTTTCATAATGAAATGACAAATTAAAGACATACCAGCCGGGTTCACTTCAAAACAGCTATTGAGAGTGCAGGCAAAGCCCTATTATACTCCCTCACAGAACAAAAATAAATCCCATCCTGACAGGTTTCTGTATGCCGGATTATATCCGTCCCCCCACACCTTTCTTCACAGCCTTCTTCATGCTTCCCTTCCTCCCACCCCCGCCATTAGCTGCCACCAGCTCCATCTTGAACAGCTCTCGAGAGCAGCCGGCAGCCAGGCCGGGAGCCTGTTTCTTGCTCCCTTGCTTTGTGGCTTTGCCCATCCCTGACCTGCGTGGAGGCCTTATAGGTTATGTGACAGCCCTATGCTGCCAAGACACAGAAATGACCTCTTTCCTTCCCCTTTTGACATAAAGCAATGATTGAAGACGTCTTCAGCAATGGGGTGGGGGCGGGCAGTCAGGGGAGAATGCAGCCATTTCCTCAGGCCGGCCTTTAAAATCTTGAAGGCAGTAAATGTAAGTGCTATTCCGGTCTTGGGAGCTGGGTCTGAATTCTTTGCTTTGTTGAAGGAAATAGGGCTCTGTGCTGGGTGGACGATATTCTTGTACCTGAACATGTCATTTTCTTCAGTTCCATCAGCCTGCATGTGGTGCTTTGTTTTGTTTCTGAAATTGACATGATGATGCCTTAGGAACTAAATTTTTTTCTTTAATGGAACAGGCTAGGAGAAAGAAGGATGGCGGTATCATTTGGGGCGTGAGAACAGTCATTATTAATTAGGCTTAAGTTAATGAAATAAAAAAGGCACAGGCTTTGAAATCAGTTGTCTAAATTTAAGGGCCAGCTCTAACAATATACAACCAGCAATGTAACCTTGAACAAGTCACTGAACCTCCCAGCCTCAGTTTCCTTATCTCTAAAATGGGTACAGTCATACCTTTTTCACATTGTTGTGAGGAAATTAGATTATGATTTCAGAGGCACTTTGTGAATTCCTATAAGCCTTCATACTTCTTATTAAACCACTATTGGGATCTCTGGAGACTGAAATATAGTATTAGGCTAAGACAGCAGAATTGTAGAATTTGTAGATCAATTTGGCAAATATTTAGTAGAAGTCTTCTATGTGTGCAGCATGGCTCGACTCTGTGGGGGAAAATAAACAAGTGGAAAGTTTCAGGTGGCCGCATGGTATAGCAGAAAGAATATTGGACTTGGGGCCAGGAGGCCAGGGTTCAATCCTGGCTGTCACTCAGTTGCCTGTGACTTGGTATGAACTGTTTAACCTTGATGAGCCTCAGTTGCTCATCTGTAAAACTGGGAGAAATCAAACTCTATGACCTTAATAAACTCTGTCCAACTCTAACATTGTATAATCAGTTTTAAGAGGTTTTTGCCTTTAGCAGCTGTTTATAGGATTTATTCTAAAGAGTAGGGAAGAAATATTCATTGTATAAGAGCTTGTCTGATGAAGAAGATTGCATGAAAAAGCTACACTTTTTTAATAAGTATATCTGATGTAAACAGGAAAAATGGGTGCTTGCCAGATATGTCATCTATAGCAACTTGTTTTGAGGGGGTCTCTGAATGCTGACATGAAAATGACTAGGATCATGGGTTGAACGTGAGTTTGCTCAAGAGAAGGTTCTCTTGGGGCTTTGGTTTACTTCCTCCCAGCTGCTCCAGGGAACACTCAGGATATTTCCAAATGGCTGCTCATTTAAGCCATTCCCGTTATGGTTCTCCTTGTCCAAATTGGCTTCCATGGTACAGTCCCAGTGTTGACTGGTTCTGCTAATTTGATTCTTTTTTTTTTTAATGTGCTGATATGTAGTTTTAGGACTGCTGCATTATTGTTCCTCTATCTTTCCGTTTGTATTAGTAAAGAACTATTAGCAATTTTGCCTCAGTCTTCTAAGCACGCTTTTTGATTGGAGAAAACCAAGGTACCAGAAAACTTAGATACCATGTGGAAAGTCACAGTTTACTGGGTGTGTACTATGTGTTACTAGTGCTTTAATAAATTTCCTCATTAATTTTATTCTCCCAGCAAGCCTGGCAGGTAGCTGATAGTATCTTTGCTTTACACATACAGAAACTAGGGCTTAGAGATGGTAAGTAATTGGGTCAAGGCCACAGAACTGGCTGGTAGCAGAGCCAGAATTTGAACTCATGTCTGCCTGCTCCAAAGCCTGTGTTCTTTATCCCCTCAGTGCACCCCTACTGTTTTGACTGCTGTTAAATTGACCTTATGCTTAGAACCGAAGTCAAACCCGTACCAGGGCTGCAAAAAGAAACAAAATTAACCTCATAGTCTGCATACTCTCGAAATGGCAAAAAAGCCTGCAACTTTCCGTTGTGGAAAATAATATACCTGGGTGATAAACTGAGCAAACATCACCCTTGCCCTTGCCTCTGAAAGAGAGCCTGTTCTAGTTCATCCTGGGGCCAGCTTGGCCTGGAACCCCACTGGCCAGCTCTGTCCACACCTTGCATATTAGGACAGAAATCTGCCTACCACATTCCAGCTACATAAAGAAGGTGGCCAGCACCTGACTGCCTCTTTCTCCTTGTGAAATTCCTTGGAAATACCATTTGTGACTGCTTGGGCTTGTTCTGAAGAAAATTCAAATCTTGTTCTGTTTAACAAGGATTGATTGAAGAACCCGTAGGCTCAGTGCTAGTACAAAGATAAGCAAGGAAGGAACTCAGAATAAGAGAGAAAAAACTTGGATAATAATTATCAAAACCAGTATTTATTGAGCACCTACTGTGCCCAGTAGAGTAGTAATTACAGGAGGTAAATATCTAAAACTTACATAGCTCTTCACAGAACATACATCTGTTCTTGCTTCTGTGTTTGATTTTATTAGCTTTCCTCTGTACACATAAGCTTTTAGTGTATGTCCTATTATTGAAGTCCAGAGTTTTATTATTTTTCACTTATTTGGGCATAGATAGTTCCAGAATTTACTTGTCTTCCTCATTCTCATTGTTAATCTCATTTTTCTTCCCTGGAGAATATGGACTTTCAAAACTATTTTTCAATCAAGGCCAAAATATTTCTTAAAATTCACTTCTATTTAAAACACAGATAACATCCAGGAGAAAATCTGAGAAGAAAAAAAAAAACGATTTTGATGGTACCTGATTATAAAAGACTCACAGTACTAAGTTATTCTTTGGCACGTGTAGCAAAATACTATGTAGGTGTCATTTCGAGTTCATAGTAAGGGGAGAAATGGTGTCATTTTTCCTGCAGAGAAATTTAATCTTTCACTTTAATCTTTCATTGGCCTATAGCAGCCAGTGGGGTCTTTTAAAAAATTCTTTTCCTTCATATTCCCCGTTTGAGCTTAAGGTACAAAAAAAGAAAATACTCTTGAAATGCTGTGACCAGATCTAGACTGTAACATGCCCCTTCACTCCTCTGGTGAGGAAGTGCGGGAAGGTGGAAGACATTGAGGGGTTGATTATTTACTTCGTTTGGAAGTAAGAAGGGAGGTAGCTCTTATTTGGAATAAGAGCTGTCTTCAGAACAGGTGTGTGCTCTCCTGAAGCCCAGAGCTGTGACTCCCTGGGTGTGTCTCTTACCTGTGCCCTTGGGCAGGTGGCACGGGAGAAGAATACGATAAGAGGAGGATGGTACAGACAGAGGAGTCACAGGCTGAACAGGCTGTCACCGGGGCAAGATGACTGACAGGTGGATGGAATTCACCATCCTTTCCTTTCAATCAAAAAAAAGGTAGAAAGTTGCTCATAAGTAAGTTTGAGTTATATCATCTTCTTCATAGCCGTTGCTCTTCAGACACAGGTGCTGGTAATCAGGAAAATGCAAGGAAACAGCTCTGGGGAAAAGGAACAAGCCTCGTTGGCCTTGAGAGCCCCAGTAGACCATCAGGCCTTGCTTTGGATATTGGGAGGTGACAGTGCCTTCTCACGTGCCTGACAGTTTCCCTGCACCACCAAGACTCTGTGTGACTGAGGCCGTGGCCCGGGTTTCAGGATGGGCATTCAGAGGAAGGAAGTTCCCCCTCCTTCACTTACCTCACGCTTACTAGATGCTGGGTTGCCTATGCCCATGTTAAAGGAAGCCAGATAACTTTCTGTCCCCATGTGATCCAGGCCCATCCTGAAGCCTGGGGGTTCTGAACATAAGTATGGCGGTTGCAGCCTTCCTTCTGTGACTTCTGGAATTCCTGACAGAGAGGGTCATATCTAGCCACTGTCAACCGGATGCTAGACTTGTTTTGTTAGGCCCTTCCTCCTTCCCTTCCTCTACTTATCTTCCAATAACCTTAGGATTTGGAGGAAATTAAAATAAACCTTCTTCTAGAAAGGTGTCAGGGACCCATGCACAAATGTAGCCTTTTTGATGCTTGAGAAAGAATGCCTTTTTGACTTCCGTGAATAAAGAATAAGTCACGGCTAATGAGTAAGTAACAGCACGTGCCTGTGGTCCCAGTTATTCAGGAGACTGAGGCAGGAGGATTGCTTGATCCCATGAGTTCAAGGCTGCAGTGAGCCATGATTGTGCCACTGCACTCCAGCCTGAACAACAGAGCAAGACCCCATCTCTTAAAAAAAAAAAGGAAAAATGCCTATGCAATGGCTCTGAGGCACCCTCATGGTTGATCCAATGGCCTTGCCTAGTGATTTTGACATGCTTTAACTTGTGACCAACATCTAGTCTATTTGTCTCCCATTAGAGACTGGTTGTGACAGCATTGCCATTGACCTGCCATATATAGGAACTCCAGTGTCTGAAAACATAGCAGGACTTTGTAGGTATTAACATTGAGCAGTGCTTTCACATTTTACAGCTTACCGTGATGAGCAAGATATTGTGTCAAAAATAGTGCATTGCAGATATCAATAAGAGGTAGGGTAGGCAGTGATTTCAGTGGTGTCCCACTCCACACTGTAATTTTGTTTCTTTGGTCAACTAATGTAAGAACTGAGTCTGTAACTCTAACCTAGGGAGCCATTGCTGTGTGTCAACTTTGTTGCTTTAAAATCTTGAGACACCTTTTCAGTATCTCCCACTTTGTCTGAGTAGTCATACTTTTAATGATATTTAAAAGTCAAACTCTAAATACTTTGGAGCTAAATCTCAGCAGAGATAAACTTCAAACTGGTGGGAGTGGGGGTAGAGAAACCCTTCTGGGAGTCAGAATGAGATACTTGTGTGTCTGGACTGGTGGCAGGTTTGTATGTTACCAGAGTGATCTCCATGGTAACGGATCAACATGGCGCCAATGACAACTCTACACTAAGAGCTTCAGGTTCCCATGAGAAAGTGGATCCTCACAGCAAATAGGAAGAAATCAAGAAATATGGATCCACACTCCCCTTCCCTGTAGAATTCTGGCCGTGAAGTTTCAGTTCATATAACCAACACCATGTCCTATTTAACCACTTGGGTCCCTCTGAGTAAACCAAGACTCTTCTGAGAATGCAGTGTTCTCTCAGATTTCAACTAAATTCATACAAAGTTTAATCAGACTTGCATAGCAAAGAACTATATTGCAGTGGAGCAAGAATGTAACTTGGAGTCAGGAAGCCTGGCCTCCAGACCCAGCTCTGACACTGTGATATGAGGAAATCACCTCGCAGGTTCTTATTTTCCAGATTCTCAAATTCCCACCAGTGCTGATGGTCAATCATCCAATTATATTGAAAGCCCTTAGTATGATACATCAGCAGTAGGAAAGGTAGATGACTAAATATAATACAGTGTGCCTTTTCCTACACCATCAAAGGTATGATAATGTTGTGATCATGTGTATAAAAACTTTCAGACACCTAAAAAGTAGAAGGTGTGATTCATCTCTGTTAAAGCTTAATCTCTGAGCATAACAACCAACATCTGGAAGCTAGGCAGCCAACAGAGGGGTTAATTTTTCTGGAACCTTGGTTGCAAAAGGTTATTAGTTTGCAGAAAGACTCAGAGATCACTGTTTATCTTAAACCACAAGAGAATGTTTTTGAATTCAGAAGAACAGTGATATAGTTCGGTAATTTCATGAACCTCTTCCCTGGGAAACCTTATGACTCAACAGTCAAAGGTGTCCGAATAGTAAAGATGGTTTTCAGTGATCAGGTCTGTGCCCATGCCTGGCCTTGGATAGACTCTGAAATGAGATTCTTTGTTTGATTGATGGGGTGATGGTTTCTGTTGTGTACATTTGAAGGAAACCAGTTTCCCCACCCAAAATTTCTAAGGAGTTTAATCTTTGGGGTATAGGGGAGTTAAACTACACTGAGTCAAGGAAGTAATTGATTGCATATTTCCTCTAAAAGTCAGCTATGGACTTGATATTGACTAAAACAAACTAGCAGTTCTCTTCCACCACCAAGTCAGAGCGTCTGTTCACCATTCTGCATGATTAAAAGAACAACTAAGAATGGTAATGCTCCATTTAAACTTTCCTTGTGATTCTCTCTGGTCTACCTTCAATCAACAAAAGCCTAAAATTTTTATTTTAGAATCATGATGTTGGAAGATCTTTAGATTGCTCATACCATAAAGCTGTTTCTAAGATTGGTCTCGGGAAGGTCCAAGATCAGGATTGAAGTATGAAAAATCTTGGCCAGGTGCAGTGGCTCATGCCTGTAATCCCAGCACTTTGGGAGGCCGAGGCAGGTGGGTCACAAGGTCAGGAGATCCAGACCATCCTGGCTAACATGGTGAAAGCCCGTCTCTACTAAAAATACAAAAAATTAGCTGGGTGTGGTGGCGGACACCTGTAGTCCCAGCTACTCGGGAGGCTGAGGCAGGAGAATGGCGTGAACCCGGGAGGCAGAGCTTGCCGTGAGCCGAGATTGCACCACTACATTCCAGCTTAGTGACAGAGTGAGACTCCATCTCAAAAAAAAAAAAAAAAAAAATGAAATCTTGATCTTATTGCCTTGTCACCTTTTTGTCTTAAGTTTACTTTGTTGGTATAAAGAATTTTTTTTAATTCAGCAAGAGCTCAAAGAGCCATATATATATATATAAATTTTTTTTTAATTAAAAATCTTTCTGCTCAAGTCTCAACTACAGTGAGACTGAATGGAAAATGCAAAAGCTCTTGACATGATGTCGGAATGAACAAGATGGAGAGGTTGAATTTGAGAACATGGTTTCCTTATTGTGAAATTCCAGTTTCAGAACATTGGCACTGTCTGGTTCAAATATAAATACACATTATTTTATTGTAATCCGCTAGTTTAAATTGTTTATTCTGCTTATAAGGAAGAGATCCATGATAGCTGTGAACCCCTTTGAAGGAGACTTTATCCATGGCTCAGTCCAAGGTGTTTGAAGCACTTTTCTCATGGCCTGGCTGGAAAGACTTTCAGAAATAAGCAGGGTTCTGGTAGGAAAATGAAGGCAGTTGAGGAAAACAGTGCACATATTTGTAAGAGGACTATACTTGGTATCTTGGAAAACATAAACAGACCCTAGACTGTCTACCCCAAGTCTGGGAAGGCGGTCCTCTGAAGCTGAGGTTCTCCTGGAACTCCCTTCCACAGGGCTGCGTTGCAAATGCCATTGTGGAGGCATCACCCGATGTGGTGGACCTGAACATTGGGGAAATGCAGTGCTGCCTGCTGCTGCGCTGGCTGGCATCTGCCCTCCTCCGTCTCCTGGGTGCTGCCACAGAGAAGAGAGAGAGAGTGAAGCGGGCAGAGACTGGCTGTTGCCATCACACAACTGAGGGCGGACCTGGAGCTCAGCCGGCTGAGGGTTTGAGAGACCGTTGGGAGCAAGACCCAACCACAAGGCCCATGGAAGAGGAAGTTGGCAGATCTCAGAAAGGGGAGGAAAAGGAGAGGTGCTTATTTGTTCATCTTGTTTTTGCTTTTAAGGAAAGGAGGAGAGTTAAATGAGAAAGGAGGGCGAGTTGAGAAGGTTCTGAGCAGTTTCAGGTCCACGGTTGAGCAATGTTCTTCCTGGTCAACAAACTGCCTGGATTTCATTTTGGCCTGACAACAGCCCCACCACCTAGGGAACTGCACAGAGATCCTGTGTGTTAACCACGCAAGAGAGTCTGCAGTTAGAATACTGGGGCTTGTGCAGAGAGAAGAATTCAGAAAGTCAAAGGCTGGATGTAGGTGAAGAGACTATGGACTCTGCCTTCATGTCATCAGTTAAAGTGCCCTGCACACCTGCCTGTCCTAGGTCCTGTAGGGATGTGATATAACAAGCATGAGCTATACCTTAGTGTCTGTGTTCCAGAACTTTGTTGGCTCCCGAAGCACCTTTCCCTCCTCCCAAGAGGAATAAACAAATGTAAATAAATGGTGCCCAGGTTTTCATTTGGCTCACAAAAGATTATATAAAACTCATAGTCTGTCTGAAGTATGTTACCTGTAAACCTGTTTCAGCTAACCACCTTTTCTAGCACAATCAAGCTGGTAAAATACATGCCTGCACGCCAGCCACGGTACTGAGGACCACATCAAAACTGCTCCTTGAAGGAACTTGGAGAAAATGAACAACCAGCAACTTGTTAGCTGGTCTCTGAATGACAGAGGGTACTGCTTTAGATGTCCCCCAGGAATTCTGAGTTTATGCAGCAGAGGGACCGTAGCCCCGGGGTCAGGCAGGACAAGGGGATCAGACCTTCCTCTTGCTATGTGTGGATCATTATTCAGCTGAATGTCTCTAATCAGGAACTCTGGGCATAAAAACACGATCTCTGCAGACTTGTGTGTGGCTAGACGCCCTCTGTGTGCTGTATTTGTAATTCTCTGTCTCTGTATGGTTTCAGCCTTGGAAGAAGCTTTGAACCAGTGATGAGTTTGCTTTCCGCAGTCAAAACTGTGGTTTGAGAATTTCACTGTTAATAATTGGGAGTAAAGGAAAAAGCTGGGCTATTGAAGGGTAAAGCCGATGTCCCTAGGACTGTGGCCTCAGGAAGATGACTGGATGGCGGCAGCAGAACTGATGGCAGAAACCAGGGAAGCTGATGTTGTATTGCAGCCTCCCTCACACAGATTCTAATCCTAGAAAGTGGACTGTGGAAAAAAACTTAACTATTCACAACAAACGTTTACCAGTCTTATTTAGTGGCAGGCCTTGTGATGAGTGCTGGGGTTAAACCATAAGTCAAATACAGACACTGCTGTCTTTATTATTCATTAAAATGTCTTTAGGGTAATTTTGTATTTACATCTTCAGCAAATATTAACTGAGCACCTGTGATCAACCACATAGCTGCTAGGCACTGTGAATACCGTGGTAGACAAGAACAGACGCTTTTCTTGTTAATCCGTGGAATTTACAATCTAGAGGGGAGACTCCACCTACCCCACCAGATGTGTGCAGAAGGCGCCATCACTGCTTTAGTTTCAGGTCTTTGCTCAGGTCATTGCTCACACTGAGTCCACATTTATAAGTTTTCCTGTCGGGTGAGCTGCCGAAGGGCCAGGGAACGTGATAAACCATACAAGCAGCGCATCCAAGAAGTGGTTTCTGAGCAGTCACTGAGACAGCGAGGGTTCCCTGCACTGAGCACCAAGTTATTACTATTTTCCATACACGTCAATATGTTATTGATTGCTTCACTGTGCTGATCTGTTTTTGTTTCATGTGGCTCTTTGGGTCTGTCTAACCTGGTATTTTCAGTCTCACCAGCATTTCTAAAGTTCTAGAGACCCATTTCATCCACCTTACACCATGTCTACCACAGTGCCAGGCATCAAGCCTGCTAATTGTGCTTGATGGTGATTATTACCAGCCCCGGATTTGTAAGAGTCACCAGCAGTGGCATTTCAAGATTTAGCCTGGGAGCTCACGGTTATGTGGAAAGAGGGGCTCAAGACTAAGCCCAGGGAGGTTTTGGGGTGATAGAATTGATTCTTTACACTGAACGTGAATCCTCAGTGATGTTTTGATGAGGATGCGGGACATTGTGCTATGCTAAAGCCCGTCACAGCAGCATTAAAAATGTCCCAGTATGGAGACCTGACTTACACCTTGGCTCAATCATTAAATTAAATAACTCACCAAAGAATAAATACCAACAAATACTAGAAATGTTGATTTTTAGAATAATAAAATATCAGTTTTTGTTTTTTGAACTGGCAGGGAATTTTTTTTTTTTTCTTTTTGTAGAGACAGTATCATGCTATGTTTCCCAGGCTGGTCTCCAAGTCCTGGCCTCAAGCTATCCTCCTGCTGTGGCCGCCCAAAGTGCTGGGATAAAAGGCATGAGCCACCACACCCAGCCAGAATTTTTTAAATGTTAATTTTCAATACACATGTAGCTATGAGGAGATGGACACATTCTTTCTATCTGACACACCTGGTCACTCCAAACGTTCAGCACTTCACATGGGAGGCTACATATGGAAGTGAAATGAAAAATCACCAGCAGCCGCAGAACAAAAATATAATCCAGTGAGCATAACTTTTATGGAAGCACTTCAGCAATATGGGTAAAGGACCTGAAAACACTTTTGCTCTTTGGCTCACTAATTCCTTTTCTAATAACCCATCCCTAGGGAACACTCTCCGATGCTGACAAACCTTCTTACACATGGTTCTGCAGAGCAGCAGAGGCCACCACCAGCAAGGTTCAATAAATTAAGGCAGGTCATTATGTGGGACTATTATGCACTAATTAAAAATCACATTTTTTAGGCCGGGCGCAGTGGCTCACGCCTGTAATCCCAGCACTTTGGGAGGCCAAGGCGGGTGGATCACAAGGTCAGGAGACTGCGACCATCCTGGCTAACACAGTGAAACCCCGTCTCTGCTAAAAATATTTAAAAAATTAGCCAGGCGTGGTGGCAGGTGCCTGTAGTCCCAGCTACTCGGGAGGCTGAGGCAGGAGAATGGCGTGAACCTGGGAGGCGGAGCTTGCAGTGAGCCGAGATAGCGCCACTGCACTCCAGCCTGGGTGACAGAGTGAGACTCCGTGTCAAAAAAAAAAAAAAAAAAAAAAATCACGTTTTTTA
Organism: Homo sapiens; assembly: GCF_000001405.40. Taxonomy (NCBI): domain Eukaryota; kingdom Metazoa; phylum Chordata; class Mammalia; order Primates; family Hominidae; genus Homo; species Homo sapiens. The sequence goes on from NC_000012.12 coordinate 11,777,275, forward strand.
AATGCTCATATAATATAATTGAAAAGGCAGGGTACAAATCTCTCTCTTCAGAGTCATCTCAATTGTTTTTAATCCATAAAAATAAACCAAAAGGCTATGGAGGAAAATAGTTATTGTGGTTATCTCTAGGTAGAAGGATTGTGGGTAGAATTTCTTTCTCTTTACTGTGGAGTTTTTTTGTTTTTTTTTTCTTCTGGCATTGCCCAGGATTATTTCTGTCCATCAGGGCGTAGTGGGTCACTTCTGTACCCAGCAGCTTGCACCTAGATTTATTGTGTCAAAATGCAAATCTGGGCGTGCATTTTCCATTGTCCCCTCCCCACCTGCGCTTAAAACCCCTCCTTGTCTTCCTGCTGTAAGTAGGATAAATGCACCAGCTGTACTGGGCCTTTCCCATTTCCCATGCTGATCACATTCTCTCGCCTCTTTCTTCTGGCTACAACACACTTCTTCATTCCAAACCCTTCCCCCTGACCCACCTCCACCCCCCACCCTAGCAAGATTAATTCCCTGTAATTCTAGTTCATCCTTTTGGCCCCAGTTTAAGCCATTTATTCATGCCAGGCTTTACAGAAGACTCACCAGCACCTCCAATGGGCTTCCAAGGTGCTCTCAACTTCCCTTAACACAGGTTCCCAGTTTATCCTCACCACTGAAGCCCAAGAGCTGGGACTGTGCCAGATTGATCACCAGTGCATTCCCCCAGCACACAGCAGGACTCGGCTCACCCTGGATGGTTCTTAAGCATTTATGAATGGGTGGATCTCACCTACGTGACCTGGAACTTCTCTGTTCTCAGAGCAAGCCATGTCAAATAGCAGAAAATGCACCGGCTTTGGAGCCTACTGCAGGACTAGATGTCTCAGGGTCGCAGTTTCCTCATCCCTAAAAAGGGGAATCACGATGCTTATCTCATGCAGTTATTGTGAGGTTACAAGAGTTACTGCTTATGAAGGGCCCTGTCCAGCATCTGGCACGTGGCAGGTCCTCCGTGAATGACAGCGCCTTCCTGGGCAGCCTGGCGAGCGCACACGCGTGTGCACACACACACACTCCTGTGTTTAATATAGCCCTGTCTGTTGTGAGCCACTTGAGGAGAGGTGTCCCTAGAAGAAACTTTTTTCCCAGAAAATGAGGCCTGGCTGGTGCTCATCCTGAGTTCCTGGAAGGCAGTGTTTTCTTGTAACCATCTGAGATTCCTGGGGCTGGGTATAGTGCCTGATGCTCTCAATATATGCGTGTTGAATCAAACCAGAAGAAGCAGGCTGAGGCACTGAGTGAAAACCTATGTGGATGTCCTGCTGCCTTTTCCTTGTGGAGGGTAGATCATTCCCAACTCTGCCTGAAACTTTGATGCCTTATTGGAGGAAGAGAAAGGTAACTCCCTTGTTGAGCCATAGAGCTCTTAGTTTTTCTTTCTTAAAAAAAAAATCACTCTTCTTTCAAACACCATTAAATTAGTCCAGTTATGTACACTGGGCTTGTATTGCATGGTTTATATAAAAGCTAAGTTCTTTCTTTAAGATTGGAGCCCTCCGTGTGAGTGATTTCAGGATAAAAGGCCTTAGAGGATTAGACACATTATTCGTTTGTAAAACTGATTGCTCAAGTGATACAGCCCTAGGGCTGCCCCCTTATTGTAGCTTCTTGAACACTGTCAAACTGTCAGACTTGGGTTGGTGGTTATTTTATCTCGCAAACAACCAAAACCAGATTTACATTGTAAGTAGATACTAGCGTGGCTTTTGTCCTTCCTATATCTAGGCCCTGAATACTTCAGAGCCAGATTAAATGCTTTGCTCTATTTTTTCATAGATTTGGGCTTCGACCAAACATACAAGTTGAGCCTGTTGACTTCTCTCTTTGTGGATGCACACGTGCGTCTCTGCGTATATTTGTGCATGCTTTCCCGAATAAGTCCTCTTTTAAAACTCAGCCTTTCATCATTTTAGAAATGATTTGCTCTTTTACAGCTTGTACTTTTTATGGTTCTTAGAGGATCACTGCAGCAAATATATTTGGCAGAAATTGAGCACACAAGCCCTTCCCCAGAACTCAGTACTGAATTTGTTCAGTTCCCATCTTAAAAACTTGAAACTCCTTTGACTTTTCCTGTGATGTGCTTATTTCTGATCTGAAACTGTAGTTCAAAGCTAGACTTGGTAATCATTCACGTCAAGAAAGGAATGGATTGCTCAAAAAAGAAGTCAGACTCTAAAAATAGCCTCCATACCGAGGCCCACTTTTCTACCTAGGGAATCAAGACAGAAATATTTCCAGGATTGAAATGACATAGTTCAAGTGACGCAACCATTTGGCTGCCTGCTATTTTTCTCTTTTCTGCCAGAAGGAAAATATATAATGTAGAAAAATTCCCCTAGAGTTGTTAAAATAATCACTGAAATAACCTTTGGTGCTTAGTATGGTACCCTGGAAAACTTGGATCTCTAGAATGGTTCATTTCAGAGCTTTTCCAGATAGCCAAGTTTTTATTAGAAAATTGGTTGGTATAGACGGTGCTCACTGTGACTGTTCAGTGCATGATGAGAATCCTTCTTTACAGAGATAAAAAGTGTGAAGAGAATTGCTGAGAAGTAACCATTCATTCCCTTCTGCATTTGCCTAGTGTGCTGTGTAATTAAATGAGCTGATAAAATTTACAAGAAATAAAGCTTTATGCAATTACAAATAGATGACATGACTTTTTAAAAGGTTTTGCCCATATTTTTCACACACGCTCTACCTTTAGCCTTCTCTGCTTTCACACAGATGCTGAAAAACAAAAGAGTTAATTAGAAACCATTCCTTTTCTCTCTTTCTGGTACAGAGAAGGCTTCCACTAAGTATGTGCTGAATAAATGACCCAGTCTGAAAGTTTTAATTTATTACACAGTATATTCATAGAACTGTAACTGTTACAACCTCTAGTTTGATAGATGTAGCTGTTTTTGTTTTTTTAAGTTGAGATTATATTAATATCTGTCACTTGGGTTGCCAGCCTTTTAGAAGAAAATTTGGGGTTTATATTAGAATAGGTTTTAGGTTCAGTAGCCTGTATCCTTTTTTACTGCCCTGGGACAACAGCAAATATTCACCTAAATTCATTCTGTGGTGTAACACTTTAGAAGTATACCAGTTCTTCCTTGCAAATAACAACAAAAAGCTCTGAACAACTTAATCACAGAGAAAAAAAAAGCTTTTATTGGAGGTATATTGGGCAGCTCATTGGCTGATAAGGTAGCAGAAGCAAAAGGATACTTGGCAGCCCGGAGCTTAGCTGAGATGGAGCCATAAGGACAGTTTTATTAGGATGCCACCACAGCTCGGCTGCCAGTGGACACATGAATTCGTGAGACTAGCACCTCTGCCATAAATAACATCTCACCATCCCTGGGGAATTGGTCACTCCCTTAAGACTCAAACACTGTGGCAAGTGCATCTAATTGGCTGAGTCCAGGTTATGTTCCAGGGAACAGGGGAGAAAGCTCTGCCAATCTTGGGATTCCCCCACATGCGGTATGTGGATGCTGAGCAGACAAAAATATAGAAGTCTAGTAGATGATTGTAAGTTACTGTATAGCAGTGTGTTTCATCTTGTTCTTACGTCCTGTGGAAGCTTTCTTCATGGCGAAGTTAAGCAGTTCCACATCTGCATTCCCCCAGATCAGCACACCAAAGGTGAACAGCTTGGGTTTCCCCCTACTTTCAGTTACAGGTACAAGATGTTAGCAAACTATGCAAATCTCAATGAGTTTTGTTTCCTAATTCTGTTTGCATGCTAGGAAACTTGCCTCATGATACAACAGTAAACCCCTGCTTTAAGAAAAACATGAGGCTGGTTTAATATGTACAATGTCCAACTCTTAGGAAGTGTTTATTTTTCAATTGCCTTTAATAATTTCTCATAAAGATCGATGAGTCTAAGAATTGTGAAGGACCTCAGAGATGATATATTTCAACTTGTCATCCACGTCACGACTGTCTCTTTAGCATCCCAGAGATAGCAGGACAGTCCTCCCCTGCTTGTGTGTATTCAGTGGGAAGTACTTCCCTGCCCCCTTTTCGTCCCGTTCTTGGATGGTGCTAGATGTGAAAAATAGAGTTGAAACTCACCTCACTGTCACTTTGCTCTTGGTTCTAGTTTTGCCATGTGAAACCAGATAGGGTGTATTCTTTCTACATTAAGTCTAGAGACAGAACTTTGGAATCAGATATGGATTTGATGCTCAGCTTTGCCATTTACCCAAAATGAAACAGTTACTTTAACAGTATTTTTCGTCTAATATGTGCAAACTAATTGCTGAATGGATAGGCAGTTATTTTATTAATGCAACAAAAGGTTATGTTAGCATTTTAATATTTGTGTTGTATTCACATTGATCGTTTTTACTTGGACTATAGCCAAAGTCAGAACTCTTCTTTTGTGGATTTTTTAAACTTAAAATATATGCCTTTACATTTAACCCTATTACGTTTTATTTAAGTTGGCTGAGGTAATGCCTATCATCCCTTCTATAAACTCCTCTTTCCTACTTTATGGCTTCTATATTAGATGAGTACTTTCTCTGTACCTTTATGTTAATTATTTGGAAGGGAAAAAGATTGAATGGGACGGGACCTGTGAAAGATCCCTGTGGCATACCGCTAGAGACTGCCTTCCAGGTAGGCATAGTTTTAAAACTATAAAGTTAACTTTATAGTTAACAAGTATATTGTGATTATGTTTTCTGGCAAATAAATCTCTTTGCTGCCATATGCCATAAATGACACATTATCATTTTTGCAAATATGCACAATGGTACTACATATCAATTGACTGTCAGCCTAACCCATAAGAAAAAGTCAGGATAGACTGTCAAGTTATTTGCTGAAATCAGATGCACTGCTTGGCTCTCTGTAAAATCTTTACCAAGTACCCTCTTTCACTTTACTCGTCTACTCATGGCAAATCTAAAACCTTCTACTTCAGCTTAGGCAAGACATCTTCTTGGGTCAGTGGTAGATGTGAACAATCTTCGTGGGTCAGTGGTAGTTTAACAGTTTGTTAAACTGTTGTTAATCAATGTATCTACTCTCGGTGATTTTAAGAGAGAAAAGAAGACTTTTTGTTTTTGTCTGAGAGGAGTTTTTAACCTGGAAAGACAGCTGAAACGTTATCTGAAATGTGAAATGTTAAACATTTTATTATTAAGAGACAGTGTGTTTTTTATTTTACTCACACAGTATGTGTGCATTTGTGTTTTCTGCGACTGCACATTTGTAATAATAGGCTCATATTTTGTTTTTCATTTTAAAATTGGCTTTGTAGGATGTTCACTAATGTGGAAAGACAGAGGGATTGGGGAATCACTGGGAAATGCTTGGAGTCAGTCTGTTATGTAGATGTGCAAGGTATTGACTACAGAGTGAGACACTCTTGCTTGGTTATGTCCTATTTCTCTCTGAATTTTTTAATTCTCAAAAAGTAATTTAGAACTATAACACCTTGGTTTGTATGAGTGTAAAATGATTTATAAGATAACCTCAGGTGTGTTGACAGAAGAAATGCAATTAAATTGTTTCCATGTTTAAGAAAAATATGGGAGGTATATGTATTATAAGTATACATCTATTGACTGGCTAAAGAAGAAAAGATGACTAGGGTATGCCATGCTAAGGAGTTTAGATTTTGTGCTGGAAGTTTAAATAGGGGAGAGAAGGGATGTGTGTTCAGAAGGCTTTTGTAGGTAGCAGCTGTAGCAATGATCTAGGTGAGAAAAAAATAAGTACAAGCCAAAGCAGTGTCAGAGAGATGGAGTGAAAGAGAAACATTCAAGTGATTAAGCAGATTGATTGGGCAAGGTGAGTGGCAGATCAGATGAGGAGCAAGGGATGGGAAGCAGAAAAGACAAGTCTCCGTGGAGCCCATTATCTAGAGTGGCAAGACGAGAAGGAAGAGCCTATAAGAGGGCTCCCCAGAGAGACAGGAGGGAAATCACAGAGATCAAGGAAGGAGAATTTCAGGAAGGAAAGAATGATCCTGCCCAATCAGATGCTGCATAGAATTCAGGTAAGATGAGGACTGAAGGTGTCTTTGGCTTTTCCAAGTAGGGAAGTCATCAGTGACCCAGTAAGCACAATTTCTGTGGCGGGGAGAGGCAGGTGGAAACCTGATTGCTGTGGGTTGAAATGTGGAAGAAAGTGATTATAGATGACTCTCTTACTGGATTGGAATCGAGAGAAAAGATAGGATCTGGAAGGCAACAGCGGGTGAAGGGAGGTTTTTGCTTTTGTTTTGTTTATTTAATGGACGGTATTTAGCCATGTAGAATTGTTGGTAAGAATCAGAGAGTTGAAAATAAAGGAGAAATATGGGGTGATTTATGGAACAGAGTCCTTGTAGAAGTGAGAAAAAATAAGAGGCAAAGTAAAAATGGAGGTATTATTTCATTTTCAATGGAAAGATGGACACTTGTTACACTGAAATCAGAGGAAAGGTGTGTGTGAACATAAGACAGTTGTTTGTATGGGGGCAGGCTTCATAACTTGTGGAAACTCCCACTTCACAGCCTTTTTGTTTGTGGTTGGTTGTTTTTTTGTTTGTTTGTTTGTTTGTTTTGCCTGAGAAGCCAAAGATACAGGAGGTGGCAGTGAAGGAAATGGGAGAGTGCCTGATTGAGCCAAGCTGGGGTCCCCCCACCGCGTGGCATCGCCTCCCAGTGGGAGGCCTGGAGTTTGTATTGATACTAATTTGTCTGTCTGTGTGGTTTCCCCCTGTGCTGCTCAACACCGTAGTGTAGGAGGGGTGAAAGGAGATGGTGAGACCCATTCTTTCAGGAAATATTAACTGAGCACCTGCTATGTGCCAAGTGTGTTCTAAACTATCAAGATACAGGCCAGGCACAGTGGCTCATGCCTGTAATCCCAGCACTTTGGGAGGCCAAGGTGGGCGGATCACTTGAGATCAGGAGTTCGAGACCAGCCTGGCCAACATGTTGAAACCCCGTCTTCACTAAAAATACAAAATTAGCTGGGCGTGGTGGCACCCGCCTGTAATCCACTACTCAGGAGGCTAAGGCAGGAGAATCACTTGAACCTGGGAGGCTGAGGTGGGAAGATTGCTTGAACCCTGGAGGCGGAGGTTGCAGTGAGCCGAGATCACGCCACTGCACTCGCGCCTGGGTGACACAGCGAGACTCCATCTCAAAAAAAAAAAAAAAAAGATACAGAATTTAACACAGGAGGAGCAAGCCATGTGACTATGTGAGTTCAAAGTATTCCAAGCACAAACAACAATAAAGACCTTGAGGAGGGAAAGTGTTTGATGTATTAAAAGGAACGCGAGGAAGCAAATGTGTCTAAAGTGATTGGCAAGTGAGGAAGAGCGGAGTTCGGAAACAGGAGTGGGGCAAGAGGACTTGGGAGGAGGCTGTAGGCCACTGTAAAGATACTGTGTTTTTTGTCATTTTCTGAGACAGGCTCTTGCCTCGGCTGGAGTGCAGTGGTGTAATCATAGCTCACTGCAGCCGCAAACTCTTGGGCTCATGATCCTTCCGCCGCAGCCTCCAGAGTAGCTGGAACTACAAGTGTGCACCCCGTGCCTTGCTAATTTTTTTTTTTTTTTTTTTTTTTTGGTAGAAATGAGGTCTCACTATGTTACCCAGGCTGGTCTCAAACTCCCAGCCTCAAGCAATCCTCCTACCGCAGCCTCCCAAAATGCTAGGATTACAGGCATGAACCACTGCGCCTGGCCGGGACTTTGGCTTGTATTAATAATTTGCCAATGAGAATTGTAAGCAATGGATTGACATGCTCTTTGAATTTTAAGGAATCATTCTAGCTATTGTGTAGAGGATAGGAAGAGGGAGAGTGGGAGAAAGGAGGGGGAAGTGTGAAAGTAGAGAGGCCTGTTAGGGATCTCTTAATAAGTCTGGCAAGACATGATGGCAGGCCGTACCAAGCATGTTCCTACCTCAGGCCTTTGCACTTGCTGACCTCGCTCGCTGGGATGCTCTTCTACCAAATATATACTTGAACCACTGCGTCCCTCCTTCAGAGATATCTGCTGAAATGTGAGGTCTTCATAGTAAACCTCACCCCTTCACTTGTATACCCTTTCCATGACATTTTTTCCTCTATAACATTTATCACCATTTGACACAGTGTATATTTTACTTGTTTATTTACTTAGTGCCTGATTTCCTGACTAGGATGTAAGCTCAAGAACAGGGATTTTTCTGTTTCGTTCATTGCTGTGTCCCTGATGCCTAGAACAATGCCTGCAGTGAGGAGGTACTCAATAAGTATTTGTTGAATCAATTAGGGAATGAAGCTCTTCCATCTCCATTATCACCAATACCACCTCTACAGTTATAATTAGTGAGAATTATGGCAGTGCTAATGTTATTTTTTCATTTCCATGTGTGCCTTTTTGGAAAGACTTGCTGCAACAAGCTTCACATATCTTCCTCTGCAGAGTAGAAGTATGTCACTAAGCCATGGAGTTGATTTCTTGGCTCCTTGTATAGCAAATAGCCTTGCATTTGGTTCGTGTCAGTCTTTGCATCTTTTTTTAGTCACGTTGCCTACACCCTTCACAATCCTCTAGCTTAAACTCTTGAGTAACTCTGGACACTGGCGTTAGCTGGAAACTTGAGAACCAGAGGAATGATACTGCCAATAACATGCCTTATGTGCTTGGCATCTAATTTTGGCACTTGTTTTAGCAGGTTTGATTGCATAATTTAGCCATTGGCTACAAAAAAAAATGGCCACATATCCTGGGAGGAAGGGAAGATTTGGAGGTATAAGATGGAATCTGTCCTAGGGATTTGAGGACGGGCTACGGTTCTTGTTTTTTTTAAAATATTCCTTCATTTTCAATACTCTTGGGATTATTCCAGGCCTTATGCATTGACCATCACTCAATATTACTTCCTTTGGGGAGTATGGTATGACGCCATCATTTCTGGTCTTTTCATATGAAGTCTCCATTTTTATTATATTTTTCATGCCTGAATCTCAGGTTTTGCAATATTTTCTCTACCACAAAATCTGTTATCAATTAAGTACAACTTAATTTGTTTTTTTTTTCACTTTTCCCTAATTAAAGATATATATACGCTAATTCAGAATAAGTATGAAATATAATAACTGGAAATAGGACATATAATTGACATAATCCCAAAATAAAAACAAATAATTTGTAGATTTAGTCCTCATAGTCTCACTGGATCAATATAGGATTTCTGATCAAATATGATGCATTTTGAGAACCCTCAGTTTATGTCTAGAGGAGAGTCTTTTATTTTTAATGTGCGGGATTTAAGTTGTAAGTGAAGAGGACTGCGTCAAGAGGCAGGATAGTAGTTCTACCCCAAAACAGATGTGTGATGTTGAACGAGTCACTTGGAGAAGGATGCCATGGAGAGTATTGGGCCAGGTGATTTCTAAAGACTCTTCCAGCATTAAAATACATTAATTCTTTGCATACATCCATGCCTTTTGCTGCTTTTGCAGCTTTCAGGGTTAATGAGAGCTGTCAGGAGCAGTATGACCTTAGAGGGAAATGGCTCATATCAAGAGAGCAGATGCCAATCCCTTCTAGTACTCTCCCTGGGCAGATGACCCACTCCCTATTTAAATCCTTGGCTTTTTTTCTTCTCTGATAAGTGCCTGCATAATTGATACTGTTGCCAGTGATCAAACGCTGAAATGACTAAATGATAGAGCTGAAAAAGACCCTAAGGTGTTATCTAGTCCAATTATGCCCCCTAAACCCCAAAGAGTCTGAAAGAGTAATGGGGCCCATGAGCCAAGTTTAGTATTTCAAATGTCTCGTGGTAATTCTATATTTGGAGACAATATTGTAAGGTTAAGCAAGCTGTGGAAGCATGAGGTTGCTCTGCTTATGGCTGGAGTTATAAATGTGAAAATGGATCAGTTATTCCTAGTAACTGCTCTTGAGTAAGCAGAATCTTTCAAAATGTCATAGCTTTGTTGTCTAATACATAATGGCCACTCACCACATACGGCTTTCAAGCACTTGAATGTGACTGATCCTTACTGAGTTACGCTGTGAGTGTAAACCACACATCAGATTTCAAAAACTTAGTATAAAAAAGTGAATATTTCATTAATTTATATTGATTATCTGTTTAAATGATATTTTCAATACATTGGGTTATATAAAATATTTTATTAAAAGTGATGTCGATTGTGTGTTTTTACTTCTCTTTACTGTGGGGACTAAAATATTTTAAATTCCATTATATGGGTAACATTTCTATTGGGAGTACTGCTCTAGAGTAAGAGATTTCTGGGTGTGAAAAGGCTGAGACTCACTCCTTGTTTTGCAGGTGAGTAAGGTGGGTCAGAGAGGTTAGGCCATTTGTTCAAGATCACACAGCAAGTAGGTAGCCAAGTTAGGAGTAGGCCAGCATACTTTCCTTTACCAAAAATGGCCAAAGGGATCATAGTGATTTTTTTACATGGAGTCTATGACATTGCTGCTTTGGGTCAAAGCCAAAAATATTGTGTAGAATATTAGCAGTTTTCTAAAGCCCTAAGCCCAAGTTGTATCACCCAGTATCAAATCCAATCAAAAATATATTAAAAAGAATACAAGGAAGAAAAGGAAAGAGGAGAAACCTCCCTATAGAAGACCCAGTAAGCAATCTGTTTTCATTCTTGAACAGATTTCTTTCACACCAGTGCCCTGGTATTACTGGAAAAAAGTACATTAATTACGGGAGTAAAGCACAATAAGAAAACATTTACAAGGAGTCCAGCCCTCATCCATCATGCCTTTCCCTCCAACAAAGCAAGAATCTCTTTAACAAATACCCATTAAAAGATTAAGCCTAAGAATAAATTGTTTCTTAGTCCCCAGGCAGTTCATTTGACATCATTTCCATAGGATTAGGGACTCCAGCAATATGTGTTTAGCACAGGGCTATAGTCACACTGCATAGTATTGGTCTAAACCATTCCAAAATATTTTTTTAGATCTCGAACTAATAAGACTTTTATGTGGCTGGTAATTATACTAATATTTCACCCACAAATTGGGCCTTTTTCCCCCTCCACAGTGTGTAACCAAACGCAGCAATTCTGCCTTTAAAAAAAACGAACCACCACCTGTTAAAAAGTGGTCTAGGAAGTATAGCAATGTCATGGAGCTCTTGAGGATGTGTATAATTGAATAGAAAGGAAACCTAGCATCTGGCGCACTCAGTTCTTAGTCCCTTTTCCTCTGAGCCATCATTTCTCTTCTGATAACTGTATTTGGTTCTTATAATTACTGATACTATGATGTGTGGAGTTTAAAGTACCCAACAGTTGTATAAGGCTTGTTACAAACACCTTCAATGTCCCCACTCCCCTCCCTTCACTCTTGATTTCTTTTTGATTTCCTGCTCACCAGGGCAACCACATTCAAATCTTTTAACTGATTCTTTTGTCATTCACCTCCTCCAATTCTTAAATCACGTGCTTGTATTGGTTTTTTTTTTTTTTTTTCATTTCTAAATATTATCTAGCATTATTTCACTGTAGGAAATGACAGTTTGTCCTTTCTTCCCCCTACCCCAACCCCTCCCATAGATGCATCCTCGTAATCATAATTTTGGACAGAACAATTTAGTGTTTACATATTAAGATTATATAAGTGCCATTTGAAGCTGAGTCACCTACTCTTTTATGGTTCTTCTTTTCCAGTCACTTTTCTTTTTCCCTGGAGTTGATAATGATGCTTTTATAGTATATTTATTGTTTTTGTTGTTGTTGTTGCTGTTTTGAGACAGAGGCTCACATTGTCGCCCGGACTGGAGTGCAGTTGTGTGATCTCTGCTCACTGCAACCTCTGCCTCTCAGGTTCAAGCGATTGTCCTGCCTCAGCCTCCCGAGTAGCTGGGATTACAGGCGCCAGCCACCATGCCCAGCTAATTTCTTGTATTTTTAGTAGAGACGGGTTTTCACCATGTTGGCCAGGCTAGTCTCAAACTCCTGACCTCACGATTCGCCCGCCTCAGCCTCCCAAAGTGCTGGGATTACAGGGGTGAGCCACGATCGTATTTCTTGTTTTAATGTCCTTCTTACTTGGTTTTTTATCTCCTTCACTAATTCATCCGCCCTGCCTCACTCTCCTCTCAGTAGTTCAGATGCCATAGGTGTGATGAGCCTTGAAGCAAGAGCTTCTACCTGCTTCGGTCTGGGCTTCAGCTTGGTGCCCAGCTATGACCTTTGTTCACTTTTTCTCTCCTTCGGGTGTGAGTCCCTTTCCTGAATTCTGGCCTTAATGGAGGACAATTTCCAATAGCTTCCTGAGAAAGGGTAGGGGGGAGGCAACTTTATTGAGACCTTGCGTGTCTGAAGAATGTCTTTCTTCTTTCCTCATACTTGATAGATTATTTCCTCATACTTGATAGATTATTTGTCTTACTGTATGATTTTAGACATGGGGTAATTTTCCCCCAGAATTTTGAAGGTAGCACTCCATTGCATTTTTTTTCAGTGCCATTGTTGAGAAGACCATGCCATTCCGATCTTTAATCTTTTGCATAAACCTTTGTTTGTTGACTTATTGTTCCCTGGAAGCATTTTTTTATTCCCCAGATTCTGCAGTTTTACAGTAATGTGCCTTAGTCTGGGTCTGTGCTAATCCTGATGCTCTTTCAATCTGGATATTCATTTCCTTTCATTCTGGGAACTGTCCTCCTGTTTTCTTCATTCTTTCTCCAGAACTCCCATTATTAGGATGTAGGTCCAATAATTATCTTTATTTTTCACCTCTTAATATTTTAAGTTCCTCTTGGAGAGATTCCTCAACCTTTTTTGTCAGCACTTCTTTTTTTTTTGTTTCTGATATCATACTTTTAATATTCAAGTACTTTTTTTGTTCGACTTGTTCTTCATTATAGCATCTTGTTTTTGTTTCATAGTTGCAATATCTTATTTCTCTCTGGATGATATTTTTCTTTCCCTGAGTTGTCTGTTTTCCCCACGTTGCCTTTGTCTGGTTTTGGTCTTTGTTTTGCTGTCTGCCTTCTATACTCAAACGTCTGGTGATCCCTGCATGTCTGCCCATTTCTGAGAGTTGATGGACCCCTCAAGCACTGAAGGCAAGTTCTCCGTGCCTGGGTGAACGTGCTCTCTAGGGTGGCCTGCCCACACATTTCCTTGGGATGCCATTGGGTAAATATCTCCAGGTCTTTTGTCTTTGGCTGCTTAGATTCCCAAGAGATGGTTGACTCTTCTAGTAGCCATCCTGGAGGGTAGATTCTAGCTGCCAACCTCCTAGGAGCACAGTGGGAGAAGAAGGGGTAGGGGGCACAGTGAGCACAGTGGTCAACATATGCATGTTCTTTTAATCTTTCATATAATTTCCGTTAATTCCACCTAGTCATTTTGGTACCAGAGGATAAACTTTTTTTTTTTTTTTTTTTTGAGACAGAGTATCTGTTGCCCATGCTGGAGGGCAGTAACATAATCTTGGCTCACTGCAACCTTCACCTCCTGGATTCAAGCGATTCTCCTGCCTCAGCCTCCCTAGTAGCTGGGATCACAGGCGCGCGCCACCACACCCGGCTAATTTTTGTATTTTTAGTAGAGACGGGCTTTCACCATGTTGGCCAGCATGTGGGTCTGGAACCCCTGACCTCAAGTGATCTGCCCACCTTGGCCTCCCAAAGTGCTGGGATTGCAGCTGTGAGCCATTGCGCCCGGCCAGAGCTTAAGCTTCTAATCTGCCATGGTAGGGGAGGAGCCGTGACTCGACTGTCCAGATTTTCACATGTAACTAGTGACACCAGTCCCCAATCCTTTCACGGATTCTGCCATGTGAATTTGGTTATATCACATCTTTCCTTACTATGAGTTTAGAATTCCGCTTTCTTGGGTTTGCTAAGTAAATTACCACCGGTTCTTCTGCTTTCAAGTTTCTGGTTTGTTTTTCTTTCTTTTTCTCCCCTCCCTCCACCCCCTTATCTCTTCTGGTGTCTTTGTCCTTGTAGATTTGTGCCTTCTTAAAAATCTCTTCACTGTTACTTTAGAGGATTTGGGGGAACGAGAACAGAGCTAAAATTAACTTCCTCCTCTGATGAATGTTGACAGTCTTCCTGCCATAGGGATGTTGTCCAAAATACGTGTTCATGTGTATGTCAAACTAGAGCTTCTCAGGAGGAAAGCTCTTTGTCCATTGAAATTGTTGTCACTATTGATAGTCTTTTTACCCTTAGACCAGTACAACTTGAGTCACACGTGTGGCCCATAAAGATTCCTGTAAGGTCGTGCATAAGGGACAAGTAGTTGTAGCTTTGTATTCGTGTCCAGTTGATGAAAACAAATTGCTATATCTCCTTTGTTACAAGAAATCTATGGAAGAATCTGGATAGAACCCAGATAGTTATATTTTTGTTTTTACACTGACCCCTTTAATTCAATAAAGACATCAATATGTGAATACATAATAACTGACACATACTACTATATAAGTGTTCATTGATATTGTTATATGCTGTTTTTTTTTAATAATACTTGTAAATTTTCCAAGAGTTTTATCTAATGTTTCTCAAACCCAGCTGCACAACAGATTCACCTGGTGGTCGTTTAAAAAAAAAGATTTCATTTCCCACCTTGGGCCTACTAATCTTCAGGGTGGGTGCAGTAGCAAAACAGAGCTTCCATTTTCTGGAGAAGAAGTGAGACATTTTGAGAACCCCGTTGGGAGGGTCGTACACATCACTGATGGTCATTTAGAAAGACAGCAAGATGAAGCAAGGAGCCAGCTCTGAGAGCTGCGGCTAAAAGCAAAGCCTGTATCCACAGCAAATAGATAAATCAATATACACGTGTAGTATAAATGTATAGAACACCTGGAAACCAAGGCACTATGCTGGGCCCTCCTTCTGTACAGAACACTTAGGCAGTATGTTGCCCCCTTTCTTTATGATGTTTTGCCCCTTTGTTTCAGTCAGATTTTACCTGGATAGGAGGATGAGCAGAAGAGGCTGGTGTGGATGTGCATTTTGTTCCTGCTCTCCCAGTGACAGACATTGAAGTGTTGGCCGGAGCTAGCTAAGAATTTACTTTAGACAAAATCCTGAATAGGACCCACACAACTCTGAGACGGATTACATTTAAAAATTAATCCTCGGCCAGGCGAGGTGGCTCACGCCTGTAATCTCAGCACTTTGGGAGGCCGAGGTGGGTGGATCATGAGGTCAGGAGTTCGAGACCAGTCTGGCCAACATGGTGAAACCCTGTCTCTACTAAAAATACAAAAATTAGCCAGGCGTGGTGGCGCACGCCTGTAATCCCAGGTACTCGGGAGGCTGAGGTGGGAGAATTGCTTGAACCCGGAAGGTGGAGGTTGTAGTGAGCTGAGATTGTGCCACTGCACTTCAGCCTGGGCAACAGAACAAGATTCCATCTCAAAAAAAAAAAAAATTAATCCTCTTTCAGTGTCAGGTCCCATTTGCTAATGGGGTTCAATTTTCATTCATCTACTGTAAAACCAAACAATTCTTATTTGCAGCTGAGCTAAGGGGCAGAAAAAGGAGGAAATAAAAAGCATTAAGTTTTATTTCCATGTATGCAACCCAGAAGGTTCTAAATGGTTACTTTATTTGAGCAACTTACTTTATTAATAGCAACTTCTTGTTTAACTAGAGCAGTGTTGGAAAAATAATTTAACAGAAATTTTAGTTAGGGGGCTACGGGAGGGGTGGGAGATGAAAAACTGAAGAATGACGAAATTCACATCCACTAATGTTTACATTTTTAAAGCTTTAATGTCTGTTTTTAAGGAATAGTTCTTTAATTTAAAAAAAAAAAAACCTTAACATATTCTCTGTATACTCTAGTGTTGGAACAATGGTGACTGATATCGGAGCTTTCAGTTGGTACAGTAATAATAGCTAAAGCTCACCCAGCACTAACTGTGGCAGATATTGTCCTAAGCACTTTACATCTGCTAGCTCATTTTATCCTCCCAAGAGCCCTTTGAGAAGTTTCTGTTATTACCTCCAATTTAAGATGAGGAAACTGAGGCACCAACGGCAAGCTTGCTCATGAGTGGTGGAGCTCCCCTGTTCATTTAACCATGTTGCTGTATTGCCTGGTGCTGCTTACCACAGGTGCCTGGCCCATAGGACTTTATGTCCTGGACTGGGCAAGGTTATAGAAGATGTTTTAGTTATTAGACAAAGAAAGCCATGCTGTTCCTTCCACACACCATCTCATTCAAAACCAATGGTCACTCTGTTTGGGGGCCACTAGGAGAGATGAGGTTCAGAGAACTCCAGTAAATTAAGGTCACAAGGTCACACAGATGAACAGTGGCTACCACTATCAGCTAGGATTCAACCCAGGTCGGACTCTACAGCTGGTGGGATGCCTCCCTTCTCTTAGTATATGTGCTCTGTTTTGCCGCTCAGGAGGCAGGAAAGAAAGATCAAGGATGAGTAGGTGCCTGTACTCCTAGTTACCTTGCGTAGCGCTATGTGACTCTTACTTGTATTTCCCAGGCATAAACCTGGCTGCATGGCAAAGAAAGCCAGGAAGGCAGCGTTCTCCTTTTTTGTGTAGAAGAAAATACTCTTGCCTCAGCAGCAGAGAACTGTGTCCACCTACTGTTTATTTTCCTCCCCCTTTTTCTTTTTTTCTTCATCAAAAAGATATGAATGCTGAGATCATCCCAGAGAAATCTAGAATAAATACCATGAGAAAATAGTCCCTCTGGAAGGCGTCTTGTACTCCTGCTGTTTGTAAATGTGAAAAGCTCAGCAACCGGGCAGCTGGATGGGTATAAATATAGCCCACAGCACTGACGCCCGCTGAATCCTGCTTTCTTAGAGGCACAATGGGAACCCACGGAAGTCAGAGAAGGAGCAGTAAAGCCCAGTCGATCAATCAGCCTCTCTCTTTCTCTCTCTCCATCCTGGACCTTAGTGTGGGCGTGAGGATAGAAGCAGCTTTAAGAGTGCACTTAAAATAGCTCTTGGAACTGGACATTGGCTAAGCTCAAAGACAAGGAAGATGCTTCCTATGAAACCGACCTCTGCCTGACCCTTACCTGGGGCTATTTTGACCATTCTGGTCCGTGATCTTAGGGCTGTGTTCTTTCTCAGTTCAGCTGCTTGGGCACAAGCAGGTTTTCTAGTGCACGCTCCAGGCGTTTGGCGCCTCTCTGCTGCCTCCGTACTCAGAGATCTTATTCTAACTAGACTCAGCTGTCTGAAGCCTGGTGATTAAAAATAGCCTCCTGGTGCTAGCTGTGGAATCAAGGGAGAGATACTCAGTGAGCAGAGAGGTCAGCTTGACGCAAGACACCTGACTGTCATACCTGTGGGTTTCCTTGCACCTGAGTTTTTTATCTCTTGAGGTATTTTCCTTTTATACTCTATCAGTGCCCATTTTTTATGGCTATGCAAGATAAACCAGTCATTTCAGATTTGTGGGGATTAGTAGAAGTCTGCATTTTGGCAGGAGAAAACCATTATTTTACTTGGTGGTTCCCAGAAATAAAGTCTCTAGTTATCATTCCATGCAGACATCAATGAGATTTGCCATTGAGGCATACATTTATTTGTTTTCTCTTTCTCATTTGGTGGTAAATACTTCAAAGTAAAGAACCATGTCCTCTACTTCCGTTGTAACTGCCCACAAAACTTAATAATTCATCTTACATGTCTTGTTTTGTGACCGTTGAACTGACCGTAACAGCCTTTCTCTGATGTCCATGGCATGCCATTAGTAAGAGTCACAAATACTGTGATACTCGCCTAATCCATTTTTAAAGTCTGTTCAGGGATAGTCTAAGAGTACAAGGCATATGTGCATATTTGCTTTTAGTTGTTTCATTCAATGTAAGCTGGATCTGTGCCTTACTTTTAACTTCTAAGATTGCTTCCTTCAAATTGGACCTCAGCATATAATATTTATAAAAATAAAGCAGGAACTGTTATTTGGTTAAAGCAGAATATACTTAAAATATTAAACTTGGGATAACTTAGAGAAAGCCCTGAAGTTGAAGAGCTTGGGGCTCTGTCAGTCCGCTGGTGGCCGGAGTGCCCCAGCACCGGGCCTTCCTCACAAAACATTCTGCCTCTGATTCCCTATCCTTGGAACTGGTGCCCAGTTAGCAAAGAGCACCAGCTGTTCTGGCCTTGGGGACGATGCATGGAGGAGGGGCACCCTCCAAGGAAACCAGGCCAATAGAGCCAAAGTGAACAATTTCAGTCATCATTGGGAACCATGATAGATTATGTAGCACTTTAATGATTGATTTCCTAAAAACCATTCATGCAGTCTTTGGAAGTTCAGCTTGTCACTTACTGGCGTGCCCTCCAGGGCTTCTGTCCACATCGATTTCACCACTACATCTCCACCCATGGAAGGCATGGGCCAAACCCATTCATATTCCAGAGAACAAGGTGCAGTTTCCATGGTATACAGAAAGGTAATATTGTACAGTGGGCAATAACATTCCAGTTCCGGCTCTGCTACTTCCTACTTCTGAGCAACTTGGAAGGTTGCCTAACCTCTCCAAAGACCTAGATAAAATGGGGTTAAGAATAGTGTCCACTTCATAGGGTGGTTCGAAGAAATAAGTGAAAATATAAATGTAAAACACTTAGTACAGTGTCTGTCACACAGCAAGGACTCAGTAAATGTTAGCCAAGAGGGGAGGAAGGAGGCTGCCACCCTTATCTGTTAGCTCAGCTTCAAAAAGCCTAGCAAAATAACATCATGAATTTGATCTGAGTGGTCACAGCAAATCCATTCCCTCACTGATGAAGCTCAAATTACCTTGGCCACATTCTTTAGATTTTTCCCTTTGCCTCTGAATGAAGCATTCACTTGACGTAGATAAAATACAGACACCTCAGCCTCCAGTTCAGCCACTGTCCAGTCAAGCAGGAAAGTACATTGTGAGTGAGTCTTAAGTGAAAAGGACTAGTTATGATGCATTTGAGACAAGAAAGTAGATCGAGCTTTAGGCTTTTCCTTTTCTTGCCGGAAAGGAAAAAAACAACATTGCATTAATCATCATCTGGTCCTCGGCCAAGATTCGTATTTACCTGTTATGTGCCATATTCATACTCACCCTGTAATGTGGCAGCCTCGTGCCATTTATCATTCCAACAGCCCATAACAGATGAGGAGACACAGATGACTTGTCCAGGGTCATCAAGCTTGTCAATGGCAGAGTGAATGTTGGAGCTCAGACCTTCTGACTCTCAACCCAATGAGATACAAATAAAATAGTGGAAACCACCAGCCAGCCCTCCCAAGTGTTTAGGGGCATTAAAGACACTGGCCATCCTAAAGGCGCCTCTTACTCTTATACATCATCTACCACTGAAACCAGAGCTTCCGCTGTGCACTGTCCATGCGTGGGGCCGATCAAGGACACCAAGGCTGTGCAATGACAGGTTTCTTCTCTATAAACTTTCCTTGTCTCTTTCTTTTAAGACATTGAATAGCACTAAGGGATAATTTCTTCCTTTTCTTTTTTTTTTTTTTGTGTGTGTGTGTGTTTTGATTTTTGACACAGGTTCTCTCTCTGTCACCCAGGCTGGAGTGCAGTGGCATGAACATGGCTCACTGCAGCCTCCACCTCCTGGGCTCAAGCAATCCTCCTACCTGAGCTTCCCATGTATGTGGGACCACAAGCATGCCGCACCATGCTCAGCTAATTTTTAAAATTTTTGTAGACACAAGGTCTCACTATGAGCTACCATGCCTGGCCTAGGGTAATTTCTTAAAGTAGAGCTTTATCTCCTTGTCGAGAGGCATTTAGATGTCCTTTCTTCAATGAAAGATTCTTTTTCTCCTCTAAAGAACCCAGAAATAATTTGTTGGTCCTTTACTATGATGTCCCTAACAGATCTAATCATGCCTCTCCATTTTGAGACCATTCATTCTTTCAAACACCATTATTTTTATTCAGACAGTGTACCTAGCAATAGTCCCGGCACTGGGAACACAGAAATGAAAAGTTACTCTCTTTAAGAAATTCACAGTTCCAAAACCTCGGCTGTACCCACAGAGTCAGGGTCATAGGGAAGTTTCAGTACCAGATAGTGGGAGGAGGGCCAGGGCTGCCAGTCGTTGGTGAATGTGGTAAGGTGGCAGGCTGTTGGCAGTTGAGAGCTGGCATCCAGCATTAACCTTAGAAACAAAGAGCTCAAGGAGCAGAAATCCAGCCACAGAGACTGGGATTCGGTCATAGGACTTCTGTTATTGAGAAGGACTGGAAGACAGAGCTGGGTAGGAACCAAGATAGGCATCCCATTACAGCAAAGGCTTGTTTTTAGGTGGCAGACAAGGGCACAGAAAAGCCAGCAGGAGTGACTCAATACTGGTTCCCTGAACCACTGGTCCCAAGCTTCCTCTTGATAAAGGGTAGGCCTGGTCCCGGAGTCTGGGTGGAGCTGAACTTCAAAGTAAAGGAGGGTTAAGTAAGCCTAACTGGAAAGGTTCTGGGCCGTAGGGGCAGACAGCCAAGCATCTCACTGCAGCTAAAACCCAAGTAAAATAAATAGGACTTATGGTATGCACAAATCTCTCATACCAGAGAAAGTGGACATTCCAAGTTTGTGTGATTTGAAGGAAAAGATTTTAGTTCCGTGGTTCTTGTAGGTTGTTACTAGATTGCTAGAATGCTTATAATATAAGATAGTTTTGTGTGATGGGTTTATTTGGGAATGTGATGATAGAAACAAAAGGAAATTCCTTTGTTTTTTATTACCATACAAGGATAAGATTTTGAGATTATCTTTCCAAGGAAAACTTATCAACTATCTATTATGTATCAGGCACAATCCTTTGTACTGGGATTCCAAAGACAAATAAGATAGTTCTTGACCTCAAGGAACTTGTAATTCGTTGGGGAAGACAGATAAGTAACCAACAAATTAGAACGTAGGGTGATTGGAGTGTGTTTCATGTCACTGCGCCACAGAAGAGAAGCAGTTGACTTAGGAGAGGAGAAAGTTTAATTTGGGCCATGAAGGAAATTAAAAGTAAAGACCTCCAAATTGGTGGGCAGCCATTGAAGGATTTTAGGAAAGTGATGTGCTGAGGGATGGATTATAAGATCGGGGGCAGAAAGACCAGTTACAAGGGAAAATCATGCTGGTCATGCCCCAGTACTTACATTTTTCTCATACCACCTCTTAGAGCCCCTGAAAGTGTAGACTCCACTATGGAGAAGCAACACAAATGTGAAATACTAGCTTGCGAGCCACGTGGGTAGCTCTTTCCTCTTCAGGAAAGGGGAATGCTAGTGTCTAGAAGTGGGAGAGATTGAAATGATTCTGTAATGAGGAAATAAGTTACGTTAGGGCACATATATAAAGAAACAGCAGAAAAAATGTAAAATCTCAATCACTCTGTAGCCATGACATTTATAAAAATGAAAATTTTACAAGAGTATTTCTAAATGCTTTGAAGTTGGCCCCCAAAAAGCCTGCCTACCTTCACTTTGAGTTACAAATAAAATCCCTAGTGTTGCATAGCTGTGTGAGTGGTATTTACATTCTCACACATTTCAGATCTCTTGAGTCCATTTTGCTAGTATTTGTTTTCCTTGGAGATAGGAGTTAATTCAGTCACACTTTCTTCCCCTGACAATAACTGCATTTTTTTCTCTAAGGTAGCTTTCCCTCCAACCGTTGCTTGTTGTTCTTACCCAAGACCCAGTATCTGCCAAAACAAATGTATGTGAGTGATAAACGCTGAGAGGAATGTCTGTTGGACCACAGGAAATTTCCTGTTCAGGAAGAGATCTTGGGAACTTCCTGTGGAGGAGTGCATTGTGGGACTTTTGGCTGCAGTCCCTTGACCACAGCTGCAATTAACTAAAGGCAGAGGGGGAGGGGAGAGGAAGAAGAGGAGACAGCTACCCACAGACATTCTTATCCATGTAGCCCGAGGAGAGAATGGGCTCATACAGGTTCACAACTTTGCAAGTGAACTAGATGTCTAGTGCAGAACAAGATCACTGTGCCCAACCTCCTTTACTGCCATCCATCTTTCACAGCCTTCCCGGTGCTTTCCTAGGGCTCCTAAAAACAGTCACTGTCACATTATCCATGTGCATTCCCCAGTCCCTCATAAGCACACATGAAGTGTCCATGCCCTCTGTAGCCCCACCAACTGTTTGGAATCTCTTGATTAGCTTCTAGAATCCAGGCATTGGAGTTGGTGGTCTTTCTCCATCCCAACTTAAGTATGAAAGAGAGGAGAGGAGAACCCGTGGCTCTTTGACATACCTTCATGTGACCCTAAAAGCATTAGGGAAACGTTATGGAACTGTTACGAAAAAAGAGGTTAATAAATCCAATTGATAAGCACAATCAAAACCAACAGGAGAACCATGCATTCTTGTGCTGCAATGCCATTACGAAATGAAGTCCTCGTTAATACCTCATACTCCCCTTCTTGGTCCCCAAACTGGGCACGTCTACTTTGCATTCAAGTGCCTGATGTGTGTGCGTGTGTGTGTTTTATTTTTTATTTTTTATTTTTTTGAGACAACCTATTGCCTAGGTTGGAGTACAGTGGCATGATCACTGCTCACTGCAGCCTCGATGGCCTGGGCTCAAGTGATCCTCCTGCCTTAGCCTCTGGGTCCCTGGGACAGACAGGCATACCACCATGCCCTGCTAATTTTTAACAATTACTTGTAGAGACAAAGTGTTGCTATGTTGCCCAGGCTCTTGATGTTTCTTTACAGCCTTCACTCAGTGCTTTTATGGAGTCCATCTCTGAAGAGCAGGGCTTATATTTGAGTTTCAAAAATCTAAAGTCTCAGCTGGTGGCAATTTACATCTGATAATATATATGACCTTGGAAGTCTCTGGCAGACATAGGAAAGGGGAGTGGACATCTAAGGACTGAAAAATATCCCAGGCCATTTTCTGGGTCATGGAAAAGTAACCTGACCTTCTTATCCCACCTCCTATTCATCATCCATCTCACCTCCCATCCCCATCACATTTTAAATTTTAATTAATTTTTCATTGGCAGATAAAAGTCATATGTTTATGGTATACATACATAAAACATGATATTTTAATGTATGTATACATGTGGACTGGCTAGATCAAGCTAATTAACATAGCCATTAACTCACATACCTGTTTTTTGTGGTGAGAACATTTAAAATCTACCATCTTCATAATTTTCAAACATACACAGTGTTATTAACCATAATCACCGTGTTATACAACAGATCTCCTGAGCTTATTCCTCCCATCTAACTGACGTTTTGTATCCTTTGACCAACACCTCCCCACCCGCATCCCTTCTTTTACTCTGCTTGAGTTCAACTTTTAGATTCCACATGTAAGCGAGATCGTGTAATATATATCTTTTCATTACTGGCTTATTTCACTTAGCATAATGTGCACCAGATTCACCCATGTTGCTGCAGATGGACTTCAAAATGTAAAATATTCTTCATGAGAATGAAGTTACCCCCCCAGAAAGGGGGACCAGTTACTCCCCAGAAAGAATTAAAAAGTAGCCGGGCATGGTGGCACACACCTGTAATCCAGCTAATAGGGAGGCTTAGTTGGGGGGATCACTTGAGCCCAGGAGTTTGAGACCAGTCTCACAGTCTCAGCAACATAGCCAGACCCTGTCTCATATTTTTAAAACAAGAATTAAAAAGCAAGAATAGTTTGCAGCAAACATTTTCTGAGACTTTTCTAGATAATACTAGGTTTAGTCCGCCCTCCAAAGTAGTATAATTACATCATGGTTTTAAAATTAAAAGCAAAAATATAGGTGAAGCAAAAGTGAGCTTTATTCATCGAAAATTTGTCCTCACTCATCCCATGTGACTTTTTAAAGTGTAATTCTAAGGAGACTCCCAGCATCCGGATGGCAAA
Source organism: Homo sapiens (assembly GCF_000001405.40). Classification (NCBI taxonomy): domain Eukaryota; kingdom Metazoa; phylum Chordata; class Mammalia; order Primates; family Hominidae; genus Homo; species Homo sapiens. The sequence goes on from NC_000012.12 coordinate 11,801,157, forward strand.
TACGTGAACAGAGAAACATAAATTAACTGGAAGGGAACAAAATAGACCTCTCAGCTGACCAATTCTTTGTAGCTTTGACATTGGCCTTTAAAAGAACGAGGCAAACTTTTTTAAAGAAAGTTATCTAATTTAATGCAAGAGGTAACTCTCTGGCTATGACTTAGGGTAATTAGGCCTATTTTCTACATTTTGGACGTGTTTCCTATGGCTGGAATGTAAAAGCTTATTTAATATTGATGTAACCCCAAAATTTAAGTAATTGGAATGCACTATTTCTATCACATTCTATTGAGCTGAAGTATAGGTTGTGCTCTGTTCAATTCAGGTTGTCTTGACAAAGACTGAGAAATAGAATGGCCCTCCAAGGGCATACCTGACTATTCTGCGGATAACACAGTCACGCAGGCATTTGCTATAGTGAAAATACTGTTATGGTTAAGCTAGTGGTATCTTGTATTTCAATGATACCTTACGGTTTACCAGTTTTCATGTAATATATTAACCTATCTCATTTAATCATTACAGTGTTCCTTGGTGTACAGATGAGGAATCAAACTCAGATATGACGAATCAAACTCAGATAGGCTAAGGGTGGAGGTAGACCAGGAGAACCTGCACCCGCATGCATTCTTCTCACTGCAAGTTCAGGCAGGCCAGGAGATGAAAGCCAGCATGAGCCAGTGAATAAGCAATTATCTGACAAACCCAAGGCCAGCAGAAGTAAGATAACATCTTTGTTCCCCTCCATTTCTTCCTATGCCATCCAGCCCTCAACCCCTGCTACCTTCAAGCCCTGTTGATACTCACGCCCTCCTGCCCACATTCCTTCGGTGGGGCACTGAAGTTTTGGTGGAGGGGAGCAGAGCGAGGAACTCTTTGTTTGTGCAGTAAGGACTTCCTTACAGGAAATTTCCTGTGATGGAAACTCTGGGGAAACTTCCTGTTGGTTAGGCCACTGCCGGGGGCTGATAACCTGAACCACTTAAAACCTTCAGGGCTCTGCTGCTGAGAGGATGGGATGGCCCTTCCCTGCTTCTCCAAGTCTGGGAGGGCAAGAAAGTCCAAGCGTACAGAAGCCTCAGGAATCTCCCTGGGATGGTATTTTCCAGGAGCTAAAAGCTATGGCTCTCATCAGCTGATCTTATTCTAGAAGACCAGCCCTCATGGTTAAATGGACTGCTTAGATTTATAACGAGAATGGTACCTGCAGCGACATACTAGCTGGATGCATTAATAGGGCTTTGGAAACCATCTCAAAGTTCTGGGTCTGGTTCTTCATACATCATTTTAAAACATATTCCTGTTATATTACTCTCCAGTGTTAAGGGTTTATGAGCACTGCAAACATTTATTTTCAGCTCTCACTTATGAACTTGGAATTCTAATTAATCCTTGTCATTGTCAGACATGGTTGACACTGTATGCTGTGTGGGTCACTTAGCACCAAGTGTAAATCATCTGGGGTATGTCTTGCAGGACGACCAATCTTAAGCCATAGCACAAAATTCTTAAATAGACTTTACAATCATTTCACCTAGTTTGGACTTCTGGTGGATTATTTTGTTCTTTGTCAGCACTCCAGCAAAGATAATTACTCCTAAATCATGCCTTGGATTGAACTGAGCTTTGAATGTCTCCAATGTTGGGAATTCCGTAGGTTCCCATAGCAGCTCTCCTGGCCCAGCTCTTAGTTTGAAAGTTTGGTCTCCTAATTAGCCTGAATTTTCTCTAGTGACCTATAAGCCCATTATTGTAAGCCCTGTCCTTATTGTGTCATAAAAATAATTGACTCCTTGTCTTCAATCTATTTCATATAGGTAGACAGCTGCCACATCAAGAACGTCTTGTAAGTGCTTGATTTACCAAAGTCCATTTCTCCACAAGTTTCTTCATAGTTGTTTTCCTGGATTGGGGGTTATTTTAGCCTTACTTTCTAAAATGACTGGATTTAATGGAGGCCTCTGTCAGTCCCAACTCTCCAAATTTCTGCCCCAGCTTGGTGCTCTTTGCTTTGTTTATAGTAAATAATCATTTCAGCATCAGAATAAATCAGTGAACTGGACATGTCTTTAGGTGGACTTTTGAGATTATATTCCTGGTCCACATTGCAAATTAGGGAAGAATGAAAGAAATTATAATTAACTAGGAAGAAATTTGTCCGCTGAGAAGTCTCCCTTGTTAGACTCCTAGAAAATAGAGACCATAATATTTTATAATTTTTTGTCACAGTTTCCATACATATTTGTTGAATGAATCCTAAAAGTCAAAAGGGAGCTGCTTATTGGATTTGAGTTGCTTCTAGAACATGTTAAAAATTATGTGAATTTTCTCAATGTATTTGTAAGAATAAGCTGTCCTCGTGATTGAGTATTGATCTTCAAAATGGAGAATTATCAGTGGTGAGTGATGCTGCATGTAATGTACTTATAAAGGATAGGAAAAATATTTTGTAAAAATGCCTTGGGATAAGCTTTAAATATAAAAATCCAAAATGGTGATTTAGTTTGGGGCACTCAGAGGAAGAATAAGAATAGGGCCTGTTTAAATTTTTTGCAACATGATTACTCCTGGTTTTACATTTGATTTTGTATTATAGAATGAGATTAACTGGAATATGTTATAAATACAGAAAGTCTGTCATTATAAACACTAGTCAGCACCTTTTGTCTTCATAAGAATAATTGCTATTTTCAATGCATACTTGCTCTAAAATAGACCATATTGATGTCATAATATGTAGACTGAGCAAAAATATTATTAGTATCATCATCATCATCATCATCTTCTGATCTTCATCAAAGTTGTATTAAAATATTTTGGTATTCTAAATATCATTATCTTTTTTGAAAGCCTACTTAGGGTAATAGAAGGATCAGGAACTTTGGACTCTTTGACAGATTTCTAGTTTTTTCTATTTTTTTGCTATTCTGTAAATTCTTTCAAAAGATTTTTATCAGGTGTTTACTGCATACTCTGAAGTGCTGGGATATATCAGTGACCAAAACAGATATGACCCCTGCCTTCATGTTGCTTACAGTTTAATAGGGGAGATAAGTGTCTACCAAGGAATTCACACTAGCCAGAGAGCACATTGCCCACACAGCATCCAGAGTAATCTGTTGTAAGATAAATCAGACTGTTACTTCCCTGTGCCAAAACCTCCACTGGCTTCCAGTTTCATTTGGAAACCTTCTGAGTTCTCAGTATGAACTGCCAGGCCCTGTGTGATCTGAAATTTGTAAATCTCGTCAACCTCTCCACCCTCATCCTCCATCACCTTGTGTTCTGCTAGTTCCTCTTCAGCCACCCTGATCTTTTTGCTATTCTTGGAACACACAAGTTTATGTTCTACCTCAGGGCATTTGCACTTGCTGCCCTTCTGCCTATGAAGCTGTTTCTCCAGATACTCTCATGTTAGAGTCCCTCACCTTATCCAGGCCTCTGCTTAAATATCACCTCCTTAGAGAAGCTTCCCCAACAGCATTATCCAAACGACACCTTCCTTCACTCTCCATCACCTTTATCCTGCACTATTTTTCTTCTTGGCAATTTTCACCACCTGACATGTAATTTTTTAAAACACTGGATGGTGACCCTTAGGTATCTATTCAAAATGGCCATTCTTGTGCACAGCTGGGGTATGATGCCAGTGGGTCCACCTGTAGGGTAATTGGATGGGCCTGGCTGTCTCATGGGAGACTCCAGAGTCTTTTCTTTTGGGAAGGCAAGTTTGTCCAAAAAGAAATCCTGTGGGCTCCTCCTTAGAAAGAGTCAATATATGATGGCACTTGAGCTTTTACCATGAAGATTTCCACTGAGTTCCCCTATATTCCAGAGCTGCTCACCCTTGCTCCCTCCTGAACTTGGCGTTCTCAGATTCATCCTGATTCCAGCAAGGGAAATGTCCTTTCATCTGCAAGGAGGTGCAGGTTGCTGGGCTGGGGGAGGGTGGAATACAGCCATGCCACAGATGCTTTATTAGTCTTCTCTGTTCCCTGCCTGCCTTCAGAGGCACTTGGAACCCCCAGTTTCTGAGGTTTTATGAAGTTCTGGTAGGAAAACGAGTTTGTTTATTGGTATCTCCCCCTGCAGGCAGATTGAGTTAAGATTTTCTGCTCAGCTGAGTCAGATACCAATTGTCCGTCTGTTCCAGCTTCCAAAATTTTGTGCACCTCCCTCAACTGCCATTGTTTCCTCTCCCATTCTGTTGTCTTGTGGGTTTGTACCTTTTTTATTCCTCTATCTGGTTTAGTGGGACGTCAGACAGGAGCAGGGATAGACAAGATATGTCTCATCAATGTAGTTACATGTGGAGGTAAAAGCATTGATGTAGCAGTACAGGATGCTTTGAAAGCATAAAATACAGAAATCTGGTCTGGTGTGTCGCATACATTTAAGAGGAGACTTGAAAGCTAAGTAGGAGTTAATTGGGCAAAGAAGAAGGTAGGATTATTTCTGGGGAGGGGAACAGAGCCTGTGAAGGCCCTGAGACTGGAAGAGGATTTGTTCTACAGGGAATGGAAAGCCCAGCCCAACTGGCATTCATTGAATTTGCTGTGGAAAAGCAGAGTGACACATTGCTTTGGTGAGGATTGCAGATGGTGAGGTAGAACAAGACAGTCACGTTAAGGATTTTGATCTTTATCCTAAGAGCAACAAGCATCCGTGTCTGTGTTACCTCAGTAACCTTGGACCTCGTAAACTCTGGGTTCTTTTATAAACCAGGCACAGTAATATCTACCTCACAGAGCTGTGTGCATTGCATGACATCATATACACACTATATTGACTTAAGACTGTCATATTTGTTTGCTCAACTCATGGATATGAAGGGCAGACTGTATACCTTGTCAGGTACTTTTTTCTTTTTATTGTATCCCATGGGGGAAATGGATGGTAGATTGGTGGAGGTGGCTAGAATTGTAAAGAAAAATATGAAATTCACATGAAGGCTGGAGTTACTCATATGACAACAACAGCTTATGGGGCCCAATTCTATTGCTCTTGCGTCTGTCACACAGTTGAGGTTTTGGAATGAACTACGTATGCCATCCTTGTTGGACAGTGACAAGTCACTGTAGCCCCCTAGGAGAAGAACAGTATAATCAAGATGTCAGGTTGAGGAATAATCTTTGTGATCAACTGAGTGAAAGGTACAAAGTAAGAAACAATTGAGAGGCATTGCTCTGGGCCCAAAAGTCTAGTAACAGGCAATTAGAGGTTAAAGGATAAGCATTTGATAGTGTTCTAGCTATACTGCAAAATGAATGCTGCATGAAGGCTAACTGAGAAGCTTATCAGTTGGTAGTTGGGAACTAAAGAGGAAGCAGGCACCAAGGAAAGATGGAAAGTTCTACACACCTTTGTTAGTTACACATGGAGGTAAATGCATTGATGATGAATCTGCCATTTTTAGGTTTTCATGTTTAAAAAGTTTCCTGACAATGTGTCTAGCAATGTGCTAGACACTGTAGATAATATACAATAAAATATTAAAGAGGCGGCTCGTCCTCAAGGAACTTTCAAGCATTCATACATTTCTGTTTGATTGTAACATATTTATTATTTTAAAGAACTGGCCAGAGAGTTGCATGTTCTGTGTAGGGATAAATAGCAAGTTTCAGGCCCCTGCATTTATTGGCACTTACGTACATGGTAGTCCTCACACCTTTGCCGGACAGCACCAAAAATCCTGCGGAGCTCAACTCTGTGACCTCACCCTTTGAGCCTGGAAATCAGCATGAACTCATGATCTGACAATCCCGAACAAGCTAAGCATTTCTTAAAAGAAAGCAGTGACTTTTAATAGGTCTCACTGATGGTGTTCCACCGATTAAATCAGTCAAACAGAATTGTCACATTGAAGATTATCTTGGGTTTCTAGAATTCATTCTAGGTTTTAAAGATGCAGACAGATTCTGAGGGTCACAAACGTCAGTTTGCCAAGTATGTTTAGGCTGTAAAGTTATCCATGAAAAGACCGTGTGGTTTGCATGAGATTGATTGTGATCGGATGTAACTACATTGCTTTTTACAGCTCAGTAGAAACCACTTTCAATTGCAAATTGTAGCAGAAGCAGGCGTCTACTTAATTTTGATCTTAAAGAATTTCAAAGAGAATAAATGCACACTAAATAGTGGTGGATTTTGGTAGTATACGCCAACATCACTTTTTATTTAACACATGCAGAAATGTGTACTGGTAGAGAAAATTGGTAGAGTGAATTAAAGTACAGACAGATCCACATTGACTTTAAATGAATACATGCACGGTCAGAAAACGGTAACCCTGGGCAGGAATCTTTAAGTTTTCAGGGCTCATTAGACAGTGAGCAGGTGAGGCTCAAGGCTGAGTTTGCAACTGTGCTGTGAAAACTCAAAAATGAAAGTTTTTTTCATTTCTGAGCCTGTTGAAAAGTGGGTAAGAAGGGAAAGGGCAGTCTCATAATAAAATAATATGTAAAGGCTAACCAAATAACCCACTTTAGTCTTTACTTACTGGCAGGCAGCAACATGTCCTATTTACAGAGGGAGGCTTTACCTAAGTGGTTATATGTAAATGAACCACCTTTTCAATGAAACAGGATGCACCTGTCTAGAGGTGTCTGTTACTAGAGCAATGGATGTTTGATTGGACTGACAAATTTTATTTCCTTTTTGGAAAAAAGAATGTAGGTGGTATCAAATCACCCTTTCTCCTGGTAACAATAGGAATTACTTCTTGAACTTGAGAAACCAGTAGTTGCTTGACCTATGTTTTTTGCATTTAGCATAGTCTTCTAAAGTAGTAGGAGCATACGTTTTTGTCTTTAATTCCCTGCAGACCCCTTCCCCAATGATCATCAGCAATACATCCACCCATAAATCAATGAAATCATAAAAAAGAAACATAAAATTCACTTGAAAAAGAATACCTACAAGGCATTCCTAGAATTCTCAATGTAAGTCATTTTTTGCCAGCAAAGCTAATTGTTCTCAAATATTTGATAACAAGGATGGCATACGTAGTTCATTCCAAAACCTCAACTGTGTGACAGACGCAAGGGCAGTAGAATTGAGCCCCATAAGCTGTTGTTGTCATGTGAGTAACTCCAGCCTTCATGTGAATTTCATATTTTTCTTTACAATTCTAGCCACCTCCACCAATCTACCATCCATTTCCCCCATGGGATACAATAAAAAGAAAAAAGTACCTGACAAGGTATACAGTCTGCCCTTCATATCCGTGAGTTGCACATCCGTGATTCCATCCAGCCACAGATAGAAAATATTCAGAAAAACAAAAAACAAAAAAAAAAAACCCACAAATGCAACAATAAAAAAATACAGACTTTCAGAATAGCATATAACAACTATTTAGATAGCATTTACATTGTATTCGTTACAAGTAATCTAGAGATGATTTAAAATATACAGGAGGATGCACATAGGTTATATGCAAATATACACCATTTTATATAAGGGATTTGAGCATCCTTGGATTTTGGTATCTGGGCGGGGGGTCCTGGAGCCAATCCCTTGTGTATGCAGAGGAATGACTGTACTGGAAAGCAAAGTAAAGCTACACCAAAGAGGGTAATAGCAGGCTATAAAGTACTGAGAGAAACTAAGAGAAGAAAGTGAGGTACCTCTGACAAAGGAGTGCTTGGAAGAGAAAGGATGAATAGAAAAATGGGATTTCAGGGAATTCATTGATGACAGGATGACCTACTTAAAAATGACAAGGGCCATGTGTGGTGGCTCACACCTGTAATCCCAGCACTTTGGGAGGCCAAGGTGGGCAGATCACTTGAGGTCAGGAGTTGGAGACGAGCCTGGCCAACACGGCAAAACCCTATCTCTACAAAAAAATACAAAAATTAGCTGGGTGTGATGGCACGCGCCTGTAGTCCCAGCTTCTTGGGAGGCATGAGGTGGGAGAATGACCTGCGCTCAGGAGGTTAAGGCTGTGGTGAGCCGTGATCGTGCCACTGCACTCCAGCCTGGGTGACACAGGGAGACCCTGTGTCAAAAAAAAAAAAGATAGGAAGTGAGCAAAAGAGAGGTCATAGATAATGGCATGATGAAACAGAGGAAAAAAAGGATAAGAAGGAGGAAGAAAAAATGTACAATAAAACGAGAAGGAAGGATGCAAAATGAATATAGGAAAAACAAGAGAACTGAAGACAAGAGGAAAAAAGGAGATGGTAGAAGGGAGGAATGAAAGTAAGTAAAATAGGAATGAAGTTCAAGATCTATTTAGCCATAGCTAAAGGAACGTATTATCAGCTATTGATTTCCTCTTCTAATAAAGAGGAGAATGATATGGATAGTCCAGAATAATGGATCATTTGCAAAACATTAATGTGTCTTGACTTAAGGTACATGTTTATAATTACCTCGAACTGTATATTTGTCTTCTTCCATGTGTGGTTTTAAATTATTTTACCAAAATGGGGAAGCCAGGAGATACATACTTGATTCAGTAAAACCAGCTTTTTATTCGTAGTTTACTTCCTGCTGCATCCTTTTTTCGGCTGAGAGGGATCAATGTCTGCAGGTGTCCCTTAATCCATAATTAAACCATATGCACATCTACCCTCCCAGTTTCCCTGCCCACCATAAAACCTTCATCTTGGCTATTGCTTGGAAAATGGGGAGGGAATAGAGCTTCTGCTTTTTTTTTTTTTTTTTTTTTTTTTTGGAGAGAGTCTTGCTGTGTCACCCAGGCTGGAGTGCAGTGGCGTGATCTCAGCTCACTGCAACTTCCGCCTCCCAGATTCAAGCAATTCTCCTGCCTCAGCCTCCTGAGTAGCTGGGACTACAGGCACGCACCACAACGCCCAGCTAATTTTTTGTATTTTTAGGAGAGACAGGGTTTCACCATGTTAGCTAGGATGGTCTCAGTCTCCTGACCTCGTGATCCGCCCACTTCAACCTCCCAAAGTGCTGGGATTACAGGCGTGAGCCACCGCACCTGGCTGGAATGGAGCATTTTACTTGAGACCTCTGTGAGCTGGTCCTGAGTATGAGTAGTGAATTCCAACCCACTTTTCTCCTAATCCCTGTCGTGTCCTAGAGTGAGAATATACAGAGGGGTTGGAAGTGGGTTTATGTTCATGGGCTTTCTAGATGGACTTTCAAGTCCAAGTAGAAGTCCAACTTGAGAGCTCGTGTAGAAAGCCCTTGAATGTAAACCCGTGAAGAAAAGCACTTCCTTATTTCAGAAAGAGCACAAAAGACCAGCAATCCAAAGGCATTTCGAAGACCTTGAAAGAGCTGGGAGTGGCTTAGGTATGGAGGGTGCATGTGTGAGTACAAATGGCCCCTCAGCTCAGAACCAAGCATCTGTGTGCCATGATCCATGGTTCCTAAATATCATGGAGGGCAAAAAGTATAAATGTGAATTAATGCAAGAGAAACCACACTGAAATAAAAAATACCTGTGGTCTCTTGAGATTCAAGTTGGCAAAATCCAATCTAAAAGATGTCTGACTATCACAATTAGTGAAGTCCACAGGTCAGATTTTCCTCTCTGTTCCTGATTAGGATTAACCTGGAAAGGTGGATTGGGTCCATCTTTAATAATAACTACACCTTCTGAAAGATTTGAAACTATTATTATCTCTTTGTTTGCTGCTGCTTTCATAGATTTATGGTAGGACTTGGGGTTAGATGGATGATCCAGGTCACCTATTCCAGCCTCACACTCTGCCTCTATTCCAAATATGACATCACTGAGCGATGGCCACCCACCTTCCCTTGGATACCTCTAACAATGGGAATCTCACTGTTTCACAGGCAGCTCTTTTTTTTTTAAACACCTCCAATTCCAATTTTTAAACACCTCCAATGTCCAGAAAGTTCTTTAAACTCTTAAATACATGACATTTATTAAAACAAAGCCTCAAACCACTTTCAGAGTGGTGGTACAGCAAATAATTGATTCTTTTCAGGGTTTTTCCCCCCTGTGTTTTTTGTCTTCTCTAACTCAAATCATTGCCCGGATATTGCTTATAACAGGAGCTCAGCCTCAACCAGTCTTTCTGCTTTTACCACATGCTCTAGTGGAATCTAGATTACCGGACTCATTTCGAATCTAACTAAAAATGAGAAATGCTCTGTTTATATAAAGCTTGGCAATCAATAGGAAAAGGAAAGGCTGTTTAGCAAAGGCCAGTGATAATTCCAAGAAGCAGTGTCTTTTGGAATATGCTATGGTGACCTGGCCACTGCAGCTATCTGCTTATCTGTCTGGTTTCAGATTTCCAGAAAGGACTCGCTGCCTTCGAAACACTTCCCAGCCCTTCCTTGGGTGCCTGGATTTCTACCATTAGCAGTTTACTCCTTGAGCATGGATTTTTGCAGAAAGACATGTAGACCAGGGAGATGGCTCATTAAGCTCTTGGTGGTCATTTCACCAGAGCATTTAGCATTTTTAAATCCCTTCCTGGATGCTTGTTTTAGTGATGATGGTGGTGGTGAGATGAAGCAGGGATGTGTAGATCATGAAGGGATGGGAAAGGGGATGATTTGGTTGGAACGAAGCAAAATAACATTTCTGAGTGCCTGCTAAGGTCCAGCACTTTTCACACGTAAAATTTTCACAACAATCCCTGTGAGTTGGGATCCAGTTTCTACAGATGAGGAAATGAAGACAGGAGACTAGATGACCTGACCAGGTCCTAGGCCAGTCAGGAACAGAGCTGGGATTTAAACCAGAGCTGCCTGGTCCAAAACCTGTGCTGGTCCTGCTATTTTATGACACCTAGAAGGGAAAAGGGCAGAGAACTGGAAAGCTGAGATGGAATCACCTACTTAAGAATTTTGCAGAAGGCTAACCCTGTCTAAAAGCATCGCTTTGCAATCAGACACATGTGGCAGTAAAAATGTCCCAATGCTAACTCATTTTAAGCCTTGGTTTTAGTCTACCTAAAATTTATAGAACACTGTAAAATATGCTACATGTAATAAGATATTTATTAGGAGTCTTCTTGCACTTGTTCAGAATGCTTTTTATTATGTTTCTGCTCATTATTGTAGATATTCTCCCATTTTGGAGAAATTGACCGCGTGCACACTCTTCACTGGAGTTTTGCACAAATCTTACCAGAAAACTGGTGAAGATCAGTCCTGAGGCCCCTTCCGCCTCTAATTCCTTGCAGTATTTTGGCTGTACTATGTGCTGTTACACTAGATCACAATAAGCAGCTGCCAGTTTCCTCACAGGTTCCCTTGGGGAAGGATATGGGAATAATTCTTAGGAACCCCCCACAAATTATAGCAACCAATGCAGTAAAACCCCTTTAGCTCACTCCTCCCCCTGTGCTCACTCACATACTCAAATATATTTAGTGCTTTCCTTCCTCTCACTCCGACACTTTTGGGAGAGCCCTGGGGGTGGTTGAGTACCTTGTCCTTGGGTGGATTTTCTTGTTTTCTGAGACTGGCTGCCATCAGACTTCGGGAGAGGATCTTACCAGAGGCGGGTCTCTTCTTCCCCCGCCACCGCCCTCAGTATTCTTTCACAGCCACCACAAAGCCACGCTTTCTCTGCTAAGTACACATTCCTAGGACTGTAACAAAAGGCTTCTGTGAGTTTGAAAGCTGCAGGGGAGGCTCCTGCGTGAAGGCCTAAGATTTAAAGGGTTTCATTTCTCCTGTGCTGGGGACTGTATTGAGTGCAGTTTGAAATCTGCTTCACCACCACAAGGGGAAATAGAAATCAGCCCTAAAGCTGCATGGAGACCCCGGCTGGTCTTTATCCTCATAGCTTAGTGATTTCCTGCCACCCAAGAGGCAGTGAGGGGCTCCCTGACATTCCGGAGGCCCCAGGAACCCTGGCTGCGGTGACCCGGTGCTGGGGAGGGAGTGCATGGGGTAGGCTCCTGGTTGTGAGCCTTCAGTTCGCCGGGATGTCTATGCTGTGCTGTGTGGCTACTTAGCCAAGGCTGTGCATGCCAGCCGGAGCCAACAGCTTCAGCAAACCTGCCCTCCGGGGAGAGTGGATTTCATTGTTTTCAAAGAGATACAGGAAATCAGAATTTTCCATCCTTCCATGGAGAGACTTGGATTGGACTGAGAAGAGAACCAGCATTAAAAAGGAAGTCTCCTTCCCTTTCTTCCCTGCCCCTCCTCACCCCAGCCCCAGCCCACCCGCCAGGGGCACACCCTCCCTCTGCCGGCCTTTGGGTGGAAACCTTCCTGCCTGCAGCACAGGCAGTGTGAACTGCGGGGCTGTCTGAGCAACCCAGCTCTTGCCTTTTCAGTAGCAGAGGTAATGTGGCCACGACTCAGAATTATGGGACCCCAGATGCTGAGGAAGTAAACTGACTTCTTTTCAGCTCACAGCAGACGCATAGACAACAGAGTAGATTTCATGTTCTAATGAAACAGTGTAGAAACTCTGTCCTTGGTGGCTCAGTACTGTGTGGTATGAGCCTCTGCCTCCCTCCCTCCCTCCCTCTTTCCTTCTCTTTTCCTCCCCCACCCCTTCACGGCCTGCCCTTTCCTGATTCTTCAGAACTGACAACTATAAATCCAGCCCAAATTCCTTTAAACAAAGGGTCACCAAGAGCACGACCTTGAAAAGACTTCTTGTGATATGCACTTGCAGAGTTGCATATTGTTCCTTGGATTTAGGACAGGCCAAAGAAATCTTCCACTTTATTTAAGAAGAGCCTGTGTGGTTCGAGGCCAGGGCCGTGGACATAGGATTAACCACAATAATAATACAATGAAGTACACATGCAAAATGAAAACTTAATAATGAAGAACTACTGATTTTTTCCAGGGAGTATCAAGCACTTCCTTGTAAATTCTTACAAGGCATGAATTATTTCCTAGAAATGATTTAGGCTCTTTTGGAAAAGTGCATTGATTCTTTTAACATCATAATTCCAGTTACGGTAAAACCTCCATTATCTGATTTTCTGTGAATTGCAAAGCTATTATTAACTGGTACATTTTATATTTTACCAGTACAGTGACAGCTGATATTTATAATGGTGACCCCAAAGTTCTGTAAAATGCCGAATTACCCACTCAGGAATCAAAGAAAGATTAAATTGTGTTAAATAGAGTTTTTCATGTTAAGTGTCTTATTTTATTCAGATCTTGTTTTAGAAAGTCCAAGTGTACATCCACCATAATTTTCGAGGGCAGTACCAACTTAAAATGTTTTATCTTTTCTTGGCTTTGTAAACAAAACCTTGTAAAAAAAAATTTTTTTTTTCAATACTTTGGGTTCAAACTACAGATCATTCGATCTCAAACCTGACAGGTAAACAAATTTTTTTTTCAGAGTAAGTATTGCAGACATGAAAGATCATAAATGTGTTCACCAAAGTGAGTGTGAGACAGATCACCCCAAACACTCTCCACTATTTCTCTATGATCTTAGCCCAGCTGTGTGTGTTGTGAGTCATGCCTGGGTCTGACACCAGCATTCAGAGGCTGGCATAGCTTAGCATCCACATCATAAAGGGCTCAGATCGATGGCTCTCCTTGTCAAGCTCTGCAGCCCTCTCTCAGGCTTTGTGAGATGTGGTTTGCATCATTTTCCTTTAAGGAAATGTTATGCAGAAACATAAATGCAGTATACAACGAGGAGGCTTTCACCAAGAAATTAAAAGGGTACAGATGTCTAGGAATGCAGGGGTTAAGACAAAAATGTACTGCAGGGAAAGAAATGTGAGCAGAATGCCCCTCTTTTCGCCTGCTTCTGCCTTGCATCCAGCCCTTCCCGGGGAGTGTGATGTGAACTGCCATCCAAGGTGGCTGTGGTACAGGGGCAGGGTCTGGGGGCTGCTTCTGCAGCTTCAGCGCAGAAAACCCAGAGCTCAGTCCCAGCAAAAGCCTAAAGGAGAAGGAAACAGAGGCCCTAACACAACAGAAAATGATGCACCCCACTTTCCTGTGGTTCATCAGTTCACATACTTCCCAGGAGAAGTCAAATCACGCCCCAGAATAGGATACCTACTTAGGACTTAGTGATGTTTTATAGTCATGTCGAAGAACCTTCACATCCATGGCCTCATTTGATCTCACAGCAAGATGGGCATGATTAAAAAAAAGAAGTTACTCCCACTTTCCAGATGAGAAAACAAATTCAAAGACAGTGAGTGCCTTAGCTGAGTCCTATCCAAGCAAGGCAGGGGGCAAAGCCAGGACTAAAACACAAGGTTCTAATTCCTTCTCCATGATTTCCTGATGCCCATCATACCCTAATAGAATAGGATCACCCTGCAAGGCAACTGGTCCACATGGAGAGTCCTCTTGGAGGACACCGACCCGTGGTGCCACCTCTGATTTGCAAGTTGGTGCATTAGACAAGCCCTGGAATGACAGCCAGAAGATCTCTATTCTGATCCTGGCCCTCCGTCTACTTGGGCCACTTTGATCAAGCCATTTAGCCCCGTTCCCTTCAGGTGGCTCAGCTGGAAGTAAGAATGATAATGCCCATGCAGCTGACTCACCTGGTGACTGTGAAGGCCAAATGAGATGATGTGTTTGAGAGCACTTTGCAAACTGTGGAGTATTGCCAGCCATTTCTCCTAATTTGGCTCAGGGCAGAAAGACATCCAGGTGAAGAGCTTGATGTGTGTGATGACTTAGGCTTGGGGATATTTGTGAACAGGACACAACAAATAAATTCGTTTGACGGGCAGAGGGACAGTATGCTGGGTATAGTAGAAACTCTTGGAACCTGCAGTTATTGAAGGGTTTAAAACTCAAAAATGATACAGAAGGCAGTTCTATTACAGTTTCTGCTTTTTTGCTGTTCAACACCTCTGAAGATGGTGCGTTTAATCCTTCCTGGGATGGCAGGTTATAGATGACTTCATGCTGAAAGTGACCCGTAAGGAATATCCGTATATTTTGAAGTGTATGTGGTTCACCAGGCAGAAAACAGTCTGCCAAGTCTCTCATCCCAGGCAGAAGGGGTGGCACATGCGAAGGCCAGAGAATGCAGTGCCTCTGAGAACTGTCAGATGTCAGTGTGGCTGGAGCCAGGTCTGCTAGAGGGTGAGGTTGGAAGTTAACCAGGAGTTTAGGAGGCCCTGGGAAGCCTCTGAAAATATTTAAGCAAAAACAGTTAGCTTTATGTTTTTGTTGTTGTTGTTGTTTGAGACGGAGTCTCGCTGTCACCCAGGCTGGAGTGCAATGGCGCCGTCTCGGCTCACTGCAACCTCTGTCTCCCAGGTTCACACCATTCTCCTCCCTCAGCCTCCCAAGTAGCTGGGACTACAGGTGCTCGCCACCATGCCTGGCTAAATTTTTTGTATTTTTGGTAGAGACGGGGGTTTCACCATGTTAGCCAGGATGGTCTCGATCTCCTGACCTCGTGATCCACCCGCCTCGGCCTCCCAAAGTGCTGGGATTACAGGTGTGAGCCACTGCGCCCGGCCAGCTTTATGTTTTTAAAAGATCATTGCCTCGTTCTTGGTTCTCAGCTCTCTGATCCTTTTAGTTTTTATTGGATAGAGGAGAGACCTTAATGTATACAGAGACTAAGGAACTTGGAATTGGAAATCTGCCTGGCTCCCTTTCCCTCAACGTGCCTGCAGTCAGCCATCTTTCTCCAGCTAAGCCAAAGGATGGTGGGGGCACCACACAACAGAGAGCTGAGTTAGAAAGGGTGGGAGGGAGGTGGCTGAAGGGTCCCCACTGCAGTTGACAATTTGAAATAAACTCCCACTTTCCTTCAATATTTTCCTATAGCAAATGGAAACTTTGACCAGATACCAGCTTCTTTCCATCCTTCCATTAGACTCACAGCCCAGTTAGGATGTTCACAGTCCCAAGCCAGGGATAGCACATGCCATTACCATAGTGGGCTGGATAGGGGGCAGGAAGCAATGCTTTCCAGCCCTTAGAAGCCTCTGGTGATGTGCTGTGAACATGGTGAGGGAACCCGAACTTTAGAGTCAAACAGGCTGGTCTGCAAACCCCGGTTCCAGCACTCACTGGACTCAGGATCTTCCCAAGTTAGTTAACTCCTCTGACCATGTCTGCATTTTCTCATCTGGAAAATGGGAACAGTAATATCCACCCTCCAGAGCTGTTATGAAGATGAAATTGAAAGTGTCTCCAACGCACCAGGTATATAGTATAATCTCAATTTATGCTTTTGCCCTTAGATGCCAGAAGTTAATATTCTTTCAATACTTATTCTCGTAGAAGCAAAAGAGATCCTGTTTGTGTGATGTTCCTACAGCCTCTGCTGTACTGTATTATGAAAGCTCAAGAAATAGGAGTTAATGATGAGGCACAGCAGGAAGAAAAATGTCTCTAAGATGCCAAACAGGGAAAATTTAGGAAGAAATAAGAACCAAAAAATAAATCAGTTGATCAGGGTAAAAAATGTCTTATGCTCTGAACTTATAACTCTATGGAGTAATTTCCACTAATGATCTCAGTGTCTACTTAACTAATCATGTACTTTTCTAGCCAGAAAGACAGTACTTGTAGGGTACGTTCCATTTTAATGCACAAATCATTGTTGCTTTTCAAAAAGTCATCTTTTTTTCCCTGGCCACACACAGCACCCCGAGGCCTGGCCAGCCCCCATGCCAGCTCAAGAGCATGAACTCTTACCGGAATGGGTTCTGTGGGGAGTACAAAGTCAAACATAAGTAGGCTTGCATTCAGAGCTCACTGCCTAGCGGGAAAAAAGACATATGCACTCATAACTCTAATTTAACACGGCGTCCTAGAAATTCCATATCCATCTTCAAAGTTCTCTGGAAGCAAAAAGACAGGAGGAAAGACATTTTTAGAAGGAGGCTTCCTGGAAGGAGTGACTTCAGTTTCAGGCCTTAAAGGAGATGTGAGTTTCCACATGCAAGGAGGGAGGAAAAGCATGTTGCAGACAGACGAAGCAAGTGTGTGAGCAAAGGCCTGCGGGGTGACAGGGAGGGGTGTTGGGAGGTGTGTATCTGGATGAAGGCAGGTATGGAAAGTGCTGGGAAAAAAGGTCTGGGAAAGGGCCTTGGGGGCCAGGTGATAAGGAAGTTGAATGCCTCTTTGAAGAGTGGGGTTTTATTTTATGTGCCTTTGGTGGGGAGTTGTGAAGGTTTTTATTCAAAAGAGCAGTGGGGCTGGGCACAGTGACTCACACCTGTAATCCCAGCACTTTGGGAGGCCAAGGTGAGCAGATCACGTGAGGCCAGGAGTTTGAGACCAGCCTGGCCAACATGGCGAAACCCCATCTCTACTAAAAAATACATAAGTAACAAAAATTAGCTGAGCGTGGTGATGCATGCGTGTAATCCCAGCTATGCAGGAAGTTGAGGCACAACAATCGCTTGAACCTGGGAGGCGGAGGTTGCAATGGCCTGGGATTGTGCCACTGCACCCCAGCCTGGGCGACAGAGCGAGAGAGACTCTGTCTCAAAAAAAAAAAAAAAAAAGCAATGGGAATGGTTCTTAAGGAAGATTTCTCTGGGCACACTGTATGTTCTCACTGAATATTTGGTGTGGTTTGGGTTTTATACCAGTTACGATATGGGGCTTGGTATCTCTGAGCCTAAAATCTGTGCTTTCCAAGGACAGTAGAAATGCTAGTGTTCACTTTGCTCAGTACTCTTCCCTCCACTTGGCACTCATGCTGCTTCTCAAGCCTTGGGGTGTCCCTGGTTCTGGAGTCCCTCCTACCCCTGCAGCCCTTTTCTAAGCTATAGTCTCACCCCTCCTCTGCAGGCTCCCAGGCAGCCTCACCTCCTCCTGCAGAGGGATCAGCTGTCACCCTGCTCCTCCCTCCTGGCCCTCAGCCTACCCTACCCACATGCATTCACCATCTTACCAGTGGAACAGGCGTCCCTCTCCTGTATACAGAGGTCCCTTCCCCTGAGCTCTTCTGCCTCAGCCTCCCCAGTGGGCTTCTCCCCTCCTTCACAGTCAGCCTCTTTCTCATTTGCACCTAGTTCCATTCCATCTTCAAAGAAGCCCACTTGGATTGCACATCTCTCTTCACTACCACAAATCTGGTTCCTCACAGCCAAGTTCTGGAAAGAGTTCTCCACATGGTGTCCTCCTCCTCACCTCCCATTAGCGCCTCAACCCTCCGTGATCTGGTTTCTACGCCTGCTGCCCCTCTGCCCTGGCTGCAGTCCCCAGATGCCGAATCCATCTGCCATCTGCTGCCCGAAACTCTCCTGGCTTGCAAGATACCACTGTCCTCTGACTTGTCCCCGGTCTTGTCCCCTGCTGTTCCCTCCTTTAAGAATACACCTTTTCTAAATTGCCTGCTGCCTAAATGTTTTCCTCTGGAAAACTCACCTACTCCAGCGGCTTCAACGATCATCAGTGCGATGGGGACTTCCAAATATTTTTTATCTCTAGCCTGGGCCTTTCTCTTAAATAACAGATGCATGTGTACAACTGCCTACTGGGCCTCTTTACCTAGATGTTGTACAGTTACCTCACATTCAACAAAGCTGAATATATCCCCCGCCAATCCATCCTCTGTGGGATGAGATGGGCGGGCCCCTCTATTCATCTAGTTTCAGGAATCAGGAGCTTGGATTTTGTCATTGACTGCTTCCTCCACATTGAATTAATCTCTTAAGTTCCATCAATTCTACCCCATGGTATCTTCAGCCCATCCTTTCTCCATCCCTTCTGCTTTAGTTCAGGCTAACAATATCTGTCATCTCCATTTCTGCAACAGCCTCTGACTGGCCGCCTTGTACCAGTCTTGCCCTGTTCTAATTCATTCTCTACTCTGCAGCTGGAGTGATCCTTTGAAAACAATATCCGATTATGTTACGCCCTTGTTTAAAATTCTTCAGTGACTCCTTGTAGCCTTAGGATAAAGCCTGAACTCCTTAGTACAGCAGACAAGGCCTTCCAAGGCCTTCCTAATAATAGCTAACACTTATGAAGTTCGCAATCCATACCCCACACTGTTCTAAGGTCCTTACACATATGTCAACATACTTAATGCTCATAATTCCTGACGTAGGTCCTGTTACTATCCGAGTTTTACAGTGGAGGAAATCGAGGCACAGAAAGGTAAGGCACCTTGCACAAGGTCACACAGCTAGGAAGTGGGAGAACCAAGATTCAAACCCAGGAAACCTGACTCCAGGCCCACACTCCTTAGCACCATGCTGCACTGTCTCCATCATGTGCCGTAGCTTCTCATCCATTCAGAAATATTATATTGAGTACTGAAAATGGGCTAGAAGCTGCTTGAGACACTGGGGATATAGCAGGAATCCAAACAAAGGTCCGTTCACATGCTAGTGAAGAAAATGAGTAAGAAACAGCATGATTAGTAAAATTATTAGGTAGATTAGGGATGAATGCTAAGAGAAAACAAAAATAAGCAAGAAAGAAGACCGGGGGAGTCTGAGAACAGATATGCGATGTTAGAAGGAGTGTCCAGGGAGGACTTGAAGGAAGTGAGGATGTCTAGGAGAAGAATATCAGCTGAAGGAACAGCAAGTCCAAAGGCCCTGAGGTGGGAATAGTTCCTGGTAGGTCTGAGGAACAGCAGAGAGGTCAGCGTGGCTGGAGCAGAATGAAGGAGGGAAAGGATGATGGCAGGAAAGGATGGTGGGAGCTGGGTACAGACAGGTCAGGTCATATAGGGCCCAGAAGATCATTGTAAAGACCTTGGCATGAACTGTGAGTGAGAGATAGGAAGCCACTGGGGGATTCTGGGCAGAGTGACATGATGAAACTTACAAACAGAGGAGTGATGTGATTTGAATCAATCTCTGGCAGGTCTGTTGAGGATAGATGCAGGGAAGGAACAGTGGAAGCTGGCAGACCAGTCAGGGACCAGTAACAATGATCCAGGCAAGAGAGGATGGTGGCTGGGACTAATGTAGTAGCAGCAGAGGTGGCGGAAGTGGGCAGAGCTGGATACATTTGGAAGGCAGAGCCAATAACACTTACCAATGGACCAGAAGGGGGTGTAAAAGAAGAAACAAGGGGCTGGGCACGGTGGCTCACGCCTGTAATCCCAGCACTTTGGGAGGCTGAGGTGGGCGGATCACAAAGTCAGGAGATCCAGACCATCCTGGCTAACACGGCAAAACCCCATCTCTACTAAAAATACAAAAAAAAAATTAGCTGGGTGTGGTGGTGGGCACCTGTAGTCCCAGCTTCTCGGGAGGCTGAGGTGGGAAAATGGTGTGAACCCGGGAGGTGGAGCTTACAGTGAGCCGAGATGGCGCCACTGCACTCCAGCCTGGGCAACAGAGTGAGACTCAGTCTCAAAAAAATAAAGAAAGAAAGAAGAAACAAGGGCGACTGGAAGGTGTGGGGCCTTGGCCACAGAAAGAATGGAGTTTGCCTTCTCTGTGATGGGAAAGATTGGGAACAGCAGATTTAGATGAGTGACATCTGGAGGTTGGTTGGCCTCATTAAGCCTAACGTGCCTATTAAGCATCAAAATGGAGATGTTGACCGGGCACAGTGGCTCATGCCTGTAATCCCAGCACTTTGGGAGTCTGAGGCAGGAGGATTGCTTGAGGCTAGAGTTTGAGACCAGCCTGGGCAACATAGCAAGACCCCATCTCTTAAAAAAAAAATGTGTTTTAGATTAGCCGGGTATGGTGGCTCACTTGTAGTCCTAACCACTTGGAAGGCTGAGGCAAGGGGATCACTTGAAGCCAGGAGTTCGAGGCTGCAGTGAACCATGATCCCACCACCATACAACAACTCTGTTGTCTGGGCAACAGAGGGAGATTCTGTCTCTTAAAAACAAACATGGAGATGCATTGTCACCTCCCACCCTCACCCCCATTTGAACACACACTCACATATATCTCACGTCCTAATCCTACTGAACTACTCAACATTTCCCCAAACCGGTTGTGCTCTTTTCATGTGTGCAGGCCTTGCATCCGCTGTTCCTCTGACTGGAAAGCTGTTGGCCCATCCAGTTGAGAAAGTCTTCCCTGGCCGTGCACGAATGCACTAACTTGTAAATGTCTCTTTACATTCCTTTCTTCCCTTCCAGACCGCAAAATCCAGTCTCATTCACCTTGACATGCCCTGCGCCTGATCCGGGACGCGAGGCATAGTGGGCATCTCCTAGGTTAGACGGATGGGTGAGTGGGTGAGTGAACGGAGAGGTGGACAAAATGAGTGCTCAGCAGTTAGACCCAACTGTGTTTTGATGGTAGTGATGGGAATTCCCCTGGCACATGGCCAGGTGAGATGATCATTCAGCCTGAAATGAAAGAAACAGCAGATGTCAGGAAGTTTTTGTTAATCCTGCCTTGTGCGTTAGAACTCTCCCGCATACGTCCCCTTTCCCGCACACTCTCTCTACCTTTCTCCCCCATTTCTAGCTCCTGGTCTTATTCATCTGTAGCATCAGTAAACATATACCCTTTACTGTTCACATCCAGGTCTGTAGGGGAAATTTTGGTTATAAAACCGGAAGAGTGTTTAACCTAATGTCCTGCTGCGGGCTTGCTTTCCACGGGCCTCCGGGTCTGTTAAAATGATCAGGCCTCATTATTTAGGAAGCTGCCTCAGCCAGGCATTACTAATTTGGGCATTACTAATTCAGATGCCTATTCAGGCAAATGAGCAATGAATGTAAAGTGCTTTTGTCAGTGAATTGCAAGTGAAGAGAAGAGGGAGTGGGGGAAGTAAAGGGAAAGTGATAGAATGTTTGAGCTTTGCTTCATTTCCAGAAAGGACAGCCATTGCTTCCTGGAAGCTGGGCTTGGCAACAGGCATGGAGGAATGGGAAAGATTTATTTCCCTTTGCCAAAGCTCAATAATTCAGCTTGAGTATTTCAAATCAATACATTTCTTGCAAAGTTTCCAAGGGCTGCATTAAAACAGCCATTTTTAAAAATTATCAGTACATGACAGCATCCTCCGACGAGACTGGCATGTCAGGGATGAGTCGAGTCTTCCAAATAGACAAGACTCCAGTGAGAAAGGAGGCTGCCACAAGCAGGAAAAGCGAAGTTAGAGCTGACAGCAAGACCAACCGCACCTGTAGGGCCTCTGGCGTTCACACACCTCATTGGTTTTGTGGGGGCTCTTTCTGAGATGAGCAGCTGGATCGCTCCTCCTAAGGGCTTGCATGGGGGAATCTGTGACTATAACTCCGTATTTCTTTGAAGATGCAATTCATCACTGAACTTGGGAAAGACTAACTTGGGGAGGTCTCCACCACGATCTAGGATTGCTAAGATGTCTGACAGGCTGAGTCACTCATACTTTTGTGAACTATTAAAAATTTCATAGTTCTGACATCTGGACATCTTGACTTTCGGTGATAGGAGATATGGAAAGACAGTAAAAGGCTGTGTCTTTACTGTTGTTTTAATCCCCACTAGAGAGTCCTTTTTTTCTTTTTTTTTTTTTTTGAGTTGGAGTCTGGCACCGTCTCCCAGGCTGGAGTGCGGTGGTACGATCTCTGCTCACTGCAACCTCTGCCTCCCAGGTGGAAATGATTCTCTTGCCTCAGCCTTCCAAGTAACTGGGATGACAGGCTCCCATCACTAGGCCAGGCTAATTTTTTGTATTTTCAGTAGAGACGGGGTTTCACTATGTTGGCCAGGCTGGTCTCAGACCCCTGACCTTGTGATCCGCCTGCCTCGGCCTCCCAAAATGCGGGATTACAGGTGTGAGCCACCGCACCCGGCCAGTAATTCCTTCTATTTCGATGTTTCATCTTCACTAGAATCGTTCCTTAGTTCTTTCGGTGGGAGAAGCCATTCAGCCCCCCTTGACTGCCAGTGCCCTTTGAGGCTCTCAGCCATTTGATTCTTCCTGTGTATCCCCTGTGGTTGTTGTCTCTGTTTCTAGAGTGCAGTGGTTCCTGCACTTTGGGCTGTAACCCCCTTTGGTGGGGCCAGAGACCCCTTAGATTAATTATCACATTTCTTTCACTTACTGCCACAAAACCCAGCAGCGATTCACTAGGAGAACCCGAAGATTGGTGCTCTTCTTTATGAGACACCAAAGGGGCTCTGTGTTTCCCAGCATGAAGTCTTCAGTGACAGAGTCTGGGAGGACAGCACAGGCAGCAGCAGTGTAACTCTCAGAATCCCCACGGAAGAGCAGAGCAGCTCAATAGCAAAACCAAAACCCAGCGACGAGACATCCCCAAGTCCCACCTTAATGGGACTTTTGGTAGCCTTTGGAACAGGGAAAACCCAAAAATAGCCAAGAGGTATTCACCAGAAAGCCTGAAAGTGGGAGTGGTTTTGCTCGTTCCTATAGTAGTGAGGGCAAGTGGCGTCGAGGAGGTCTGAAAGGTGTAGAGTTCTCTGGGCCCTGTGAACTCTGCCACTAACCAGCCACGCTGATGGCCAGCTTTCAGGATAGCTGTGGAGAAGCTGCTGGGAGTAGAGGCACATTGAAAAGGTTAGGGATGGCCAGGCATGGTGGCTCACGCCTATAATCCCAGTACTTTGGGAGGCCGAGGCAGGTGGATCACCTGAGGTCAGGAGTTCGAGACCAGCCTGGCCAACATGGTGAAACCCCGTCTCTACTAAAAAGACAAAAATTAGCCGGGCGTGGTGATGCATGCCTGTAATCCCAGCTATTCAGGAGACTGAGGCAGGATTGAACCCTGGAGGCGGAAGTTGCTGTGAGCCTAGATCGCGCTAATGCACTCCAGCCTGAGCGACAGAGCAAGACTCCATCTCAAAAAGAAAAAGAAAAAGAAAAGGATGGGGCAGCAGAGACTTAGATGCAAGGTCTCCCAAAGGAAACAGAACCAGGAGATTTCAGAAAGCCAGCTGCCATTTATTTGAATGCTACATGAAAACAATAGAAGAGAGGGTTTGCTAAGGCTGGAACCATGCCATTTCATAAAAATTTCGGAACATTGTCTTCAGATGAAAATGAGCAACAGAAAAGTAGTGAGGTCAAATCCCACACAAAGTTTTTATAAGATAAAGGAACAGAAGGAGCAGAATAGCATCCCTCAAGAAAGCGTGCCAAAACAACATGCCTTTAGAACAATTCAAAACCCTACTTACCTCCAAATGAGCTAAAAGGTAAGAAGAAAAAGATACGAAGCGTGGGGCAAACACAACATCAATCAGAATTAGAAAAACTTCCAAATGAAATGACAGACTCTGGAAAGAATTAAAAGTAAAAGAAAAATCATTTCAGAAATGAAGAGTTAACTAGTGAGAATACAAGATGAATCTTTACAAAAGGTGATTTTTTAAAAGAGAAACACAAGGGGGAAGCAGGAAATTTTTTAAAGAAGAAACAAGAAAGGTTTTAAAAACAACTCAAGAAAAAGTGACAAATATTGAAGAACGGCAAAGAAATTTCACCACGTGGATAATAGGAGTCTCTGGGGAAAAAACCACAAAGCAAGCTTTCGCCTGCATCGCTCCTGTCTCTGCCCCTGTCTTCACATGGCCATCTCCTCTCCTCTGCGTCTCTCCTCTGTTTCCATATAAGGACACCTGTCATTGAATTTGGGGCCCACCTGCATAATCTTGAGATCCTTAACTTAATGACGTCTGCAAAGAGCCATTCTCAAATTAGGTCTTATTCACAGGTTCTGGGGATTAGGACACGGACATTTCTATTTGGCAGCCAACATTCAGCCATCTCCAGTCACTGAGCTAGTAAGTGACAAAAACAGGATTTGAATTTCGTTGTTTCATTTTATTATAACGTGGTTAAGAGAGATTTTAAATATTTCCATTAAGTTAGCAATTCTTGCCAACAACAGTAGAAAGCATGCCTTTTTTTTTTTTTTTTTTTTTAAAGTCAGAGCCTCATTCTGTCACCCAGGCTGGAGTGCAGTGGTATAATCATAGCTCACTGCAGCCACTCCTAGGCTGAAGCAATTCTCCCACCTCAACCTTCTGAGTAGCTGGGACTTCAGGCATGCACTACCACACCTGGCTAATTTATTTTGTTTTTCAAGGAGATGGGGCTCTTGCTATGTTGCCCAGGCTGGTCTCGAACTCCTGGCCTCAAGCAGTCCTCTCACATTGGCTTCCCAAAGTGCTGAGATTACAAGTGTGAGCCACAGGACCTGGCCAACAGCATGCTTTTACAAATAGTAGGGTAGCAGGAGGCCAGCCTGCAGACCGCCCAGAGACCTCACCCCATCTTACGCTCTGCCCAACCTCAGGGGAGCATTTTTGCACTTGGTGGATTAGCATTACTTGCTCCATCCATGATGAGCCACTCATGCTCTTCACAGATTTTCCAGACTCCCATGTCAAAGTTAAAAAACAGACATCGGCCTCTTTCCAGAACTCAGAATATTCACATCTATATTGTTAACACTCATACCTTTTCCAGCACAGAATGAAAAGCACCTTTGAAGAATCGTAAGCCATGAATGATGACGGGCCGAAGGGAGTGAGGGCTCCTACCTCTTGTCACTCCTACCATCCTGCCTCCAGGACCCCTGCCACCTACTTGGGAGTCTGCCCTTAAAACTCAAGGGTCACCTGACTCATTCCTCCCCACTCATTCATCTGACTACCCACCAAAGCTAAGTGTGAACAGCCTGTATTGATTTATCATTTTCCTTTTGCCTGCTTCCTCTGGTACAGAGATCTTCATGCTTTCATCCAAACGAATGAATAATGTAAAATCCCAGGTGGGGTGACAGAGCCAAGGAGAAAAGTGTTCTGCAGCAAGGGAGGGCCTCCCAGTATGAGCCTTGGAGTCTCAGATAAGCCCAGGGACAAAGCATGAGACATCCAGTTACATATCTGTGGCCCTGGAAGGGGAGACGGGGTTCGCTTTGTGGTGGTGTTTAGCTTTCCTGACTCCAAGTGACCATCTTAAGCCAGGGGATTAGTAACCTTTACAACTCTAATACTAGGGAATATATTAATAACTGGTGAGAAAAAAGATTACAGCTTTTTTATTGATAGGTCTATAAAAGCCATTTCCGTATGAATGTCCTCAGAAAGGAGGAATAAGGGGATGAGATAGAATAGAATAGAGAGAAGTCTGTCTCACACACACACACACACACACACACACACACACACACACACAAATGCAACACAATTATCTTTAAATAGAAGTTGCTTCTCCAAGTTTGTTTTTTTTTGTTTGTTTGTTTCATGAGGCGTCAGCAACGCTGTTAAAATGATTTCATCCTGCCTGTGTGTCACAGCAGTCTGCCCCGCGAAATGCTGAATCAGCAGCAGCCCAGACAGCCTTTCGGTGGAGGGTAGATTCGACACCCAAAGGCAACCAACCGGGCCTTTGAAAGCACTTGGAAGCACTCTCCAAAGAGCCAGGGAAGAGGACAAGGAAGAAGGGGGTGCAGTGGAATTCTCCTTAAAAAACAGCATGTTCTAGAAAAGCCATGCTTTGGAGGTGCTGTAGGTCAGATTTGCCTTTGGGTCCCTATGTGTATTTTCTGAGGTCTGTTCATGTAAAAGTTCAACACCTCTTTCGCACTCCCTTCTCCCAGCCCCCGCGCCCTGCCCCCACACCTCCTGTCCACCTCCACCTCCTCCTCCTGGAATTCAGTGATTATCAGGACTGTCTCCATCCTGAGAAGAGGCTTTTTAAAATTTCGCAGGAGAATAGAGACACCCGAGAGGGCTGGGAACAGGCACAGCTGAGCCACACAAAGCCAAGCCTCCTCCATGCAAGTGACGGACAGATCAGGTCCCAGTTCAGAATGAGAATGAGTTTTACTCTGGTTACACTTTGCACAGGAATGTTCTGCAGACTGTGCCGGGCACCAGAGATGGTCCGTGTGCGGTTTAAAAGAGCAGGAGGGGAAAGAATTTTCATCCCTCTTTATTCAGGCACCCTCAGGAGAGTATCCATGTTCTGTGAATCATGCAAATCCTGCAGGATCTTTATGTTCTCTGTACCCCATCCATTTCTGCTGAGGATTACAAACATTCTTGCACCAACTTTCCTCCAGCAGTTTCGATTTCTCAATAAATCTGTTTGAGGAACATTTCAACTCTTAATATCTATTTTCCTACTTTTTTTTTCTTCTTAAACTCAGGCTTCTTTGTAAGCATACATATCAGTAAGTTTGATAATAAAAATGACCTTTCTGCCCTGCAGTATAGGAAATGCTGCCTTAATGCCTCTTTGCTTTAGAAACTCATCCTTGTATAGTATCTCTCCTTGCATAGCCAAGTTGCCTCATTGTACGTAAATTAAGGTTATTTGCAGTGATTGACCCTAACTACTATGAAGAAAAACTTTCAATATGTTAGCAATGATGTCTATAATAACTGAAGAAGGGACATTCCCTATTTAAGGTCAGGACTGTGCGTTTCAAATAAAGAAATGACAGCTCAAACATTTCATTGTACCCCCACTTCTAAGTGAGAAGAGGGCACCCTTCGTGTCTCTCTTTTCTGTTTTTCTCCCTGAAATATCAGGAGAGACATATATCTCTCTTAAACCTGATTTGGTTTTCGCATTACCTCACAGGTACATATTGTCAGAACTATTTGCATACACGAGACTAAAAAAAATACTAAACGGATTCTCCAGGGATCCATGGATAAACTTGAGGTAGTCTATAAGCTTTGAAATCACAAGCAAATATTTGTGTCCATGTGCCTGTGCATTTTGAAGGGGGGTTTGTTTATGAACTCTGGCTGAATTCTCAAAGAATCCTGTACCTTCTTCCTAACGCTGAGAAGTACTTGCTCTAATCTCTTCCCCACTCCCTTTTTGCTGTCCCCTCCCCATTATCTTTTTTCTTTTTGATATGGACTTTAATTAAAATGTTGATGCTTACGTCACCATACATTTTCTGCATTAATTTTGATTTTTAAAATATTGCGTTACATGACTTAATCTTGATTACTGAAACTTTTTAAAGGTACCCCTTAAATTTTGCTCCTGGGGCAAATGTCTTACTTGCCTCAGCCTAGCCTGGGGCCTGAGCGGGCACCTCCTTCAGCCTTCTTTCCTCCAACCTCTCCCTGATCCAGGCTGTTTTCCGCAACCCCACCTGAGCCATTTTCCCAGCCTGCAAGATGACAATTCAGTCCCCTCCTCAAAGCACTGTACTGGGCCTCATAGCTCCTGCCAGAGCCGTCATGCACCTTCCAAGAATGCTTGCTCCAGCTTCTGCAGCTCCAGGGAGCTGCTGAAAGTATTTTGGTCTTCTGGAGACACGGGACAAAGTACAACTCATCTACTATCCAGTCCTTGTCCTACCCAACCCCCCAAAATGCATTGAGCACTTGCTCTGTACCAGGCACTGTGCAACATCTCTATAGGGATCACCTCATTTCATGCTCACATTTGCCCTAAGAGGTAAGTACTATTCTGGACTCCATCTTACCGCTGGAGAAACAGATTCAGACGCGTAACTAACCCAGCGCTAGTAAGTGGTGCAGCCGGTGTTTTAACCCAGGACAATTTGACTGCGAAACCCAAGGTCTGATCTAAAATGCTACATGGCTCTCACCACATTGGGCTTGCTACCCAGAAGCAAAAATGAGAAGAACTCTTCTAAGTCACGTTTGTGAGGCTGAGCGGCAAGCTCTGGGTCAGTTTTGCTGTCAACAGGTTTTCTGCTAAAAACCCGTTTGTAGCTAAAACTAGATAAAAGTCAGAAAAATCCACAAAATGAAGTTTATAAGAAAAAACATCATTCGAGGGAATTGACTGTGACTTTGGATCTGAACATGAACATAGAGTGTTCTTGTTCTTGGACTTTGGGCTGAAAGACATGAGTATAACCTTCCGACCTCCACTTGGAAACTTAGTGCTGAGATACAGGCTAACCTTGAGGACAGAAATAGGAAATGTTTTGGAACTTCCAATTCCCTAGTGACAGGATTTGTTTGCAGAAAGCAGCTTTGGTCAGATAGCACATTCAAGATTACAGGCAGACCCAGAGGAGTGAGATGTGGAGCTTGTCAGAATGCATCCAAGGCTGGCCTGGGGGTTTTGAGCAGATTTGCAGAGAGCAGGCCGGTGGGGAAGGGAAAGGAGGCAGAAAAGTCTCCGGAAAAGTGCCTCTGGGAAGCAGCTTGAAGGGCTCTGAGGACACTTGGTTTTCTTTTGAAGGGCAGAGTACACAGGGAAGAACTCTAAGTAAACCCTGCCCTCGGCAAGCAGAGGTCAGAAGGTGCTCTGTGGGCACCGAGCAGTATTCGGGATCTGCAGCTAGACCAGGCCTGCCATGAGAAGTTGAGTTTATGGTTTATTATTCCTCATTCCCTTAACATTTTTACAGTGCATTTTAGAGTGCAAGGGGCTTTTACATCCATTATTTCCTTTAACCCAGGGGAAGTTCACTGGGTAATACAGAAAGCCTGGAGCTGGAGTTTTGGTCTTAGGTTCATTGTGACCTTGGGAAAGTCCCTCGATTTCTGAACTTCAGTTTCTTCTGAAAATACAGTTGTGCCAGCTTTAGCTCCCTCGCAGAATAGATGATGGCATGACATGGATGCGGAAGCATCTGGTAATGTTTTGAACTGCACAGAGCTGAGTGTCCTGACCATCAAAGCCAGAGCTGGAGTAAGTGATCAGATGTGTCGGGGAGGAGAGGGGTGCCAATCACAGACTGCAGAGCTGGCTCAGATGTGGACTGCCTAGGAATGGAAATCTTTGGCTGTACAGTCTGGCATTAAACCTGGGGACTGTTATGTGCCAGGCACCGTGTGCAAATCACTGCAAAATCCCCTTCAGCTACATGCATGGACATGTTAACTCTTAACACATGTACCTAACAATTCACAATTTCATCTCCCAGAAGGTGGAAGATGCATTGAGGAGCATTGCTAATTTGCACTCAAATCTGACAAATGAGGAATTGTCTGGAAAAGTAGAAATGATAGCAGAGGGTGAGAATAAAAACATGATTTTAGGATTGGGGAAGGGAAATGAGAGACAAGAACAGATGTGTTTTCTTGACTTAAGACAAATTTTTAAAATGTAGGGAAAAGTATTTATGATCTCATGATCTGAATGCTGAGACACAACTCAGAGTCATTTGGGCTGCTCTTGAAAATGAAATCCTGACTTATCAACTGCATATGACCCTTATTGGAATAAGAAGGAAGGGAGACAACTAAAGAAACTGATGAGGCGATATTGGGGATATTCTCTGATTAGCTCAATTTTTAAATAGTTTGTGTGTGTGTGTGTCTGTGTCTGTGTGTGTCTGTGTGTGTGTTTGTTTGTTTTGAAATAGAGTCTCACTCTGTTGCCCAGGCTGGAGTGCAGTGGTGCAATCTCGGCTCACTGCAAACTCCACCTCTTGGGTTCAAGCAATTCTCTTGCCTCAGCTTCCCAAGTAGCTGGGATTACAGGCGCCTGCCACCATGCCCAGCTAATTTTTGTATTTCAGTAGAGACAGTGTTTCACCGTGTTGGCCAGGCTGGTCTCAAACTCCTGACCTCAAGCAATCCACCGGCCTTGGCCTCCCAAAGTGCTGGGATTACAGGTGTGAGCCACCACACCCAGCCCTTAAATAGTTTTTTAAATATAAAAGTAAAACATGCTTAATAGAGAATGAGAAATAAGAAAGAAAAAAGGAAAAGGAGACAGGGAATATCACCTACAATTTTACTGAGTGTCAATTCTTTGAATATTTTTACGTTTCATTGTATTTTTCTATGCATTGAGATTATTACATATGTACACATACTATTTTTCAATATGAATACATACTCTTCATCATGTTACTGGCTGCATTAATTTTCTATCATAGATATTGTCAGTAACTATTACTTATTTCCTTATTGCTGTTCCTAGTTTTTCATTATTAAAAATAACACTGCAATAGACATCTTTGTGCATGAAAGATTCTTCCACATACTAAGTTATTTCTTTAAGGTAGATTCTGAGAAGTTAACATTTACAGGGTTCTTAAAATATCACTAAGTTGTTTGCCAGAGAGATGATGCCAATTTATCTTCTCACTGTTTTGTGAGTACCAGTCTAATGAGCTCCGATTTTTAAAAAGATGTATATAATGGATGAAAAAGCAACTTAATGAAAAGAAACATATAAAGGAGAGTTTCTGAGCTCTAGAATTTTAAAACGTAAGTGAGCTGAAAACCATGGAATACGCTTAAGAAAACAATAAATGTGGGCAGCAGGATAAGAATAAGCATGATGTCAGCCTGCTGATGGGGTTGGATGGGGTAACATCAGCAAATGGCAAAGAAACCAAAACTGTTCAACTTCTTTCTCTCTCCCATGAAGGAGAATGATTGTCAGACTGAAACAGGTAGTGCAAACATTGACAGAAGGGAATTGAAGCCTGAGATGGGTGAATTGATTGTAAAAGCAAACTAAGTTCTGAATAAATGCAAGGCTCTTGGCCCGGACAAATGACATCCCAGGGTCGAGAACTCAGAGGGGTGAAAGATAAGCCACTGGCAGTGATCCTTCAGGGTTGTGGGAAATGGAAGCTGTACTAAAAGAATAGGAACTGTTGGTAACCTGATTTTAGGAAGAGAAGCTGGGGAAAATGTGGGTACGAAATAAAACAGCTAACCTGATGGAACTTCCAGATAAAATTCAGGACAGATTTTCAAACATACATGTTACGAGTGGAAGACATTATCACTTTGGAGCCAGCCATCTGCTCCTCATCCTCTCTCCTCATCTTCTTTAATAAGGTTGCTCTAAGTGTTGTAGTTGCTGTATTTCAGGATATCAGGAAGGCGTTTCGTTGAATTTCTGATGTTGCTTTCATGGATGAGCTTGGAAAATGTCCAAAAACCAGAGTATTTAGATGGATTGATCATTGAACAACTCTTCCCAAAAGGAGTCAATAACTTGATCAGTATCCGTCCAAAAGGAGGTGACTGGTGTGTCACCAGGGTACTCCCATCTCAGCCCTATACGATCTGCACTTTGTCAGTAACCTGTGGAGGTGACAGATGCTTAGCAAAGCCACAGATGACGTGAAATTACAGAGTATAGATGCTAGAAATCGATGGAAATCTGGAGAAGACTGCAGCAGGCTGGGATGATGGTTAAAAATAATAAGATAAAATGTAATATCAATTAATATACATTCTTACAGTTGGGTTCCAAGTGCTAGCTATATATGTTCAGGTAGGGTGAGATTATAAAGGTGATTATAACAATAACAGTACAAAAGCAATAGCTAATGTTTTTTAAGTGATTGCTCTATGCCAGATATTGGCCTGTGTGTTTCATATCATCATCATGTGTATAATTTTACTCTACACTAGTTTTATGTCATCTGAAAATTGTATAAGTACATTATCTATGATTCAATGATATTTAATTCACAGGATGAAAGTTGTCCTCATTTTTCAGTTGACACCAGCAAGACACAGAGAGGTTAAGTAACTTGTACAAGGTCACACAGCTGGGAAATAGAGGTTCCATGCTTGTGCTCAGTGCCTGCATGCTGAACTACCGTGAAACTTTTTCTTTTTAAAATTTAGTCATAAATTTAATTTGATATCCTGCCAAAACACCAAATAAGCTTAGAGAGTTAGGTAGTTTTTAACGTGGGCTCGGAGCCAGGTCACCTGGATTCAAATGTCAGCTCTTCCATTTCCTGGCTGAGTGACTTTGGGCAAGTCGTTTAACTTCCCTGTGTTCTAGTTTTCTCCTCCATAAATGGGGATCATTCCTGTCTTACAGGATTGCTGCAGGGATTAAATGAGTTACATATGCAAAGCATTTAGAATGACTCCTGGCACATAGCAATCACTTGCTTACAAGTAAGTGCATTGCTGTTATTAGGCTACACAAAAAGCACTATGGTGGGGTGTTAAGAGTTGACACTGTAGAGCTAGACCACCTGGATCTCTGTCATGGCACCACCACTTCCATCTCTGTGTGCTACAGTTTTCTCATCTGTAAAAAAAGAATAATAATCATTGCAGTGATAAGATTCAGTGTAAATGTTCAGTAATTGCTAGCTGTTACTATCAATAGAAGTATATTGTCCAGAGAAAGAAAAATGCTAGTCCTGTTCCTACTGCTGCGTTTAGGAATTGAAGCCACATAGATCTCTGGAGGAGGCAGGCAGGTTGGTAAGGGTCTACAAACTGCAGTGGAGGAGTTATCTTTGGACCAATTAAGGACGTTTCATCTGGAGGCAAAATGACTAAGCAAGGACGTGATAACTGTCCTCACTGTGTTGAGGGTTACAAAATTGGTGTGGGTCATTGAATCAAGTTATGAGACAACATGGGATGTTGGGAAAAGTCAGGGGATCAGGGGCAGGTTGATCCTGAGTCAGTCTCTTAACTTCCAGGCTTCAGCTTCCATCTTTCACATTTTATGATTCTGTCTCCAGCACGTAGAACCTAGAGCAAATTCCTGTTTATACAGAAAGTTTGGATAAGGAGTGGTTTTGCTGAATGGCTACTGTAGCAGAAAAGCTTGAACTGAGTGTTGCTCAAATCAATAAAATCACCTGATGACTAAGCCCTGTTTTCTATTAAACTGAAAAGAGAATGCAACAGACTTCACTGGGCTTTTGTGAGAATTACATGAGGTAATATGTATGAAAGCACCTTATCAACTCTGAAGTACTACCCCGATGCAAGCAGTTATGTTGATTATTGCCATAGCTAGATTATAACTTTTCCAAGAATTAGAATATAATGAAACACACTTAAGCATTAATCTGTCTTCTGTGATTCAGAAGATCCTTCAGGAAGTTACAAAATCTCAGGGTCATGGCCATGGGCATGGAGTAATTCTGTAGAAAAAGATCCTGGCTGTAAGGTATTCTTTGGTTTTTTGGATTCAAATTAAATAGGAGCATATTGACTACATGAAACCCTGAAGGGAATAGAGATCACATACTCTAAGCCCGTCATTGTACAGATGAAGTCACTGAGCCACAGAGAAGCTGAGTGGCCTGCCCAGAATCAAATGTTAATTCATGGCAGATCTGGGAATAAAATCCAGGCTCCTGTCTCCCAACATGTTTGTCATCATTAGTTTAAGAACATCTCAGAAAGTCTGAAACAGGGTCAAAATGTACTGATGAATGTGGCTGCCCATTAAAGCATGGAATTGAAGAAATATTAGAAGTAAGTTTAAGGGCCTGGGTGTGTCACTGAAGGATATGACACAATATACTGGACCTACTCGGGAGAGGGGAGAAGTACAGTAGAATTTTTAGTAACTTTCTTAATCACAGCAGTTCACTTTCTCTGTACAAAATTCTTTTCAAATATTCTCTGAAACTAATTGGCATTAAAAATGCTGATCTTAGTAAATGGCCCTCAAGAGGCACGCTATGCGCACAGGGAATAGTATAATATAGGTGCAGAGTAATGGTCTCTCTCCTTCTCTCCTTTTTTTCCTTTTCCTAATGATCATTAACATCTATATTCTTTGACTTTGTTGAATTAAAGTTGCAAGAGATGGCCGTAAATAAAGCAAGTTATGTATGTGCCTCCCTCATTCTGCCCATGCAGCTTCTGTTCCATTTGCAGCTGTGAGCCGTGTAAGACTCTCAAGACCAAGCACCCATGAGTGCCTGGGAGCAAGTAGCCTGTGAAGGGAGGACTTTATTCCTGGATGCATTAAAAGCAGAGTCCCACCTACACCTCCCTCCTCTTCCCATTTATAAATCTACTTCTCCAGGGATCTACAGATTTTTTGGCTATATTTTTAGTCTGTTGATAATTTGAGAAAGTCTCCAAGGATCTAAGTCTTGGATGGGTAGGAGTCAATTCACTCAGTCTTTTTTGAATCCCTAATGGATGTTCAAAACCAGTCTCAATTCTGGATCTGGATGGGACATGCATGTCGAAGTACAGTGTGATGGATAAGAGCACAGATTCTGGAACCAGATTGCCTGGGTTCAGATCTCCGCTTCTGTCATTACTAGGGTTATGTGACCTTGGGCAAGTCCCTTAAATGCGTTGGGCCTCAGTTTCCTAATCTGAATCCCTATCATAGGGTTGTGTGAGCATGCAGTTGAATGAGCTAATATCTATTCATATAAAGTGCTTAGAGCAGTACTAGGTGCATAGTAGTGCTTAGTAAATGACTATTAAGTAAATTAAATCAGCCTGATTAGAATTGCCTCCAGGTGCAAGGCTCTATCCCATTTAGACACGCTAACACACAAGGTCTTAAGGGCTTTAGGTTTAAGGAAAAGGGGCTTTTTCCCCCCTCAATTCTACACCACAACCTTTTTATTCTATTGAATTACAAAGGAAATAACAGTGGGACTTGACTTTGAACACCAAAGTTTATCCAGCCTCTTTCCAGCTCGGTGAACGTGTCCACCTACTTCACTCTTTATGCTAAAGGAAGAGCAGCGACGCTGATAAATGTATTGAGTGGCCTCGAGCAGGTGGCTTGCTCTGTCAAGATCACTTTTGTATGACTGCTGGGATCACCACAGTCTCCCCTGTAACTTGCTGGGTTCCTCTTGTACATAAGCCGAGGGCATTTGCATCGGTTCCTGGTGAGGGGGTTTCCACACGGTGGCCCTGGTTGCTTCAGGGGCTGGGCTGTGGGAGACATTAATGGGAAGTGAAAAGAGAAACTGTTGTGCTTAACCGGCAGAGCTGTTTGGAGTGTGACTCTTCTTGTATTTAGGGAAAAGATTACTCATGAGTATTTTCTTCCATAGAATATAAAGAACCTCAAATTACTACTTGCATCCCCCACCCCCTTCTCACCCACCTCCCTCCGTTGCAGCGTGTCCTCTGCAGAAACTTCAGCATTTTACTCTCAATTCCCCTCCCAAGCAGGATTCAGTTCTGTATTTGCTTTGGGGCCCATGTTTCCAATAAGCCACCCTGTACTTTTTCCTGTTTCTGCCTGAGCATCTTCTGCTCACTGGACCTCTCACCTCCAGGCACCTTCCTAGGCCTGAGGAACCAGACCTTCACATGTGTCCCCTAATGGGAACTCCCTGTGTGAAGGAGAGGAAGGTCCATAATAACAAATCGCAGCGCCATTCTTGTTCAAAGGTGACACCATTGACAGTAAGGAGTTAGGTTTAAGGTTTTTACCAGTTCAAAAACTGAGATTTTGCTGAGTAACCCTCACTGCCACTCCCACCTCCCTGTGATTCTAGATACGTGTTTTCAAGGTCATTGGAGAGAGCTGGTACTTCCCATATCCATGGACTGTTTTTAATAGGCATCACTTTCTGGCCAGTCAGGAGTCAAAAACAAAAACTTTTAGTGGCTGTATTTTATTCTAAAGATCATAAAGCAGTAATGCACCATAAATTATTATTTGAAATTCTAATTTGTTTCCATGTGAAAAAAAAATTATCCTAAAAACACCAAGAAAAAAGCTCTTAAATGCTCATCTCTAATGATTTCCAGTGCCCAGTAGTTCTTTTTTTGGTGCACTACAAAAAAGGAATTTTGGTTTTGAGGGGACTTCCACAGGTTTAGAGGAAGCCAACTACCATTCCTCAAAACTACACTTTGCAAAGGAGCCACTTGGAAGACAATCATGCCCAGAGGCCCTGGACATTTTCCAGGGCATTTGAGCCGTTTGTTCCCCACTTCAGCAGGTAGGAAGAGCAGCCCCATATAGCAAACCAGATTGTTCTTTGGCATGCCTGGTTTAGGATGAAAGGTAATTTTTTCCAGGATCAAACTGAGGGACACTTTTATAACACACTTGTGAAGTCTTCGTAGCAAGTTTAAGTAACTTATAGTGAGAGACGGAAGCTCCTCTTAGCAACACTGATGCCATTGCTCTGTTTGAGCTATTGATTCACACCATGTGATTTTAGAGAATGAAGATCCATTGAACATCCAGCTTCTTCTGACCCAGCAGTTCTTAAATTTGGTCTCATGTCTCCTTTTGATTCTTAAAAATTAATGGAGACCCCAAAGAGCTTTTGCTTATATGGGTTATAGTTATCTGTAGTTACCATATTATTACATAAATTAAACCTGGGTATTTACAAAATATTTATGAATTTAGCAAGTAAAATAGCCAACTCTATATTAATGCAAACATATTTTAAAATATATTTTCCCAAACCAAAAATAATTTGTGAGAAGAGTAGCATTGTTACACATTTTTGAAAGTCTCTTAAAATCTGGCTTAATGGAAGATGGCTGGACGCTCATCTCTGTTTCTGCATTCAATCTGTTGCAAGATCACATCATATGCCTTCTAGAACATTCCACCTAAGAAAGAATGAGAGCGAAAAAGGCAAATAATTAATATTGTTATGACAAGATGTTTTACTTCATAGGCACCCTACAAAGGTCTCGGGAACCCTGATGGGTCCCAAGATCA
The DNA here is from genome assembly GCF_000001405.40 of Homo sapiens. Lineage (NCBI taxonomy): Eukaryota > Metazoa > Chordata > Mammalia > Primates > Hominidae > Homo > Homo sapiens. Next base: position 11,838,294 of record NC_000012.12, read on the forward strand.
CATTTTGAGAACCACTGTTCTAACTTATCAAAGATTTCTCACAACAGCAAAATAAAATAAAACTATAGACTTACAGTCAGGCTCCCAGAGAGCCAACCTGAGCCAACCTCTCAGCCCCTGCTCTGTACCCCCCTCCTGCCCACTTGGTTCCTACTCAGAGTTCAAGTACCACCCCACCAGGAAGCTCTAATGTCAGTGAGTAGAATAAAAAGGCAGAAGACCTTTTATCCTTACTTTGCCCTCTTATTGCCAGAGGCCAGCCTGATGGTTTCCCAGAGGCTGAGTGAATTGCTCTTCCTGGAAGAAGTTTCAGGGAACATTTCATTATTTGGCAGCTCTGGAAGGTCAAGCTCAGCTCTGGAACATTCTTTCTTCAGAAGGACGCTGGGCTGCAATCAGATCAGCTCTGAATCTGAGGACCCTCCAACCACACTGACACGTGTCATAGTTCTGAGCCCCTGTGGGTGCTGTGGGCACCCTGGAACAGCCCCTGGAACTGGGCAAGGAAGGGCAGGTCTCTAAGACCTACCATCCCTTAAACACATAAAAGATCTTTTTCTCATTTTGCCTCTAAATAAAAAGTTAATCTGACAGCACACCCCAGAGTAGGGTTTGGTGTACAAACTGCTCCCTGGACTCCTCTTGGAGGCTGCTTCTGGGCTTCGAGAAGCCCCCAGTGGGGCGGCTCAAACAAGGGCTGGAGAGGGGACTCAGAGTTGAACATAAGGGCTCTTGAGATGTGGAGACTCATTTTGTTAACTATTCAGAGACCTTCTCCCTTTATTCCAGCTGTCTAACTGACAAGACCTTTCTCTCTTTCTTTCTGCCTCATGCTCTCTCCAACAGGCTTGCAGCCAATTTACTGGAGCAGGGATGACGTAGCCCAGTGGCTCAAGTGGGCTGAAAATGAGTTTTCTTTAAGGCCAATTGACAGCAACACGTTTGAAATGAATGGCAAAGCTCTCCTGCTGCTGACCAAAGAGGACTTTCGCTATCGATCTCCTCATTCAGGTGAGAGTCTGGACTCTTGGCATATGCCCAACTTGGAAAGTCTCTTAGTTAGTGGTTGGTCTTTAACACCCCTCACCCGGCCCAAGAAATCCCAACAGTGAGTCATCACAAGGAAGGGATGACGATGGAAGGAAGTTGAAGGAAGATTATGCTAGCATGAGCCAGTTTGAGGGAAGAAGAGGAAGTGTTTACAGACCAAGGGGGAGAATTTTAAGTTTAGGAGAGGAACCCAGTTTAGTCCTACGTACACTGGAACTTAAGGGCTCTAACTGTGCCACTAAGAAGAAAAAGAAGGCTGGCCGTGGTGGCTCACTCCTATAATCCCAGCACTTTGGGAGGCCAAGGAGGGTGAATTGCTTGAGCCCAGGAGTTTGAGACCAGCCTGGGCAATGTGGCAAAACCTCAACTCTACAGAAATTTTAAAAATTAGCTGAGTGTGGTGGTGTACACCTGTAGTCCCAGCTACTCAAGAGGCTGAGGTGGGAGGATTGCTTGAGCCAAAGAGGTGGAGGCTGCAGTGAGCTGAGATTGCACCACTGCACTCCAGCCCAGGTGACAGAGCGAGAACCTGTCTCAGAAAAAGAAAAAAATGCCATTTTGGCCTTTTGACTCTCTAAAAGAGATAGCTGAGAGTGAATGCAGGCTGTGAACTGCTCAACCGAAAACAAAGAGAGGAAGGAGAAGGACGTAGAAGGGCTAGAAAAGAAAATAGAACTGGGGGAACTGCAGATAAAGACTGGGAAATGGGAGATCCTAGTAGCCAAGGCCAGTTTAGAAAGGCTTCAAGTGGTTTCCCTTAGAAGTAGGACTCGTTTGAGGTAATGCATCTTGTAGCCTGTAGAAATCCTAAAAAATACAAGCAGAGGTCTCCTCGGGCTCATCTGACTCAGAAAGCTTGTCTAATTAAGGGCTCCTGATAATGCATTAGAAGATTTCCATTCAGTAACAAGCATCTCTACCTGCAGAGTGTATTGCTCATGTGGATAAGGCTTCAAAGATTTGTCTCAGTTTCATTTCCTAAACCCTGTGGATATTTAGAAGGTACCTGTCTGGGAACTACATATGTCAAAGGGGAACTGTGGTCTCAGGTTTATGCCTCTTGCGGGATTAATTACTGAAGTACTCAAGGCCCTCCTTTTACTGAATCCCACTGCAGACCTCGACTCTGATGTAACTTGACAAAGGGCGAGGATCCTGCAGAAGGTCTTGGCATAGTCCCTAACTACGTTCAACCTTTATTTACTCCTGGAGACCTGCCAGAAGTTAATAAACTAACCGTCATGAGGAAACGTCCCTCATTACAGGAGATGAGATAAAGCCCCAGCACCCGTATCTCCACTGTTCTTCCCAGTTGCCACAGACCGTTTATATGAAGAAATGCTAAAGAAGTTCCCCAGAAGTAGAGATGTTATTGAAACTTGAAAGTTTATATCTTCAAAATTGAGTAATTTGGAAGGGACACAAACATACCTGAAACATTTTGTCTCATATCATCAATTCTGTATGTAATCTCACAATAAGAAAACTATAAAACAACCATGTAAATAAATCAGACTATCCTAAATAGTTCTTTTGAATTTATTACAAAATACTTCCCTTTTCTATTCCAGTGGAAACTCAGAGATATTATACTCAAAGAGGCAACGTTATATATCTGGAGGAAAAATCCCTACCTCTTTGTGTTCCAATGAAACCATTCATGTAAAGCAAGCAAAGGAAAATACAGTGGTGGGTTTTGACTTGATTTGACTTGGACCTTGGGCAAGCTTTCCTCCCAAGTCTCTATAAATTTCCCCTTCATCCTATCTCAGGTGCACTTTTTTATAGCTGGTTTATTTTCCTCCACAGTGACCTCTTAGCATTATTTGTGAAACTGGGTTCTCTCTGCTCAGAGCTATGAACAAAGATACGTGAAAATCTGTCCGCAGTTCCTTGCCACTTTGTCGAGTCTTTGTCAGGTGGGCCATGTGGAAGATGGTGCTGCTCTCAAGGAAGTTACTGTCCAGTTAGAGGCAGGATTGCGTTGATCTAAAAGGCCAAAGAAGGCTGGAGGAGGGAGAGAGCAGAGTAGCACTGGTGTCGGGAGAGAAGGAATGGAGTTGGTTTGGACCATGAAGAATGGGTGGGATTGAGTAGGCAGAGGGTAATTGGAACAGCATCACCAAGTATATTTGGGTGATGGTGAGAATGCCCACCTGATGAGTAGAAGAGGCAGAAAAGGCAGGAAGCCCTGATAAGCCTGATGCACTAGAATGGATGTGAGGTGCTATATAGATCAGTTAGGAGGTGGCAATAGAAATTCATTCCATGAGTATTCACCAAGCAACTCTATGCCAGAGGTACACAGGTACAGGCTAAGGGAGTTCAGAGATTAGAGGGGCCATTTCTAGCTGGCTTGTCGAACAAACCTCATAGACAAGGTAATGGAGCCTGACTTTGAAAACTTTGAAAGGCAAACAAGAAGGAGATGAGGAAGCATGTTAAGAAGGAGATGTAGGCCGGGCGCGGTGGCTCACGCCTGTAATCCCAGCACTTTGGGAGGCCGAGGCGGGCGGATCACGAGGTCAGGAGATCGAGACCATCCCGGCTAAAACGGTGAAACCCCGTCTCTCCTAAAAATACAAAAAATTAGCCGGGCGTAGTGGCGGGCGCCTGTAGTCCCAGCTACTTGGGAGGCTGAGGCAGGAGAATGGCGTGAACCCGGGAGGCGGAGCTTGCAGTGAGCCGAGATCCCGCCACTGCACTCCAGCCTGGGCGACAGAGCGAGACTCCGTCTCAAAAAAAAAAAAAAAAAGAAGAAGAAGGAGATGTAGGCTGGTGTACATGGAAGAGGAATTCAGAGACAAGACTGCACGTGCTAGACACTCCCTTTGAAACATGGTCGAACATCACTCACCATGCCTCTCCGGCTTGTCTGATTGCCTCCTCACATTTCAAACTGGTGGACTGTCTCCTGGAAGGCTTCTCTTGACTCCCATCCCTACTTCCCTAATTCCATTCCACTTTCCTTTCTCCCATCTTGTTCTACCTCCATCTAGGCTAGGTGCTGTTTCTCCTTTATCTTAGAGCATTCTTTCCCTCTGTCATGGCCCTTGACACAGATACACACACACACACACACACACACACACACACAGTGTTATACATTGTTTGCTGATTGTTTGCTACTCCGGATCCCTCCCCTAGAGTGGAAAGTTCAATGTGGGCAGTGATTGTGTTCTATTAAGTCGCCAAGTCTCCAGTACCTAACACCAGGGCATGGCTTCCAGGTGGCACTCAACAAATGTAGGTTGAATGATGACCCGGTTTGAGAGTACCCAGGTTAAGAAGTTTGGGTTTTATTTTACAGGTAATTGGAACCACTGGAAAGTTTTGATCAGGGAAATATGATTGGAGCTCTCTTTTTGCAACAGACATTTTCCACCAGTGCGTAGGGTAGATTCATTGGCTTACTTAAAGCAGGAAAGCTAGTTAGAGTGTCCTTGCTGTGATCCTAATGGGAGGCAGTGAAGCCCAGACTGGATCAGTGAGATCAAAATAATACTCAGGCACAAAGTGGCTAGCTAAGATGGGGAGCTGACTTGGAAGTAGTGGTTAGAGTTCATTTTTAAAGCAAGCAATGCCAGGACATTCAAGAAAACTTGTCCTGATCTGCAGTTGGACATCTAAAACAAGAGGCAGGCCAGGGCTGGGAATAATAGATGTGAGCATCATACATCGTCTCCATTATGTAGAATTTTATGAGCTGGGGATAAAGATAAATTTATACGGAAGGTAATTTAATTAAGGCACCCACTAGAAAGCCATGGACAGAATTTCAAGGCGATGCCTGCCAGCAGGGCCTGTAGGAAAACTTACCACAGAACACAGGAGTATTGCGAATGGGTTTATAAGACAACTAAGTTGGAGTTGAGAAGACCCATCTGATGAAGGGGTCACTCAGCAAGAGGGGGAAGGCCACAGGCATCCTCCTTAGGCAGGGGCAAGATCTAGATTGAAAATCCTTTTTATTTTCCAGATGTAACATTTGCCACTGTTTCTTCTGACATGGGCTTTCTCCTTTAGCAGTTTGGTGTAGTGAAAGTCCTCAGGCCTGGCTTCTTTCTACACCTGGCCCTTCACAAATCACGTCACTTCACTTGGCCTTATTTTCCTCATCCACAAAATGCAGTTCTCACCACATGGATCCTAAGCTCCCTTCCATTCTTAACAGTTCAGCCCAACTTCAACACTGAAACAGTGTTAAGTTGCTAGCAAACAATGTAGCTTTCTATGCTCTCTATATATGGAAACAACATTCTTTAACACAACTCCTCTCCAATGTAGAGAGGAGAGCACTGGACTCAATGAGTTATAATTACCTGGAATACGATTATACCTTAAGTCAAATACAGTAGACTCCCTGAATGCCATATTCTTTGACCAGCTTAACAAATTTATCGCATCTACTTCCAGGACAAGAATCCTCCATTTTCAACCCCTAGGATAAAGCAGGGAACATTTGCAGTGTGCTTTAAATAATTATATGGTCTCTAACCAGAAGATTTCAAGGTTGGAGACAAATGGAATATTTTCTTTGGAATAGTCTCCCAGTTGGAGGATATAACAGATGACAAGTTTATAACATTTGTAAAGTTAAAGAATAAATGGAAGGGATCCCAATTTTATAAAACGTCACCTGGACAGAATAATTTTACAAAGACCTTGGGCTACTAGATAGTTATCACATTAACTGGTTCTGAAGTGATTTAAATTCAGAGAGGTATTTGAGTACTTGACTACTTTGAGACTCTGAGAAAACACATTGACAGGAGGGAACAGACAGGTTGGCATTTATATTAACCCTTACTTAGGGTTATCCATTGCATGACATTCAGGTGGAATGGATTTAGGTACCCATTATTTTCTCCGAACAAGGAAACCCACAAGTTATTATCAATTTAATTCATGTTACACTCACTTGCTATCAATGCTAAAAAAGGGAAAGAAACATATGTTCAGAGTTCCTTCAATTCAGCAAAACTGTATTGGGGATTTGCTAAATATATTGAGGATTTTAGTAGACTAAAATCTGCAGTCTTTTCATATACTAGAGTGTGATTTTGCAAATTGTTTCTTCCCTTTCCAACCCACCAGAACCTTTGTCTTTGGAAATATGCTTTGCTTATATTTTTCAAATATAGTAAAATTTTCTTTCAAAGTTAAACTGAAAATACTGGTCTTTACATAGTATTTCTTGAATCAAAATTGGCCTATTAATTTCTATTAAGCAATGGTAGGTTTGCCAGATTGAAGGGCTGTGTCAACTGGCTATTTTAGAATTAAGTCAGAGCATCCAAGGATATAGGTCACAGAAGGGAAATTGTAGCCATGAAATGTGGGAGTTGTAGCAGGCATGACCCTTGTCTGAAGACACCAGAGTTGGCTCTTTCTTTACTGTGTCTTTGAGCAAGCCAAAAAAAAAAAAAAAGTGTATCACACATCAGAGAAATGCTTCGATAGGTCACTTACGTGAAAGTCATTTTATTTCTTTTCTTTTTTTTTTTTAGATGGATTCTCGCTCTGTCGCCAGGCTGGAGTGCAGTGCCGTGATCTCGGCTCACTGCAACCTCCGCCTCCAGGGTTCAAGCAATTCTCCTGCCTCAGCCTCCTGAGTAGCTGGGACTACAGGCGTGCGCCACAACACCCAGCTAATTTTTGTATTTTAGTAGAGATGAGGTTTCACCGTGTTGGCCAGGATGATCTCAATCTCTTGACCTCATGATCTACCCACTTTGGCCTCCCAAAGTGCTAGGATTACAGGCGTGAGCTACTGCACCCGGCCATCATTTTATTTCTTAGCTCTTTGCCTGTCCCATTTGTGAAATGGAGGTGGGCACCCACCCTGTTGTCATATACTTGAAAAATGCAAGTTTTAGCAATGTTAAGGTTCTACTTTAAACTTACTAAACTTAAGAAGTTAAAAGTTGGAGAGACCTAGGTAGCCTTGCAGATGACGCTAAACATTGGTTATACAAGTTGATGTGATGGTAACGTAGGGAAAACCAACTGCACAGTGCTTCCTTTAAACACATACTTATTTCATAAAGTTCTGTTTTCTCGAGAGCTTATTTTGTTTATCTCACCTTATAGTCCATATCCAGCTGTAATTGTCTTACTGTATCTGTTTTCTAACAGATTTATTCTTGTCTTAAATATGATACTTAAATTTTCCCACAACCTGTTCCTTTTTTCTCAGGGTCTCTGTGTATAAGACATAAATATTAAACCAAATTTCAAATATTTGTTGCTAAGTAAAAGACTAATTTATTTTTGTGGTCACAGAAGGCACTCCAGATTAAATTAAAAGGTTAATTCAATTGGCCTGCAAAAATGCACTGAATGGAATGCTTAGAAACTAGGACCAGGCTGGGTGCAGTGGCTCACACCTGTAATCCCAGCACTTAAGGAGGCCAAGGCGGGCAGATCACGGGGTCAGGAGATCAAGACCATCCTGGCTAATATGGTGAAACCTCATCTCTACCAAAAATGCAAAAAATCAGCCGGGCGTGGTGGCACGCACCTGTATTCCCAGCTACTCAGGAGGCTGAGGCAGGAGAATCGCTTGAACCCAGGAGGCGGAGGTTGCAGTGAGCCGAGATCACGCCATTGCTCTCCAGCCTGGGCAACAGAGTGAGACTCCGTCTCAAAAAAAAAAAAAAGAAAAAAGAAACTAGGACCAAGCAGAGTTAGAAAACCAAGCAGTCCCATTACAGGAATGGGCATGTTATGCACTGGTGTTTTCACTGTTGAATTTATTATGTAACTTAAGGGACCGAAGCTTAGGGCTTCATCCTGAACCCATCAAAGGCAGAAAGGGCCCAACAGAGAGAACATTCTGACATATCTAAAAAGTACCTCTCCCACACCAGGCATACTCTTACTTTAAAAAAAAAAAAATGGCCAGAGGGAATCTGAAGCCTCTGAATAAAAATCAAAGAGAAGAGAGAGCTGTTTGCAAATTAAAGAATGTGTTACTTAGATAATCTACGTGTAAGGATATGTACATAGCAAATCATCACCTGAAAAATGCAGATTTTAACAATGTTAGGGTTCTACTTTAAACCTGCTAAACTTGAGAAGTTAAAAGTTGCAAAACCCCCTGGGAGAGGCTCTAGGTAGCATTGCAGATGATGCGAAACATTGATTCCAGCCTTCTGAGAACAAGTAGCGTATAATAAGAACGTTTAAACTAATCATACACTTTCACTGATAATTCTATTCCTAAGCAAATAGCCGAAGGAAACCATCCAAGAGTGGGCAAAAAAAAAAAGATGCCCTTAACAATTCTATTTATAGTAGTTAAAAACTGGAAATTCCCCAACCACCCCCACTGTGGGACTAGCTAAACAAACTTGGGGAGAGTAAATATCATGGGATACACGGTAGCCTCACAGCCATTCATTCACTCACTCACTGATTATTTTTTCAGTAGATTTTGCAGGGCTCTGCAGGTCATGTTCAGGATTTTACATGTTTGTTTGAAGACAAGTAGAAGCCATTTGTTTTTTGTTGTTTGTTTGTTTTTGTTTGTTTTGTTTTGTTTTGAGATGGAGTCTCGCTCTGTCGCCCAGGCTGGAGTGCAGTGGCACGATCTTGGCTCACTGCAAGGTCCACCTTCCGGGTTCACGCCATTCTCCTGCCTCAGCCTCCCGAGTAGCTGGGACTACAGGCAGAGGATCGGCATGGCAAGGTGCGGCGGTGAAAAGTGGAGGCGGGGCATCTGTTGGGCTGCAGTCTACGAGCAATAGTTGTGACATTAACTAAGGTGAGGCCCACTGAGAGACGAGGTGGTTCCAGAAACAGATAAAAGGCAGAGTCTGCAGGTCTTGGTGACCACTTTCATGTGAGATGAGAAGGAAGAGAGGCCTTAACGATTACTCCCAGGTTTCTGGTCTGATCATCTGAGCATTTGCTGACCTAAGAAACACCATCTCATCTGTAGAGATGTTTGTGTTAGGCACATCAAATGTGTGGTGCCTATATGACCTCCAGGAGGAATTACTTAGGAGATCACGGAATGTGGTTCTGGAGTTCAGAAGAAGTGCCAGGCTGGAGTAGATTTAGCATAGACGAGCCGATTGAAGCCATGGGAGTAGATGAGGTTGCCCAAGAAGAAGGGCAGGTGAGAGACCTGGGGAACCTTACTACTGAAGGGCTGGAGAAGGAGGAAGAGCAGAGAAGTAGGCGGAAAACCAGGATAAGTGGAAATCTCTGAAGCCATGGAGTATTCTAAGAGAAGGGAAGTAGAGATTGCTGGTGAGAATGTTGTTGAGAAGTCAGGCAGTTCCCTGAGTACCAACCATTGCCCTTTGGATTTGACAACAGGGAGGTGACCTGAGCAAAAGCAGATTGGAGAAGGGTGGGAGTGGGAACCAGAATGGAAGGTGAGGAAGTGGTGAGAATGGTGTTGGACAGCTCCCCTGGGAAGTTTGGCTATAAAGGGAGGAGAGAAACAGGAGCAGTTCCTAACAGGGAGGATGGGGACAAGGGGCATGTACATGTGGACAGGAAAAAAACTTGAAACTGCTTAAAAGCTAAAGGGAAGAAACCCAATAGAAGAAGTTGGCAATACGACTGCAAATGGGGACAGTAAGAGCTAACTGTAAACTGGAAATGTCTGTATGAAATGATGTCAACTGGGGAAAAAAATTCCATCCATATGAATGTGACTTTGTAAAACTTACGCATGTGCTTTAAATACAAAAGTACTGAAACAAAGAACATTTTTTGCCAGATTTTGTGAGACATGTCTGTTCACGCTTATGACAATTGCAAGAGACACCATCCATTGAGCGTTTATGATGGCAGACGTGGGGCTGGTGCTCTGCACGTATCATCTCATTTAATCCTTATAACAGCCCTGCCAAGTCTGTGGCATAGTTCTCATTTTACACACAAAAATATTGAACTAAGCCCTGAACTATGGCTCGGAGAAGAAAAATAGCTTCCCTAAGGGCATACAGCTGACAAAGAGAGGAACAAGATTCAAACTTGGGACTCCCTTGCTCCAGAGCCCAAATTCTTTCCTCTAAAATTAAGTAACTTAAATAAATTTAACCCCCCTCAACAGCATCTTGCATGTTCTTGGTCCTCAGACATTAGTAAGATTGATCAGCCAAGTCACAGCAGTATTGTTCACTCGCTCTCTCCTGTCCATTTGGAACACATTACAATACAATAATGGAATTTAGGATTCTCAAAGAACGTGCCTGGCTTTTCATGTAAAGATCACCAATGCAAAACTGTGTTTTGTTTCTGTGTGTGCGTGTGTGTGCGCACGCGCGTGTGCATGCACCCAGGAGTATATCTAGATTTTATGGGCCTGAGGCTTACGGTTTGGGCAATATGAATCTTTCTAGAACTCTTCCCAGGGACCTGCGCAAGTGAAGGGCCCCGAAGCTCACTAGCTTCATGGTACATCAGCCTCTGCACATGCGTGTGTTTACATGAACTGTGTATGTATGCGTGAAGATAGATGGAGGAACCAACGAAAACCATGGTTCTTTGACCAGTAGGGCTCAGTTCCATTGAATAGTACAATAGAAATACTAGTTAGTACCAGTCACTGTGTTTCTTTTCTGGGAAGAGAGAGAAGATTTATTAAAAATCAAATGGGTTAAGAATTTTCTGAAAAATGCCCTTTGAATTTCAGCCATTAGCTAAGTTAGATATACAGTGCTGTGGCGCATGCTCTTTATTTTCAGTAGGCAAATAAATATAACATTTTTAAATATATTCTTTATCCCAGAGACTGTTTTGGCGTTGTTTGTTTGTTTGTTTGTTTGAAACAAGGTCTCACTCTCATGCAGGCTGGAGTGCAGTGATGTGATCACAGCTCACTGCAGCCTCGACCTCCTGGGCTCAAGCAATCCTCCCAGCTCAGCCTCCCGAGTAGCCGGGACAATGGGCACGCATCACCACGCCCAACTAATTTTTGTTTTTTTTGTAGAGATGGGGATCTCACTATATTACCCAGGCTGGTCTCAAACTCCTGGGCTCAAGTGATCCTCCTGCCTCTGCCTCCCAAAGTGCTGGGATTATAGGTGTGACGCACAGCACCTAGCCAGATTCTTTTGTTAGTAACACCTTTTAGATGTGATCTCCTCCATATATGAAAATTGGAAGAATACATCAAGAGAGCAGGCTGGGTGTCGAGGAATGAAGGGACACTGGAAATGAAAGAAGATGGAGGGCTGTCTTCATTTACTTAGCAACCTGCTATAGACAAGACACATATTCTGTGTTACTTCACAAGCCAAAACTAAGAACCAAAGTACAGGGATTGCAGGGGAAGCCAGATTCCACCTCAGCAGAGAAACTTTCTATCAACTAGAGCTGTCCAAAAATGGTTTGCTTGCGCCGTGACTGGCTACCCATCACTGGAAGTACCCAGCCAAAGCCACTTCTTTCTGGGAGAAGGGGAGGTGGGAGACTCTTAGTGAGCAAAGTTTGAGTCAATCTAGGAAACCTCTAGAATCCTGTCTAGATCTAATATTCCAAGTTATTACTGGGACACACTATCGCTGCCAATCATATGCTCACAGTGCACGCACAGCAAGTGGTCCCCGTCCGCATGGTGGTGATGTGTTTTTGCTGAGCCAGCCGCATTCCCTGACGGAGCCCCTAGTTGCTGAGGAAACATGTCTGTGCATGGACTGACTCAGCTAAGGCCACACTCCTGGGTCTTAGAACTAAGTTTTTTCGTGACCCAGTACCCAGGACCTCGGGTCCATGTTCCCACCCGTAGCCGCCTCATGGATAGCATTTAAGATAACTCCCAATACCTTATTAGTCTCCTAATAGGCTTCTGGTCTAGGTAGGAAACTGGCCGAGTCCACTTGACCCGCCCCTCCCCCTGCTTCCTCCTGCACACTCGGGAAGAACCCCTCTGACCCTGCTCCCTTGGCCAGCGTCAGTATGGGAGGCTGAAGCAAGCCCATGCAGAAGCCTGGGAGGTGTGCGGCAGACCACGTGTCAGACCCCCAGAGGCTTAGCCCACCAGGTCAGGATGAGACGTCCAGAGAACCCAAGACTAGGAGAGTGGCCTCAGTTAACCTTCTTTACCCTTTCTGGAAGGGGAACGTAAAGCTGGCCGTGACCCAGATATTCCTCTATTCTCCATGTGAGACCTCCTTAGAGATCTACACACCTGTCCCAAGCCACTATAATAATATCAGGAATAGTAATGATGGGAGTGTTTGTGGTGGTGGTGGTAGTGGTGGTGGTAGTAAAATCAATGACTAGTGTTTACTGAGCTTTTCCTGTTTGCCTCACGCCATGATGAGCTTGTTACATAGACCATCTTATTGAATCGTTACAACGATCTCACAAGGTAGATGCCATCAACACTGCCATTTTATAGATGAGGAAACTGAGGCCAAGTGACATTAAAGGGCATGCCCGAGGAGGCACCAGTCTGACTCCAGAGCATGGCCTCTTCACCATGCTGCTGTCTTTCCTCAGTTTCTCTCTCATGAAAACACAGAAGGAAAAGTCACCTGCCTGCTCTCCAGCCCTTGTTTGAGCCACCCCACCGGGGGCTTCTCCAAGCCCAGAAGCAGCCACCAAGAGGGGTCCAGGGAGCAGTGTGTGCACCAAACCCTACTCTGGGTGCTTCTTGACCTTTCCCTCCTTTAACCCTCATAGCAAATGCTGGAGGTCGGTGTTATTATTTGCATTTTACAGAGAAGTTCAGGGACTTGTTCAAGGTCACCTGGTGCACAGGAGTTGGGACTCCCACCGAGGCAGCCGTGCCCACCTCTGCAGTCAGCACCTCCCACCACCACACCAGCCCGCCTGGTTAAGTGAACCAAGCTGAACACCCTCACAGACACTAAATTTATATTTCCTGGCCTCCCCTTCCAAAATGGATACACTAATTACTGGACCTTTTTTTTTTTAGTAATAGTAATCATCAGGAACACATTTTTCAATGTTTTCATTTTTCTATTCCGCATACTACCAAAAAAACCAGATAAAACCCAGCAAGTGTGAGGCCCTGTAAATTAGCAAAAGTTCAGGAAGTCATTACACGAAACCAAAAGAAACAAAGTGTTGATTAGGGGCTTATTTTTGTATGAGATTAAAATATGAATCATTAAAATAGGACTGTATTTCAGGCTTCTTATCCCCGCCTCATCAGAGACATCACCATGACTACTAGGTTTGGATTCAATGAATTCCGAAGCCGTTCTCAGCTCTCAAATGCAGTCATGTGTGCCATGGTTCTGCCTTATACATAGCAGTTTCAAAAGTCTGGTCCAGGACACCTCTGCATCTTCCTGCCCATCTCCTTTTAATAAAATGCCCAAGTGACATGGTGTCTGCAGCTCTTTGAGGTATTTTGCTTTATTTAGTCATGATACTAAGTAGTGGCAGAAAGTTATACTAACAGCAACCAAATTTCAAAGGTAGAGGTAGGAACAAAGTCAAGGCAAAAACACAAGGTTCCCTCAGGAATCCCTTAGAATAGGGTATCCGTGGAGTTTTATTTAGTGTCAGTGATAGAGGAGCAGGAGTTTGTAGAAAAAAAGAAATTAATATGGAACGTTTCTCAGGTCCATGCTGAGCTTGAAAGAAAAAATAATACAGCAATATCTTCAATCCAAAATATGCCTTGAATTTAAGTTGGTAATTAAAATGTTTGTTTAAAAAAAGTCGCTAAAATTAGAGACAAAGACCCATTGTTTGTTATTACTGCTGACTGCATATCTGTGTGTGGAGAAGGGTGTGAGGAGACAGTCACAGGCCTGTGATATTGTAAAGATTTATCACCCACCCCCAAAGGGTTTTGAGGCACCCACCTGCATTTTCAGCTTGGATCTAAGTCAAGGGGTGGGACAAGACCATGACAGGTTTTGGGGTTTGTTTATTTTTTGCTAATTACTCGTGGACACTTCAAATACCAAATATATCAGAACAGAAAGGCACCTGCTCAACCCAGCCCCTGCCATCCTCTGGCAATGGCCTGACATCTCTAGATGATTTTCTAGAGATTGTGGAACCTTGGAGCAATGCCTGTGTGCATTTTTAAAGGAGGGAAGCATCCCAGAACATGCCAGTTCCTTATAGAGTATCTTGAATAGTTACCACCTCTAACCGGACTTGTGAATTTTTTTCATGTTTATTCTTTTCCCGTCTAGGATTGAGATTGGTTAAAAAGGCATATTTTTCTCTGTAGGGAAAATTTCTGTGAAGAATCTATGAGTTGTCATTGGAGCATTACAAATGTTCTTAATGACTTCATAATTCTTCGAGTAATCTGAAGTGCAAGCTAAGATAGATGTAAAAAGAACATCCTCACAAAAAATAAGAGCAATAAATTGGGATAGTTTAAATTCCCTGCCATTGTTCGGCAGCTACTGAAGCAGTTCAGTAATGTGGGAAAATGTTCAAAACCTAATGTGGAGGGAAAAGAGGATACTCAACTATTAAAAGCCCGCTTCTAACTATAGAACTATAGATAGTATTAACAGGGCTTCTGTATCTTAGTGATGATGGGATTCTAGGTCATGTTTTGTTTTCTTTCTGATTTTCTGCCTTTTTAAAACATTTTTGGGGCCGTGCACGGTAGCTTACACCTGTAATCCCAGCACTTTGGGAGGCCTAGGCGAGTGGATCACTTGAGCTCAGGAGTTTGAGACCAACCTGAACAGCATGGTGAAACCCTGTCTCTACTGAAAATACAAAAATCAGCTGGGTGTGTTGGTTCGCACCTGTAGTCCCAGCTACTTGGAGGGCTGAGGTGGGAGGATCACTTGAGCCTGGGAGGTGGAGGTTGTAGTGAGCCGAGATCGTGCCTCTGCACTTCAGCACTGGCAACGGAGCGCAACCCTGTCTCAGAAAAAAAGTATACGATTTTCATAATCAAAAAAGTTTGATTTACAACTTCACATCGCTCTGACCTTTTGAGTTTCAAGTGCTGCATTCTGTGCCCCATGAGCTTGGTGAGGGTAGGAGGTGGCAGGTGCGCTCCAATTGTATCTTTGGCACCGTGCCAGGCACTTAGCTGCTGCTCCGTAGATCGTTGTTGGAAAAACATCTTTCCATTTCTCGATTTCCCTTTCCTTTTTCTTTCCAGGTGATGTGCTCTATGAACTCCTTCAGCATATTCTGAAGCAGAGGAAACCTCGGATTCTTTTTTCACCATTCTTCCACCCTGGAAACTCTATACACACACAGCCGGAGGTCATACTGCATCAGAACCATGAAGAAGGTACTGGAAGAGGTTTCTCTTTTCTTGCCTGAGGTTTAGACAAATCCAGGAAGTTTAATTGTTAACTTGATAAGCTGGTCTTCTTCGTGTAAGTTCACTTTTCATTCAGTAGACAATTATTGAGTGCTTACTATGTACAAAATACACTCTTGGTTCCCTGAAGCTCACGATCAAAGCGAAGCAGTGAGATGGATGTACACAGAAGCACAGAAGCGTAACCATATAGTAGGCACCGTAAAGGTGTGGTGGAAGGGTCCATGACAGCCAGGTGCAGGAAGCAGGGTCTTCTCATAAAGGAAGCAACTCTGGAGTATGCCTTAGAGCAGTGCTCCCCACCCTTTTTGGCACCAGGGACCAGTTTTGTGGAAGACAGTTTTTCCACCAACAGTGGAGGTGAGGGATGGTTTGGGATGATTCAAGTGCATTACATTTATTCTGCACTTCATTTCTATTATTACATTATCATACATAATGAAATAATTATACAATCCACCATAATGTCGAATCAGTGGGAGCCCTGAGCTTGTTTTCCTGCAACTAGACGTTCCCATCTGGGGGTGATGGGAGACAGTGACAGATCATCAGCCATTAGATTCCCGTAAGGAGTGTGCAACTAGATCCCGCGCATGCACAGTTCATGATAGCGTTTGTGCTTCTATGAGAATCTAATGCCGCTGCTGATCTGACAGGACGTGGGACTCAGGCGGTAATACGAGCAGTGGGGAGCAGCTCTAGATACAGATGAAGCTTCACTCACTTGCCCCCACCGCTCACCTCCTGCTGTGCAGCCCAGTTCCTAACAGGCCATGGACTGGTACCAGTCAGTGACCTGGAGGTTGGGGACCCCGCCTTAGAAATCCAGCAGGATTCTGATAAGCAAGGATGAAGTGAAGAACATTCCAGGCAAAGAAAATGACGTAAGGGTGGGGTAAGGCTTTGAAATAGAGAGCAATTAGATGACTTGGATTATAAAGCTTATCTTCTCCCACTCTTTTATTACAGAAAATTTCAAACATACTCCAAATAGAATAAAATAAATAAACCCTTCTGAGCCATCACCCTTGCCTTCACAATGATCAGCATTTTGTCATTGCAGAGCTAGTCCAAGGAGCTTAGCTTGGAACCAGAGTGTGGAGAACTTTGATTTCTGGAATATGGAGGAAAGAAATGGGAAGTCATTGGAGAGTTTTTTAGCAAGGGGTAATAAAAGTTGGAAGAAGGAAAGAAAAAAAAACCCAAATCTATGAACTCAGTGTTGGGCCAGGGCTTTCTGCATAGGGCACCAAAGGAGGCTGGTTAGAGTTCACTCAGTGGCGGTGTTTATTTCAAGTGTCCCAGTTGTTCCTCTTAATCATTGGTAGAAAGCAAAAGACCAGAATTTAATTTAGGCCCTGGACCTAGTTCCAGAATAGGTGTTGGGGCACAGAAATAGAGTATAAAAACCTTACTTGAGGCCAGGCGCGGTGGCTCACGCCTGTAATCCCAGCACTTTGAGAGGCCGAGGCGGGCGGATCACGAGGTCAGGAGATCAAGACCGTCCTGGCTAACATGGTGAAACCCCGTCTCTACTAAAAATACAAAAAAAAAAAAAAAAATTAGCCGGGCATGGTGGCAGGCGCCTGTAGTCCCAGCTACTTGGGAGGCTGAGGCAAGATAATGGAGTGAACCCGGGAGGTGGAGATTGCAGTGAGCTGAGATTGCGCCACTGCACTCCAGCCTGGGCGACAGAGCGAGACTCTGTCTCAAAAACACCAAACCAAAGCGAAAGGAAACCTTACTTGAGCACCATTGCATTAAACAGTTGAACAGCTTGAGCACTCAGTGATGGATCGTGCCTCTGAGGGTCATGATCCTCCTGCTCGGATTGGTCAGACCACAGACGTCCAAACGTGCATCAGTTTCTTCATGTGTACTTTTCCTTAGGTGCAGATTACTAGGGACCTCAAACCCTGGTCCCTTGGGGCATTTCCTTAAAATGATTGCTCATCCCCAAGAGCAGGGCTAACAATTTTGTTTTGTTGTTGGCAAACCAAAAAATGAGAAGTTTCTTGTTTTTCCTAATTAACACTTCACAAAAGAGAGCCTGACTCCAGGCGATGACACCACCTCCTTGTGCCAAGCATTTCACAGCAGGGCCCCTCGCTTCCGTGATGGAGAACGAACAGCATTTCGTGCACGCTCCCTGCCTTCCTCTCATCCTTTCCTCCCCTCACTCTACCCTTGCTAAATTTAGCAGCTGCCCTCCTCCCCCAATTCAGTTATTCATTCTTTTGCTCTTCCTGCCATGTGCATTTCCGGCTTGCATAATAGCCACCAGCCACTCCAGAGAAGAGGAGGTGGGTTTACTGAAGCTTGACATTAAGGCAAGGAATATATTACCTAGCCTGCCTTTCAGATACAAAGGGTATGTGATGGGTTTTCTTTCTGTCTCTTAGTCTTTCTCTCATTATTTTTTTTGTTAATCTCATTTGGAATTTAGCCCCATTTTATTCCTGAGTGTGATTGGAGGCTTATGGTCTCTCCTCCTCACAGATCCTTCCTCTTTTCCCTTTGGCCTGATTTGACTCAGCAGTAGGTGTGTTTGTTGTTCTCATTTGCAGGAGCTCAGCAATAGAGAAAGCTGGCTTACTCTGAGAGCTGCTCGCAAACCAAGTAAATACAGATGTGCCACCGCATACGCTGTAATGAGCTTTCTCTCAAGTATTATGATGTTGGTGGTTGTGAGCTCAGTAGGTAAGAGGATGGAGCTAATGAGGCCGAGGTCAAGGGTGTCATTGCCCTGCAGACCAGTTAGCTCTGCTTCAGACCCAGCTCTTAAAAGTAGTGCATTTTCAGAGACCATTCCTTAAAGCTCATGGCCAGGAAGCAAGGTCTGAGAGCATGTCCGGGCGCATGTGCTCCAGTGAACAGGTGCACACAACAAGGAGAGAAGTGTAGGTCTTTATCCGGTGGTATCCAGGGAGAAGAGCTTTCCAAGGCACAGAAGTGATATGAAGAGGTGGCCCTCTCCCTATCCTCCTGCCTTTCAGCTATATGGTGCCCTTGATGACAAAGAGAACAAGTAGAGAGGTGCATGGATCAGTACAAGTTTCCTGCCTCCAGCTACTTCCTCTCTCTCTCCCTTCTTCTCCACTGAAAAGAAAAAAATCCAGCTCAACATAAATTGTTTCCAGAATCAATACTGTTCCATTTAATTATGAAGGATAACAGATGATTGATGTGGGCATATGTTAACATACAGAAAGATCTGGTTCTGAAAAAAAAATCTGTCAAGTGAAATTATACATATCAAATATTACTTCCCCAGTGATTTATTTTACATAACTGGGAATACAGTTCCATATAAAAGTATGTTAACCCAAGATGACACATGTTGCTGCCAACTTGGCATAGGTAAGTAGGTAGGTGGGTAGGTAAGTAGGTGGATAGGTGGATAGGAATGACAGAATGGAAAGAGAACAAGGCCCAACTCAGCTGTTAAGCAGCCTGGCACAATGAAGCATGCACGGTCAAGTGCAAACAGAAGGCATCATTCAACCGCCTTGTGATTTCACCTCGTCGTGGCCACAAACTTAACCAGTTCAGACATTCATAATTTCACAATGGGCATTTATATCACAGTACAAATGTGTCTTGCTCAATCTAGCACCAGTTCCCCACATGTATCCTCTATGACTTTCTTACATTGAAACTTACATTGAAATCATGCCTTCGTTAGTAGCCACGTGGCAGTGCTAGAAGCTAGGAAGTTGGTGTTAGCTCAGAGGTTCACCTCCATGCCCTGACAGTAGACGAGGATGATCATCATGCTAATTCAAACTCTCTATATGTGAACATTTGTTACCTCTATAATGTACTCCATTCTGAAATCACATCATGGCTTGAGCAAAGCAGTCCTCAGATTACACTTACCTCTAGAAAAACCAGCATTTTCACTCTTTTTCCTTACTTATTAGTTATGGGAAGGGAGGGTGATTTTATATAATTAGGTTAACCTTATAATTTTTCACCCATACCAACACACTTATGACAGTGACACAGGGCTCCAGCAATAAGTAAGCCAGGACTACATATCAAATATTCAGGCAAAACCAGAACCAGAACCATCCTCGACAAACAAACTGGGGTGAGTGTGTGTGAGTATGTATGTATATTTTAAAGGATGAGATCTGGAAACCGGGAAACCAGGTCCTAACCCTTCATTCTGCCAGAACAGATCATAAGGGCTAAGTTTCTCATTCCTCTGGCTCTGTCTCCCCAGTTATAAGAAGGGGGTTAGGCTAAATGGTTTCTGCAGTCTCTTACAGCTCTCAAATCCCCACATTACGTCCAAGGAACCTGAGTCTTCCTGGGTGATATGAAGATAAGACATATTCCCTTCCCTCAGGGTCTTGAGCATCTAAAATCTAGAAAATCATAGCAGTGTCCTGCCTGGTGTTGCTCAGAAGCGGGAGAAAATCTCTTCTTTCCTCATTTGTCTCACCTTATTCAGAACTTCAGATAATGTTGCCCCTCTGAGAGTGGCAGCAAGAGTAGCGTCATTCACTTATTTCATCATAAAAAGCTCAGTTTAAGGACATTCTTTTTCCTTGACTGTTGTGACTCATTTTATCTTTGTAATATGAATTAGAATGCAGGTAGGTAGTTATGTAGAAAGGAGGTAAAATAAACAATGATATTACTTCCTTCACAAAAACCAGGAGGCAAAGCATCTTTAGAAATATCAAAGCAGTAAATGACTATAAAATAAATTTATTTTGTCACGTGCAGTTGTGATGATAACTTCTTTTCACACCTTAGGTTCTTTTATTTTGGGTTTTATCCCCTTAAATATATATATATATTTTTTTTTAATTGTCATTTGTCCTCTAGTGTTAGAACTACTGGAATATTGGCCCCCCAAAAACTCAACGGAAACATAAAATAAGCCTCCCTTCTGGGCTAAAGTCTCTGAATGAGACCAGCTCCACAGAATCACCCCATGGGACTGGATATGCAGTCTGTAGGGAGAAGGAGCAAGATCCGGATTTCTCAAACGTTCTCATCCCATCACCCCCTTGGAGCTTGATAATTTCAGCTCTTTAGTTGCATCCTGTCCTCTGCCCCATCAAAGAGATTATGGGGCAGTGATTCTTAATCACTTTAATTTGCAGATATTCACACATGCAGGGCTGAGATTGTTTCTGTAGCACTGGATGCAGTTTTAAGGTGGCAGTTCTGCTCTGGGACAGCTCTTTATCACAAGGTAAACATGGAAATCGCAAGTGATGAGGAGAACTTTCAAGCATCGAAGTGCAATTGATCTCAATTTTTCTTACAACTAGCACATGGGAATGGCTCAATAATTGAGAGAAGTCATTTCTTTGTGAAAGATGGAGAGGGTGGCATGTGTTCTGCGATGGCCCACAGAAGTTTTATTTATATGATTGCTTTATTGAGGGGAATCGTACCCCTCCTGCCCCACCACCAAACCCAAGTGCCCAAAGACTGCTTTGGCAGAAGGAAGTTGTATACAATTTTAATGAGATAATTAAAGAAGATGAGGTATATGAATCTGGTTTTTTTTTTTTTTTTTTTTTTTTTTTTTTTTTTTTTTTTGAGAAGGAGTCTTGCTCTGTCGCCCAGGCTGGAGTGCAGTGGTGCGATCTCGGTTCACTGCAAGCTCCACCTCCTGGGTTCACTCCATTCTCCTGCCTCAGCCTCCCAAGTAGCAGGGACTACAGGCATCCGCCACCATGCCCGGCTAATTTTTTGTATTTTTAGTAGAGACAGGGTTTCGCCGTGTTAGCCAGGATGGTCTCGATCTCCTGACCTCGTGATCCGCCCGCCTCGGCCTCCCAAAGTGCTGGGATTACAAGCATGAGCCACCACACCCGGCCTGAATCTGCTTCTTAATAACAAAATAATAGCTAACATTTATTGGGTCCTTGTTGTGTGCCGGCCCTGTTCTAAGCTCTTATATCTTTGAATCATTTAATCCTCACCACAACCCTATAAAGAAGGTGATATTATTACCTCCACTTTATAGATGAAGAAATAAAGATTAAGAGCAATAAAGTAACATGCCCCAAAATCAAGTAGCAACGCTGAGATTTAAACCCAGGTGGGGTTGATGCCAGTGCCTGCATTCATTCCACTGCGCAGAATGAGGAGACCAAAATACATTTTCATAAATATTTGTAGTGTAGGCGCCCTGAAAATAGAGCACATGATTGAAAGACGAGTAGCAGTAGTGGAGATGAGAACGCCAAAGCAGTTTTCAGGTCAGCTGACTGGGGCTACAGTGTGTGGCAGGTCCTGCTTACATTACTGCCAAATTTGTACTAAACAATGTCAAAGATGACTTCTGGGACTCCAAAGTATGTCTAGTTCATAATATTAAAAACTCATGCTGAGTTGGACCGAATTCACCCTTCTAGATCATTAACTCCCTTGGGATGGGCCGTCTTAGCATCACGAAAATCTCCCAGCCTGTGAGAACTGTGGGTTCTGAGCCAGGCACCGGCTTCTGAGAGCAGACACACTGGCTGTCACCTACCCCCTGAGGAGCCAGCCCCTCAGTGCAGGTCACGCCTTGAAAGCTGGCCCCTCTCTACAGCGGCTTAGTAGGTAACAGGTAGACGCATTCTTTAGCTGCTCAAGTCACATCCTGTCACTGGTTGTAAACCCACTCGATTCTCTAGTCTTGCTGGAATCGTGTTGATGACTGCAGGGTCAAGGAGGCTGTGGGCTGGGGTTTGACATCTTTGTTACACATATTAACCACGGAATACATGACAGAGCCAGAGAGCATGCCGGCACGTATATGCGTGCACTCTACATCCCCCGACTACCTGGGTTCTAATCCCAGCTCCCCAGTTTACCGGCTGTGTGACTTCAGGCAACTGCCTTGGGTCTCAGGTCTCTACCTGTAAAAGAAGGAAAATGACAGGACCTATCTCAAAGGGTTGACATAAGAAAGAAATGAGTCTCCAGCCTGGGCGACAGAGTGAGACTCTGTCTCAAAAAAAAAAACAAAACAAAAGAAGAAAGAAATGAGTTAATACGGAAAATGCCCTTAGAATAGCCAAGCATTCGGTAAATGTTATTCATTATCATGATTCAATATTTCTGGCTGTTATTTGGTTGTTTCCCCCCCTCTGTTTGTGTAAATTTTTAATTGGGATAAAATACACAACATTTACAATTTTAACCATTTTTAGGTGTACTTCAGTAGTGGTAAGTCTATTCACAATGTTGTGCAGTTGGTTTTTCCTTCCACTTTTCTTAACCATTCTCAATATCGCAACTACATCCACTTTGTGCAAACATCAGGTTTGTGCACCTTATACGTAGGGAAGGGCCATTGCCTCCCTCACTGTTATCCAAGAACACCTTTGAGGATTCATCTGCACTATGATTTCTGTGGGAAAATACATTTAAAGTGCCAGTCTTCATTACTCTCAGAACACGGCCTGTTTGGAAGTAAGCACTGCTTGCATTTTATGTCCCCTTGCAGTATCTGGCGAGCGCTGGGTCCTCCATGACCCCTTTGGAACCTTTGTATTAATCTTCTGGCTGTCTCCTTTAAGAACTACAAGATTAACCTTTTTGCAGCCCTTTCTGTTCTGGGATTCTTGAATCTGGCAGCAGGTAACGACAGGTCCCATCAGAAACAGGTCAAGATCTTGACTTCCTGCCCTCCCTGGGAGCAGGGCCCACGAGCACCACTTAACACCTTTTTCCCCTGACCCAGCCTCATTCCAGCCTTCTGCAAGTCCTGCTTTCCTCTCCAGGACCTTTGTTCCTGCTTTGCTTCCTATATTTCAGGGCCTAGGGCAGCATGACCTTTTACCTTCTGACCCTTGCCCCTGCTGCAGCATGTGTTTTGTGACGGAGTGTAGGGACTGGATTGTGCAGAGACCCTCTTTGCATCTGTCTGGGCCCTCGGCCTATTACAGGAGGGACCCCTCACCCTTCCTGCCTGCACCAGGGTCCTCCAACTGGAGGCTGCTTTTAGCCCTAGGGCTAGCGTGCTCTCTTAAGCCAGAAGTTTTAGGGGCAAGAGATCCCTAATATGCATGAATGACTCTCACAAGACAGGCAGGAAGTCTCCAAGAGACTTCCTTTACCCCTAGGGAAATGCCATCTGATCTTTGAGATAAGGGGCTGGGAGCAGTTTGATTTCATCTCCAGAGAAGGAAGCCCTCAGTTAAGGGGTCATCTTGCTCTTTTCCCCACTCCAGGGCCTCTCTGCCTTATCTCTGTGCCACCTGTGACCCCAGGCCTTATACATGATTGAGAGGATTACCCAAACAGACCTAATTGACTTATTGGAAATCCAATCCTTTGATTTTTTAATTCACTTCTTTTGTGCTGCTTTATGGAGACAAAGGAGACTCCCCTATACTGCCTGTGAAGAGCAAGACAGTCTGCAGCCCCGACTGTGAGGACTGTGAGGCCTCCTGTGTCAGCAGATGTGCATGTACTCTCTGTACTGATCCCCTGGAAAGGTGGCCTGTTTGAAAGCAGTCCTGCCCAGGCCTGCAGTAATGAAGATTAAGCCTCAGAGTACTACAGGTTACCCATTTTGTTTTGTTTAGCCCCTTTCATCAAATGCTTATAAAATTCTAGGAGCTTACCTAGGGTTTATTGTTGATAACCTCAAACATATGTGAATCATCCACTCCAAACTAGGGCAGTTTTCTTCTCAGGCCCTCCAAGGGAGTTCGGTGACATTGGCACATTGTGGGGATGAATAGGCTGAAATGCCAGGTACACAGTTAGTGGAAAGACTCCAAACCAAGCAAAGGTTGAACGTCAGGTAACTGGAGTAGGGGGTGTATTAGTTAGCTAGGGCCGCTGTAACAAAGTACCCCAAACGGGGTGGCTTAAACAACAGATATTTATTATCTCACTTTTCTGGGGGCTAGAAGTCCAAGGTCAACGTGTGCCAGAGTTGGTTCCTTCTGAGAGAGCTGTGAGGTAGGATCTGTTCCATGACTCTCTTCTCGTTTCTGGTGGTTTGCTGGCAAGCTTTGGCATTCCTTGCCTTGGAGGTCTCTGCCTTCATCTTCACCTGCATTCTTCCCCTGTGTATGTCTGGAAGTCCAGAGTATACTTTTTATAAAGACACCAGTCATATTGGATGTTTAAAATGACCTCATCCTAACTAATTACATCTGCAAGGACCGTCTTTCCAAATAAGATCACATCCTGAGGGTACTAGGGGTTAGGACTTCAACTTATGAATTTTGGGGGAGAGATAGTCAACCCATAATGGGCATAAGAGACCGGGAGTGGTATATGAAATATAGTTTGAATTCCACCTCAAGACCTTGAGCTTATGACTTCTGTCTAGCTCTGTGTATCATTCATACTTCCCACTAATTTTTAACAAAATGACTGGGAGAGGGAGAAAGTGAAACCCAGTGGACTGAGGCTTGAGTGAGCATTACCTCCTGGGCCTGTTGATTTGCGTCTCCCTGGTGACCTTCTTCTCTGACCAGCATCCGTGGGCTTAGGGAAAGCACGGTGGTGGAAATGTGATCCTGGTGTGTGAGATGCAAACTTGATCTTAGCCTTTGCTCTCCCTGGAAACTTATCGGTCAAAACTTTCACTAAAGGCAGTTTTTTGTCTGTTTGTTTAGGTTTACTGGTTATTTATTATTTATAGCATGGTTAAATTGGGTCAAATTTTTATGAATTGTAAGTAGAGAAACTTTTCTAATAAGAGGAAAGGATAAGAAATCAGACCTTTTTGTAAAGAAAATTACCCCACTTAAAGTCCTGGTTTATTTTAGGCCGTTTGGCAGTGAGAAGAAGGGATTATTTGTGTCTGACAGAGGTCTACAAGGAAAAAGGTTTGGGATCAGAAAACACTTCCAACCAGAATGACGGTTCCCTGCCAGTCCTTGGTCTTTCTTCCTCCCTTCCTTCTGTGCCCACATGGACTAATTATGTCTGGCTTTCCCTCCCTCTTCCTTGTATATTTCCCTTCCATATCAAGACCTTCAGAATGAGGGCAATGTGGATAATTTCCCAGTTTTCCAGCTGGGCAGCTCACCAAGAACAAACCCAGACATCAAGGCCAGACCAAAAAAATCTTCTTGTTTTAGACAGAAGACTCCTACATCTGGGGGATTTAATGCACCCACTGTCCGCTCAGTGCATTTCCTGTGTCCGGAGCTTCTCTGCCTGCCGGCTCTGGTCTCGTAAGTTTCCATGCCCTGCTGCCAACTTATAATAACAGAGGCGGCAGGCAGCAGGCTGAGAATGTCATAGCCTACTCCATACATGGGCACTGCTTTGCAGACTGAAACAAAGCTTGCAGGGTCTCATTGCAGGCCTCTCAGCCTTGACAGTGGTTGTGCCCAGACCACCAGGAGCCTGGAATTAAATACCCTCGGATCCAGTTCTCTACTGTTAATGTTATCAGCTTCATCAAGTACTTCCTCTTTGAGTGATATCTGTGGAGAAATAAATAAATCAAGCTCCTCCAAGTCCTGTTCCTGCCTGGATCCTGAGTCCAAAGTAAAATCTGAGTTGGATTATCCAAAGCACTATCACCCTCCTGCATTGTTCCCAAGGTCTGGGCAGGAACGGAGAGTGAAATCTCTCCAGGACATTACATCAGTTCCTCCTTTACCCTTGGCATGAAAGTTCTTCCTCTCCTGGTCCTCCCAGACTTCCTAAGGCCTGCCCTGAGTGCACACCCACACACTAAGCCTTGAAGCCCAGGACATCAAAGAAAGCCTGCAGGTAACCAGATTACTGACCAACGCCTGTGACCGTTTTGAAATTTATAAGATGGGAAATGGATTCAGGAAATGGGATTTTTCAATACATGGTCTTCATCATCCTTAAGTATTTTTAAGCCTTAATAAGCTTTTAAGTAAAGAGAGACATTCTGTAAATGGCATTTAGAAGAAAATATAGGAAAGTTCAAACTGGAACTGTCTTCAATAGTTGTTTACAGTGATCATATTCTGTGACAAATGAAAAGTGGACCAGGGACAAAAGATAAATACATTTCTATGGGCAGCAGAATTGACATCCATATTATCTATAAAAGGAAAGTTTGCCTTGTCTACAAAAGATTACAGATCATTTTAGTTGGTGCCCAGTAAGCATTTCTATGCATTTGGGTTAAAGTGAGGAAGTTAGTGCTTGTCTTTCCAACCTATATCCTTGCAAGGTTAATTAAGCACTTTAAAAAAAAAAAAGCTTTTTATAACAGGAAATATCAAACCTATACAAAAGTAAAGAGAATTGTGTAATGAATCACCATGTACCCATCACCAGTTTTGATGATCAACTCAAGGCCAATCATGTCTTCCTCTGTGGTCTACCTCCTCTCTCCTTCACCATCCCAGATTATTTTACAGCAAATCTCAGATATATAATTTCCCTTGTAAATAGTATCAACAGGCTGGGCGCGGTGGCTCATGCCTGTAATCCCAGCACTTTGGGAGGCTGAGGTGGGCGGATCATGAGGTCAGGAGATCGAGACCATCCTGGCTAACATGGTGAAACCCTGTCTTTACTAAAACTACAAAAAATTAGCCAGGCATGGTGGCGGGCACCTGTAGTCCCAGCTACTCAGGAGGCTGAGGCAGGAGAATGGCGTGAACCCGGGAGGTGGAGCTTGCAGTGAGCAGAGATCACGCCACTGCACTCCAGCCTGGGTGAAAGAGCGAGACTCCGTCTCAAAAAAAAAAAAAAAAAAATAGTGTCAACATAGGTCTCAAAAAAAGACTATAAAATCATAATAGAACCATCATATCACTTGAAAACTAGTAGTTCCTCGGTATCATCAAATAATCTGCTAGTGTTCACTTTTTGCCAACCATCTCATAAATGTTTTTTACAGTTTGGATCAGAATCCAAACAACATCTATACATTGCAGATGGTTAACGTATCTCTTAAGTTTTTTTCAACCTATAGGTTCCCATCTGCAACCTTCTTGTGTGTGTGTTTGAGCAGTCCCTCTCTTCAGGTTTTTTTAAAGAAGTCAGCCATAATTAGTATATTCGTATATATAATATATTATATATATTAGCGTAGGCTTATATATACTATGTAAGTATATACTTATATAGTATTAGTATATACTATATATCATATATACTATAATCATATATAGTATATATGGTGTGTGTGTATATATATACTATATATCATACTATGCATATATAGTATATTAGTATAATCTCCCCCTGTACATAGTTTCTTTTTTTCCTCTGGTTGCTTTCAAGATTTTCTCTTTATTTTTGGTTTTCAGCAGTTTGACTATGGTGTACCTGGGTGTGGTTTTTATTTTACATATCTTACTTGAGATTCTTGGACCTTCGAATTTACTGTTGTTGATAATGTTGTTACCAAATTTGAGGACAATCTAGCCATTATTTTTTAATTTATTCTACTCTGTTTTTTTCTATATTCTCCTTCTTGGACACCAATTACATGTGTGTTAGACCACGTGATATTGTTCCACAGGTCACTGAGGATTTGTTTTGTTTGGATTTCATTTTTACTGATCTGTCTTCAAATTTTCTAACCCTTTCTTCTCTCATCTCCGTTCTGCTATTAAGTCCATCTAGTCCGGTCTTTCATTTCAGATATTATACTTTTCAGTTATAGAATCTTTATTTTGCCTTTTTTTTTAATTCCATTTCCC
This sequence comes from Homo sapiens, assembly GCF_000001405.40. Classification (NCBI taxonomy): domain Eukaryota; kingdom Metazoa; phylum Chordata; class Mammalia; order Primates; family Hominidae; genus Homo; species Homo sapiens. Next base: position 11,866,221 of record NC_000012.12, read on the forward strand.
TTTTGGCAGCCTGTATGTGTCATCATTTATTACAACCATGATTTTCTTTTAGGGCTTGAACTTATTTATAATAGCTGCTGTAAAGTTTTTCTGTTTGTTTGTGTTAACTCCAACATCTGCATTATCTCAGGTTCTGTTTCTTTTGATGGCCTTTCCTCCTTATTATGAGTCACATGTTTGTATTTCTTCTCATATCTAGAAAATTGTGACTGGATGCTGAGCACATTGAGACACTGGATTGTGTTCTATTCCACTGAAGAGTATTGACTTTTGTTCTAGGAGGCAATCAAATTACTGGCCAGTTACTTTGAATCTGTAGAGGCATGGTCTTACGTTTCATTAGGTCCAATCTGTTTCTATTTTGCCTTTTGCCCTTAGCAGATCCCCTTGTCCTAGGGTTTTTACTCCTACATTGTGGCCATTCTGGGGTAACAAACAGCCTGAAGTGTTTACAGAGCCTTTGAACTTGATGAGACTCAAACTCTGAACTCTGTCTCCACTGCAGTAGCCAGTAGCTGAGGTTTCCGCTTAGATCTTTTGATTATACAACTGTTGCTTTTCACTGAACTCCAAAGGGTCTCCCTGGCACTTGGGCTATTCGGTAATCAGACAAGAATTTGAGGAAGCTTTTACATGCCAATTTAATCACTCTCCCCTCTGTGGCTCCCACTGTATGGGATTTGTTTCTTCAATTTTCTGCCATTCTGGCAGCTACCTACTCTATCTCAAGCAACTTTCTGTTTATCTTCTAACTGCCCCTGTGCTGCACGGACTGGGGAGGAACATGCAGCATAGGGCAGTTAGGAGATCAACAGAATCAGGGGGAAAGCTGTTTAAATATGGACCTCACTCTGTGCAGTTCCCTTCTTTCAAGAGTGAAATCCTCTCCGGTTTTTGTCTGCCCTTGATACCTTCAAATAGTTTTTTCAATGTATTTAATATGGTTTCTTTCATTTCTACCCGTAAGAAGGTTAGTTTGGTACACGCCACTCTGCTATTGTTGAACTGAAATTGCCCCTTTCCTTGTTTAGATAAGTGGTGGCAGATCATAAATACTTCATCTTGCTTTTCGTATCTAACCATAGATTCTGATGCTAGTCCTTAGCAAAATATCAAGATACTCCTCATTCCTTTTTACTTTTACGTAGTACTCCATTTTTTAGAGATATATACTATAATTTATTAAATCAGTCTTCTATTGATAGCTATTCCAATGATGAGGCACTTGAATTTATGGCAGTGGGTTATACAGTAGTCACAAAATAAGCCCTTTGCCTTCAAGGAGATGATCTTTTAATATTGTGAACAATATTTTTGTTCAGTGATCATATGATAGATGAGATCTAGTAGAACTTTCAAAAAAGAAAAAAGTCCGCATTTTCTTCTTAACCCTGTGTAAAACTTAAAACCACTATGTCTGTCTCTGTTTACTGACCCTATCAAATTACGGAATTCACTTTATGTGTTCTTCATATATGTATATTATCTTAATGGACAAAGGTGATATGTTTGACTTGCTTTACTTAGAACTGTGGACAATTCTTTGACCAGAACAAGGACAGCAAGCATGCACATCCTTTTGGTGAGACTGCCCTGGGAACAGATGTGGCCAGAGAGAGTTCATTGAGTTGGGTGTGGAGCCGTGTAGAAATCCCCATTTTTATGGGCAGATTTCTGTCCTTCTGCACCTTAGCAGGGACTTCTGGAGCCAGGTGTGTGCCGGTCCATTCCCCGACCCAGCCCTCAGAGCTACTTCTCTTGCTGAGCTGTGTACACTTCTGATGTTATCCTCGCTCACATGTCACCAGCTTGCAACTTTGAGTGGGATGAGTTAGAGGTGTCCATCCATCCTGCTTCTTCCTTACTTCTGCCTGTCTCTGAGCACTCAGGAGCAAAGTGCTCCCAAAAGTTCTTTCAAGTTCAGTAAGATTGTCATTCTGTAAATTGGGGCCACTGTGCATGCTTAGAGCAGGTTTTGGTGTGACTTTGTGTCATAGTTTCTATATTGCAGTGACAGATGTTGTCATGAGTACACAGGTTCTAGAATCTGACTGGAGTCTGGTTCTATAATCTCCTAACTGGCTGTGTGACCTTGGGTAAGTTATTTAACTTCTTTACGCCTCAGTTTTATCATCTGTAAAATAGGGGTACTAGTGGTATCTCTTGGTTAGGAGTGTCATGAGTGTCATAAGGTTGGGGGTTTTTTTCTTTTTTCTTCTTTTTTTTTTTTTTTTTGAGACAAAGTTTTGCTCTGTCACCCAGGCTGGAGTGCAATGGTGTGATCTTGGCTCGCTGCAACCTCCACCTCCTGGGTTCAAGCGATTCTCATGTCTCAGCCTCCCGAGTAACTGGGATTACAGGCGGGAGCCACCGCACCCAGCCAGGAGTGCTATAAGTTTTAAACAGTGAAATCCAGCATCTAAGATATAGTTATTACTAATAATTATTACTAATATTATTAACATTATCACTAATACTAATAACTCCTAGAGTTAGAGAATATGAAAATTTTAGTTGTGAAAATGTAAGTCAATGAAAGCATCTAGAGAGAAACCTGTAAGAACCCTTCCACCTCTGAAAGCGACGTAGAAGAGTTAAATGATGGCCAAAAGATGGGGCATGGAAGTTTGGCTTCCTTGTGCCTACAGGCCACAGGTAGGTCATTAACGGAATGCTTGTAGACATCCTTAGGTTGTCTGGCAATAGAAAAATAGTTTCAATATGCACACCTTAAGGCCAGGCGCGGTGGCTCACGCCTGTAATCCCAGCACTTTGGGAGGCTGAGGCAGGCAGAGCACGAGGTCAGGAGACCCAGACCATCCTGGCTAACACGGTGAAACCCCATCTCTACTAAAAATAAAAAAAATTAGCCGAGCATGGTGGTGGGCGCCTGTAGTCCCAGCTACTCGGGAGGCTGAGGCCGGAGAATGGCATGAACCCGGGAGGCAGAGCTTGCAGTGAGCCGAGATCGTGCCACTGCACTCCAGCCTGGGCAACAGAGTGAGACTCCATCTCAAACAGAAAAAAAAAAAAAATATGCACCCTTCAAATTGTTAAGCAGTGAAAAAGACACTGCATTCTGGGGAGAAAGGTCCTTTACACATACCTACACGCTCCTCCATTTACCGCCTGTAGAGCCGCAGGGAGTTTCCTGTCCTGCCAACTCACTGGGGTCTGTGATTGTCTTTCCCTCTGCTCCACAGATAACTGTGTCCAGAGGACCCCCAGGCCATCCGTGGATAATGTGCACCATAACCCTCCCACCATTGAACTGTTGCACCGCTCCAGGTCACCTATCACGACAAATCACCGGCCTTCTCCTGACCCCGAGCAGCGGCCCCTCCGGTCCCCCCTGGACAACATGATCCGCCGCCTCTCCCCGGCTGAGAGAGCTCAGGGACCCAGGCCGCACCAGGAGAACAACCACCAGGAGTCCTACCCTCTGTCAGTGTCTCCCATGGAGAATAATCACTGCCCAGCGTCCTCCGAGTCCCACCCGAAGCCATCCAGCCCCCGGCAGGAGAGCACACGCGTGATCCAGCTGATGCCCAGCCCCATCATGCACCCTCTGATCCTGAACCCCCGGCACTCCGTGGATTTCAAACAGTCCAGGCTCTCCGAGGACGGGCTGCATAGGGAAGGGAAGCCCATCAACCTCTCTCATCGGGAAGACCTGGCTTACATGAACCACATCATGGTCTCTGTCTCCCCGCCTGAAGAGCACGCCATGCCCATTGGGAGAATAGCAGGTGAGTGAGTTCCCCTCTCGCCGCTCCAGCATCATGGGGACCTGACAAAGTCCCACTCTCCCCTGTGATCTTTGCAGCCAGCCTCGCACCATTCCCAATTAGGCGCCCTCCAAGGCTCTCTGAGGGCAATTGGAGGCTTCTGCTTGGATGAGGCTAAATCCCTAATGGCTTGGTTAATGAGCCGCTGGGATGGAGTAGTTAATGAGCCTCAGAAATGTTAAGAAACAAATGTCCTACGTCCAGCTTACAAGGAGAGTCACATCAGAATCAAGGCTAAGCGAAAACATTTAAAATAAAAGGTTTATGAGCATGCTAATGGCCCTGTCCTGAAGTTTCCAGCAGCTAATTAATGACCAGACACAGCATAAAGAAGCTTTGTCTCAGATTCAGGCCTGTAATTCCATCCTGTGAGCGGTAACGCCATGCAGCCTTCACCTTAGGAGCGGGTAGGAGAGGAAAACAGGATTATGGTATTGGAGGCAGGTGTTGCTGGGCCATTTGGACAGAGGAAACCACTCCCAGATTCTCTTTCATTTATTATAAGAAGCCCAAATTTGCTTACTTAAGGGAAGAAACCAGTGGAAACCAGTGGGAAAAATATCTACACATTGTCTGTTTCCTAGGATGCTCATAATTTACATGAACTCATTCTTCAGAAGCTTAATCCTCTAACCATGTGACAAGGTTAGCTCTTTTCGTAGAGCATTTCTCCATTAGATATTTGTTGAGCACCTGCTGTGTACAAATAAATGCATTAGGAGTAGGGATACAGAGCTAGTTTAACATGCAATATCTTTTTCCCCAAGGAATTTAGAATATAGTGGGAGAGACAAAGGTGAAAACCACTAAGATATAAGGCAGAATGAAGTCAGCCCCATTTCCCATTCATTTTATGTACCAGCATTCATTGAGCACCTACTGTCTGCCAGAGTAATAAAGCGCTGTAGAAGCAAAGCAGAAGGAAGGTGTGTTTTGACTGGAGGGACCAAGCAAGGCTTTGCAGGGGAGAGAGCCTGATACTGAAGTGACTGTGCTTTCGATAGTGGGAAGGAGGCCTGGAGGCAGGAGAGAACGGACCTGTTCAGGGAAGGGTGAGAAATGCCCCCTCCTCCCTGAGCCCATGACCCGGTGAGAGCTCTAGCTGACCATCAAGGTGCTGCCATGCTGATGGCAGTGGAAGAACAGGCTCCTACAAGCCTACTTTACTTCTGCCTTGAGGTACTGTCCCTTTTTTTTTTTTTTTTTTCCACACTCTGTTGCCCAGGCTGGAGTGCAGTGACGGAATCTCGGCTCACTGCAAGCTCCGCCTCCCGGGTTCACGTCATTCTCCTGCCTCAGCCTCCTGAGTAGCTGCGACTACAGGCGCCCGCCACCATGCCCGGCTAATTTTTTTCATATTTTTAGTAGAGACGGGGTTTCACCATGTTAGCCAGGATGGTCTTGATCTCCTGACCTCGCGATCCGCCTGCGTCGGCCTCCTAAAGTGCTAGGATTACAGGCGTGAGCCACCGCGCCTGGCCGGTACTGTCCCTTTTTTATTTAAATCATGTATTTCTAGATTTTTCTCTGGCCCCAAGTGCACCACCAGTGTTGTCTCAGTTTCACTGTTATAAATCATTTACATCAGGGATGTTGAATCCAGAAAATAAAATGGCAAACAAAAATGACTTATATGTTTTAAAAACTATGAAAAAGGAAATGATATATGTTTGGGATTCCATTCAAAACGATCCTGCAGAGTTAGGGGGTGAGATGTGGGTGGGGCCTACATAAAACAAGGCTAGCCATCACCAGCTAGTGGCTATATGTCTGGGTGATAGATGCATGGGGGTTAATATTATTGATCTCTCTGCTTTTACCTGTACATTAGATTGTTTTAATCAGAAAATGAAAAAATAAAACTGGGGAAAAAAAGAATAGTAGATAAAGAAGCAAAGAGCTTGGGCAAAACATGTGAATTTCCCCAAATAATTGGAGAAGGAGGATGAGGTCAGTGTATTGCTGTGAATTCTATAAATGACCCATCTCGTGCTTTCCAGGCAATACCCTTCTTGTCTGTATACCCTCTCGTCTTGTTTCTTGCATGGTGTGTGCAGCAGTACTTGACATTTTGCAGATACCTTTTGCTTGTTTATAATTCTCAGGACCGCTCTTTAAGGTAGCTCATGACTGCAGTATTCATCTTATGTGGAAGGGTCATTTGTACAGGGGAAACCACAGAGGAAACTGAGCCCCAGAGAGGCAAAGGCCTTTGCCAAGGTCAGATAGGGGCCCCATGACCGAGGTGTGCAGGACAACCCTTGCTGCCCGTGGCTGCTGTCCATAGTGCTGCCCTCGTGGGCCTGGCTTGCTTCCCAAGATCTCTCCTGTCTACCTCCCAGGTGACACTGCCTTCACCACTTCTTGGGAATCTACCATAAGCCCATGAATCAAGAAAGACACATGGTTTAGACTTGAGGAGTTATTTTTCCCTTATTTAGTAGGTTTGTAAATTTCAAAATATTAGTCTCTTAAAATTATATTACTTTTTTTTTTTTTTTTTTTTTGAGACAGAGTCTCTGTCACCCAGGCTGGAGTTCAGTGATGCAATCTCGGCTCATTGCAACCTCTGCGTCCTAGGTTCAAGTGATTCTCGTGCCTCAGCCTCCTGAGTAGCAGGGATTACAGGCACACGCCACCATGCCTGGCGAATTTTTTTGTATTTTTAGTAAAGACGGGGTTTCACCGTGTTGGCCAGGCTGGTCTTGAACTCCTGACCTCAAGTGATCTGCCTGCCTTGGCCTCCTAAATTGCTGGGATTACAGGCATGAACCACTGCACCCAGCCTATACTACTATTTTTTTCATCTCATTCCCCAATATCAGTGTTTGATGATGGATGCGGCCTCATCGGTTAGGAAGCTTGGTGGAATACTGCACCCACCAAATGATGAGCCTGGGTGTCTATGGGTGCCCGCTCTCTCAAGGGCACACAGAAATAGGCAATATGTGCTTTTCTTGATGGCTCTAGGAAGTCAAGAATATTCATGTAAAATAACCCTGGGGCCTAGATCTTTTGGGGGAATGCGTTAACTCCTTCAGTATAACACAATGTCCTAAAACTAATTACCAGTGCTATAATGGCATATTCAAAAGTTTTTAAATCTCCCAATATATATTTTAACTAATGCAACCAAATCCAAATTTAACTCATTCCACTGAAAGGCATTGTTTTTCTCCGAAGAAGGTAGGACTGAATCATCCCTAAAGTTCCTTCCAGCTCTGCCAGTCTGTAGTCTGACAGTCTTGATTCTGTAACCCTCCCAAGAAAACACAAGAGTTTTAAGCACCTTTGTTTCTTTGAGGATACCCCTGTGTGTACTCCACTCTTCTGATGTCTTTCTGGACTCCTCGATCCTTGTAAAATTGATTCTGTTTATTGGAGGTGAAATTCATTGGGTGATTCCTGTGTACAACGTAAAAGTTCTGTCATTAACTGAATAGCCATAAAAAGCCTTTAAATCTCCGTAAAGCAGCTGTTAGATGAGAAAACTTAGTTCCTTAAAGCTTTTCAAATGAGCACAGCACAAAAAGAAATGAAGGTGCTGCTGAATGTCAAACTGATGAGTACTATAGCTGGAGGGTATAGATGGAAATAGTACTCATGAATGTGGATCACAAAATGAAGCTAAATTCTTACTATTCAGATATGATTTGTTCAGGTGCCCTAGAATTTATGCATTTGGACACCTTCTGTGTATAAGGCACTGTTCTGCATTCTTGATGGGGTGGGGACAGCCTCAGAGAGGTATAAGACACAGTCTTTATCATGAAAGAGCTGAGCACAGTTAACTATAAAAGCGAAGCACATGACATGTATCTTAGAAGGGCTCCTGTTAAGTACCACAGGAGGTCAGAGTAGGGATGTCAGGGCAAGCTACATGGAGGGCTGGCTTTTAGCTGGGCTTGGATGAATGCTTAGAATGTGGACAAGTGGAGATTAGAGAAAAACAGGTCATTCCAGATGGAGAAAACTTACCAGGAGCAAAGCAAGATAAGGCTCGGTGTATTTTTTCTATTTCAGGTAGAAATGTAAATCTACAAGTTGAGATCTATTGAGGTCATTTAAAAATCTATCATTTTTCAGGCTGGGTACTGTGGCTCACGCCTGTAATCCCAGTACTTTGGAAGGCCAAGGCTGGCAGATCACCTGAGGTCAGGATTTCGAGACCAGCCTGGCCAACATGGTGAAACCCCATCTCTATCAAAAAATACAAAAATTCGTCGGGCATGGTGGTGCACACCTGTAGTCCCAGCTACCGAGGAGGCTGAGGTGGGAGAATCGCTTGAACCTGGAAGGTGGAGGTTGTAATGAGCCAAGATTATGCCACTGCACTCCAGCCTGGGCAACAGAGTGATACTCTGTCTCAAAAAAAAAAAAAATGTGTGTGTATATATATATGTGTGTATATATATACACACACATATATGTATATATATATGCGTATGTATATATACACACACACGTGTATGTGCGTGTGTACACACATATGTGTATGTGCGTGTGTACACACATATATGTGTATGTGCGTGTGTACACACATATATGTGTATGTGCGTGTGTACACATATATGTGTGTATACACATATATGTGTATGTGCGTGTGTACACACATATGTGTATGTGTGTGTGTATATACACATATGTGTGTATATGTATATATGTGTGTATATATGTATATGTGTGTATATATGTATATATGTATATGTGTATATATATGTGTATATATATATGAAATTTTTCATAAATTCTTTTCATTATCTATTATCACTGAAATTCCATCATACCATTAAGATACATGCAGAATTGTTCTCACTCATAGGTGGGAATTGAACAATGAGAACACATGGACACAGGAAGGGGAACATCACACACCGGGTCCTGTTATGGGGTCGGGGGAGGGGGGAGGGATAGCATTAGGAGATATACCTAATGTAAATGACGAGTTAATGGGTGCAGCACACCAACATGGCACATGTATACATATGTAACAAACCTGCACATTGTGCACATGTACCCTAAAACTTAAAGTATAATTAAAAAAAAAAGATACATGCAAATTTATGTCTGTTAGGTATTTACCATATGGAAAAACTAAAATAATCAAGAAAGGAAATTCAGTAGGTGGTTGACAGTTTAAATACAAATCACAAATGACATCTTTTTAAATATAACAAGTAGCTTATTTTTAAAGGTGTCACTTACTTTGCAAAGGATAAGGAGAACTGTTATTAAGAATTTACCAGGTTGGAATGGCTAGTGTTTATGGGAGAGAGTTTAGCACAAGACGGAGTGAGACAAGATTGCTGGGGTCTTATTTTGAATCCAGCAGCCAACGCTGTATGGAATAGTGAAAAAGTTGCCTCTTTCTGTGCTTGTTTTCTACTTGGTATCTTTAAGAATGGGCTATTTAGGAGCAAGGAGCCTAGCAGAAAGCATCTGTCAATCTTCTAAAACTTTACCTACAAAAGTTTTACTGGCTTGTGTCCCACCAGTGTGTTTCAAAGCCAGAAAGTATATTGGCCACAAGCACCTGTAGGTGGCTGAGGTGTGACTGTAGTCATCCGTGAGTCATGTTTTCAGTATGTATTGAAATTCCTTATTTGGACTTGATTTCAAAGGTAGAAGGGCCTTTTACAGGTGAAGGAACTGAGATTGAGACACATCAAGAGTCTAGCCTCGAGCTTCTGTTCAGTGTTTTTCCCAAAATTATTGTTTCCTTCTGGTCTGGGACTCTAGAGCAAAGATTGAAAACTGTGGCCCAAAGTGTGAGCCAAATCCAGCCACCATGCGTTTTTTTTAAATCAAGTTTTCCTGGAAAACAGCCAAACCCATTTATTTGGTATTGCCTATGTCTGCTTCCATGCTGCAGTGGCAGAGTTGAGTAGTTACAACAGAGATTGCATGGCCAGCAACACCTAAAACATTTATTAGTTGGCCCTTTACAGAAAACGTTTGATGCTCTCTGCCTTGCAACATTGTGTACGTGGTGGTCAGTGTGCTTGGAATCATAGGTGCAATGTAGGATGCAGACTTAGAAAACAGTGCCCTTGCTCCCAAGGAATTATTTGCACTTTAGATGACAAGGCATGTTTGAGACATGTGAAAGGAACAATAACAAGTTATGTAAGAGAGGAGACAGGTTCTGGACTGCAGGCTATATTTTCAGACCAACCAGAATAGTTACGATAATATCATTAACATAAATAAAATACTAAGTATTTAGCTACGTAAAAGAAACGATTTATTTGCACTTTGGATTATACAGTTCTTCATTCATTGATTCAAAAATTATTGCCAGTCTGCTCATGTGCCAGGCATTGTTCTAGATGATAGGGCACTGCATCTCTAAATGCCAAATTTCGTATCCTTGCTGGTGGAAGGCAATGTCCTCTTGCTTTATGCCATGACACAAACTAAGCTCCTGCTTTAACTATAGACAGCTAAATCTTAAACGAACACTTTTCAGTCAGTTTAGTTTTCTCTTAAAGTACTTTAATTCCGTTAAAACCTGAGCCACCAGATTTCCTGTCTGCCTGTCTCTTCCTTGGCCTTAATCCAAAACTCTGCTGAGGAAGAAGATTCGTTGGTACACTGACAATTGTTTTATAATCCATTCATTTCATAACCCCTCATTTGCTACCCAAAAGTGGGGACCTAAATCTGTACAGATTTACGTGTTCAAAGGCCATGGCCTACCCAAATAGAGAATATCTCCTTTCTTGTGTTTCTCTCACAACTTTTGCTGAAGTCTCTCCATCTTTGTGAACATGAACTTCTCGATTTGTGAGGCTATCGCTGGTCAGTTGGGTCATTAATCCTACAGCAGGCAAGACACAGAATTTCCTCTCAGCTCAAGATCTCTTCACTCCCAACCCTCTTAGAACACACTTCGCAGCAATCCTTGGAATCTTTAAAGGTAGCCTTTTGTGACTTTAAAAAATACTTTTACTATCTCTCAAGGTTACATCCTTAACAGAAACAAAAAGATTCTAATCAGCGAGACATCAAGTCTCTTGCATTGCTTATTTGTCACCCAACTAAAACAATGTACTTTCTTGATTTGGTTTTATTGACTGGATGAATTATATATATACAAAGATTCAATTAGGGAAGCCTCTGAAGTAAGATGAAGAAAAAAGTATGAAACTCCAGAGAAAGCAGTTTGAGGCTTATCCTCAGGGGCTTCAAGGACTGGGAGAAGTCACTGTATTCTGGCATCTTGCTTCTGTCTCCACTTCCTCCCACAGTGTTTAATGCTGCTGTGAATTTGTTTCAAAGGAAGCCTATAGACTTTTTTTTTTTTTTTTAATTTTGTACATGAGCCTCAGGAGCAGCCTTGACAGCTAAAAGACCTCGTAAAAGAGAAGTGTGAAGGGATTGCATGAAAGTGCTGGGGGCAAGTCTCAGCCCTCGGCCTTTGTTGGAAGGTGTGGGGTGTGCAGACACATGTGCACCTTCGCACACATGCATCTGTGCATAAATATCTGTGTTTGCAGGAAAGAAAAGATAGGGTTGTGGGATGTCCCCAGAAGCCACAGGGATTCCAGTGTTTTAGTACCAGGTGAAAGAGCCGCTTCCTCCCACACTATCTCAGGGAGATGCCCTTCTGTAGACCTCTGTAGCCCAGTACCCTCAAGAGCTCCTGGAGACAGATGGCCCCGAACAGTCCTAGGGAAGCAGTGTGGGCCTGTGGCAAAAGCTTGGACTGCGAAGTCAGCATGATTGGAATCCGGTTCTTGACTCCCAAGCAGGTGCATAATGTCCCTGAGCCCTTCTTTCCTTATCTGTAATATTGAGAATAGTAATACCCATTTCTGGGCCCTTTTGACTGTTAATGAGACAACATGTGAATGCATGGCACAAGAAAGTTAATTGCTACGTGTCACTGTCCCCCCCTGCCTCACTGCTGAGCTGCCATCCTGCCCATCTGAGAGGGACTGTGTGGGAGCTGTGGGTACAGCCAGCACAACTGCCTGCAGAGCCACGCAGGGCACTGACAGGGAAGGCCTGTGTGGGGTGCCCTTCAAGGCCACCTCCGTTTTCTTATTTCCTTGGAGATTTACTTTTGTGCTCCTGCTTCCCCTCCCTGAAGCTTTGCCTGCTGTCCATATTTGGAGGGGATGAATAAGATGAGCACTGGGGAGGGGAGGAGCCATCACTCCAGCAGGAATATTCCCAGCGGCTGAGTCACTGCATTTGATTTTCAGTGTGAACAACTGAGAAATCAAAGAGCCCTAAAAGAGGAGGAAGTTTCAGGACAATGTTTTTAAAAGATAAAAAAACATCAACAGCATGGTGTCTGAGTGGAAAATAATAGAAGGGGCTTGAGGAGACTGGAAATTCCAGTTTGTGTAAGGGCGCACAGTGCTGTAATACAGAGTCCTACCTCCCTGCAGTCCCTGGATGTGAATTCCCAGGCTGCACCCACACCTGAGCAAAGCGGAGGCTGGGCCTTATTAGGTTCTGACTGCGGGCTGGATCTCAGCTGCAGGCTGTGAGTTTCGGATACCGGTGTTTCCAAGCCTTCTCCACACCTTATGTAATCACAGGTGAAAAGGTCCAGCCTCATTTGCAGCTGTGGTTCTTCTGCCCCAGGAAGCCAGGAAGCGTAGATTTTTGTATTATTTGCCTCCACTTCTCCCTCCCCCAGCGTGCCACCGTGCACATATGTTTTCTGTTTTCCTAAGCCACGGCAAAGCACAAGCAATTGCCCATTGTAAACACACCTCTGCGTATCAACACACACCTGGCTGCACTGGATTGACCAACTTTCTGCTTCTAGGTAATGGCTGATCTAGAATAGAGGAGGAGGAGGGGAAAAAAAAAAAAAACAAGCAGCAGATGGCCCCCTGAATGTTGTAAACCGTGTTTCTCTAAGCAGGGTTTCTCAACACTCTCGATATTTGGGCCAAATAATAATTTGTGGGGTTGCTTACTATATTGTAAGAGATTCAGCAGCATCCCTGGCCTCTACCCACTAGATGCTAGGAGCACCCTGCACCCCAGTGTGACAACCAGAAATGCCTCCAGATATTGCCACATGCCCCCAGTTCAGAACCATATTTGTAAAGCTTAGTAGCAACTTTTTTTTTCATATGCTACTTTGCGTGTTTTGTTGCTGAACTGGAAATAAACGTTAATTTTTAGGTAATAAATTTCAAAAAATGTAACAGGGACACTCAGCCTCTCTTCTGGTAATTATGCCCATGACACTGTCATTTGCAGGCCTTCTTTAAAATTCCACTTGGGCAGTTAAAAGAACATAAAATGACTTTCTTAGAAGCTTTCCTGAAATTTAAATTAACCACAATCATTAAACATTCCCTATGTCAATAATTTGACTTTCCTACTCAAAGTTTTTTAAGGCATCAGTTTTGTCTAGCGTGGTTTTTTTCTTTAGAAACCATGTTGGTTATGTGTGAATTGCCCATCTTTTTACAATCTCTGCTCAATAAGTTTATACAATGAGTCTCTGGTAAGAGACAGACGTGGGAGTGAAAATATTTCTCCTTAACCACAGGAAGGGATTTTTTACAATGCCTTTAGCTGCGGATACCGAGGGTACCTCACCCAGCAGGAAGGAGAGGGAACTATACTTGGGCTAAACACTTTCATAAACTACTTCTCATGGAAAAGAAAATCCAAATAGTGGAAATTTCTTTAAAATATCCATGTGCCTTGAGATAGAAGAAAGCCCTTTCGTTTAAGAAAAATGCACTTAAAATTAATGAATACCTTGTGATCCAAAAACATTTTATACATATACGTTCAGGTGTTTTGAAGTGGAGTGAACTTCTATTTATAGAGTGTGTTGCGCTTTATTATATAGTATTATGCATTTACATTGATGATCAAAGAACATTGTATCTGTGCAGGCATGGGTTCCGAAAAGGCTGAAAAATTCCAGGTGAGCCGTGGCAACAACCTCTAAAGGATCTAGGAACCTAAAGAGGATCTGCCTTTTATTTAATAGAAATCTTAGAAACAAAAATAACTGACATGGCTTGAATGTCAATTGTTTAAAAAAAAAAAAAAAAAAAGGAAAAAAAATCTATTGTGTGGTCAGGCAGTTATTTTTATCATCTAGGCATAATTTTTACCAAAGAAACAAAACAATCAATAATGTTATAAAAGCCACTTATACTCTGAGCTTGAAACAACTGCTTTATGCCACAAAATTCCTATTGCTGTCTCCGTTAGTGACTAATTCAATATGTCCTGAATGTCAACGTATTTTTATTACTCAGCTAAAGTTGGCTTTGCTGGATTAAATGTCATTTAAAATGATCAATTGGCAGCTTGTTTGGGGTTGTTTTCACATTTATGAAAGGAAAAGTTTGCCGGATACAAATGTTCTTGAAGCTGATAGGGAAACGGTGTTCTCTGGTAAGCCCTGCCCTTCCTTTTGCCATCTGATAAGTAGATAACATTCTAGGTCCTAGTTTGATGCCTCCGAAAAACCAACATGGCAGCCCAGTGCAGGTTAAGCCCTTACATTGGAGAAATGGTCTGGTTCACGTTTCACTGTTTTATGAGAAGTAGAATGTACCATTACAGTAAAAGAGAAGCAACAGAAACATGCAGTGAAAACGCCCATGCTTGTGGTTAGAGAACTGTCCGCTTTCTTTTTGCTCTACAGTAGGCTTCTGAGTGGAGTGCCTTCCGCCTAGAGTCAAGAGGGCTGCCATGATGTCACCCACCTTCATATGGGCAAAATGTCTTTATATGAAACTGTAAAAGACAACCAGGTCGTTTCTTAATTGCTGAAATTTATTAAAATGAACACACTAGAAAATCACATTCCCAATCCAGAGGAATCCAATGGCGTCGTCAGCCTATTTGCAATGGAAATGATTGTAAACCTATAGGGAGACATAGGAGGGGCTGCACACAAACTACTTTCGTTCGTCCTGATTTACTGGCTTCTTTTCCCCCTAGAGATACAGTCTCACTCTGTCACTCTATCGCCCAGGCTGAGTGCAGTGGGTTGATCATGGCTCACTGCAGCCCCAAACCCCTGGGCTCAAGCAATTCTCCCACCTCAGCCTCCCAACTAGCTGGGATTACAGGCATGCACCACCACGCCTGGATAATTTTTAAATTTTTTGTAGAGATGAGGTCTCGTTATGTTGCCTGGGCTGGTCTTGAACTCCCGGACTTTCAAGCAAGTCTACTGCCCCTGCCTCCCAAAACAAACATTGGGATTATAATTATAAGCCACCACACCCAACCCTAATTTACAGGCACTGTATGTGATAATATGTGATTTTGTCAGATGTTTTCCAGTTGGAAGAGATTATGGAAAATTAAAATGTGTCTGCCATTTGATAGTAGGACAAATACTGAAATATTAAGCCACAGCTGAGTTCTGGCCTTAGTCCTTTTGGGGCTGCTCTGACAAACTGCCGTAGACTGGGTAGTTGGTACGCAATAGATACGGATTGCTCCACAGTTCTGGGGGCTGGGGAGATCAAGGCCCTGGCAGATGAGGCATCTGGTGAGGGCCCACTTTCTGGTTCATAGACAGCACCTTCTTGCTGTGTCTTCACTTGGTGGAAGGGTGAGGGGTCTCTCTCAGGCCTCTTTTAAAAGGGCACTAATCCCACTCACAGGGGTGGGGCCCCCAAGACCTAATCACCTCCCAAAGGTACCTTGGTAGTTAGTTAGGATTTCAACAGATGAATTTGGGGAGGACATGAAGATTCAGACCACAGCAGATCTCTATTTTCCCTTTATAGAGAAAGTAATTCAAGACAAGGAGATGCTTACAAGGGAAAAAGACACTTTGCCACTTTTTACTGCTTTGCTTAGAAACTAGAATCATCCTCCTTCAAATGCCTGTAAAACGAGCTAGATTATTCTCAGTCTGCAGTAGGACACTGATTTCTCAAGGTACTTAAGATGCTTGGGTTGCTCATCTTCTCCACACCCCCACCTCAGCCCATCCCCTGGCAATACAGAATGCAGCCATGGCAAGACGGGGTGGGCAATAGAAGTGGCTGGACAGCTTCTGTTGTTAGAATGGGGTTCAAAGTCCAGGACTATGGTGTTGTTGTTTTAAGAAGGAGGCCACTTGTCCTTTTCCAAAACACAATGAGTGACACACCACATTAATGTTTAAACACAGATAATACAGAAGAAAGGATTCCATAAGGGATACTAAAGATTTAGGGCTGCTGTACATTTAATGGTAGTTCCTTGAAAGATTAAGCTTCTGGAAAATGCCACAGTTTTCTGCCAGTGTCTTCTGCTATTCAAAGAGAACGCTGGAGTTCAGAAAAGATACACTGAGCAGGTGTACTTTGTTCTGGAAAGTCCTAAGATTTTATAAACATACACCCATTAACGAGTTTCTCTGAGACTAGAAATTGCATTGGGAAGTGTGTCATAGCATGGGTTTTGGGGTCATGCACAGCCAAGAATCCTGTGTGTCATTCATAAGCTGTGTCCTCCTGAGTAAATCATCAAACCCTCTCAGCCCCAGCTTCCTGATCTATAAAATAGGAATAGCAACAGCACCTGCCTCATAAGGCGGCGTAAGGGTCAGATGTAACCAGGCTTGTCGAAGCCACAGCACAGTACCTACAAATAGCACCCACTAAATACCGTTGTTATTTTTATTACTTTCTCTTCCCTCCCATTATCACTAATATAATAATCCTGTAAAGTAAGTGCTGTTATTCCCACTTCATAAGTGAGGCAACAGAACCTCAGGAAGATTAAGAAGCGTGTCCAGGGTGGCCCAACTGAATTCCCCTTGTAAATATACCCCCAGAGAAGGGTGTATGTTTCTCTGCAATGCGGATGTGTTGGCTGTAATATATTCCAAGTCTCAACTGGACACTCCCCTTTCAAATGTGCCAGGCCTAGGCCTTGCCCAAAGTAAAAAAGAAAGAACATTGTAGTGCAGGAGTCCAGAGTGCAAATCCTTGTGACCTCAGGCAAGTTATTTCAACCTCTCTGAGGATCAGAAATAATACAGGTAAAGTGCCGAGTTCATACTTGTAATTCAGTAGTTGATCTTCCATCACCAGCCATTCTGACAAGTGCCTATAAAAAGTGGGCATTTCCAGAACCATGCAGTGAACACCTGGAAATTGGTGCTGCTCCTCATCTGGAGGCCAGTTAACCTTTAACTCAACCTAGAAGGCACACATCTGTCCCCAGCTGCCTCTCCAGGTTCTGCTGGAGGGCAACCACACACCTTCACAGCACACATCCAGAAAGTCATAGAACAAGGGGAAGGTGTACATCATGTCTTCTTCTTTTTTTTTTTTTTTTTTTTTTTTTTTTTTTTTTTGAGACTGAGTCTCACTTTGTCACCGAGGCTGGAGGGCAGTGGTGCGATCTCGACTTACTGCAACTTCCACCTCCTGGGTTCAGGCGATTCTCCTGCCTCAGTGTCCTGAGTAGCTGGGATTACAGGCACACGCCACCATGCCTGGCTAAGTTTTTGTATTTTTAGTAGAGACGGGGTTTCGCCACGTTGGTCAGGCTGGTCTCAAACTCCTGGCCTCAAGTGATCCACCTGCCTCAGCTTCCCAAAGTGCTGGGATTACAGGCGTGAGCCACCACGCCCGGCCATGTCTTCTCTTTTAATTTACTAGCCCACAGCCAAAAACCAAGGCCCAACACCATGCCTAGTCCATATTAAATCACCTAACACTTAATAAAATATCCATTGCCTGACTAAATGTTCAAACATCAGTTCTGCAAGTGGAGAAAGTGACTTTTGCACTGGGTTCCTTTCTGCCATGATCCACTATATCAAAACATTTTTTAAAGACCTCCAAAATGTGATAGAATGAGAATATCTGTATCTCTTTTTGAAACCATGCTAGCCACAGTTCCCACAGTCAGAGTCACCAAGCCACATAGTTTTTCTTTTCCCACCATTTTTCACTCCTCACTCCTTTTTGCTGTGTTTTAGCCTACCCCAGCCTTCTCATCTTTATCCATCCATCTCCCACCAACACCAGGATAACCTTTTCACTCCACTATTTTTTACCACACAGCTCTCTCTGTAACCATCAGGACCCTCTTTCCACCCTTTTTTCCTTCCAGCCTGCATTTAACACACATTCAGAGCCCATTGATTCAGTTAGAACTTGCCTCCCGTCTTTCACATGGGTTCTGCCCAGGTTTAAGTTTGGGTCACGACCGTGGACTTCTGGGTCACTGTATCATCATCTGTGGAGGGAGGCTGTCGCCTGGATCATCTCTGAGGCCTCCGGTGGGTCAAAGGTCACACAACAGGACCTCCCTCCATCTTTCTGGGCCTCCGTTTCTTCCCGGTAAAACAAGGAAGTTAGTTAGACAATCAGTCAACCCAAGCTAGGCAGAAGCAGTTGCTGGATTCTTTTTTGATTCTTCTGGTTAGTGCCTCAACAAGAAACATTTTCAACAGTGTTTTCTTGCCCTTTTCCTCTGTAGACTGTAGACTGCTTTGGGATTACGTCTATCAGTTGCTTTCTGACAGCCGGTACGAAAACTTCATCCGATGGGAGGACAAAGAATCCAAAATATTCCGGATAGTGGATCCCAACGGACTGGCTCGACTGTGGGGAAACCATAAGGTAAAAGGGCAGCAGATATCTGCTCCATAAACTAGTGCCAAAATGAAGTCCTTATCCCTGGATTGGAGGATAATCGTCTGTCTTCTGCTTTTTACGTCTGCCCATACTTATTTAGTTTATTCCTTGCTGGGCAAGCAATTAGGCAGTTGCAAAGGGAAGGAAATAATTAAAGATGCATCTTGCCATTTGTTCCTGAGACCAGGTGCCCATTAACTCACATATCCTGGTTTGCTGGGCTGCATCATGAGTGACTCTTGTTTCCACTCCCCTTGACCTGATCCCGCCACCTCCACTGTTGTTAGGAACTGGGTAAAAGGGAAGTACAGCAAGACTCTCTGACTCACAGGGGACCTTTGGGAAGTGCCACTACTTTTCTGCTCAGTTAGAAACTCCCATGTTCCCCAAAGCCCATTTCTTTATAGAAAATACTTAGATTCTGACTGTAAAACATCCCCTTTATAAGCAAGCGATGCAAGAAGTTTGCCCCACAATTTCCCAAACTGGGAGGAGGGAATGGAATTGAATAAAGTCTTTTGCAGTAAGGAAGACTGCTCAAGTGCGCAGTTGTAAAAAGCGGGTAACCGTGATCCAGGCCAGTCGATAGGTGGACCTGAAGCAAAGCCTGATGTTGGCATGGTGGCACAACCCCAATCCGCTGAGTGAGTGAAAAGGCAGGGAGGCCCAGCCAGGTGTGCCCAGACCTGCAGCCTTCTAAGAAGGCAGTGGGTAATGCAGACCATGACCAAATATGGCAAGGCCCCACTGACAGACACTTCCATGTGTGAGTCACTGAGAAAAATCCCTCTGCTACTCCCACTGTACCATTGCCTCGGGCCCAGAACCACTGTATTCTTGCTTCCACAACAGGAATTTAAACAAAAGAATTGTCTTCCTTAAAATGACAGACCAGAAACACAAGTTTGAGAAAAGGTCATTGCAACAAAAAAAAAGAAATGCTGTGTGGGTCAGAAGGTGAAGGGTGACCCAGAGATAGGGGGAACCTGCAGGAAATTCCTCAGGCGGAGCAGAGAGCGGTCTTGGGAAAAGGAAATAAGCGAGGCTGCTATGGGATCTGCTTTATTAGCTAGGGCTCCAGGACTTCGGACAAAGGGTGATTCACCTTAGGAGTAAACCTTGGTGACAGTGAATATAAAAAGCTAAAGGGTGGGGACAGATGTGCCTGGAAGGCAGCCGATTAGCAGGTAGCTTCCCAAACTGGCAGGGCCACAGGCAGCAGCTGAAGAGCTTTTATTTTAATAGCTCCCGCAGTGCCTTTTCTGAGGTTCATTTCATTGTGTCTTTGTGCTTTTTTTCTCCCTTCCTCCTTTGAACAAACAGAACAGAACAAACATGACCTATGAGAAAATGTCCAGAGCCCTGCGCCACTACTACAAACTAAACATTATCAGGAAGGAGCCAGGACAAAGGCTTTTGTTCAGGTAGCACTTCCTTTTTCTCCTTTCCTTCTTTTGGGAGGATGCTGTTTTCTTTAAATAACGGGGAGTGGGGGGAGACTGTTAAGATCTCTACCTGCCTATCGGATACCCAAAGCCAATCATTGCTACAAACTGGATACCAGGTACTGGTTTGTTAGGATTTAAGGAAAATATTTTTTTAACTTATGTCTGTCCTGTAATAAAGCCAAAACTAAATGAACAGAATCTGACTCACCTTTAAAATAACGCAGTGACCAAATAATATTATGTGGCATTAAAGTCCGGTGTAGTTAAAAGCACAAAGTCAATGGCAAAACAAGGAATTAAACCTAGACTTCCAGGTTACCATCGCTGTAAGGCAACTTTCTGAACCAGTATTTGTCAAAATGCAGGTAATGACCCACAGTGAGTCATGAAATAGATTGAATGGGTCCATCAGAGCTTTTTTTTTTTAATGAAATAAGGATAGGATAGGATAGAGTTGAAAATGCCAGACTGCATGACATGTAGCAAGAATGACAGTTGATTCATGAAAATGTTGTTCCAGGTGTGTATGTACGTGATGAGTCATGATGTAAAATGTATTTCTTATAATGCATCGTAGTCAGAATAAGTCTACAAGCTGCTGCACTAGAATTTTTCTTTCCAGAATTCCTCATAGATAATGAGTTCCAACCAAGTTAGCCTGCCACCACATAGATTGTAATTCCAAGTACTATGCAAGAGAGGAGAAAGAACTGGAAGAAGAAGGAGGGATCTGAAGGACCAATCAGGAGATGTAGAAGTAGACCTCTGGTGCTGGTGGTAGTCATTAGCGGGGCCAACTGCAGGTTGGTAGAAGTGAGATCAACAAACACAACCTTGGGTGATGAGTTTTGGCAGGTGGGCCAGAAGAGAGTGGCAGATGGGGCTAGAGATGTAGATTGTGAATTATCTATATACAGGTAGGAAGTGATACCATGTATGAACAGATGAGCTCACTGATATGATTAATTTATTGGAAAGAGCAGAGAATCTGGTCTTTAGCATTGGGAAGGAATGGTAACTTAGGAATAGTAAAAGCAATTAAGATCTTCAAAAGAAACGGGAAAGGCTCTTCAGGAAAGGGAAACAGAATAGAAGGAATAAAAAAAGAACCCTCCATTCTCTGGCTCTACCGTATGGCTTTTCTTCATCCTTCAACCTAAACGCAGTCCTTGGCTCCCTTTCTTCCCACTCTATACCTTTTTCGTGGATGAACTGATCCCGACACACAACTTCATTTATCACCTCAGTGGTTAGGCTCTTAAATCTCTATATCCAGCTCTAAAATCTCCCTGAAATTCCAAATTTGAATGTCCAAGAGTTTCCTGTAGGCTGTGTCCCCTTAAATATCACATTTAAGTATTTCAGACATGACATCTTCAAAACAGACACTTGTCTCGGATTAGAAATTCCACCCAGAGGCCGGGCATGATGGCTCACACCTGTAATCCCAGCACTTTGGGAGGCTGAGGTGGGCAGATCACGAGGTCAAGAGATCGAGACCATCCTGGCCAACATGGTGAAACCCCATCTCTACTAAAAGTACAAAAATTAGCTGAGCGTAGTGGCATGCACCTGTAGTCCCAGCTACTCGGGAGGCTGAGGCAGGAGAATCACTTGAACCCGGGAGGCAGAGGTTGCAGTGAGCTGAGATCGCGCCACTGCACTCCAGCCTGGTGACAGAGCGAGACTCCATCTCAAGAAAAAAAAAAAAAAAAGAAAAGAAATTCCACCCAGAATTATTGAATTCTTTACTCATCAGGGGCATCACTGCTGTTTGAAGCAGCCAACTTTGAAACTACAGTTCCCTTTGACTCCTCCTGTATCCCAGTCATTGTGCTAGATGGACCATTGGCTCTTCAGCACCATTCCCACTCTATTCTGTGTTGCAGGGGCTAGAAGCCTGGGAACTACATTTCCCAGAAGGGACTGTTGCCAGAAGTTCCCAGGTTGGAGTCTTTCAGTGACAAGCAGTTTCATGAGATCTGGGAGACTAGAAAAAAGTAAAGGCTTCCCTGGCAGTGGAAGCTGATGTCTGGACTTCATGATTCACATCGGGATTCACTCAACAACGTCTTTCTGTCTCTAGTCCACTCTGCTGCCTCCTGAAACCATAATACAAACTGCCAGCTGCCCTACAACACTAATACAGTTCCCTATGCCAGAAATGTATATGACTAACTTTTGCCTTTTTAATACCTACACCCTCAAGGCTCAACCTCAAGTCTGTTGCCCTGAATGAGGCCTTCTTCAGCTGCTCCAACACACATAGCTGTCGTCTTCCATCATCACCTGGGTTTCCTGGAGCCCTTAACTACACTACAATTTGCTTTTTCTTTTCTTTTCTTTTCTTTTTTTTTTTTTTTTAGACAGAGCCTTGTTCTGTCACCCAGGCTACAGTGCAGTGGCACAATCTCGACTCACTGGAACCTCCACCTCCTGAATTTAAGCAATTCTCATAATTATCATGCCGTAGCTAATAGTAGCTGGAATTACAGGTGCCTGCCACCACACCTGACTAATTTTTGTATTTTTAGTGGAGACAGGGTTTCGCCATGTTGGCCACTCTTGTCTCAAACTCCTGGCTTCAAGTGATCTGCCCACCTTGGCCTCCCAAAGTGCTTGAATTACAGATGTGAGCCACTGTGCCTGGCCAACTTGTTTGTTTTTCTAGAGACAGGGTCTCACTCTGTTGCCCAGGCTAGAGTGCAGTGGTGTGGTCATAGCTCACTGAAGCCTCAAACTCTGGGCTCAAGCCATCCTCCTGCCTCAGCCTCCGGAGTAGCTAGAGCGACTACAGGATTTATATTTTGAATACAGGTTGAGTATCCCTCATCTGGAATGCTTGGGACCAGAAGTGTTTCCAGTGTTTGGATTAGGGATGCTCAGCCTGTAGTTTTATGTGTCAAGTCCTTCTCCCCGACAACTAGATTATAAGCTCCTAGAAGGTAGAGGATTCTATTTTTTATCATTCTATATTAAACCTTTCAGTTAATGCTTATTGACAGCCTGGTGTGGAATATCAGAAGCTTAATATGGGAAAGTCGTCAAAAGAAGAAAGGGGTGGTTTGGGGGGCCAAGCATAGGACATCTGTGGAGTTGGCTTAGAGGGGCTCTTTATTGACTTCGGATGTGGAGGGAGAAATTTTAGTTAGGGGATAAAAGAGGAGAAAAACTGCAGATGCTACAGATCATACTGCTGGAGAAGTTTGCCAGTAATGAGCAGGAAAAGCAGTAGTAGCCAGAAGATTGATAGGCTTCCAATAAAAGATTTTCAGTAAGAGAAAGGAATAGTGCTATTAGTGAGGGAGAGATTAGTCCATTTTGAGGAAATGAATGTTAGAAGCCAGACTTGCCACAAAATGAAGGTTTCTTGGTATAAGACCTAGTATGTAATCAAGTGAGGTGTTGAATTGTAGATACTCTTTACAAGATGTTTGAGTGTTGAAGAAGATGGAGGTTTAAGTGTTGAAATCATGGACTAGTGCCATTAAGCAGCTCTTTGATGAGGAGACAGAACACAAAGAATGAGTAGGACTCAACTCGTGAGAAGAGTCAGGAGGGCTCCAGATAAGGGAAAAGCTAAAGATACATGGGAGAGCATGCGCCATGATTTATACAAGAGCCAAGACCGCTAGACTGCATTGGGTTCATACTGATGAACAGTGGAAAATAAGAGCTTCCTAGGTAAAGATGGCAGAAAGACCCGATGAGCAGAGCAAAGGATGCACCTTTGACTTGATGAGTGGTCATTTTAGGCTTTTGCATGTGGAGGAATGAGAGAAAATGTAAGCTCTAAGATAGTGGCGCAGGGCAGAGTATATGGGGAGAGAAAGGTGTGCAGGCACAGAAGGGGACTGGAACGGGTGCTCCTACAGTGTAGGTGGAACATCTGCAACCAGGCTGCCTTCCTGAGCCATGTAAATTATGGTCAAAACATGTCACTGATGTCACTTCCAGTTTAACCCATTGAACAGGAAGATGAGGCTTGCTGTACACCCCAGTTGCAAAGGTAGACAGACTAAAGAGGGTTCATTGCTGGCATTTTGGGTGAATCAGTGATAACATTGTAAAAGATTTTTTTTTTTTTTTTTTTGCCCTTCCAATTTTCCAGAAGCTCCACTAAGTTGTCCTATTGTCAGCATTTTTCACTTAACATTTAACTATATCCTTTGAAATTTAAGTAAGTTTTGAATACCATTTCCTGGGCTCACAGTCTGGAATGGAAGTGGATATACAGCTCTCATGAGTCTGTAAAATCTAATTCTGTAAAAGAAAGAACATATATACATGGTCTGGACCAAGGCTTTCTCGTGTGGTCATGCATTAATGCACCACGTGATCCCAAAGGGTGCTCACTACGTCACAGACAGCCTAGACTTTTTTTTTTTTTTCCAATAATTAGGATTTCACTTTGTCACCCAAGTTAGAGTGCAGTAGCATGATCATAGCTGACTGCAGCCTTAACCTCCTGAGCTTAAGGGATTCTCCCACCTCAGCCTCCCAAGTAGCTAGGACTACAGGTGCACACCACCGTACCCAGATTTTTTTTTTTTTGGTAGAGGTGGGGTCTCGCTATGTTGCCCAAGCTGGTCTCAAACTCCTAGGTTCAAGTTATCTTCCCAACTTGGCCTCCCAAAGCACTAGGATTATATGCATGAGCTACCATGCCTGGCCCTAGTCTTTTTAAATAAGCATTTTACCACTTTTTAGACAGTCAGAGAAAGGAGTACCTTTTCCTAATTTGCACTAAGTTAACATTAATCTCGGGGTTCAGTAGCTCTCCAGCTGTATAAGATGATGGAGTCTTTCTTTATATACAGGCTAGAGTTCAGAGTGAAGACAGCTTTAGGAAAATGGAATCTCTTACCTCCTCCACTTCTTCTTCCAAAGGTTTATGAAAACCCCAGATGAAATCATGAGTGGCCGAACAGACCGTCTGGAGCACCTAGAGTCCCAGGAGCTGGATGAACAAATATACCAAGAAGATGAATGCTGAAGGAACCAACAGTCCACCTCAGCGGGCCAGCAGCCCAGGGAACCCCTGCCCACCAGGATTGCTGGAAGTGTGACGGAGCAGGCGGGCTGAGGAGAGTGGAAAAGGAAGCGACCCAGAAATGGCAGGGACACTTCTCTTGCAGACCAAGAGGGACCCTGGAGCACCTTAGACAAACTACCCAGCACAGGCGGGGCTGGAATTCTGGCGGAGGGCATGAGCCTGGGACTCCATGTCACGTTTCCTTCTGATTTGGAATCTCTCCATCTGTAATTCCTCACCCTCACCCTTCCACCGTTGTTAGTATCATGGTGTTTTTGTTTTTGTTTTTGTTTTAAGAACCTGCAGTTTGACTCTTCATCGTTCATCTAGGGGAAGACATCTGATGTTGTTTTCCTATGGAAATATATATCTATTATATATATATTTTTTGCAAATCTCACAAAGTGCGGCAAGCCCAGCTGGTCAGGAAAGAGAATACTTGCAGAGGGGTTCAGGTTCCTCTTTTTCCTGCCACGTGGATCAGGTCTGTTCCTGTTACTGTTGGGTCTTGGCTGAAAAAAAAAAATGCTTTTAAAAAAGATAAAATGAAAAGGAGAGCTCTCTTTTTCTCTCTCTTGCTCTGTTCTTCCCTTGGTCCCCTCTGTCCTCCCGCCCTGCCTGCAGTTGAGATTCAGATGCCTTCTGACAGAGTTCAGCCTCTTGGAGAGTCTTGGGGATTGTTGGCACCTAAACAGAATCAGTGACCCGGGTGCTTTGTGGCCAGCAGCACAGAATCAAACCCGCATCCCAGCATTGGGCCACCCATCTGAGGGAGGCCAAAATCATCACAGATGCTGCTGTGCTGCAGACAGATACATGCTAGTCCAGAGAGCCGCCCCTGAGATGGCTGTGAGAACCATGTGTCTAAGGCGTAAGATAAGGATGGAAGGCTGTCCAAGTTATTTGGAAGGCCTCGGCAGCTTGGGATTAGCTTGGGAGCGCAGCGCTGCAAAGTGGAAAATATGAAAAGACCACACAGGCCCAGCAGTCCAGAAACTGGGCAAAAATATTCTGCAGTGGGGATTTATTTTTCCAAAGCAGGTAACAGAGGCTAGTGAGAAAGAAAAGCTCCTCTCTGCTCCATTCCAAAGGCCATCTTGTGGTCAGTTTCATGCCCTCACCTGATTTTTTTTTTTTTTTTTTTTTTTCAATTCCTAACCTTTTTTAAAGTTTCCTGGTCTCCACTGGACACAGAGCTTTGGAGACGGAGGATCCCAGAGGGCAGTCTCAGTTGCAATCAGTGTGTGCCCAGCCTGGGCAGACAGGAAATTCCTCGGATACATTATTTTTTCTTTCTTTCATAGCTGTGTCTCAGAAAGGACCCATTTGTGGCTCTTTTTCACCTCAAAATAAGATCGATGGTATCTTGTAAAATGAGGGTAGTGCCACTTCTTAGTATTTTTGAAAGCTGTTTTAGATTTTTTTTTTTTTTCCTTTTCTAGCCATCTAAATTGACTCTTCCAATATAGGTCTCAGAAATCCAATATTTGGAGTACAATTTCTTTTAATCCAGATTACACCTGCCTTACAAAGCACCCCCTCCTTGTTCCCCTCTGTTTCCTCTACTCAGTTGGGGGAGAAACTCACAGCTCCTCCGGGATACATATGTGCCCTCAGCAGCAGCTCCCAGGTGAAGTTACCAGACCCCTGGGCTTCTCCCCAGCTTTTTCTGAGTTGAGTCAGACATGTAGAGTTTGGGTCACACAGGCAAGAGGAATTTTCCCTCGGCCTTACTGACAAGGACACCAACCTAGGGTGCAAACAGATGGACTATGGTTCAAGGACACTGGAATTGAGGAGCTGATCAAGGCTCTCTTCAGCCTTGCTCTGTCCCTGCCTCTTATCAGAGCACAGGTAGACACACGGGCATAGCCAGCCCACTCCTACTGTCACAGGCGCCCCACCATTCAACCTTCCGGGAGGTCAGGGACCTTCTATATGAGGCGAGTGGGTCTCAGTCTGCTTGAATGGTGATGAGATTCTGCTGGATCTCAGCACGCTGCAGGTGTCTTTTGAGAGCATTCAGTAGGACATGGTGATCCCTATTTCAGCCTCTAAGATGACTGGTATTCTATCTGAAATGCAGAGATTAAGCCAAATACCTGATGTATTGTGAAAGCCACTGATTTTAAGAATGGAGAGAAAGGGATTTTTTACTGCATCCCTCTGTATGAATATGAAATCAGAGACCAGGGCATGATGTTGCTAGGATTAGAGCCTCTCAGTCTGGCCTCTTCACCCAAGTGCAAGAACTCAGTCTCTTACTGTTCAAAGAATCTTAACAGTTGAATTATGGAGGGAAATTCCCTTTTGCCCCAAGCATTTCTATATTTAAAGCAATATCCCAGGAGAATATGTTAGACTTAGGATGATACCTTCAGCCACTTGAAGAAGAAATAGAAGGCGCTCATTCCAATATAGTCTTTATTTCCCATTCAGATACAGGTTGAGCATCCCTAATCTGAACAGTTAAAACCCCCAAATGCCCCAAAATCCAAACCTTCCTGAACGCTATGACACCATGAGTGGAAAATTCCACACCTAACAAACACATTTGCTTTCTTATGGTTCAATGTACACAAACTGTTTTATATAGAAAATGATTTCAAATATCATAAAATTACCTTCAGGCTATGTGTATAAAGTATATATGAGCCATAAATGAATTTTGTGTTTAGACTTTGTGTCCATCCCCAAGATCTCTCATTTTATATATATATATATATATATATATATATATATATATATATATATATACACACACACACACATACACAAATATTCCAGGATACAAAAAAAAACATTTAAAAATCCGAGACCCAGAACACTTCTGGTCCCAAGCATTTCAGATAAGGGATATCAATCTGTACTACCAATAAGGATTTCGTAATTCCCCTAACTGCAAATGTCCTCTTCATTTGTTCTTTATGAGAAAACCCGGGTAGTGCCAGCACCTGGATACAGTATTTACACCCTGCAGACCCTAAAGATTTCAGATTCAGTTAGCAAACCTTGATGAAGCACCTGCTGGACACTGAGGGACCCAAAGCTCAATCAGCCATAATCCCTGCTTTCAGAGTTTATATTGTACCTGCCTAATCCACCCGGCGTGACTCATTTCAACACTAAGTACTAGGGGTGTTGTCAGGAGACAAATCTGAAGTCAGGAGAGGAAAATGCAAAGGAGCCCTGCCGTGTGATGGATGTGCATTCTCACTTGGGTCTTGAAGTTCTCATTCCTACATCTCAAGCTAGCCAGGCAGTCTCCTCTCTATCAGAAGAAAGCACTGGTAATTGGCTAGACTGGCTATGTTGAAGGTAACATGAACTCTAAGATCTTGACCCAGGGCGACTTGGTTTTGCTTAAGGTGGCATCACCAATGTTCCAAATCCTTTAGGGAGATGAGGGTATCCCCACAGAAAAAGAGGAATAATAGACCAATGGATTTTCTCCTTTCACCAGTATGTTTGGAACCCTCTGATCCAATGTCTTTTGATACTGATCTCTTGTCCAAATGAGAATGTCGCTTTAGCTGAAATTCAAATGGCTGTGACAATTTACCGAAATGATGAAGTAACCACCATTCCCACCTTTCACTGCCTAGGCTCCAAGTCTGAATACATTTTTGAAATAGGAACTCCCTTTTGCAAAAAAGAAACCTGGGTGTCAGGGAGGTGAAGTGACTTGCCCTAGGAGCAGACAGCATGCCAAGAATGGAATTAGGCTCAGGATCCAGCCTGGGCTCACCCTGTGTGGCTCATTCCCACCCAGGAAACTGAAGATAAAAGATTTGGGAAAACACACCAAGAAAAAGGGGCAGTTTTCTTTGCCCAAGCATTTGGTGCTAGTTAGAGGCTGTTCACTCTCTCCTGCTCCTCTTCGGAGTAGAAATAAAGGCTGTGACACAAGGAAGCCAGTGGGGTGGGAGGGAGGCACCATAATCCCTCCCTAAAACCCACAGAAGACTAACCTGATACTCTTTTGACCCAACTGCATCAACACTAAACAGCTGCAGACCCCCTGAATCTTTCACACATGCCAAGTGAACATTCTTGATGATTTCTCTTTGTGACCGCAACCACCTGCAAACCAGAACGACTCTAGAATTTCCTTCCCCGCCCCCCTTTTTGTTTAGTTTCTAATCTCTTGTTTATGAGGTGTGGGGTTTATAAGGGACTGAATCAAATGAATGTAACAAAAAAGAAAAAAAAAACAAAAAAAAATGCCTTTTCTCAGGGCCAGTGAGTTGCAAATAATTTTTAAAGAAAAGCCTATAATTACATCATCTCAATAAATTTTTTATAAAAAAAAAAAAACCATGAAGTCCAGAGTCTCTGTTTTTAATAATATGAAATGGAGTCAGACAAGGTGCTCCGATGAGGTAAATCCTGTCTCCACTCAATTATGGTATAAAGGGCAATCATGGTTTTTCTCTGGCAGCAAGTCTCCGCTGCAGGGCAGTCTGCAGGCGATCTTTAGACAAGTGGTACCGGAAAGGTCAGAGTGAACCATTCCAAGCTGAGCAGCTGCCACAGGTGGAAGAATTACCAAGAGGAACCGTGATCAGAGATGCTTGGGTCCCATGCTGTGGTGAAGGTTTATTAGCTCACTGAGAACTTAGCAATGCCAGGTCCTCACACAATAGAATTGCCCCTTAAATCTGCTGAGATCAGAGGTCTAAGCCTACCAGGTGATGAAGGCGTAAGGGCTGGGATAGATCCTATGACTAAATACAGGACTGTAATGACCTAGAAGGTCATCACACAGCTCAGAGCCAGCCCACATGCTCAGAATGTCCCAGCCAACCTGACCAACAGAGCCACCCACCAACCAGTGGGCACTTGGGAGTTCAAGATCAAACATTCTGCACTTGACCAGAACTATCTGCCATCAGAAGTGGGTGGAAACAAGGGGAAGAATGGAAGAGGAAGCAAATGCATTGCTGTTGAGCAAATTGGGCGGAGGTTCAAAATGTCTAAGAAATCAGCAGTCTCAGAAAATGTTCTTAGTTTACTTTTGTCTTTAGGTTAACCCAGTTACTCTGTATCCCCTGAGAATGATTGCTGAAATTTGGCCCTATATTCTGTATGATCAGAGCACAGTATCAAATAAGGGTCTAGATATTTTTTTTGTGGTGCTAAAAATGCATTCGAAGCTACTATTTCTATAATGCAGCATTAGAGAACTTGCTAGAAATGCAAATTATCAGTTCCCACCCCATAAACTGAATCAGAAACTTTGGAGCTGGGACCCAGCAGTATGTTTTAACAAGCACTCTGGGTGATTCTGATGCACACAAAAGTCTGAGAGTCACTGCTACCAATTTCTTCATCTTAGTATGAAAGAGAGCTTGTAGCAATTTAAACAATAAACTCAAAATAATTGATGACAACTAATTTGCATCAATAGTACTCACACACAATAACGCTGCATTTTCCTAATGGTAGATATACTGTGGAATGAGGCTAAGTGGACACAGAATCACATACCAAAGTCATCGTCTTGTTTTCTCCAAACCTTTTAAGCAATCAGTTTGCTGTAAAGATGAGCTGTTTTAAAGGGTAACTCTTAACAGCTGACCTGCCCTTGCAAATTAGAGCACAGCAATTTATCCACTTATGCCCACTTATCTGCCTAACCAGCCTGATCTAAAAAGAAAAATAAAAGGATTATTCTCATCTGCTAACTGACCTTGGCTGTCTGTCCCCGGAATTATTAAACAGAGCCTGGATGAGCATTTAGCCAGGGCATTTGCAGAGGACTCTAGAACCACTGGACTAGACCAGTGCTTCTCAAACCTGAAAGTGCTTATGAATCATCAGATCTCAGGGAAAAAAGCAGATTTTGCTTCAGTAGTATCTTGGGAAGTCTGGACAGAAGATCTGTTCTTCTACCCTACTCTCTGGGTGGGGCTTGAGGTGCTGCACTTTTTTTTTTTTTTTTTTTTTTTTTTTTTTTTTGAGACAGAGTCTCACTCTATCGCGCAGGCTGGAGTGCAGTGGCACGATCTCGGCTCACTGCAAGCTCCGCCTCCCGGGTTCAAGCAATTCTCTGCCTCAGCCTCCCAAGAAGCTGGGATTACAGATGCCTGCCACTACGCCTGGCTAATTTTTTCTATTTTTAGTAGAGACGGGGTTTCACCGTATTAGCCAGGATGGTCTCGATCTCCTGGCCTCGTGATCTGCCCGCCTCAGCCTCCCAAAGTGTTGAGATTACAGGCGTGAGCCACCGCACCTGGCTGAGGTTCTGCACGTCTAAAAAGCTCCAGGTAGTGCTGATGGTGCTGGTCCAGGGACCACACTGAGTAGTGAGAAGACAGTCTCCCTTCAGACCCTGAAATGCTAACTGTGATGCAAAACTGACCGAACCCCTCCCTTTGTTGTTTTCCTCTGCTAATTCCTCCCTAGAATGGTCCCTGGGCCCAGTCCTGCTCTGTGAGAAGTTTGCTTGTTCCCTTTCAGGGCAGCATCAAGAGTAAACAACATGATCAAAAGCCTCTTCACCAAGTGAAGGAACAGCTATTCATGTACTGGACCTTCATACAGACATTCATAACCAGATGCCTCATGGTCATCATTCTTATGGGAAGCAATGAGAATTCCAAGCATCACTGCCTCTCAGCCTCTAGAAAGACCAGTCTTGGTCACTGAAAGCAGACAGAACACTAACAATGCCATTCTTGATGTTCTAAATGGCATAGATAGGATGGATGAGCAGATCTTCCATGCAAACAGTCCAAGATGCTGACATTAAAATCAGATAATCCTGTTTGTTAGTACTTAACAGATTCACTGTTTTCTTATTTTTTTTAATTAAGGCCTTCAGTCTCTGCCAGATTAAGATGATAGATTTCTGTTAGTAAAAACCACTGAGGAACGTCTGCTTAATCTCTTCTGAGACAATAGAAGACTATTTCCTCTCTCCAAACCCTCTCAGCAGTGGCCTTCTGGAGTCCTCTGAGATGTTCATGCCTTTTCCCTCAACCAGAATTTTGGTCATGAGATCCCATATCAGACCATCCACCTGAGTTGACCTTTGCTTCCTCCAGTGCCTCTGGGAGAGCTAAGTGCTATCTCGGTGCCCCAGCTGCAAGCACTTCTATAAAAGCAACTAAATGCCTCCATGCAGTGAATTGCTCATGTGCCTCTGTCCCCTACTAAAGCTCTCTAAAGGTAGAGTATTTTATGCACATTTTTACTACCAGCCCCTTGCATGGGGCTGGCACAAGGTATATGTTAATAAGTGTTTTAAATGGGAGTGAAGTCAGAGAAACTCTTTGTGACCTTAATTTAGGCAAAGATTTCTTGAATATGACACCAAAAAATCCATAAAAGAAAAAAATGGATAAATTGGACTTCATCAAAATTAAAACTTGCTCCTCAAAACACACCATATTCAGAAAATGAAAAGATAAGTTACAGACTGGGAGAAAATATTTGCAAGTCATTTGATAAAGAACTTGTATCCAGGATAAACTTCCACAACTCAATAAGATGAATAACCCGATTTTAAAATGGTCAAAAGATTTAAACAGACATTTCACCAAAGAATTTATAGAAATGGTTGTTAAGCACACAAAAAGATGCTCAACATTATTAGTCACTAAGGAAAGGTAAATTAAAACCACAGTGAGATAACAACTCATCCACAAAAGGCTATAATAAAGACTGTCAATACCAAGTGTTGGCTAGGAGGTGGAAAAACTGGAACCCTCATACATTGCTGGTGGGGATGTAAAATGGCACAGCCACTTTGGACAACAGTTTGGCAGCTTCTTAAAAAGTTAAGCATAAATTTGTCATATCCAAAAAATTTCACTCTGAAGTATCTTCTCAAAGAAATGAAAACACGTCCACACAAAGACGTATACACAAATATTTAGAGCAGCATTATTTTACTTTATTTTGAGATGGGGTCTCACTCTGTTGCCCAGGCTGGAATGCACTGATGCAATCACACCTCACTGCAGCCTGAAACTTCTGGGCTCAAGTGATCCTCCCATCTCAGCCCCCTGAGTAGCTGGGACTACAGGTGTGTGCCATGCGCTGGCCAACTTTTTTTTATTTTTTGTAGAAACAGGGTCTCGCTATGTTGCCTAGGCTGGTCTTGAACTCCTGGGCTCAAGCGATCCACCTGCCTCAGCTTCCCAAAGTGCTGGGATTACAGGTATGCGCCACTGCACCCGGCCCAGCAGCATTATTCATAATAGATCGCTTCTGTAATCCTATCACTTCGAGAGGCTGAGGTGGGATGATCATTTAAGCTTAGGAGTTCAGTGTGGGCAAAATGGTGAAACCCCATCTCTACAAAAAAATTTAAAAATTAGCAGGGTGTGTTGGCAAACACCTGTGGTCCCAGCTACTTGGGAAGCTGAGGTGGGAGGATCTCTTGAGCCCAGGAGATTGAGGCTCCAGTGAGAAGTGGTCACACCACTACACTCCAGCCCGGGTGACAGAGGAAGACCCTGTCTCAGGAAAAAAAAAAAAAAAAAGGCTGGGCGCAGTGGCTCACACCTGTAATCCCAGCAACTCGGGAGGCTGAGGCAGGAGAATCGCTTGAACAGGGAAATGGAAGTTGCAGTGAGCCGAGATCACGCCACTGCACTCCAGCCTGGGCCACAGAGCAAGACTCTGTCTCAAAAAAAAAAAAGACAAAAACCAGAAACAATCCACACATCCATTGACTGGTGAATAGATAAATAAAATGTAGTAGATCCAGGCAATGGAATACTATTTAGCAACAAAAAGGAAACAAACCATTGATACATGCAATAACATGAATGAAACTCAAAAACATATTCAGTTATATAAAATTTCCAGTAAAGGCAAATCTATAAAGACAGGAGGAGATGAGTGTTTACCTGGGGATGGAGGTGGGAGTGGGGATTGAATGGAAACAAGCAAGAGGGAACTTTTGGAGATAATGGAAATGTTCTAAAATTGGATAGTCATGATGGTTGCATAAATCTATACATTTACTAGAACTTATTGAACTGTACCCTTATAAAGAATGTGTTTTAAGGTACATAATTTTACTTCAAAAAAGCTGTTAATACAAAAAAAAAGGAAAAGAAAACAATCTACATAAATCAATTCACGCTGGTTGTATGGTAAGTGGGACTGTCTTCAGGAGCTGCACATAGGACTCAAATAAAGGAATTATAGAAAAATATACTAATAATGTAATATACTAATAAAAATGAAACATTAAGAGAAATTATGACAGCAAGAAATCAATTACATTCTGTTCATCAACCAACCTCCCCAGGGCTAGGCCTCTCAACAGTCCAGGAAGTCTGAGTAAACCACGGCTCTCTCAGAAATACTTTAAACTATGGACACCCCAGAAGGAACCCCAGAAACACACAGCCCTTGATGGCCACCCCCTGCCAGCATCAGGTGGCTCCAGGCAGTTGTATAGACAGCGGCCCTAATTTGAACTGGTAGCCTAGGATATTGGAAGACCATTTGATGCTGAGACTCCAAGTCATAGATTCTTAAAGCTACACAGCAACATAAAGGCCATCTGAATCAGTAGGTGTTTGTTTGTGTTATGTGTGGCCCCAGGGCTTCCCAAAGGGGATAAGGAGCAATGGGGGAGAAATGCCTCAGGAATGAATCTGGGAGCCTGAGAAGGACCCAACTGAAATCAGACGATGGGAACACCAAGCAGGGAGATGGTTTAACACACCTGTGGGCTATTATTCTTCAACTATGAAATTAACATCTATTTAGTTGGGGTGAAGAGCAAATTATTTTTTACTCACAAAAATGATGAGACTTTTAGCCAGGTGTGGTGGCTCATGCCTGTAATCCCAGCCCATTGGAAGGCCAAGGCAGGTGGATCACAAGTTAGGAGTTTGAGACCAGCCTGGCCAACATGGAGAAACCCCATCTGTCCTAAAAATACAAAAATTAGCTGGACATGGTGGTGCGTGCCTGTAGTCCCAGCTATTTGGGAGGCTGAGGCACGAGAATGGCTTGAACCTGGGAGGCGGAGGTTGCAGTGAGCCGAGATTGCATCACTGCACTTCAGCCTGGGTGACAGAGCAAGACCTTGTCTCAACCACAACAACAAAAAATGATGAGACTTTTATGTACAAAATAAGAAATGCATTATATGCACTGAAAATATCATTACATTTTTACTTTATCTAAAACTATCTCAAAAGATAGTATCTTTCCATTCATAACAGTCATGTATAAAAGATGGAGATATATTCCATGTCTACTATAATGCAAAACATCTTCAAAATGTGTTTTAAAATGATTTCCTCTGTCTGTCATGTTGGTAAAACGTTTTTCACTGTTCTGTAGTTCATATTCCCTCTTCTCTTTCCTTTTATGAATATCTGAACTAGGCAGCCTCTTGGGAAGTGTATGAAAGACTTCTAAAATTAGATAATAAAATAAATCACTCATTCCTGATAAATAGCATTACACAGTCAATCATTTTGTCTCAGAACTTTAGCCTATTGCTACTGTAGGGAAAACTTTTTGAGGCCATGGTCTCAGGACCAGGGGAACAGCCTGCAATCTCAGCACGTGCTTTGCTATGTGGGGAGCAAAGCTGTCATCAGAGATAGGGCAGTACTAGAAAGGATGTTGGTTTTGTCCACCCGAGAATTCTGTCTGATGGACAATGTCTGAACGTCAATGTCCAAATTTCATTTTGCCAGTCACATCAGGAATTCTAGACAGAGACTAGAAGTTCATTGGTACCAAGTTTCTGCTTTATGCCCTTCTGATTTAGTGTGCCTGACATAGGCTGGTGCCCAACACAGCTGGCTGGCTGGCCTGAGAGCAACAGCACAGGACACTTACACAGGTGCAGTCTGCAGTCAGAGTGCCCGGATCCAAGTCCCACACCTGCTGTCACTAGCTATGTGACCTCAGGCCATGAACTTAACCACGCTGTGCCTCAGTTTCCTCAAATGCAAAATCGGGATGATGATAATGATAGTGCCCACCTCAGAAGGAAGGTTGTGGGGATTAAAGGAGGTATTACAGAGAAAGTGCTTAGGAAAGTGCACAGCACATTCCATATTAACTGCTATGACTTCTATAATTAAGTCTGGATCTACTGAGCCACCAACCACTGCTTCACTCAGAGCAGCTCTGCTTTTATCATTTCTACACATTGGGATTCCACCAAAAGACACCTTCTCATAAAAAAGTTTCCATGGTTTTTGTTTTGTTTTGTTTCAGTTTGAACATCATGGAAGGATTACAACCCCCTCACTTTACAAATGAAGGGTCAGAGGCCCAGCGGGATGAGGGGCTACCCCGAGTCCTCCCACACCCTGGGGTTGTCTGAGCCTGGGCCCCCGCCTGGCATTCTCACTTCACCTCCCTTCATGGGGCCACATTCTCAGTCTCGAAGAGCACCTGAGTGCCCAGTGATATTTATTTGTGCCAATGGACTCAACCCAAGGGAAATATTGGCTTGACTCAGGTTTACGGAGAATATTTTGATCTGGTTTTGTTCCAGTTCAATAGCTTTAGGAAATGTGTAGGTTTCGTTCTATTTAAAATCAGTACGCCAAACTCTTTGATTTTGTTTTCTCTTTCTTTTTAAGAAAGTCCTGACTCAGCTACCCTATGCACAAAACTATATTATTTGGGTTCAGTTTTGGGGCTAGGAAATTTGAACACCACTTCAAAAAGGAGCCCTGAATGTGGAGAAGCCACATCACTAGGCCCTAGAAGTCTTGCCGTTTGAGGAACCAGGGGATCAAGCTGTGAGAATCTCCCAACCATCTTGCTCCCTGCTGGACTCTTGCTTTTTTTTTTTTTTTTTGAGACGGAGTTTCACTCTTGTTGCCCAGGCTGGAGTGCAATGGCACAGTCTTGGCTCACTGCAACCTCCGCCTCCCAGTTTCAAGCGATTCTCCTGCCTCAGCCGCCCAAGTAGCTGGGATTACAGGCACCCGCCACCACGTCCGGCTAATTTTTATATTTTTAGTACAGACGGGGTTTCATCATGTTAACCTGGCTGGTCTCAAACTCCTGAACTCAGGAGATCAGCCCACCTCAGCCTCCCAAAGTTCTAGAATTACAGATATGAGCCACTGCGCCCAGCCTTTTGCTAGAAAAGGAAAAGGTGCACATGACCAGGTTGAGAATATCCTCTTTTGCAACAGGAAGAACAGCAGCCACACTGTGTCCCATCTAACCACTATCTCAGGCAAATCACCTAAGGTTGGAGCCTCGGTTTCTTGTAGAATTATTTTCCTCAAAGCACCATGGAAATAATTCAATGATGAAAATGGGTAACAATCCTAACCCATACATGATAGTTCCCTTCCCTCTTTCCTGCCTGCTAAATCCTCCCTGCAACACACATCCATACTGCCCTTCCAGCACTAATTTTCTGTCTTCTAATTCTGTAAAATTATGAATGGGAAAATCACCCAATGACAATTGCCGAGGTATCTTAGACCTTTTGTTTCTAATCAACTGAATTGCCACTTCACCTCTTCAAGCGATGTATAGCCCTTAGTCAAGACCTTGGCCAAAATAAGGTAATTACCTTTTGACACAACCTGGGAAGTCAGAGCATCCTTCCTCCGCCAGTCTCCGCAAAGAGGAGCCTCCCCCAAGACTAGAAATCCACACGCTCTTTTCCCACTCCACCTCTTCCTCCTAGTAAAAGTCTGTGTGTGCCGTTTGCATCGGCTTGTAGCTGGTTAGTCAAATCAGGAGATGAACGCAAATTCTCCAAGAAATTTGAAATCTGCTTTGAGCAATTCAGTTTGGATCTCTTTCGTTTCCTTTCCTTAACAGCCCCCAATACTTGTTCCCTACCTGAGGAAAACCTAGGAGGGCATGGAGATGGCTGTATTCCCAGACCAAAGATTTTCCATTTAAAGGAAATGTGGGGTCTGGTTTGGTCTGTTTCAGTGTCATCAGGGTTTTAAACAATCAAATAAATCTCCCTTGCTAGTAGATACTTCATTCTCTGCCCCTGCTCCCAGGATTCATCACCATAGTTATCTTCAAACATCACCTCGGTGCCGATGACGACATGGCACCTGGCCAGGTGTGAAGGAAAGTCACCTTAAGGACCTTCCCTGTGAAGGGTATAAACTTGGACTCAAATACAACATGAGTAGGGGAAGAGGTGGCCACTTAGGGACTTCTGGGCCAGGCCACCTGGCTGAGAAATTTGCCATGAGGAATACCTAGTTCACCTCTACACGTAGCTATAAGGGCTTCTTCCACTTCAGACATGTGATGTGGCTTACGCAACAGTCAAGCAGGAATTATGCCAATATAAAATAATCATGCAGTGTCATGATGTAGCTGCTCCTTTAGTCTCCCCCACTTTATAATTTTCGGTGCCAACCATTGGATGAGCTCAAGCTTGCCAAGGCACATTCCCTTTCCCTCTGTGTGCCCCACAGAGGACCCAGTTACTGGGAGACCACTCAGCCCTCATTGCAGTTCTAACAGGTCTAGCCCAAAGGCCTTCAGGCTAGTCAACTTCAGATTACTTTGGAACATGCTTGCTCTTTGTTTTTTGAGCACATTTTGAAGGAGATCCAGATGCCCGGGGTGGAGTGAGGCTCCTAAGGTACATCATTAAGCTTTCTCAGGGAAGTAAGATCAGGGTGGTATGGGAAAAAGAGCACCAGCTTTGGAATCAGACAAAGCTGAGTTTGGAACCTGGCTCTACCACCTACAGCAATGCCATCTTGGAAAAAGTGCCCATGATTCTTGAGTAGCCATTTCCTTCTCTAGGATTTGGAAGGGTTTCTTTGAAAAGCAGAGACACTGTATGTAAGTTGCCTGGCACACAATACACATTCAATAAACAGGACTCATTATATTCATCTGGGTGGGTTCTTTCTCCGGAAAGTGGATGGATAGCCGGATAGGGGAACTTGTATCCAAAAATCTTATTTCCCACTCATCAAATCTTACCAGTTACTCTCTTCACATTTTCTTCTCTTTCCCCTTCATCATTCAAGGAAAAAAAATTGGCGGGGCACAGTGGCTCACACCTGTAATCCCAGCACTTTGGGAGACCAAAGCAAGAGGGTTGCTTGATCCTAGGAGTCTGAGGCCAGCCGGGGCAATATAGTGAAACCCTGTATCTACAAAAATAAAAAATAAAATAGCTGGATGTGATGGCCCATGCCTGTGGTCCCTGCTACTCAGGAGGCTGAGGCAGGAGGATTGCTTGAGCCCAGGAGGTGGAGGCTGCAGTGAGCTATGATCACACCACTGCACTCCAGCCTGGGCGACAGAGTGAGACCCTGTCTCCTAAAAAAAAAAAAAAAAAAAAAAAAAAAACCAGAAAAAAAAGTTTAAAAAGAAGCAACTTTAGCACAGTGATCATTCTAGATGTCTCTTTTTCCAAATGAACTGGCCTCAAAATCCTTTATCCTTGCACAGTACTTACAAAGAGTGCTTGCTTACACTGTATCTATAACCTCATAACAACCCCATTAAAAATGTTTTCTCTCTCATTTTAAGAAAAAAGAAACTGATACTCAGGACAGGGTAAATTACTTGGTCAAATTCACATAGATAGAAAGCAGGAAAGCTTGGTTTCAAATCAAGATCCTCTGATTCCTTTTTACATGTTCTGTTATATTATTCAGGAAAGGAAACTCTTTGAACCATTGTCAGCCTTTGATACAGATGTTTCTTGAATTGGTTAGCAGAGAACAGAGCTCTTAAAGAGTGTTCATAGGACAAGTAAGTCTGATTGGAGGAAAGAGTCAGACATGGCAGTGATCTGGAATTTGGAGTCCTGAGAAGTAGGTAGGGGTGCCAGTGGTGTTTCCTAAGAAGGGAAGAGGTAGTATGAGAGCACTCATGTCATGAAATGTGGTGTACCAAAGAAAGGAAACATATCTGAAAGAGATATGGAAGAGTATGGAAAATACACTTTCCCAAAGTTATAATTTCACCTTAGGCCAGTCCCATCTCTCTACTATATTGACTTCTTAAACCTTTCCAACCTTTTCATGTCCTTTTCTCAGGAATCCTGTCACCCACAAGAATGTAGCCCACTTTGTTCATAGACTGGAAATGGCTGGGGACACAGCAGAATGGAAGCCCATGGTTCCAGGTGAGGCCGTCTGGAAAGAGAGAGTCTGGTGAAGGGATTAAGGAGGAAAAAAACTCTCTGGTGACCGAGTAGGCACAGGTTAGCACAATGCTAGGGGAGGAGCAGAGGGCTACCAGGTAGCTGAAGTGGGTACAGCCCCCAGATTTCAAGAACATAAACCCTGAGGGTATTTGAAGAGGAAGGAGTGTGCAGCTAAATACAGGGTGAGAATCGAAAGATTAACAGAAACAGCATTTAAGAGTGAGGACAATCAAAATCAGAAGTGTCAGAGGATAACAAGAGAGGAGGAGGCTGTTTGTGTATACTTGTGTACGTGTACTTGTGTGTGTGAACAGATGACAATATTACCACAGCAGCTTCAACCCCACTTCCTGTTGAAGAGTGTTTGTATGTCACTAAAGGTACCATTCAAGTGATGGGAACATAGAATGTTAGAACTAGAAGGAACCTTAGATAATTTCACATAAATTAGAACTCTCAGGAATTGAGTGACTGGCCTAAAGTCACACAGCTACTCAGTGGCATTGCTAGCATGCCTCTGTACAGTTCATCGTCTTTGGCACACAGAGTCAGAAAAATACTTCAGCAAGGAATCAGAGGAAAAGAATTAAAAACACTCTTCAAAAGCCACCAACCAACAGCACAAACAAGAAGACAGAAAGAAGAGAGGAAAATGTTCCAGAACGCACAAGTTCAGTTACGAAAAGTACCACACAAAAAGACAATTTAGTCTTAGGAAAAACAGACACTCAAAGCAGAAAAGGCATAAAATACTGTCTCAGAAAGAAATGCAAAAAACAAAAAAGATTAATTTTATGGACAGCTTGATGCCAGAGTGTGATAATAAAGTGCATGCCATAAATATTTGATTTTGTGTGAAGAAATACAGGGAACTGGTTTGTGTGAGAGGAAGGAGGTTTGGGTGGTCACTGAAATTTAAATCAAAAAAGAAGATGAATAAGCCTAGTTTGTTAGGTGAAAGCCTGCAGTTGGGTGCTCCAAAAAAGAAGCTTTCAGTAGGTTTCTCAGTGATTTATAAATACACGTGGACAGTTTCAGAAACAAAGTATCTACTAGAGCTATAAACTAGTCCTTGGTTTTCACTCTTGCCCCAGAAATGGTTAGAAATGAAATACGTGTTTAACAAGTATTTATTAAGTTCTCATCATGTGCTAATACCTAAAATTGCAAAACTTTAAACAAAATGAGATTAAAGCAAAAGTTGTAACGTTGTAATACACAGAGATGTAATGCACATGACAACTAACTAATTTGACATCTATATCAAATAGATATAAATGACAGAGGGGTAGGTGATAAACTGAACTGTAAGACTATCAGGTTCCTACATTTTACATGAAGTGATAAAATATTAACTCTATGACTCTAAAAAGTTAGGAATATATATTATAATGTCTAAGCAATCACTTAAAATGCAAAAAGACTAACAGATAAATTTTTTAAAATATTAAATTAACCCAAAAAGAGCCAGGAAAGCAGTACAGAGAACAATAACAGATGAGACAAATAGAAAACAAAGAAAAAATATAGACCTAAATGCAATCAAATCAATAATTACATTAAATGTAAAAGGACTAAACATTCCAAATAAAAGACAGAGATTGTCAGAATGGGTAAAGAAGTAAGACCCAAGTATATGCTGCCTATAAAAGACACAGTTTTAATATAGGGACACAGATAGGTTAAAAATAGGAATAGAAAAAAAATATACCATACAAACAGTAAGCATAAGAAGACTGAAGTGGCTATATTAATGTTGGATAAAGTAGACTTCAGGGCAAAAAAAAAAGTATTAGTGGAGATAAACAAAATGGGAGCCTCTGGAATTAAGCATTAGTTTTCTAACTACAGAACCTAAATAATCAAAGAAAGCCAAAGTGCGGCTGGGGGGAAATGTAGTACGTACAGCAATTTTCCCAAATTCCCTGTAGTTTATTTTGAAAATAATTTAAGACAACTTGGTTCAATCATACTTAACTTCCTGAGTTCTCACTAGGAAAGATAAAAGGAAAATTTTTGAAGAATAGGCTCTTCAACAAGAAGGGAAACCTGGAAACACTGAGCTGTGTGGACTCTCCAGCTTTATGTATAATTGACATGAACGGGGATGACCAACTATTTGTTTAACAATTATTTATTAAGTTCTCATCATGTGCTAGGCACTGGGTTAAGCATTTGGTGAACAATTCACACCTAGCCCCTTCCCTCATATTGATAAAACAAAAAAGCCAACAAGTCACTATACCAGCTATAAACAGTGATAATTACTTTTTCTTAAAATTTTGTTTTCCTTTGATTCTAAGGGTACATGTGCAGGTTTGCTACATGGGTGTATTCCATACTAGTGGGAACTGGGCTCCTAGGGTACCTGTTACCTAAATAGTGAACACTGTACCTGATGGGTAATTTTTTAACCCTCAACCCCCTCCCAACCTCCCCTCTTTTGGAGTCCTCAGTGTCTATTATTTCCATCTTTATGTACACGTGTACCCACTGTTTAGCTCCCATTTAGAAGTGAGAACATGCAGTATTTGCTTTTCTGTTTCTGAGTTAATTCACTTAGCATAATGACCTTCAGCTCCATCCATGATGCTGCAAAGGGCATGATTTCCTTCTTTTTTACAGCTGCAAATGGTGATAAATATTATCAAGAAAATACTCATGATGCTGAGATAGAGAATACCAAATGAAAAAGGAAACCTGCCTAGGATAGCATGATCAGAGAAGGGGATCAGAGGAGGTAACATTTAGGAAGAGGCTGCAAACAGAGACAGGGGTGAGGTCAGGGGAACAGTGTGTACAAAGGCATTCAGGGAGGAAAGAGCTAAGGAGTTTCTAAGGAACTGACATATGGCCAGAATAGCTGGAGCTCAGAGTAAGGCAAACAAGGACCAAATCTTGTGGGTGAGCTCTACCAAACCTCCAAGGGACATAAAATCCAACCTTATATAAAATTGTCCAGGGGAGGAGACAAGATGGCTGAATAGAAATAGCTCCGGTCTACAGTTCCCAGCATGAGCAATGCAGAAGACGGGTGATTTCTGCATTTCCAACTGAAGTACCAGGTTCATCTCACTGGGGAGTGCCAGACAGTAGGTGCAGGACAGTGGGTGCAGCACACCATGTGCGAGCCGAAGCAGGGCGAGGCATCGCCTCACCTGGGAAGCGAAAGGGGTCAGGGAATTCCCTTTCCTAGTCAAAGAAAGCTGACAGATGGCACCTGGAAAATCAGGTCACTCCCACCCTAATACTGCACTTTTCCAACAGGCTTAAAAAATAGAACACACCAGGAGATTATATCCCGCACATGGCTCGGAGGGTCCTACGCCCACGGAGTCTCCCTCATTGCTAGCACAGCAGTCCAAGATCAAACTTCAATGTGGCAGCGAGGCTCAGGGAGGGGTGCCCGTCATTTCCGAGTTAGTTGTTTGATTAGGTAAACAAAGCGGCCGGGAAGCTCAAACTGGGTGGAGCCCACCACAGCTCAAGGAGGCCTGCCTGCCTCTGTAGGCTCCACCTCTGGGGGCAGGGCATGGACAAACAAAAAGACAGCAGTAACCTCTGCAGACTTAAATGTCCATCTCTGACAGCTTTGAAGAGAGTAGTGGTTCTCCCAGCACGCAGCTTGAGATCTGAGAACGGGCAGACTGCCTCCTCAAGTGGGTCCCTGTCTCCCGAGTAGCCTAACTGGGAGGCACCCCCGAGTAGGGGCGGACTGACACCTCACACAGCCAGGTACTCCTCTGAGACAAAACTTTCAGAGGAACGATCAGGCAGCAGCATCTGCAGTTCACCAATATCCGCTGCTCTGCATACACAGGCAAACACAGGCTGATACACAGGCAAACAGG
The DNA here is from genome assembly GCF_000001405.40 of Homo sapiens. Lineage (NCBI taxonomy): Eukaryota > Metazoa > Chordata > Mammalia > Primates > Hominidae > Homo > Homo sapiens. The sequence goes on from NC_000012.12 coordinate 11,910,040, forward strand.
GTCTGGAGTGGACCTCTAGCAAACTCCAACAGACCTGCAGCTGAGGCTCCTGTCTGTTAGAAGGAAAACTAACAAACAGAAAGGACATCCACACCAAAAACCTATCTGTATGTCACCAGCATCAAAGACCAAAGGTAGATAAAACCACAAAGATGGGAAAAAAACAGAGCAGAAAAACTGGAAACTCTTAAAATCAGAGCACCTCTCCTCCTCCAAAGGAACGCAGCTCCTCACCAGCAACGGAACAAAGCTGGACGGAGAATGACTTTGACGAGTTGAGAGAAGAAGGCTTCAGACGATCAAACTACTCCGAGCTACAGGAGGAAATTCGAACCAATGGAAAAGAAGTTAAAAGCTTTGAAAAAAAAATTAGACGAATGGATAACTAGAATGATCAATGCAGAGAAGTCCTTAAAGGACCTGATGGAGCTGAAAACCAAGGCACGAGAGCTACGTGACGACTGCAGAAGCCTCAGTAGCCAATGCAATCAACTGGAAGAAAGGGTATCAGTGATGGAAGATGAAATGAATGAAATGAAGAGAGAAAAGAAGTTTAGAGAAAAAAAGAATAAAAAGAAATGAACAAAGCCTCCAAGAAATATGGGACTATGTGAAAAGACCAAATCTACATCTGATTGGTGTACCTGAAAGTGACGGGGAGAATGGAACCAAGTTGGAAGGGACAGTCTGCAGGATTTTATCCAGGAGAACTTCCCCAATATAGCAAGGCAGGCCAACATTCATATTCAGGAAATACAGAGAACGCCACAAAGATACTCCTCGAGAAGAGCAACTCCAAGACACATAATTGTCAGATTCACCAAAGTTGAAATGAAGGAAAAAATGTTAAGGGCAGCCAGAGAGAAAGGTCGGGTTACCCACAAAGGGAAGCCGATCAGACTAACAGCTGATCTCTCGGCAGAAACTCTACAAGCCAGAAGAGAGTGGGGACCAATATTCAACATCCTTAAAGAAAAGAATTTTCAACCCAGAATCTCATATCCAGCCAAACTAAGCTTCATAAGTGAAGGAGAAATAAAATCCTTTACAGACAAGCAAATGCTGAGAGATTTTGTCACACCAGGCCTGCCCTAAAAGAGCTCCTGAAGGAAGCACTAAACATGGAAAGGAACAACCAGTACCAGCCACTGCAAAAACATGCCAAATTGTAAAGACCGTCAAGGCTAAGAAGAAACTGCATCAACTAACGAGCAAAATAACCAGCTAACATCATAATGACAGGATCAAATTCACACATAACAATATTAACTTTAAATGTAAATGGGCTAAATGCTCCAATTAAAAGATACAGACTGGCGAATTGGATAAAGAGTCAAGACCCATCAGTGTGCTGTATTCAGGAAACCCATCTCACATGCAGAGACACACATAGGCTCAAAATAAAGGGATGGAGGAAGATCTACCAAGCAAATGGAAAACAAAAAAAGGCAGGGTTTGCAATCCTAGTCTCTGATAAAACAGACTTTAAACCAACAAAGATCAAAAGAGACAAAGAAGGCCATTACATAATGGTAAAGGGATCAATTCAACAAGAAGAGCTAACTATCCTAAATATATATGCACCCAATACAGGAGCACCCAGATTCATAAAGAAAGTCCTTAGTGACCTACAAAGAGACTTAGACTCCCACACAATAATAATGGGAGACTTTAACACCCCACTGTCAACATTAGACAGATCAACGAGACACAAAGTTAAAAAGGATACCCAGGAATTGAACTCAGCTCTGCACCAAGTGGACCTAACAGACATCTACAGAACTCTCCACCCCAAATCAACAGAATATACATTGCTTTCAGCACCACACCACACCTACTCCAAAACTGACCACACAGTTGGAAGTAAAGCACTCCTCAGCAAATGTAAAAGAATAGAAATTATAACAAACTATCTCTCAGACCACAGTGCAATCAAACTAGAACTCAGGATTAAGAAACTCACTCAAAACCACTCAACTACATGGAAACTGAACAACCTGCTCCTAAATGACTACTGGGTAAATAATGAAATGAAGGCAGAAATAAAGCTGTTCTTTGAAACAATGAGAACAAAGACACAACATACCAGAATCTCTAGGACACATTCAAAGCAGTGTGTAGAGGGAAATTTATAGCACTAAATGCCCACAAGAGAAAGCAGGAAAGATCTAAAATTGACACCCTAACATCACAATTAAAAGAACTAGAAAAGCAAGAGCAAACACATTCAAAAGCTAGCAGAAGGCAAGAAATAACTAAGATCAGAGCAGAACTGAAGGACATAGAGACATAAAAAACCCTTCAAAGAATTAATCAATCCGGGAGCTGGTTTTTTCGAAAAGATCAACAAAATTGATAGAGCGCTACCAAGACTAATAAAGAAGAAAAGAGAGAAGAATCAAATAGATGCAATAAAAAATGATAAAGGGGATATCACCACCGATCCCACAGAAATACAAACTACCATCAGAGAATACTATAAACACCTCTATGCAAATAAACTAGAAAATCTAGAAGAAATGGATAAATTCCTCAACACATACATCCTTCCAAGACTAAACCAGGAAGAAGTTGAATCTCTGAATAGACCAAGAACAGGCTCCAAAATTGAGGCAATAATCAATAGCTTACCAACCAAAAAAAGTCCAGCACCAGATGGATTCACAGCCGAATTCTACCAGAGGTACAAAGAGGAGCTGGTACCATTCCTTCTGAAACTATTCCAATCAATAGAAAAAGAGGGAATCCTCCCTAACTCATTTTATGAGGCCAGCATCATCCTGATACCAGAGCCAGGCAGAGACACAACCAAAAAAGAGAATTTTAGACCTATATTCTTGATGAACATCGATGCAAAAATCCTCAATAAAATACTGGCAAACCGAATCCAGCAGCACATTGAAAAGCCTATCCACCACAATCAAGTGGGCTTCATCCCTGGGATGCAAGGCTGGTTCAACATATACAAATCAATAAATGTAATCCAACATATAAACAGAACCAAAGACAAAAACCACATGATTATCTCAATAGATGCAGAAAAGGCCTTTGACAAAATTCAACAACCTTCATGCTAAAAACTCTCAATAAATTAGGTATTGATGGGACGTATCTCAAAATCATAGGAGCTATCTATGACAAACCCACAGCCAATATCATACTGAATGGGCAAAAACTGGAAGCATTCCCTTTGACAACTGGCACAAGACAGGGATGCCCTCTCTCACCACTCCTATTCAACATAGTGTTGGAAGTTCTGGCCAGGGTAATCAGGCAGGAGAAGGAAATAAAGGGTATTCAATTAGGAAAAGAGGAAGTCAAATTGTCCCTGTTTGCAGATGACATGATTGTATATCTAGAAAACCCCATCATCTCAGCCCAAAATCTCCTCAAGCTGATAAACAACTTCAGCAAAGTCTCAGGATACAAAATCAATGTACAAAAATCACAAGCATTCTTATACACCAATAACAGACAAACAGAGAGCCAAATCATGAGTGAACTCCCATTCACAATTGCTTCAAAGAGAATAAAATACCTAGGAATCCAACTTACAAGGGATGTGAAGGACCTCTTCAAAGAGAACTACAAACCACTGCTCAATGAAATAGAAGAGGATACAAACAAATGGAAGAACATTCCATGCTCATGAGTAGGAAGAATCAATATCATGAAAATGGCCATACTGCCCAAGGTAATTTATAGATTCAATGCCATCCCTATCAAGCTACCAATGACTTTCTTCACAGAATTGGAAAATACTACTTTAAAGTTCATATGGAACCAAAAAAGAGCCCACATTGCCAAGTCAATCCTAAGCCAAAAGAACAAAGCTGGAGGCATCACGCTACCTGACTTCAAACTATACTACAAGGCTACAGTAACCAAAACAGCATGGTACTGGTACCAAAACAGAGATATAGACCAATGGAACAGAACAGAGCCTTCAGAAATAATGCCGCTTATCTACAACTATCTGATCTTTGAAAAACCTGAGAAAAACAAGCAATGGGGAAAGGATTCCCTATTTAATAAATGGTGCTGGGAAAACTGGCTAGCCATATGTAGAAGGCTGAAACTGGATCCCTTCCTTACACCTTATACAAAAATTAATTCAAGATGCATTAAAGACTTAAATGTTAGACCTAAAACCATAAAAACCCTAGAAGAAAACCTAGGCATTACCATTCAGGACATAGGCATGGGCAAGGACTTCATGTCTAAAACACCAAAAGCAATGGCAACAAAAGCCAAAATTGACAAATGGGATCTAATTAAACTCAAGAGCTTCTGCACAGCAAAAGAAACTACCATCAGAGTGAACAGGCAACCTACAGAGTGGGAGAAAATTTTTGCAATCTACTCATCTGACAAAGGGCTAATATCCAGAATCTACAATGAACTCAAACAAATTTACAAGAAAAAAACAAACAACCCCATCAACAAGTGGGCGAAGGATATGAACAGACACTTCTCAAAAGAAAACATTTATGCAGCCAAAAAACACATGAAAAAATGCTCATCATCACTGGCCATCAGAGAAATGAAAAATCAAAACCACAATGAGATACCATCTCACACCAGTTAGAATGGTGATCATTAAAAAGTCAGGAAACAACAGGTGCTGGAGAGGATGTGGAGAAATAGGAATACTTTTACACTGTTGGTGGGACTGTAAACTAGTTCAACCACTGTGGAAGTCAGTGTGGAGATTCCTCAGGGATCTAGAACTAGAAATACCATTTGACCCAGCCATCCCATCACTGGGTATATACCCAAAGGATTATAAATCATGCTGCTATAAAGACACATACACACGTATGTTTATAGCAGCACTATTCACAACAGCAAAGACTTGGAACCAACCCAAATGTCCAACAACGATAGACTGGATTAAGAAAATGTGGCACATATACACCATGGAATACTATGAAGCCATAAAAAATGATGAATTCATGTCCTCTATAGGGACATGGATGAAACTGGAAACCATCATTCTCAGCAAACTATTGCAAGGACAAAACAGCAAACACCGCATGTTCTCACTCATAGGTGGGAATTGAACAGTGAGAACACATGGACACAGGAAGGGGAACATCACACACTGGGGACTGTTGTGGGGTAGGGGGAGAGGGGAGGGATAGCATTAGGAGATATACTTAATGTAAATGACGAGTTAATGGGTGCAGCACACCAACATGGCACATGTATACATATGTAACAAACCTGCACGTTGTGCACATGTACCCTAAAACTTAAAGTATAATAATAATAAAATTTTAAAAAATGTCCATATAGTAGAAAAAGAAGTAACACTTTCCTTACTCATTTACAAGGCTAACCTTGTTGCCAAAACCACATGAGGATAATACAAAAAGAAATGGAAAATTATGAGACAATCTCGCTCATCAAATAGATATAAAAATTCCAAATCCAACAAATAGTAATATTTACATAGGCCCTGGGAATTATTATGAAATAGCCCAAAGCACCTTGGAAAACTGGTGTAACAATTCATTGTCGCTTTTCATACTGGAATATGCTTTCATAATGTTTTTCACTGGAAAATGTGTACCTGACTGAGATGCAAACAAGCTTTTAATAGATTGCACTTAGGTCCTGGAAACACTAGATTTCAGATTGTATATTGCAGAAGAGAACTGGCCCTATGCAAATTCGTGGATAGGTAAATTTTGCCTTTAGAACCTAGTCTGCTCCTCTCCCTACCCTCTGCCCACAACTTCACCTTAAATGGTCCTATTACCTTTCCCTCTGGGGAAAGGCTTTGGGGTCAGGGTTGGCCATTTACTAGCTGTGTAATCTCTCTTAAAACAGTGGCAATATATAATTCCTTCAGCTGTTATATAATGACAAAATAAAATAATACATGGTAGATGTGTAGTACAGCACTTGGGAAGTAGCAGGATCTAAGTCATTTTTTTTCTGTTTGTAGAATGAAAGATGTTGCTCTATGTTCTGGGATTGCTGGCCTTTCAGGAGCAGAGAGGTATGATAGAAAATAATGCCTTCAATATAAAATTTTAATGACTTACATACAGAGTAATCCATCAACCAGATTCCAAAACATACTTTGAGGGGCAAGTATCTGTTAAAGGCTTAATTTTATTTGTTCCCAGATAGTTCGAATTGCCTTTGACAGTCCTTTTTCTATCATAAAAACCATCTCTTTCTTTTACAAGTCTCAGCTGCTTATATCCAACAAAATAAAAGCATCTCATTAAACCTCAGCCCTCTTTGATGACTCAACAAATATTCATTCATTGAACCTATTAAATGTAAACATATTACTTTTAAAAAACATATCTTCAAGGTCATTCCTTGGTCCATCCAAGTGAGTATCATTAAATCCATACCCAAGCCATCTAACACTTGATATCATAGGAGTGCATAATTCAGTCAGAAAGGTGGCCTGCAAAAGCAGAACCAGATTTCCATACTCAAAAAGAGGAGTTCTGGCCCGGTGTGGTGGCTCACGCCTGTAATCCCAGCATTTTGGGAGGCCGAGGAGGGCGGATCACGAGGTCAGGAGATCGAGACCATCCTGGCTAACACAGTGAAACCCCATCTCTACCAAAAAAATACAAAAAAATTAGCCAGGCGTGGTGGTGGGTGCCTGTAGTCCCAGCCACTCGGGAGGCTGAGGCAGGAGAATGGCATGAACCCAGAAGGTGGAGCTTGCAGTGAGTGGAGATCACGCCACTGCACTCCAGCCTGGGCAACAGAGTGAGACTCCATCTCAAAAAAAAAGAGTTCTGTTTGTCTATTTCACAACTAAATAAAGCATATTGATGCCTTTGTGAACTCCCAATGCCTAGTTTCCCACTTTCAATTCTGTAGTAGAGGGGGAAGTAACAGAGTGATTTGGAGTATATGACATGGCTAAGACATTCATCATAGATCCATCACTGGGTAGGATGTATATCACATCACAGGAAGCTTTTGCTCAGTTTTTTTCCTATAGCTCTTTCCACTGTGGGGCACTCCAGCCATAAAGAGGGAAGACTATCTTCTTCTTTTTTTTTAAGACAGGGTGTCACTCTGTCACCCAGGCTGGAGTGCAGTGGAATGATCACAATCACGGTTCACTGCAGTCTCAATCTCCCATGCTCAGGCAATGATCCCACCTCAGCCTCCTGAGCAGCTGGGACTACAGTCACATGCCACCATGCCTGGCTATTTTTTTCTATTATTTGTAGAGACAAGATCTCCCTATGTTGTGCAGACTGGTCTCAAACTCCTGGGCTCAAGTGCTCCTCCCACCCTTGTCTCCCAAAATGCTAGGATTACAGGTGTGAGCCACTGCACCCATCCCTTTTTTTTTTTTTTTTTTTAACATTCCTAGATACTAAATTTCAAACCACAACTAGCCCAAAATTAGCTCTGATAACAAGTGCTTGACTGGATGACTGACTGCTTATTTCTATGGATACTGGTTCTCCATGACAGTTATTTGGATTCTGATATGATGCCTAATTATTAACGTACTCCTTGCCTGCTTCCTATCCCAAAACAAATATCTTAAGCTCCAGGAAGGCAGGACTGTGATTGACTCAGGACATCCATGCTTTACTGTCCTTGCCACTGGGAAAGACCCTCAGGGAAGAGGATCAAGACTTAACTGTCCCTGTGGGAGCTCTGGAGAAATGAACCCAGGATGTAAGGCTAATCTGATCATCTGAATCACCAAGTCTAGACGGGGAATGGCAACCTGGGATCTGAGCTATGCATAAATCAACAGCCAAGAGTCACACCTGGTGGCCTGGGGGACTTAATTAAGTAGGGGGTAGAGTTCTTAACGATTTGGGCTCTTCCACATCACCGCAGATGACTTCTGTGGTCCTATTTCTAAGGCAGGTCTGTCTGGTTGGAGGAAGAGAACAGCCAATAACTTGAGGACATGAAAAACCAAAATCAGACCCCCCAGATAAAGAGATCCTGTTAGACCCAAGACTTTCTGTTAATGATTTAATTCATATTCAACAGGCTGAATAGATCAAATGTAAACATATTGCTTTTAAAGGGCACTTTTGTCCTTCCTTGATCCATGTAAGTCGATCTTTCCACTGGCAAGATTCACTGAGAAAAAGAAAGAGTTGACAATGCATTCTAAATAATTTTGACCTCTTCTTGGTTGTACCCCATCCAGTCCAGTTGTCCAGCCACTCATTAGATAAACTAGTTCAGCAATGACTAAAATTGTTCATCAGCCCTGCTACCTAAGTAGACCCTATATCCTCACAGCCATCCTTACTCCTCCCTGTTATAAAATATCTCCTTTTCCTCCCCTTAGAAACAGAGATAGAGTACCAGATGCAAATGTTATGATGAAATCCAGCTCAAGTGGTAGTGATCTGTCCAGTTTTGTAAAGGCAACACCTGTGCATACTAGGACCAGTCTCTAGTTCTGAAACCCACCTACAGCTTTAATTATGTCACCTACTGGAATCTTCCTTCAGATTCTACCTTGCTCCTCTACTGGCTTCCAGAGTATGAGTCCTTATGACCACAGTCTTCCTCTGAGGTGACCTCCAGCCTCTGCCAAGCTCAACTCTTGCCAATGAGCCAACGTTCTTAGCCCCAACTACACGTAGACTCAGCTCAGATTCTACCCAAGTCCTTAAGCGTGACATTCCCCAGGAAATATAAAAGGTAGAATGCACTGTACCTAAATGCAGCCCCTAGGACGTTCATTTCAGTAACATCTTCATGTTGCAATACTCATGAGAGGGCTTTGATCCTTCACACCAATCGCTAATAAAAAGCTCTCAGCTGGGCGCGGTGGCTCACACCTGTAATCCTAGCACTTTGGGAGGCCGAGGCGGGCGGATCATGAGGTCAGGAGTTAAAGACAAGCTGGACAACATGGTGAAATCCCGTCTCTACTAAAAATACAAAAAATTAGCCAGGCGTGGTGGCGGGCACCTGCAGTCCCAGCTACTCGGGAGGCTGAGGCAGGAGAATGGCGTGAACCCGGGAGGCAGAGCTTGCACTGAGCCGAGATCGTGCCACTGCACTCCAGCCTGGGCGACAGAGCGAGACTCTATCTCAAAAAAAAAAAAAAAAAAAAAAAAAAAAGAAAATTAGCCAGGCGTGGTGGCACATGCCTGTAATCCCAGCTACTCGGGTGGCTGAGGTAGGAGAATTGCTTGAACTCACGAATCAGAGGTTGCAGTGAGCCGAGACTGTGACACTGCACTCCAGCCTGGGCGACAGAGTGAGACTCTGTCTCAAAAAAAAAAAAATGCTTAGCTCTCTGGGCAGCCAGCCCATTCTCACCTTTACCTAATATAAATCTGTACCAGGGTGAGAATCCAGGAAGCAGAGGGTCCGAAAATGTGCTTCTTTCTTCTAAAAAGGAAGACACATATTCCCCAGATCAAATTAAAAAAATAAATCCAGGAGAAAATACTTGCTCTTTCCTAACTTATATTCATAAGGTTCTCTTAGTGGACTTCTGTAGCCTTAGTGAAACCCAAACTAGAATGTTTAGCAAAATCCCCAAATGTATCCTATTTTCAATATTTTCAGAACTCAATATTTTTAGAATGTAAAATTGTGTTTTATAAAGAAATAATTCATTTGTCATGTACATTGATGACATGAAATGTACATAAAATTCAGAAAACTGAAATTATCAGTTAACAGGGAGGTTAATAGAATTATTTTTACAGCAATTTAGATTCACAGAATAATTGGGAAGAAGGTACAGAGACTTCCAACATACTCCCCTGACCCCACACACGCACAGCCTCCCCTACTGTCAGCTCTCCCTACCAGAGTGGTGCTTGTTACAATTAATGAACCTATATTGATACATCATTATCACCTAAAGTCTATCATTTACATTAGGGTTCACTCTTGGTATTGTACACTCTGTGAGTTCTGACAAATGTATAATGGCATGCATCAGCCAATGTAGTATCATATAGAATAGTTTCACTGGCCTAACAATCTTGCGCTCCACCTATTCATGCCTCCTTCCCCCTAATCCCTGGCAACCACTGATCTTTTTACTGCCTCTATAGTTTACCTTTTCCAGAATGGCATACAGCTGGAATCATACAACAAGTAGCCTTTTAATATTGGCTTCTTTCAGTTAGTAATAAGCATTTCAGTTTCCTTCATGTCTTTTCATGGTTTGATAGCTCATTTCATAATATTCCCTTGCCTGGATGTACCAGTTTATCCATTCACTAACTGGAGGTCATCTTGGCTGCTTTCAAGTTTTTGCAATTCTGAATAAAGTTGCTATAAACATCTGTGCACAGGTTTTTGTGTAGACATAAGTTTTCAGCTCTTTTGAGTACATTCCAAGGAGTGCAATTGCTGGATCTTATGGTAAGAGTATGTTTACTTTTGTGTGAAACCACCAAACTATCTTCCAAAGTGGCTGAACCATTTTGCATTCCCACCGGCAGTGAACGAGAATTCCTGATGCTCCACATCCTCACCAGTATTTGGTGTTGTCAGTGTTCTGGATTTTGGTCATTCTAATAAGTATGTAGTGGTATCTCGTTGCTTTGATTTGCATTTCCCTCGTGACATATGATGTGGACTATCTTTTTGTATGCTTTTATGCCAACTATGCATCTTCTTTGGTGAGGTGTCCAAGTTTTTGCCCATTTTTAAATTGTGGTGTTTGTTTTCTTATTGTTGAGTTTTAAGAGTTCTTCGCATGTTTTGGGTAACTGTTCTTTATCAGATGTGTATTTTACACACATTTCTCCCAGTCTGTGGCTTGTCAGATTCTCTTAACATTATCTTTTACCAAGCAGAAGGTTTTAATTTTAATGAAGTTTAGCTTATCCATTTTTTTCATGAATAGTGCCTTTAGCGTTTTATCTAAAAAGTCATCACTGAGGGGTGTTGTGCTTCCAGACAGTGCTGCTGCGTGCTAGTGCCCGGGTCCCTCAAAAAAGAATCTTTTAAAATTTTTTAAATAATAATGTCATCAACTAACCCAAAGTCATCTAGACATTCTCCTATGTTATATTCTGAGAGTTTTATATCTTTGAATTTTACACTGAGGTCTGTGATCCATTTTGATTAGTTTTTGATGAGGGTATAAGGTCTATGTCAAAGTTCAACTTTTTGCATGTGGATTCCAGTTGTTCTGGTGTCAATTGCTGAAAAGACTATTCTTTTTCTACTGTATTGCCTGTGTTGTTTTGTCAAAGATCAGTTGTGTATTTCTGTGTAGGTCTATTTTGGGGCTCTCTAGTCTATTCCACTGATCTATTTGTCTGTTCTTTCACTGATACCACACTGTCTTGATTACTATAGCTTTATATTAAGTCTTGAGGTTGGACAGTGTCAGACCTCTAACTTTGTTCTTTTCCTTCAATATTGTCTTGGCTGAATGACTTTTTAAAATTAATTAAAACATTTTTGGATAGAAACTTTGCCACTGGTATAATTCCTTGGCTTATGAAACATATATTTATGTATCTTAATTTTTAATGACTGAGAAATGTGTATTATTCTTTGCCATCACATAAAATGACCCCAGATTGTATTATCTTTTAGTGGTTTTACTATTTCTATAACCTATTCCTTTTGTTCTCACCCCTTCAGTTCCTCCAAGCCTCTCTCCTTCATACCATGTAATTAAGTGGGAATCAGTCTAGGTTTCCAGGGGAACCTTATTTTACAGTTAAGTTTAAGATAGCTGATCTAAGAGTTCCTGAGGAGAATTTTTTGTCTCTTCTGTGGAATGAATTATCCTCAAAAGTTCTAGATTCAGAGGCATAATCCAGGCAGCCATGATACCCAAGAGCCTTACGTCAAGTTGTGAGGCACTATTCTGATACAACTATAATAATGTCAACAGTAATTAGCAGCTAAATATTAAATGCATCACTCTTCAAAAATTCAGCTTCTGGGAAATTTTCCCCTTCCTTTCAGTTTTCCCCCCAGTTCACTTTTAAAAAAATAAGCAACTTGAGCTCCCTCTGAACTTCTAAAACTATTTAATACATGTCACTCTTAACCATCACCCAAACCTGCATCTATCAGTGACACATTCCCCCTCAAATCCCCCACCCAGACACCTGCAGGTTACTTTTCAATGCATCTTTGCATCTCGAAATCTGGGAAGGACTGTAGCTTGGGAAAAATTACACAGTTGAGGGCTTAGAATTGATCTAATGAAAGTTGATAAGACTTATTTGCCTGGGTCATTGATTTGTAGCCAAGCCCACTTCAATGAGTCCAGTTTCTATGTTATCACTTTTCACCTTTCATCAAGAGCAGGCACTGGAGGGACAACGGAATCCACAAAGCCAGTATTGTTGACTGTGATTAAAAAGAGTGTGGGATTCACTTTCTCCTACACAAGGGGGAAACCGAAGCTGACTCAACTAAAAGGAGGGCAAAAGGAGTCCTGGCCAGTGTCACCTCACCTGGAGAGAGGATCCAGAGAAGACTGGGGTTTCCATTGTGCAGTGTCTGGGGAATGCTAGAAGAACAGGGCTCTTATTGTTTCACTTCCAGCACTTAACTACCAAAGATGAGAGCTTCCTTTCTACTTATTACCCAGAGTCCAGAGTCACTGGGAGAGGTAATCAGATCATACTGTAACATCCTTTGAACTCCCTGGAGAGCTTGTGCTACAGTAAAGCATGTGGGATCCTTATCAACTCTAATTCTCTGGGGTCTTCCTCTGCCATCAATTTCACCTGTGCAGAGTCATTCAACCTTGTTCAGTCATTCATTCTTTGCTGCTGCTGTTTGTTTCAAGTCCATTAGAAGCTCATTCCAGGAAGCAGAAACTAACATAGAAACCAGTGTCAGCCTCCTGAGCTCCAAAGCACACCTGACCCAGGGATGGGGGGTGGTTAGTTAGCATGAAGTCAACCTCTTTCCAAATACTAAAGTAATCATAGTACAAACGGATTCTGTAATTAAAACCATCAAAAGATGCCTTGGTCTTCAGTCAGCATTATTGTGCCCACATTAACCTTCCCCACAAGCAAAAACACTACTTTTTCCTCTCTGTTTTCTACATTCTTCTTCATTAACTCCAAATCGAGAGTTTCATTATTTTTCAAATCAGAAAGGAGGGTTTACAAAAGGATCTGCAGATTTGAAAGATGCTGACAAGAAAGCAAACATGAATGGAAACACTACTTTTTAAAAATGTATTTCCTTCCAGGAAGAGCTGAGCAGTACAGGCATGTGGCAGAATAGGAGGTCATTTCAAAATATATCATGTTGAGCTTCACTCCCAATTATGAGCAGCAATTCTGTTTGATAATTACCTGGGCAATACGGAAATGGATCCCATTTACAAGCAAACAAAAATGTGTTTCACTGCAATATGCTCCATTCTGAAAACGTTCCCCCTTTTACCAACTTAATAATCATACCATTCTCTACATAAGATTTCTTTTTCTCACTCACCTCTCCTCTGTACTGCTTGGATTCTCTCCCATCTGGCCAATGAGTCTAAAATGCAGGGACTTATATCTTAATTTCATTTTTCAAAATAAGACTTCGCTCATGCCTGTAATGCCAGCACTTTGGGAGGCCGAGGTGGGCGGATTACTTGAGGTCAGGAGTTCAAAACCAGCCTGACCATCATGGTGAAACCCCATCTCTACTAAAAACACAAAAACTAGCCAGGCGTGGTGGCGCAGGCCTGTAATCCCAGCTACTTGGGAGGCTGGGGCAGGACAATCGCTTGAACCTGAGAGGCGGAGATTGCAGTAAGCCGAGATTGCGCCACTGCACTCCAGCCTGGGCAACAGAGCAGGACTCCGCCTCAAAAAAAAAAAAAAAAAAGCTCAAAAGCTCAAAAAGGTCAAAACCTCTTAACATCATAGGAATAGATGAATACTTTCTTGACAATGTTACATATGAATATACGTAGAAACAATATTGCCTGTATATAAAACAAAAACATATATATTTTCTCTGTTAAATTCTTAAATAAAACAAGGCCATCAACTATCACTATTTCTAACTCTGTTTAATATGATTTTGGAAGCATTATTCTAATCAAGTAGATAGGAAGAAAAAATTAGAAGTATAACCCTTGGTGATACTAAAAATTCATTAGAAAATGTATAAATAATAAGAAATTGAAGGTGCCTAGGTACAAAATTAATATTCAAAAATCAAGTATTTGTGTATACAAATAACATCTGCTTAGAATTTATAATGAAAGGAAAGATCCCAATTACAATAGTAACAAAAGATAAAGCACCTAACAGTAACTGAAAAAATACATACAAGAGAATTGTAAAATGCTACTAAAGGTCCACCCCTCCAAAAAAAAAAAATATCTTTAGCATATGAAAAATAGTATGTGTTCCCAGATAGGAAGGATCAACATCATAAAGACATTAATAGTTCCTAAATTAATCTAAAATGTATGTCATCCTCATAAAATATTAAATATTATTTGGAACTACACAAAATTATCCTAAAATTCATTTGAAAAATAAATATGCAAGAATTGCCAGGAGAATTCTGGGGGGAAGATAGTGAAAGAAGTCTATTCTACTAAAATTTAGCTAATTAAAACAGTGTGGCACTCATTCATAAAGATGTCAACAGAATAGACTAGAAAATCAAGAAAATTTCTTAATTCATACAGGAGTTTTTTTAAGATAAAGGTGGAATTTTAAATCAGTGCAGACAAGATGGATCACTCAATAAACAGTGTTAGACAACTGGGTCTTCATCTCAGGAAAAAGTTGGATTTGTATTCTTAAATAATAAAATAAAATCCAAGTGCATCAAAGATTTAAATGTGAAAAATTAACCATAAAAATATTAGAAGAAAACATGGAAAATTGTTTTTATGAATCTTGTAGTGGGGAAAACCCTTTCTAGTGTCCCAGACACTGTGAGTGGTCTGTTCATTATACCAGTTGTCCACTTTCCTCTTCTTTCCAGAGAAACAGAACCCCAATTCTGTTCAGGGTGAGAATAAGCCTAACCCCAAAGGATGGGTCATACTGGCTGTCATGTTCTCCACTTTCCCACACTCCCTTGCAGCTACAGTGTCTGTGTGGCTTGGTTTGGGTCAATAAGACATAACTGGAAATCTGATGGGAAAATCCTTGCTTTCTCAATAAAGATGGATAGACATGCTGGTGTCCCATCTCCTTTGAAAGGTTAGTTCTGTAGAAATCACCTAGGGATCAGATAAGAGAGGCCAAGAGAGTAGAATAAAAGATATTAGCCCTGACATTGTTGAACAGCTGAACCAGTGCTATCAACCACCTATTCCTGGAATTCTCACTATGAAATTTTAAAAATAAAATCCTATTTACTTAAGCCACTGTGTTTAGAGTTTTAGTTTCTTGCAGTTGTGTGATTCTTGGAATCCTACCTGACACACCATGAATGCCATAAAATTCAGAAACCCTAAAGGAAAAGATTGAGCAATTTGACAACATGAAAAATTTTTTAATTCTTTGAAAATAAAAAGGATTCCAAAAAGAAAAAAAAAACTAATATAAGATCTTTTTCATTTACATTATAGTCCAGAGCTAATATTTTTACTATATAAAGAGCTCACCAAATATAAAGTAAAAGACCACAGTCCAGCAGGAAAATGGGCAAGGGATAGAAACAGTGTTCATCAGGAAGTCCTAACAGAGCAATCAGGTAACAGAAAGATATAAAAGGCATCCAAATAGGAAAAGAAGAAGTCAATTTATCTCTCTTTGCTGATGATATAACTCTATACCTAGAAAATTCTAAAGACTCTGCCAAAAGACTCCTGGAACTGATAAACGACTTCCGTAAAGTTTCAGGATACAAAATCAATGCATGAAAATCAGTAGCATTTTTATACACTAAAAACATTTTCGCTGAGAGCCAAATCAAGAATGCAATCCCATTTACAATAGCCACACACTCAAAAAAATAAAATACCTAGGGATACATTTAACCAAGAAGGTGAAAGATCTCTACAATGAGAACTACAAAACACTGCTGAAAGAAATCATAGATGACACAAACAAATGGAACAATACATGCTCATGGATTGGAAGAATCAGTATCATTAAAATAGTTATACTTCCCAAAGCAGTCTTCAGGTTCAATGTCATTCCCAAACTACCATGTCATTTTTTTGTATATGTGCTGCCGAAGCGAGCATACCAATGTCATTTTTCACAGAATTAGAAAAACTATTCTAAAATTCATATGGAACAAATAAAGAGCCTGAGTAGACAAAGCAATCCTAAGAAAAAAGAACAAAGCTGGAGGCAATCACTTTACTAAACTTCAAA
Source organism: Homo sapiens (assembly GCF_000001405.40). NCBI lineage: Eukaryota > Metazoa > Chordata > Mammalia > Primates > Hominidae > Homo > Homo sapiens. Next base: position 11,926,308 of record NC_000012.12, read on the forward strand.
CTATACTATAAGGCTACAGTAACCAAAACAGCATAGTACTGGTACAAAAATAGACATATAGGCCAATAAAAAAGAATAAAGGATCCAGAAATAAAGCTGCACACCTGTAGCCATCTGATTTTTGAGAAAGTCAACAAAAAATAAGCAATGGGGAAAGGGCTCCCTGTTCAATAAATGGTGCTGGGATAGCTGGCTAGCCATATGCAGAAGAATGAAACTGGACCCTTACCTTTCATCATATGCAAAAAATTAACTCAAGATGGATTAACTATTTAAACTTATGTGTTCATCAAAAAAGAAATGCAGATGGCTGTTCATCACATGAAAAGATTTTCAACCTCACTCAAAATAAATAATAAAATAATAACAAAATAATTAAAACTATAGGAATATAGCATTCCTATAAATTTGTCTGATAGAGATTTAAAACAAAATACTGTATTTGTGGAGAAACGGATACTCTCAGGCATTTTTGTTAGAAGAGAAAACCGAAATAACTTCCATGGAGAGCAACTTGTCAATGTCACCAAAATTACAGATGCCACCCCAGCAATCACAACCTGTGTATACAATTAAAGGGCTGACAATAATCTAAGTTTCTGTGAATATAGGGCTTGTTACTTAAATTATAATAATAATTATGCAGCTATAAAAAATGAAGAGGTTCTATACGTATAGATGAAGAACAATCTTCAAGATACATTGTTAAATAAAACAAAAGTCAAAGTCCAGAATGTGTTTGTCATGCAGCCAATTCTTCTAAAAATATATTAAAAGGGAGTGAGCGGAGATTGCGCCACTGCACTCCAGCCTGGGCGGCAGAGCAAGGCTCCGTCTCAAAAAAAAAAAAAAAAAAAAAAAAAAAAAAATATATATATATATATATATATATATATATATATATATATGTAAAGGGAAAATATGTTATTGTACATTTATAAACTTCCTTAATAGAACACACAAGAAGCTGGTAAGGGTGGCTGTCTCTGAGAAGGAGAACTGAAGTGCTGGTGTTCCCATTATCTGTAACTATAATGAACCACCCTGAAGCTTAGTGGCATAAAACCACATACATTTTCTCATGCTCACAGATTCTGTGGGTCAGGAATTTGGACAAGACGCAGCAGGGATGGCTTATCTCTGCCCATTGATGTCTGGAGCTCCAGCTGAGAGGAAGTGATTGGCAGTGTGTGACTCCAATGGCTTGCGGCTGGAAAAATCTGAAGGTTTCCTCACTCGCACGTCTGGGCTCGGGCTGCGATAACTCAGCTGGCGTTTTTAACCAACGTGCCTACATGCGACCTCGACACGGAGCAGGGGCATCCTCACAGCATGGCAGCCTCAGAGCAGTCAGACCCCTTCCGTGGTGGGCTCTGAGAGCAAGGGTTCCAACGAGAAGGGCAGATCAGCATCTGCCTTTTATGGCTAGCCTCAGAAGTCACAGAGCCTCCCTTCCAGCCTGCTCCGTTGGTTGAAGCAGTCACCAGCCTGCCCAGATTCAGGAAGCAGGGACATAGAAATTGAAGGTCATCAACTTGCTAACAGTTGTTATCCCTACAGAGTGGAATCTGGGGAGATTTTCATTTTCCCCATTGGCCTACATTTATTGCCTAATTTCTCTAAACGAGCAAGTACAAACTGTGTTATAAGTGTTTTGGAAAAATCATAGATCTTGCTTAAGATTCTCTTCCGTGCAACACAGCAAATCTATGTTTCTCATGCATTTTCCTTGTGAGTTCGATACAGCGACAGAGTTCAGAAATACACTGTATATTTTCCATAAACTCTTTCTACACAGCGATGCATGACCTAAGAGGCATCAAGATTACCTGTGACTGCATGAGTGAAAGGACATCTCATTTATCTGCAGAATCAGGGTCTTGCAGGCCCAGAAGCACTGCTTCCATTTTCTTCACTTGGGCCTTCTCCAGCGGTGCACAGAGCTCTGTGGGACCCACACCCTGCGTCCTTGTCCTTGTCACATGAGGGTAGTGCAAGCCCAAGAGAACGAGTGGCCGGCCTGTCTTTGTCCTTGAGCCTGGCTGTCCTGCCTTTACTGGAAGCTTCTCTTTCTCTGTCTCTTTTCTCCTCCTTCTACTTTTATTCTTTGCTCTCTGCTCACCCCCTTTACCCTCTCTACATTTTTCCTCTTTCCCCAATTTTCTCTCTAGCTCTCTGTACTCTCTCCTTTCATTTACTCCCTGCAACAATCATACCACCTCCCTAAGCACGATACAAAAACAGGTGAGGGAAGGACTGGATGAAATTAACAAAGCAGGTTTACATGGCTCTGTTGCCTTTTCTCAGCTACCAGTTTTGGTTGGTTGGTTTTTCCATCTCAATCTGTTTCATTTTATCTGTCTCATTTCCTTCTTTTTTCTTGTAATAAAATATACACAGCATGAAATAAATCATTTTAACCATTTTGAAGTTCAAAACATTTGCACAGTTCAGGGCACTAAGTACATTCACATTGTACATCACCACCACCCGTCTCCAGAACTCTTCATCTTCCAAAACAGAAGCTCTGTGCCCAATACATAACCAGCCCCTCACTCTCCACACACCCACCCCATGGCAGCCACCATTCTACTTTCTGTGTCCATAAATTTGGCTACATTAGGTACCTCGTATAAGTGGAATCTCATGATATTTGTCCTTTTGTGACTGGCTTCTTTCACTAAAATAATATCCTTCAAGCCCATCCATGTGCTAACATGTGTCAGAATTTTCTTCCTTTTTAGGGCTAAACTTTATTATTTATCTATTGTATGGATGTACCACATTTTGTTTATTTACTCTTCTGTCAATGGATACTTGGGTTCTCAGGTACCATTTTTTCTCAAACAAGGTGACATGGGCTTTTTCCCTTCCCTCACCTCAAAGAAGGGGTTCCCTCCCCCTGCTCCTTCATCCCAGCCCACAGGCAGGTCCGCTCTCCACTGCGGGAGCTCCTCAGAATTGGGGCCAGCCACCCTCCCCCGACCTTTGTCCACCCTCTTCCTGATTAATGGCATCTATTTCTATGGCCTTTGGTACCCTCCAGGGCTGGTGATGCCAGGCTTCTCTCTCCAAAGACAACTTCTCAGAGTCCCAAACCTCACACCCAACCAGGTATTTCATTGCACCACTTACGACTATCTCATCACATGGTCAAACCCAGAAATCTTGATTTTTCCCACCCATCCACTTGCAGAATAAATGTCATCAGAACCTTTCTGTAAGTCTGACAGGAGACTAGAGGTTTGATCTTCAGGGAAATTAAAGCTTGCTGCTCCAGCTCCAGACACCACACATAGAGAAGGATGAGAGGGAGACTCAGAGCTGAAAAGAGGGTAATTCATAGAAAGTCTGTACACTCTATGGTAGGAAGCATATCCAGCACTGCTACCAGAAAAATAGGACCAGTCCCCAGGCAAGAACCCCCAGGCAGTTTCGTCACTGGAGAAACTGAGGGTGTCCGCAAAAGTGACCTTCAGACATGGCTGTGTGGCCACTTTTCCTCTTGAGAAGCCTCCTGGTAACCAGTGGCAAGGCCGAGCCATGCCTACAAAGCTTTGAGTCATGCAGTAGGGCCTCACTCTTACCTGTAAATAAACAGCCAAGGATCAACAGGCATTTAAGGAAAACAGCAAGGTAAGCAGATTATTTAGAAACTGAGAAATAAATACCAAGAGCAGAGCTAAAGGAGTTGAAGATATTTGCCTCTGGGCAGCAAAGTTGTTGAATGGGAAAGAACTAATATGTTCAATTGTGCATTTTTTAGTGCTGTTTGATTTTTAAATATGTTTGTGTATATATATACACATATATAGGTAAAAATAATTTTTTAAGAGACAGGGTCTTGCTCTGTCACCCAAGTTGGAGTGCAATAGTGCTATTGTAGCTCACTGTAACCTCAAACTCCTGGGCTCAAGCGATTATCCCACCTCAGCCTCTCAAGTAGCTGAGACTACAGGCACGTACCACCATACCTGGCTAATTTTTTTAAAAAAATTTGTAGAGTTTCAGTCTCACTATGTTGCTAACTCCTGGCTTTAAGAGATCTTCCTATCTCAGCCTCCCAAAATGCTGGGATTACAAGCAAGAGCCACTGGACCTGGCCAGGTAAATATAATTTTAAAAAAAGAAAATATGAGTACCGCCAACAACCTATCTGCTCAAGAATGGAGAAATCTGGAAATTCTCTCTGATTCTTCCTTTTTTTCCCATCCTACAAAACTAGTCTATCACTAAGATTCACCCATTTAACATCCAAAATATTTCTTGATTCATCCACTTCTTTCCGTCTTTGCCACCACCGTCCTCAAATATGCCACCAGCACCTCTTCCTGGTTATACACAGCCCCGTATTGGTCTCTTTCCTTCCAACCTTACCCCTTCTCAAGGTAATACACTTATTCTTCTCAAGGCAATAAAACTGATCAGCATAAAAGGTAAATCAGGCTGGGCACAGTGGCTCATTCCCATAATCCAACATTTGGGGAAGCTGAAGTGGGAGGATCACTTGAGCCCAGGAGTTTGAGAGCAGCCTGGGCAACCTAGTGAGACCCCACCTCTAAAACAGAAGAAGAAGAAAGGTAAATGAGATCATGTAAAACCCTAAAATGTCTATCACCCTCAAACTGCAACATAAACTCCAATAGTTACCCCTAAGGTCCTGCTGGATCTGACCCCCACCTACCTGTTCAATCCCAGCTTGATTTGCTCCACTCTCTTCCTTGCTCATTAAGCTCCAGCCTCATTATTTTGCTTTCCTCCAATTCCAAAAAAAAAAAAAAAAGCCAAGATCTTTGCTGCTTCGGGCCTTTACCTATGTCATCTACATGCATGGAGATGTGGTTGCCTTTCTCCTCATCCAACAGGTCCCATCCCATCCGAGTCTCAACAGAAACATCACCTCCCCAGGGAGACCGTCTCCACCAACCTATCAAAAGTAAGTCACTCCTGTGATCGCCTATTTCATCTTACTTGCTTCCTTCATATCATTTTTCATTGTATTATCTATTCATTTGCTTTATTTTTCTGCTCCTCCAGCAGAAAATTAGCACCATAAAGGCAAGGACCATGCCCTATCTCTAGTATCTGGCACAGCACCTGTTTGAATAAATTACTTTCTACAGTGAATGCAAATATCATTTGCATCTCTCCAGGCAGTTTTCCAGGTTGTACTATTCTTCGGAATAAGCACAACAAACTTGCTTAAGGATTAAAGATGTCTGACAACAGTTGCTTCTTAGTGTGTGACACAGCATCAGCCACTCTCCAAACTGCTAAGACGTCTCCCTTGTGGGGCTCATGCAACAGTTTATCTATTTATATTGGAGGGAGTAGAGAATAGGAAAAGTACACAGACAAATTGATTCGGGGGTGGGGAAGAATGCTGTTTTTAAAAAGTGATCAATACATCTTCCTTAGATAGTAGGGAGGAACCCCTATCTTGACAGGCTTTGGGGAGATAGGGTCAAATGCCAATTTCTACTTGAATCACAGCAGTATGGGTGCCGTAACAGCCTAGCATTTCATCATTATGATGACTATTAAAATGGTAATAATGCAAGAGAGCAGGGAACCAGACGATGAAAAGGGATAGGCAGCTAAATACCTCACTGTGTTCTTCAGACATTTTAGTCATAGCTACACCATAATCATTAAAAAGATCTGCAGGATGTTAGAGTAATGCTGGTGATGGGGCATTTGCACTTTCTTTGACCTGAAAAGAACTATCTATTTTGTTACCTTAAACTTTAATCCCTGTCACTTCTTCTTTCTTTCTTTTTTTTTTTTGAGACGTAGTTTCGCTCTTGTTGCCCAGGCTGGAGTGCAATGGCACAATCTAGGCTCACTGCAACCTCTGCCTCCCGGGTTCAAGCAATTCTCCTATCTCAGCCTCCCAAGTAGCTGGGATCACAGATGCATGCCACCAGGCCCGGCTAATTTTTATATTTTTAGTAGAGACGGGATTTCATCATATAGGTCAGGCTGGTCTCAAACTCCTGACCTCAGATGATCCACCCGCATCGGCCTCCCAAAGTGCTGGGATTACAGGCATAAGCCACCATGCCCAGCCATCCCTGTCACTTCTATAACCCATCTTGTCCAAAATCATGATGACTTATCTTAAGGACTATTGGACACACATTTGAAAGGAAAGGTGTCCACTGAGATGATGTTGAGATCGGAAATCATACAGTCCTCTCTTCCCTCCCACTTATAATGGAACAGAAACCCAAGTCCTTCCTTGAGGAGAAGGAGGAACCAAATGATTCCTCAACATCCTTTCCAGCTGTAAGATTCAATAACTGGATGATCCATCATTTCCTGAAGGAACTTAGCCTAGGAGATTGGATGGTAGTAAACTGTGGAAATGTCATAAGCCTCATCATACCTGCTAAGCAGTCAAAGCTATACATGAGCATCCTACAAAAAGAAAAGCCCAGAAGAGAGAAAGAGAAAATATAAAATTTTATATCAGCAAACACCAGGAGGATGAAATCACACTCATTATTTGCTCATTAAGCAAATATTCTTTTAGCACTCACTATGTAACTGGCACAGTGCTTGAAACTGGAGGCAGATATGTAAAATAAGGCCCTGGGCTCAAAGAGTAGTGGAGATGGCCTTCAAAATAAATAATTATGCACAGTCTCATGAATGCTGTTGTGAGAGTCAGTACTGCAAAGTTCTGTAGGAATCCAGAAAGGTAAGTAGCTCTACTGAGAGAATAAAGAAAAACTTTATCAAAGAGATGACATTTGAGTTGAACTTTGAAGTATGGATAGGAGTTTCCTGGTAATTTAGGAGAAGGGATTGCAAGAAGAAGGAATGGCATACATAAAGGCTTAAAGACATATTTGGAGTGAGAGGACCAAGGCTGAGTTTCCCTGTCTGCCCTGGTATCAAGGCAGACAAGGAACTGATTTAAAGTGTACTGTACGCCTTGCTGAAACCTTAGATTTTTTTCCTGTAAACAATGGACATAATTGAATGACTTTTACTAAGTGTACTTCATGATCAGATTTCTTTTGTTAAAAAAGAATTCTCTAGTAGAATTGCCGAAAATTAGGAAGGGATAAAGTCAAGGAAACCAGTCACGAGGCTACTATTAATAATCCAGCCAAGAAATGAGGGTGCGCCTTAGCATATAAAAAGATGTTCAACTTCAGTATAATGAGAGAAATTCAAGCTAAATCCACACTGAGATACAATTTCTCACCTATCAAGATAGTAAAAATTCAAATTCTTGAGAACACATGCAGTTGGTGAGGATTTAGATAACAGGCTTTCTTATATATTGCTGGTTGGAGTACAAAATAGTACAACTCATATGGGCTGGGCGCAGTGGCTCACGCCTGTAATCTCAGCACTTTGGGAGGCTGAGGTGGGTGGATTGTTTGAGGTCAGGAGTTTGAGACCAGCCTGACCAACATGGTGAAACCCCGTCTCTACTAAAAATACAAAAATTATCTGGGCGTGGTGGCAGGCCCCTGTAATCCCAGCTACTTGGGAGGCTGAGGCACGAGAATCACTTGAACTCAGGAGGTGGAAGTTGCAGTGAGCTGAGGTCACATCACTCCACTCCAGCCTGGGCAACAAAGCGAGACTCTGTCTCAAAAAAAAAAAAAAAAAAAAATAGTAGAACTCATACAGAGGAGAATTTGGCAATTTCCTGTGAAACAATGTATGCCCATACCCTTTGATCTAACTATCAGATTTTTAGGAATTTACCCTGAAGATACTTCTACAAATACCAAACAATGTATGTATAAGATTATCCAACTGCAGCATTATTTGTATTAACAAAATAATGGAAATACTGCCAAATGCCTATTCAAAGGAGTCTGATTGAATAGATGATGGTAGAGTCACACAATAGAATATTATGCAGCTATGAAAAAGAATGTGAAAAATCTCTATAAATTAATATTAAATGATTTCCAGGATATACTATTGAATGAATAAAGCAAGATGCAGAAGATAATATAGAATATACCAACTTTTGTTTAGGAATGAAAAGGAAATTAAAAATGTGACCACACATATTTGCTTATTTTTTTAAAAAAAGAAAAGAAACACAGGAAATACATTTCAGAAATAAGTGAAAAATTGTTACCAAGAAAGGATGGGTGAAAATGAGACAGAAGGGATAAGGATAAGAGCAATGGGGATATAGTTTTTTAAGCAAAGCCTAATGTTGAACACAAATATAAAAAGTTAATTGAACTTAGAGATAAGGTAAGCATGTCCCCTCTCTCATCACTGCTTTCAACATTGTACCGAAAGTCCTAGCTAATGAAATAAGACAAAAAAAGTAAGTAAAATGTATAGATTGAGAGGGAAGAAATGAAACTGTCTTGGTTCCCAGATGACATGATCATCTATGCAGAAAATCTGAAAGAGCAATAATAACAACAACAAAAACTCCTGGAACTAATAAGCAATTATAGCACGTTTGCACAAAACAAGGGTAATATACAAATGTCAATAGCTTTCCTACACACCAACAATAAACAAGTGAAATTAGAAATTAAAAACACATTACCATTTACATTTACATTAGCATCCAAAAATGTGAAACAGGTATAAATCTAACAAAATATGTAAAGATCTATATGAGGAAAACTACAAAATGCAGGAAAAATATAAAAGAAGAACTAAATAAAAGGATAGATATTTCATGTTGATGAACAGGAACACTCAATATTGTAAAGGTATCAGTTCTTCCAAATTTGACCTACGAAGTCAGTGCTATCCCAAACAAAATCCCAGTAAGTTATTTTGTAGGGATTGACAAACTGATTCTAAAGTTTACATAGAGAGGCAAAAATCCCAGAATAATCAATAATACAATACTGAAGGAGGAAAACAAAGCCAGAGGCCTGCCGCTGTCTGACTTTGAGACTTACTCTGAAGCTACAGGAATCAAGACAGTGTGGTATTGTGAAAGAATACACAAGTGGATGAATAGAACAGAATAGAGACCCCAGAAACAGACATATAGAGAGACATTTTTTACAAAGGAGCAATGATAATATGATACAGCAAAGATAGTCTTTTCAACAAATGGTGCTGGGACAACTGAATATCCACATGCCAAAAAAAAAAAAAAAATCTAGACACAGACTCTGTACCCTTTGCAAAAATTAACTCAAAATGGATCATGGACCAAAATGTAAAACACAAAACTATAAAATTCTTGGAAGATAACGTAGGAGAAAACCTAAATAACCTTGAGTATGTCAACACCTTTTTATACACGTCACCCAATGCACAATCCATGAGAGAATTCATCAATAAGCTGGACTTTTCTGCTCTGTGAAGGACAATGTCAAGACAATCAGAAGACAAGCTATAGACTCAGAGAATATATTTGCAAAGGAGACGTCTGATAAAGGACTGTTATCTAAATACACCGAAAAACCTCTTAAAATTCAACAACATGATTTTTAAAATGGGCAAAGTGGAAGGGGGAAATGAAGAGAGGTGGGTGATTGGGTAGAAATTTACAGTTAGATCAAAAAATAAGTTCTTTTTTTTTATTATACTTTAAGATTTAGGGTACATGTGCACATTGTGCAGGTTAGTTACATATGTATACATGTGCCATGCTGGTGCACTGCACCCACTACCTCGTCATCTAGCATTAGGTATACCTCCCAATGCTATCCCTCCCTCCTCCCCCCACCCCACCACAGTCCCCAGAGTGTGATATTCCCCTTCCTGTGTCCATGTGATCTCATTGTTCAATTCCCACCTATGAGTGAGAATATGCCGTGTTTGGTTTTTTGTTCTTGCGATAGTTTACTGAGAATGATGATTTCCAATTTCATCCATGTCCCTACAAAGGACATGAACTCATCATTTTTTATGGCTGCATAGTATTCCATGGTGTATATGTGCCACATTTTCTTAATCCAGTCTATCATTGTTGGACATTTGGGTTGGTTCCAAGTCTTTGCTATTGTGAATAATGCCGCAATAAACATACGTGTGCATGTGTCTTTATAGCAACATGATTTATAGTCCTTTGGGTATATACCCAGTAATGGGATTGCTAGGTCAAATGGTATTTCTAGTTCTAGATCCCTGAGGAATCGCCACACTGACTTCCACAATGGTTGAACTAGTTTACAGTCCCACCAACAGTGTACAAGTGTTCCTATTTCTCCACATCCTCTCCAGCACCTGTTGTTTCCTGACTTTTTAATGATTGCCATTCTAACTGGTGTGAGATGGTATCTCATTGTGGTTTTGATTTGCATTTCTCTGATGGCCAGTGATGATGAGCATTTTTTCATGTGTTTTTGGCTGCATAAATGTCTTCTTTTGAGAAGTGTCTGTTCATGTCCTTCGTCCACTTGTTGATGGGGTTGTTTTTTTCTTGTAAATTTGTTTGAGTTCATTGTAGATTCTGGATATTAGCCCTTTGTCAGATGAGTAGGTTGCAAAAATTTTCTCCCATTTTGTAGGTTGCCTGTTCACTCTGATGGTAGTTTCTTTTGCTGTGCAGAAGCTCTTGAGTTTAATTAGATCCCATTTGTCAATTTTGGCTTTTGTTGCCATTGCTTTTGGTGTTTTTGACATGAAGTCCTTGCCCATGCCTATGTCCTGAATGGTATTGCCTAGGTTTTCTTCTAGGGTTTTTATGGTTTTAGGTCTAACGTTTAAGTCTTTAATCCATCTTGAATTGATTTTTGTATAAGGTGTAAGGAAGGGAACCAGTTTCAGCTTTCTACATATGGCTAGCCAGTTTTCCCAGCACCATTTATTAAATAGGGAATCCTTTCCCCATTGCTTGTTTTTCTCAGGTTTGTCAAAGATCAGATAGTTGTAGATATGCGGCGTTATTTCTGAGGGCTCTGTTCTGTTCCATTGATCTATATCTCTGTTTTGGCACCAGTACCATGCTGTTTTGGTTACTGTAGCCTTGTAGTATAGTTAGAAGTCAGGTAGCATGATGCCTCCAGCTTTGTTCTTTTGGCTTAGGATTGCCTTGGCGATGCGGGCTCTTTTTTGGTTCCATATGAACTTTAAAGTAGTTTTTTCCAATTCTGTGAAGAAAGTCATTGGTAGCTTTATGGGGATGGCATTGAATCTGTAAATTACCTTGGGCAGTATGGCCATTTTCACGATATTGATTCTTCCTACCCATGAGCATGGAATGTTTTTTTTTGAAAGGATCAACAAAATTGATAGACCGCTAGCAAGACTAATAAAGAAAAAAAGAGAGAAGAATCAAATAGACACAATAAAAAATGATAAAGAGGATATCACCACCGATCCCACAGAAATACAAACTACCATCAGAGAATACTACAAACACCTCTACGCAAATAAACTAGAAAATCTAGAAGAAATGGATAAATTCCTCGACACATACACTCTCCCAAGACTAAACCAGGAAGAAGTTGAATCTCTGAATAGACCAATAACAGGAGCTGAAATTGTGGCAATAATCAATAATTTACCAACAAAAAAGAGTCCAGGACCAGATGGATTCACAGCCGAATTCTACCAGAGGTACAAGGAGGAACTGGTACCATTCCTTCTGAAACTATTCCAATCAATAGAAAAAGAGGGAATCCTCCCTAACTCATTTTATGAGGCCAGCATCATTCTGATACCAAAGCCAGGCAGAGACACAACCAAAAAAGAGAATTTTAGACCAATATCCTTGATGAACATTGATGCAAAAATCCTCAATAAAATACTGGCAAAACGAATCCAGCAGCACATCAAAAAGCTTATCCACCATGATCAAGTGGGCTTCATCCCTGGGATGCAAGGCTGGTTCAATATACGCAAATCAATAAATGTAATCCAGCATATAAACAGAGCCAAAGACAAAAACCACATGATTATCTCAATAGATGCAGAAAAAGCCTTTGACAAAATTCAACAACCCTTCATGCTAAAAACTCTCAATAAATTAGGTATTGATGGGATGTATTTCAAAATAATAAGCGCTATCTATGACAAACCCACAGCCAATATCATACTGAATGGGCAAAAACTGGAAGCATTCCCTTTGAAAACTGGCACAAGACAGGGATGCCCTCTCTCACCACTCCTATTCAACATAGTGTTGGAAGTTCTGGCCAGGGCAATTAGGCAGGAGAAGGAAATAAAGGGTATTCAATTAGGAAAAGAGGAAGTCAAATTGTCCCTGTTTGCAGACGACATGATTGTATATCTAGAAAACCCCATTGTCTCAGCCCAAAATCTCCTTAAGCTGATAAGCAACTTCAGCAAAGTCTCAGGATACAAAATCAATGTACAAAAATCACAAGCATTCTTATACACCAATAACAGACAAACAGAGAGCCAAATCATGAGTGAATTCCCATTCACAATTGCTTCAAAGAGAATAAAATACCTAGGAATCCAACTTACAAGGGATGTGAAGGACCTCTTCAAGGAGAACTACAAACCACTGCTCAAGGAAATAAAAGAGGATACAAACAAAAAATAAGTTCTAATGTTTGACAGCACACTGGGGCGACTGTAGTTAGCAAAGATATGTTAAATTGCTGCTATGTAGAAGAGAGGACTTGAAATGTTCCCAACACACAGAAATGATAAACACCCAAGACGATGGATACTCGAAACACCTTGACTTGATCATTCCACATTCTGTGCATGTAAAAAACATTCACAGGTACCCCATCGATATGTAAAAACATTATTTATCAATAGAAGAAAAAATTAATGAGACAGTTTTCACCATATTGTACCCTCTAAATTATTAATAACATTTTTGTGAGAGCAAAAAGTATTTGCTATCATTTAATAATGTAGTTTTAAAATATAATTTCATCTTCATCCCAAACTTTTCAATTTTTTATTTCTGCATGTTTTATATAATAAATAATGTATTAGTAGAGTAATATATTAAAATCTTCACAAGTAAATAAATATGTATATATCTAAAAACTGGGCAAAAGACTTAAATGATACCTCACCAAAGAAGATATGCAGATGGAAAATAAAAATATGAAGAGATATTCCACATCATTTATCATTAGGGAATCGCAAATTAAAACAACAATAAGATAGCACTACACCCCCATTAAAGGAGTCAAAATTCAAAACACCGAAAACACCAAATGCTGGCAAAGATGTAGAGCAACAGGAACTCTCATTCATTGCTGCTAAAATTGCAAAGTGGTATAGCCACTTTGGAAGATAGTTTGATGGTTTCACATACAACTAAACATACTCTCACCATATGATCGAGCAAGTGTGCTCCTTGGTATTTATCCAAATAGATTAAAAACTTATGCCTACACAAAAACCTGCGCATGGATATATATTGCTATAAACTTATGAAGTTTAAAATTAAATTTGAAATTGCTTTATTCATAATTGCCAAAACTTGGAAGCAACAAAGATGTCCTTCACTAGATGAATATATAAGTAAACTGATGCATCCAGACAATAGAATATTATTCAGCCCTAAAAAGAAATGAACTATCAAGCCAATAAAAGACATGGAGGAAACTTAAATGCATTTTACTAAGTAAGAAATACCAATTGGAAAAAGCTACAGATTACATGATTTCAACTATATGACATTCTGGGAAAGGCAAAACTATAGAGCCAATAAAAAGATCAGTGGTTGTCAAAACTATAGAGACAATAAAAACATCAGTGGTTGTCAAGGGTTAGGGTTAAATAGGCAGAGCACAGATTTCTAGGGCAGTGAAACTATTCTGTATGATCCCATAATAGTGAATATGTATCATTATACATTTGTCAAAACTCATAGAATGTACATCACCAACAGTGAACCCTTATGTAAACTCTAGACCTTGGATGATAATGATGTGTCCACGTAGATTGATGGATTATAACAAACGTACCACTCTGGTGCTGGCTGGTGATTGTGAAGGAAATTGTACACTGTGTGTGAAAAAAAGTATATAGAAACCTTCTGTGCCCTTCATTTACTTTTGCTGTGAATCTAAAACTTCTCTAAAAAATCAAGTTTATTAATTTTTTAAACTAACCTAACTTTATCTGAATTCAATAGCATATCCACATAGGAAAACCAAGTAATTTTCAAAGACCATATTCTATATATCACTAGTAGGACATATATTCTATGGACAAACTGCAAATAAATATAAATTTTACTTAGTAGTGTATTAGTAGTAGTAATAATGGTATTATATTCTGAAACTATTTTATATATATTGTAACATAAAACAAATAAGTAAAACAATTAATATTATTGGAGCCAAGATTTTCACTGTGAAAGAAAAAATAAAAATTTAAAATTTTTTAAAGGCCAAGAATAAATCTGAATTATAATTATCGGTATGAATTCATGATTTGTAAAAATATATTTTTTATCACTTTCATTGAAAGGGCTTAGGTGTAATGACACACCAATAGCAATGAGCACATCCAACAACCAGATGTTGGTTTCTAAACATCATTCTCCACTAAAAAGAACAAGGGCTCCAGGTCTAGGACTGGAGTGCAAGTTGAGCCTGGGATCTCTTCCCTCCCTCTCCAAAATAAAGAAGGACACAGAGTCCAAGGGTCACGGTAAAGGTTCACAGGCCCTGGCTTGAAGGGTCAGTCCGGGCAATTTATAAACATTGATTCAGCGAGGATCATGAGAAAATGCTGAAGCCACTGGGTAACTTTGTTGGGCATCAGGATTTTCATACAACCTGAAACTATTACTCAAGGATTGCATACTAACTACGAAGGGAGAAATTACTTTTACAATTGAGAGATATAATTGATATTTTCCTTTCTCTCTTCCAGGCTTTTCTTTTCCTAGGCTGCTAACTAAGCTGCTATCTGTGGTAACTTTACACTGTGTCAGTCTAACTAAGCAGGAACCATGCCTCCCAAAATTCACTCCCCTGCATGTCCCAGAGTAGAGCTGGTCAAATTAGGCATTTGTGAGCGATCTGGAAGGTGGACATGAAACAGCATGGTCAATGAAGTAACGTTTTCTGGGGCTTAAATTCCACTGAGTTAAGGGTCATTCCAGTCATCTGCTCTTCCATCTAGTTCCTACTGCTTCCATTTCTAGGAAGTGAGATCAAAGTTCTGGCTTAGGGAATAGAAGTACAGGATTAGTTTTCTTATTTCCCCCCTTAACTTCCCTCATCATACCATAACTTGTCCTGGAAGCCATGAAGAGAAAAATAACACCTCTTATTTAAACCCCAACCCAACCCACATGTGGGATCCAGGAATTACTTAAAGGCCTTATGTGCTTGGTCAAAAATAAAGAAGCCCATTTAAATATTTGTGACATCAGTGGAGCAGACACTGATCTGACAGATGGACAAGACTGTAAACTGCTATGTCCCCCAAAGTTCATGTGTTGAAATTAATTGCCATCATTACAGTATGAAGAGGTGAGGCCTTTAAGAAGTGATTAGGCCATGAGAGCTCCATCCTCATGAATGGATTAATGCCCTTATCCCAGGAGCAGTTAGTCATCACAGGAGCTGAGTCCTGATAAAAACCACAGGTGTGGTCTGATTTCCTCTCTTCATCTCCTGCAATTGCTTCTGCCTTCTGCCCTTCCACCATGGGACAACCCTCACCAGATGCCAGTGCTGTGCTCTTGGACACCCCAGCTTCCAGAACTGTGAGAAAGAAGTTTCTTTTCTTTATAAATTACCCATTCTGTGGTATTCTGTTATAGCAACAGAAAACAGACTAAGCCAGTGGCATTTTTAGTATAATATGCCCTATAAGCTTAGCAGAAAAATCACTCGGCCCACCATGTTAGTGACTCATGGGTGTTAATAGTGACAATTCAAAACTCTACTGGGGATACAGCCAATTTCTGCTTATCCACAAATAGATGATTACTTTGCCAAGTATTTGCACAGCAATCTGTTCCAGCTTGGGCTACCACAGTAGGCCCCAGCTTGGGTGGGGTCAGCCCTGTATAAAGGAATGTGGAGAGGCCAGGCATGGTAGCTCATGCCTGTAAACCCAGCACTTTGGGAGGTGGAGGCAGGTGGATCACTTGAGTTCAGGAGTTCAAGACCAGCCTGGACAACATGGCAAAACCCTGTCTCTACAAAAAATACAAAAATTAGCCAGCCATGGCGGCATGTGCCTGTAGTCCCAGCTGCTCGAGGGGCTGAGATGAGAGGATTGCTTGAGCCCAGGAGGAGGAGATGGCACTGAGTGGAGATTGCACCACTGCATTCCACTCTGGGCAGCAGAACCAGACCCTGTCTTTAAAAAAAAAAAAAAAAAAAAAAAAAGGATGTGGAGTGCAGGGGTGGTGGTGATTGGGAGTAGAATATAGAGTGACGATTAAGGGGGTATTATTTTCATCCCAGCATAGGCCTGATTATATTCTAAGGTGAAATGTTATTCATCTGTGCCACTCCATATTTACTGAGCATCTACTGTGATTGCAACACTGTGTAAGCCAGTAGGGATTCAAAAGCTATAAAATAGAATCCCAACTTCAGAAACCTTAACTTGGGTTTAAGACGCAAACCATAGACACAAAAATTATTGCATCAATACCCACCTGCAATGATAAATGCCTGAGCGTGCTGAACAGACAGGAGAGAGTTTGGAAGAGAAATTATCCACCATGTAATGCAATAGGCAAATCACAGGACTGACGGAATTCTCTAGAAAGAAATGAGAAAGCAGTAGGAGCAAGGAACATAGTTATTAAGCATCTATTAATGATGCTACTAACAACTACCATTTGGAGGCATTTACTGAATGCCGAGTGCTTTACCTGTGATTTCTCATTGAAGTTTTGCAACCATCATGTGATAAAATGAATTATTAATCTCATATTTTAAATTAACAAAGTGAGGTTTCAGATAAGTAATTACCCCAAGTCACACAATCTGTAAATAACTAAGCACAACTCATAAACAGGTTTTTCCGACTCAGAGTTGATGTTCTTTCTATGTCTAGGCCTGGGCTCTTTGCTTTGTTTCCTTTCTCACTAGAAATGCGTCATATGTGCCATGTGTAACCCCCATGGCCTCTGCCTTCAAGGAGCAAGTCATGTACGCAAGACGGTGGTGGGGGACAAGAAAATGTTGAGCCAGGCTGGGTGCGGTGGCTCACGCCTGTAATCCCAGCACTTTGGGAGGCCGAGGCGGGTGGATCACGAGGTCAGGAGATCGAGATCATCCCGGCTAACACGGTGAAACCTCATCTCTACTAAAAATACAAAAAAATAAAATTAGCCGGGCATGGTGGCAGGCGCCTGTAGTCCCAGCTACTCGGGAGGCTGAGGCAGGAAGAATGGCGTGAACCCAGGAGGCGGAGCGTGCAGTGAGCCGAGATTGCGCCACTGCACTCTAGCCTGGATGACAGAGCAAGACTCCGTCTCAAAAAAAAAAAAAAATGTTAAGCCAAAGGGTGATTGAAAGCCCAGATGTATGGTAGAGGCAAATCATGCTGCAGGGGACGTGGTTTGCAGGGATGTCTCTCAGGAAGGGGTTGTGCCTTAGGAAGAGGCCACCATTCTGAAAGCATCACATCCCTCTAGCTACCTCCATGGAATTCTACCAGTGCTCCCAGGACAAATTCTGGATACAAAAATTGCAAACTGCAACAGCAGCCCCTCAGGAGGTCTTTTTACCTGATGCTACGCAACAGGGCATGCTAATTATACTTAAATAGCAGAAAAATGGCTCCTAGGTGGCTGGATGGGGTAGATTACGGACATAAGAGGCCACTAGCATTCATTCCCAAGCCCAGTCAGCCTATCTGAGTAACGGTGGTGCTCCTGGGGCAGAGTGTATTACCCCCCGCCTGCAATGTGCCTAACTAGTGTCAATATTGACAGAGGAGCTCATGGGAGAACAGATGGATGGAGTGAACCAAAAGACAGCCACTTCTCAGTCTTCATTGTGCAGGAGGAGTGATCCGGGCGAAGTCGTGCTCCACTGTCACCTTAGCAAACCTTATCGCCTCCTCATAAACATCCAGGTAACTCCCAGCAAAAGGTGAATAAGAAATGGCAAGGGTTCAGTGAAGCGTTTGTATTTCTGTCTCAGCAAAAAACAAATCCTCTCCCCATCACTTGACTGTAATTTTCTTCTGTGTAATTTTCTAGCAATAGTTGGCAGGTTTGGGAATCACTAGCACATAGTCATTAGCTGTAAAAACGACAGTTGATGATTCTGGGAGTCCAGAGAGAAGAGAACTGGCCAAGAAAAACCCTGGGGAATGCCAACATCTAAGGCTGTGGTGTGAAGAAAGGAAGCCCACGGATGAGGTAGCTTTTCAATGATCGCAGATGTACATGAAGAGGAAGAACTAGGACTGAGGGGTATCTCAGGAGCCCCAAAGTGTCAAAGGCAGCAGAAAAATCCAGGAAGAAGAGAGCTAAAAAATATCCCCTGGGTTTGGTACATAGGTCATGAATGACATTCTCATGAGAGCTTTGGTAGAATGATGGGGTTCAGAAGACAGCCCCACATGGAATAAGGAGCAAAAGGGAGGTGAGGAAGCAGAGGGGAAGGAGAAGAGTTTTCAGAGATGTTTGAATAAGAAATTGGAGGGTTGCTGGCAGGGAAGAGTCAGGGGATAATTTTTTTTTTTTTTTTTTGAGATAGGGTCTCACTTTGTTGCCCAGGCTGGAGTGCAGTGGCACAATCCTGACTCGCTGTAGCCTCTATCTCCCCAGGCTCAATTGATCCTCCCACCTCAGCCTCCCGAGTAGCTGGGACTACAGGTATGCACTACTACGACTGGCTAATTTTTGTATTTTTTGCAGAGCTGGAGTTTTGCCATGTCTCCCAGGCTAGTCTGGAACTCCTGGGCTCAAGCGATCCAACGAGCTCGGCCTCCCAAAGTGCTGAGATTACAGTCAGATGACACCTCACATGGCCGAGAATAATTTATTGAGGATGGTAATTATTTGAGCATGATGAGAGGCTCAACATTGAGAAATCCTAATGGAAGTGAAGGCACTGATGGAAGAACATTGGTAGACATTAGAGGGAGAGCCTGGAATATGAGCCCCTCAATCAAACTCCCAAAGTTTTCTTGAAAATCTGTAAACCACTGAAATCATTCTTTGATATCCTTTTTTAACCTACTCAAGGACAGGAGGCCCAGACTGGCCGTCTTTGCTAGCTGCCACTAAACAGTTTACCTGCCACCCCCTACCCACCCCCAGAGAGCATAGATAAGATTTATTGTGTATACACTGCAGTTTTTCCTCAACCTCCACTTATTTTTATAAATCCTTAACTAGGCTTCAGAGCTGATTCCCTCACATATGAGGAAACAATTTGCATACAAAATAATTAACCAACATGCAAACTAACTAGATGTTTTTCAGTTATTTTTTGACGAGAGAAAAAATCGCAGAAGATGCATGAGCAAATGGCAATGCCGGACATAGGATCCAAACAGGTTGGGAGATGACAGCACCAGAGGCAGCATGATGAGGTTGCCTTTAAGTAGGAGAGGGGGCGCTCTGGGCTCTGACCCTGGAGGAAGTGCACAAAGGATGCATATTGATTGGCAGGGGAAATGGGTGAGGGGGTTCCAGGGGCATGGGGTGAGCAGAGCAGGGAGTCAAAGGGCTGTCTGCTCAGAGTGCAGAAGGCCATGTATGGGGAATGGCAAAGGTTTCTAAGTTGTTGAAGAGAATAGGAAAGGGATGTAGCAAGAAGATAAAAGGTTGCTGGTACTGGGCATCGAAAGACCCAGTTGAGGCTGAGACACAAATGGTGGCAGTGTGCATGGCCTTTCCCCCAAAACACTGCTCAGCTGACCAGGTGTGAAAGGATAGGAGAGTAGGGGGAGGTGTTTTGCTGAGTGGGTACAGAGGAAGGATGGGTGCGGGGAGGCAAAGATATCAAGGGTGTTGAGGGGAGAGTAGCTCAGATGATCACAGGACTTGGACTGGGAAGGGAAGGGAGGGAGGCGAGGAGGGTGCTTCTGTTAGCCAGCGTTCTCGTTAGAGGGAGCAGGATCCGCTCCAGCTAGTTTAGCAGAAAGTGATATAGATAGCTCAAAAAAATCCCTGAGAGGTGCAAAGAAACAGACTCTTGGCTGAGCTTCCAGGAATGACTCCCCACCACACACGGTGGAGCCGGCCCATCAAAGGAGCTGAGCCTCCGCCATCATCACGAAGCTTTCACTTGGGGACCGGCCACCACAGCTGCCCGCGAGAGAACCAAACCCCCAATGCCACCACCATCCTCCTGGAAAACAGAGGCCTCTGCTCTGCCTTCCCTGGAGAACTCGGTTTTGAGTCAAAGCCTGACGTAGAAGCATTATGGTTGGTGACACCTAAATCACACATCTGCCCCTGGCAGCAAGGGGGCAAGGGGGACCTGCGTGTGTGTGTGTGTGTGTGTGTGTTTCATCTCCCTTCCCCCTTGCACCCCTGTTGAGAGGTTGGTATTTACACTATGAAAAACCATCAAAGTGTGGAAAGAGTTCAGGAGGTTTTGGGCAGCCAGTCACTATAGCACGGGTCCCCAATCCCTGGGCTGTGGACTGGTACCAGACCATGGCCTGTTAGGAACCAGGCTGCACAGCAGGAGGTGAGTGGCAGGTGAGTAAGCATTACCACCTGAGCTCTGCCTCCTGTCAGATCAGCGGGGGGCATCAGATTCTCATAGGAGCATGAACCTTATTGTGAACTGCACATGTGAGGGATCTAGGCTGTGAGCTCCTTAGGAGAAGCTAATGCCTGATGATCTGAGGTGGAACAGTTTCATCCCGAAGTCATGCCCCTTCCACCTGCCATTGGTTCATGGAAAAATTATCTTCCAGGAAACCAGTTTCTGGTGCCTGGTTGGGGCCCACTGCACTATGGGGGATAGCAAGGCTGCTGCTTGGGTACGTGCTGCTTCTCTGTTAAAATATCCTGCTAGGCATATGCAATCCTGCAGGCACATGACTTGGCAAGGTCTGTTCTTTATACGAAGAGAAACATGCTCCTTCTTTGGGGGACATTACCCTGCCCCAGTGCACAGCTTGCTGAGCAAAGTGCAGCTTAGATTTCAGCCCCTCCCTGACTCCTCAACTGGCACCACCATTTGTGACAACTCCAGAGCTGACTGCCTGGGAGGAAACAGAAGGAACCAGGGCCTCTCGGCCTCTCGGAGTCTCTTCAAAGTCAAACAGCTTGTGTGGTGGGAACAAGATGACGGGGAGTCAGAAGGATGGGTGCTGTGGTCACAGCATGAAGCACGGGGTGTAAGACTTCTGGGGGGATCCTCAGCGTGGGATAGCAAGTCCTGTGGGAGGGTGGAGTGCAGTGGTGATAAGATCTTGAAACTGAGGAAGCAGTTTGAGAGGCAGATCATCTATAGGGGTATTAAAAATTGAGTGGAAGAAAATGAAGAATGAAGCCTCAGTGAGAGAATCACAAGGAAACAGTAGGTGACAATGAGAGGAGGTAGAGCCAGGTGGTAATAGCCTCGGACGACTTCACACAGGGGCAGAGTAGCCATGGGAGCAAACAAGCGACAACCACAACAGTCTAGCTTTCCTCTCCTGGCCCCTTGCTACCTGGAACATCAATTTGTTCATTTAAGCAAATATTTATTTATTTAAACCAATAATGAACCTCCATGTCTTAGTTGGCTCAGGCTGCCAGAACGAAATACCATGGCTTAAACAATAGGAATTTATTTTTCATAGTTCTTGTAAGAGTCCATTCTCGCACTGCTTTAAAGGAATACCTGAGACTGGGTAATTTATAAAGGAAAGAGGTTTAATTGGCTCACAGTTCTGCAGGCTGTACAGGAAGCATAGCGGCTTCTGCTTCTGGGGAGGCTTTAGGAAGCTTCCAACCATGCTGGAAGGCAAAGCAGGAGCGACAGGTCCCACATGGAGGGAGCAGGAGCAAGAGAGAGAGGGAGGAGGAGGTGCTGCACACTTTTAAACAACCAGATCTGACGAGAACTCCCTCACTATCCCAAAGAGAGTACCAAGTGGGGGGGGTGGTGGTGTTAAACCATTCATGAGAACCCGCCCCTATGATCTAGTCACCTCCCACCAGGCCCACCTCCAACACTGGGAATTGCAATTCTACATGAGATTTGGGTGGGGAGACAGACCCAAACCATATCAGTTCTGGAGTCTGGAAGTCGGAGATCAGGGTGTCAGCCAGCATGGCTGGGGTCTGGTGATGGCCACCTTCTCACTGTGTCCTCGCCTGAGGTCGGGGCAGAGAGAGAGAGCACATATGAGCTCTCTGGTGTCTCTTCTTATAAGGACACTAATCCCACCATGAGGGTCCTACTCTTACGACCTCATCTGAACCTAATCACCTCCTAAAGACCCCCTCTCCAAACACCATCACATTGGGCAACCCAACTTGTTATCTCCAGCCTGAGCCTCCCCCCAGAACTCTTGGACCCCTGTGCTTCATGCTGTGACCACAGCTCCCATCCTTCTGACTCCCCGTCATCTCGTTCCCACCACAAATATTCTTTGACTTTGAAGAGACACCGAGAGGCCAAGAGGCCCTGGGTGCCTCTGTTTCTTCCCAGGCAGTCAGCTCTGGAATTGTCAGAAATGGTGGTGCCAGCTGAGGAGCTCCTCAGTGGGCTTCAATGCATGATTGGGGAGGGGAGGGACACAACTCAGTCCACAGCACTCCACTATCTGTGAACAAAAACAAAGTCTCTATTCTCATGAAGCTTACTTAGCTTCTACTAGAGGGAGGTGGACAATAAACAAAAAATAAATAAATGATATATTGAGGTAACAAGGCCATAAAAAGATTAGGTTGGTGGGGTGAGGAGCGGCTGGGCATTACTCTGTATAGAATGAACATGGAAGATGAAGGAGTAAGACAGTGAATATCTGTGTGAAGAGTTTTCAAGTCTGAGAGCAGCAAGTGCAAACACCCTGAGGCAGGATCAGGTTTTACCTGTGGAGCTGCCGAAGAGAGAGGGAGGAGGAGGAAAGTAGAATTTGTATTCGTTGGAGTGTAACTGGGGGGCCAACCACGTAGGCGCATTGTAAAGACTTCAGCTTTTACAGCTGAAGGTGGAAAGCCATGGCAGGTTAAAGGGGAGGGAGGTGACATGACCGAGAAAGGGAGGATGGGAACCCTGAGGTGAGAAAGTGACACGGGGGTGCTCCTCGGGAGAAAGGTGTGTTGCAGAAAGGACAAGGAGGTGGCAGCAGAGTGGTTTGGATAGGCTGAGTGTAGTGGTGTGAGGGTCCCACAGGCACAGACCCCTGGGGTCTGCAGCAGCCAGAAGGGGCTGCCCTGTGGGAGACCCATTCTGGGGAAGGGCTGAGGTTCCATGTGGAAGCCGCCGGCAGCAAGTTCCACAAGGTCTCAGGATGGAAGATGAGAGGGGATATGGCAAAGCCTGGGTGCCTCTTAGAATGTGCAGAAAGGCTTTCTGGAGAGTAGGCAGAGGGCATGAGTCTCTCTGGCCAAGAGCTGCCTCCTGCTACGTTTTGAGAGGAAAAGGTAGCACAGTGGAAACTAGGAAAGCTGTCCAGCCAGGAAAAGCCCCCATCCCTGAGATCTGGGTCAGCCTAAAGGTTCTGATGCTTTGGTGAGCCGGAGGAGGAGCTTCACAAGGAAGAGTCACTGGAAGGAGAAACCAGAAGCAGGGAGGGAAGGGCTGCCACCTGAGGAGACGTCCTCCTTCACGACTTTGCTGGCCTGGTCACCTGGGCCTGCAGGGGAAGGGCAGGGAGGTGCCACCTATTGTGAAGGAAAATCAGCCACAGTGTATGTCTAAGCAAAAGCCACTCTCCAAACCCTCGTTTGCAATTTTGTCACTTCTTTGGCAACAAGCCCCCTGCAGCTGTTCCACCCAGAGCCTCTGCCAGGTGACCTGGCCGTGCCCAGTGCCCCACAGCTGCAGCCTGCTGGCGGGGACTCCAAGTCTCCCCTGCTCCCAGCTTTCCTGACTCGGGGCTGTTGGGCTTGGAGGGAGCTGCATTGGGGGACAGGTGAGGGAGGAGGCCGGGGCACCAGCAGGAAGCTCTGGCTCTCCTTCTCTTTCCTGGTAAAAGCAAGGCACAAAGCACTCTTTGATCTGTGCCCTCTGCCAGTTCTGGCAGGGCTGCGCTTGTCACTGTTCCAAAAAAGAGCAGAAGGTTACTTAGCTATGGATGAATAATAATTGGGCATTTGTCTAACAGCTACTGTACTGATGAATAATTAAAATTTTTATTACAATTGAGGCAAAGAGCACTCTACCCATACGGATGGTCTGTCAGCTCTGCCAGAGGAAATGCAGGTAATTGAAGAGTGTCCTCCAAGTTCTGAAATAATAGTCATGATCATGGCAAAGATGTCTGGGTTAAAAGCTGGGAAAATAGGTGGACAACCAGACCCAATCACCAAGGCTTCTTCCTTTTTGGGATGTAATAAGGTAAATCGGCTAAAGCTGGTCTTGGGAGTGCAAATGGCTGGAACAGTCAGGGAAAGCTAGGAGTGAAAACCAGGAGGAACAGAAATAAAGAGAAATAGATGAAGACTTACTAGGCAAATGCCCTTATATAGTAGCTGATGAGGATGACTTTGATGAGATAAGAGGGGACAGCTGGAGCATAATGGAAAAAGTCAGAAATGAGAACACCCTTGTCAAATGGCTTGGCTCCTTTTTGGCTGTAATCTTGTGCAAACTCACTTAACCTGCACAAGCTTCCCTTTCTGCCTCTATAAAATGGGGATGATACTGTTTAATCATTGGCTCATCTTCTGAGGATTAAACAAGATAATGTTGAGAATATTTAATAATTATGAAGGCAGACAGCAAATGCAAGTAATTATAACTCAGAAGTCAGAATTAAAGGTAACTGGGTTCAAACAGCTTAAGAGTTGGGACGGGTTGAGTGAATGAGGATACAGAAACAGTGGAGAAGAAAATCAGTGGTGTTGGGGTTGGACCAAATGAAATCAACAGTGGAATTTCACTAACTTAAATACATTGTGCAAGGTAAACAAATTCCTTTAGTTATCAAATACCATTTGATACTTCCCGGGTGTGTTAATAAGACAGTCCACTCAAAAAATGGACCACTAAATGATAATTATTTTGATGGGAGAGTGTCTATGGAATTCATACACCCACGAAATTATACTGTGAGGTGTGACCATGCACAGGAAAGACTATTATGCCCAACCTTTTGAGAGCATGTCATGTGCAAGAGAACCTGGACACACCCGAGAGATAAATGGCAAGAATGCCCTGGCTCCCCAAACATATAAGGAGGAGGCTGTGGCTTGCTCTTCCCCTGCTCTTCCTCTGTAGTGATCGGCCATGCAGTCCATGTGATTCGAGTTTATGATGGGAACCAAAAATCTTCAATGTAAAACATTTTTTATTTGTTACTTCCATCCATTTTTCCTGCTGTCCTTAACCCTGCTTTTTCTCTTTTTTCCATCTTACCTTCCTTGTAATTGATTGGGGTTAGCATCCTCCTTTTTACTGCCTTTATTTTGAACAACTGATACCATATTTCTATTTCATAGTGATTCACTTTAAATTGTTGTTATTTAAATTTAACCTTTAATATTATTATTAAAAGTTAATAATATTAAAGTACCTTGAGCTAAGCACTCAAGGTACATAATCTTTTTTAATCCATACAACACTCCTGTGTTCCTCATTTTACACAGAATAAAAATAAGGTTCAGGCCAGGCACGGTGGCTCATATTTATAATCTCAGTGTTTTTGGAAGACCTAGGTGGGAGGATCACTTAAGGCCAGGAGTTCAAGGCTAGCCTGGGTAACATAGCATGAATCCATCTCTAAAAATATTTCAAAATTAGCCAGGCGTGGTGTTGTGCACCTGTAGTCCCTGCTACTCGGGAGACTGAGGCAGGAGGATCATTGAGCCCAGGAGGTCAAGGCCACTGCAATCCAGCCTCAGTGACAGAGCAAAACCCCGTCTCAAAAAAAAAAAAAAAAAGAAAGAAAAGAGAAACTGAGGTTCAGAGGGATTTAAGTAACTAGCTCAAGGTCCCAAGACTTCTAATGCATAGAGCCAGGATCTGAAGCTTATTTATCTCTTAAGAACAATCAAATTCACTATAATAATTCCTTCCAGGCCAGACGCGGTGGCTCATGCCTGTAATCCCAGCACTTTGGGAGGCCAAGGTGGACGGATCACCTGGGGTCAGGAGTTTGAGACCAGCCTGGCTAACATGGTGAAAACCTGCCTCTACTAAAAATACAAAATTAACTGGGTGTGGTGGTGGGCACCTGTAATCCCAGCTACTTGGGAGGCTGAGGCAGGAGAATCACTTGAACCTGGGAGGCAGAGGTTGCAGTGAGCCGAGATCATGCCACTGCACTCCAGCCTAAACAACAGAGTGAGACTCTGTCTCAAAAAACGAAACAAAACAAAAATCCCTCCATAGTTCATATGGCAGGTGCAGCATTGACCACAGTGCAGTCCATTTGCCTTACAATCTACTAGGAGAAATAATAGCACAACAAATTAATTCAGCAAGTATTTGTTGAGTGCATTTGTTCAAGGTATGGAGAAACCAGGTGTAAATGAGAGATGAAGCCGCGTTCCTGGGAGTGACTATGAGGTGAGCATCACGTGTGTGGTGCCCAGCGCTGGAGGCCTTGCAGGGCCAATCACGACCTCTCGGGATGTCCAGAGATGCTGCTACCACCCAAGCAGCCCCTCCCAGACTGGAGTGTCCAAAAACAAGTGAACAGCAGGCAGGCTGGCATGGAAATGGACAGATGGGACTTGAAGGCAGGAACCTGGGTCCAGTCCTGGTCTCACCATCACTAGGCCCACGACCTCTGTAAGACCCTCGCCTGCTCAGTCAGTTTCATCGTTTGTAAATAAGAATACTGTTGAGCAGAGAGGTGCAGGTGAGAGATTGTCCAAAAATGCTTTGAAAAGGATGCTAAGTAACAGTTAGCTTTTATTATCCCTATGTTTCTGCTAATCAAACCCAGGATAGTTTTCTACAGCAATCTGTGAGAGGCTCCATTATATACTGTATTTGAATATTCCAAACTACTCCTTTGCAGGAAGGAGTAATTCTCTCACATGCTCCTGCCTTGAGTGCTGAGTGGAGTTACAGAAGGTGAAGGGCCACAGAGGAGAATGGCTGCCAGGCATCTTTCCATACCAGCTCCTTCTTTCCATTCCTTCTTGGGCATGGATTTATATAGCACATTAACAAAGAGCCAGGGAGGAAAGGAAGAATTTCTAAACCCTTTGCTAGAAATCCTCAAGTGTTTAGCTACACTGGAGCTACCCCAGGTGCTGCTACCCCAGGTCCTCTCTGTGACCCTGCCCCGTCTCTGCTGGCTGAACACCATATCTGAATGACTGTGCCCTGACTACTGAGCTCCAAGGGTCTGGAATGCCACTTCACATCACAGGATAACAAGGCAGCAGCTGTCCACCCCTCTGAGCACGCCTGGACATCTGGCTGGTGTCTTTCCAAAGGTCTCCATCCTGAGCAGTCCTCAAGCAAACACTCGAACCTCCTGTGGTGAACTCAGGCCAAGACTATGTGCTTGACTGTCGGTGGCAGCTGCTGAGCTCCAGATGACACGGGTCATGAAGAGTTGGGCTTTTATCTCAGTTCTTCAAACAACCAGATCAGACGTAACAGGTAAGCAATCGGATTTATTTGCCCAGCTCTAAACTCTTGTGCCTATCAGAAAGAATCAAGCCAAACCCTGAAAGGTCAATTTCAGATGCTGTGTCATTATCCTCACCGAGACTTTTTCCTTCTTTCTCAGTTTTCTCAAGTTGTTTAGAGGAGAACTGCAGGGAATTTTCCCACAATATCCAGGAACGAACACCCAGTAACATCTCCCTGAATCTGCAGTGTTATCCTAAAATTCAAGTACATTTGTAGCCGATCCGTCTGCATCTGCACAATATCCCTAAGTATCATGGTGGGGAGACTGGGATATTCGTAGTCTGTACCCTCAGGGAGAAGGCTCTCCTATCTTGGTGCCTATAGAATGGCAGGGAGAGGAGATAATGCTATGAAAACAGTAGGAAGAGCCCCTGCCATTCAAAGAATCAGTCTACCCTTGAAATTAGACCTCATGCAACCTCCCTTCCTGATGCAAACCTGAAACCACCCATGGCCTCATGGACAGGAAGCCACCCAGCTTGATCTGTACAAACGTCCTTAGAGTTGGCTGCATGAGGCTGCCCCTGGCTCTGACACACACTCAATTATTTGGGAAAAAAAAAAAACTGCCTTATACTGAAATGAAACCAGCTTCTTTAGCACTTCCTTCCATTGATCCATCAGCTATAATGCACTTGCATTCTATCTTCAAAAAATATGGGCAGCCAAAATAAAAGGAACGGGTGTCTGCTCTATCTCTTCTAGACCTTCCTCTCTGAGAGGTCCTTTAGCTTGTTTTGTGACACTTTTTAAAGTAAGACATTTAGACTCATATCTTGACAAATTATAAATGGCTTTCTCCAGTTGCCCCTTTTCCTGCCCCACTCCTCTGTCCTTCCTTACAGCATAAGACCTTCTAGTCATTGCAGTTTTCAACATAAACAGATAGCAGAGAACACCCGGCAAAGACCAACATAAGTGGCTGTGCACATCAAGAAAAAGACAGTTATGCCTGCTTCTCAGTGATTATTAAGGGAAAATAAAACCTACAATGATAAACTTCACATTTTGCTAATTTCCAGTCATGTGTCTCCATCCAGGCATTGCCCACAACCTTAACTTCTCTCCAAAAGTATCTGAGCCAATGTGTCAACATTGCTCCAAATACAAGGTGCAAGTATACACTACTGACATGAACCATCATCCAAAACTTACCTATCTTCCTCTCACAGTCACCCCCACCTGCCAGAACACTCCCTGGTGGTGGGAAGAGAGGTGGCAAAAAGCAGGGCATTAACTAATTAACACGTCCTTTCACTCAACACGCTTGCCTTGAAGCAATTTTGTTTTCACAGCATCGGGCTGGAAAAAAAAGACCTTGAAAAATCATAGCCAATGCCTCATACGTTCTGGTAGATCTATATTTGAAATCTCCAAAGCAGTAGAGAATTTTTTTATGGTTGATGTTGATGATGATGATGGTGACATTTTTGTGTGTTGTTTGTTTTACATTATAAGTATTTCAACGTAAAGAGAGAAGCGTAGGCAATAATAAATATCTATGTAGCCACAATCTAGCTAACACAATAATTTACCATATTTTGTTCCAATTTTTTTGTAAAAAAACAAACAAACAAACAAAAAACAAAAAGCATTGAGATGCATGTACTTCTGTTGGAGCATCCCTCCCTGATCCCAGTCACTTCCCTCCACTCCAGCAGGCAGCCACTGGCCTGAGGCTAATGGTAACCATGCCATGAAGATCTTTAAAAGATACTCACTACATATGTACGCATAAAGAAATGGAATTTTTCTTTCTACATAAATTCTATCATATTGTATGTTCTAATCTGCACTTGCTCTTTTCACTTGACATCCTCCTTTTCGATAGAGCCATAATGACCCATGCTGCCTAACTCATACATCCCAATGGCTAGTATTTCTCCCATCTTAAAAACAAAAACCTTCCATGAACTTTGCCAACCATGTACTGCCCCCCTCTCTGTTGTACTCTTCACCTTTCTTGCAATACAACTCCCTGCAAGTGTTGTCCACACTCCCGATCTCCTAGTTTTCTCCCAAACTCTCTCAACTCACTCCAGTTAGACTTCACTAGCAAGAAACTTGGGTATCGTAGCTAAAAATCCTTCCAGCCTAGAATTAGGACTTTGCTTCATGAGTGGCCAAGAGAAGCGTCATGTCTCAGTTCCCGGTGGTGGTTTCTGTGTGCCCTGGTAGCTTGACAGCACCTTCCTCAGTTTGTCTGTCCTCCACGTTAGCACATGGGACCAAGCACCTGGTGAACTGGCCCACCTTGGAAGCTGCTGGCAATTCTGCTGCCTCTGCCACCACGAGACTCTGAAGAATACTGTACATACACAGATGCCCCGTCTAGAAGTCCTTTCTGACAAGTCCTAAGGACATGCATGAACATCACATTGAGCCTTTCCTTCCCTTGCGAACACCATCATGTGGGAGAAGGGGAAGAGCCACTATCCAGGTCTCCCCACCTGTGGATCACTCTCAGCATCCACTCATCTCACCAGCTGCTAGGCTGACAGAGATCCACAGTGTGGCCAAGAAGAGCTTTTCACTCCATCCGCTCCGCCCCTAAAAACACACCTCTGTTGGAGTTACTGTAAGGGTCTGTGAATGAATGTTTAGATCCCCATTAGGGAAAGAGATCAGGGCTCAGGGATCAAGGATACGTGGTTCTCAGAGCTCATCACCTGCGAGAGGATACCTTTATTGTTCATCCATATGCTGATCCCAGCCTTGCTCCCTGCCCCACTCATACGAAAAGCCTAACTATAGCTAACTCTATTTATAAATCCCATGAATACACAAGTCAGGCTTACGGTGGTTTTGTAAACCATTTCTCTCCTTTTATTTTTATTTTTTTGTCCTATTCAATTACTTTGCATCTCAGTTGATGCCAAAATATCAGTGGATATGCACACATTCTAAAAACTTCAGTGTACTGCTCAGAAAATATGGAAAAACAGACACTCTGAATATCCTCTCCAAAGCTCAGCACTGAGAAACAAACTACCTGTGCAAAGAAAACCGCAAATAGATGCTGTTTGCCCTGTTTGTTTATAGATGAATTTTCATTTTGCATTATGCTTTTCATACGAGTGCATCCTAAAAAGATTTTCACAATGAACTGTGTACATGTAGTAAAGATTGCAAAAAGAGGGAAATAATAAAGGATAAAAGCAAAGACTAAACTTTCTACCAAAGATTTTGGAGGAAAAAGCGTTGGCCAGGATAAATAAAATATTTTTAAATGAGTGGTGTATAATTAAATGGTCAGAGAAATAACTGAAGGCAAGTAAATTGACTTTCTTTTCCTTTTTTTACATTTCTTATTTCTCCCTTGCATAAGACAACCAAGGTTTGAGCCAGCTGCTGTCTTCTTCCTATCTATGGGACTTTGAGAAGTTTATTTCTGTTACCTCCATAAGCCTCAGTCTCTTCATCTGTTAAATAAAAGATAATTGGAGGCTGAGGCAGGAGAATGGCGTGAACCCGGAAGGCGGAGCTTGCAGTGAGCCGAGACTGCGCCACTGCACTCCAGCCTGGGTGACAGTGAGACTCCATCTCAAAAAAAAAAAAAAAAAACAAAAAAACAAAAAAAAAAAAACACACATAATTGGCTGGGCATGGTGGCTCATGCCTGTAATCCCAGCACTTTGGGAGGCTGAGGCAGGCGGTTCACAAGATCAAGAGATCGAGACCATCCTGGCCAACATGGTGAAACCCCGTCTCTACTAAAAATACAAAAATTAGCTGGGCATGGTGGTGTGTGCCTATAATCCCAGCTACTCAGCAGGCTGAGGCAGAGAATTGCTTGATTGCTTGAACCTGGGAGGCGGAGACTGCAGTGAGCCAAGATCGCACCACTGCACACCAGCCTAGAGATAGAGTGAGACTCCGTCTCAAAAAAAAAAAAAAAAAAAAAAATTACAGGACCCATCTCTTTGAGTAACTGTATTAAATGTGAATGCAGCACCTAGCCACATTACTATGCACATAGAAAGTATTCAATAATGTTTACTGCTATTAATATTAATATTTCCTTCATAAATTTATTAATATTCATTTTCTCCCATCTTAACCCTTCTGGGCCCCTCAATCCACTGGACCTGCCTTCAGCCTCCTGCCTCTTTACTGCCTTCATTCGCACTTCTTTGAGTCAGGTTGGCAAACCCCTTCATAATCCGCCCAATCTAGTTTTCCAGCCCCCAATACTCTCCTGACCTATAAATTCGCTTTCTGCATTGGCCACAATGAACTCCTCCCAGGTGGCAGCTCTTTGGATCTCTCTATCCTTCCTTTCTTTGTGCTCTTTTCCTGGAATGTCCTTCTCTTGTCATCCTACCCAAGACAATCAGTTTCTCCCTCTATCGCTCCTTGAATTCGCCTCTGATATTGCACTTGTGTCTGCATATTGACAGGTTTATGGAAGACACTTCCTAGCCATCTTGTGAGCTCCTTGAAGGAACTGTGTCTTTATCTGTATAGCCCCACCTAGCAGATGCTCAAGGCATGCTTGTGGAATGAATAAGGGAACAGATCATTTCTTCTGAGCTGTTTGCAGTCTGGCTAAGCCAATTGAAAGAATGCCTTCTCTTGCAATCTACAAATTGAAAAGCCTGTGAGACCCTCAGGACACTCAGGCAAGTTTTCCAGCATATGTGACAATACCAAGCCTTAGTGCATTTGCCTCTCACGTGGAGGAGTCTCTTCTAAAAATGAAACAGAGATGAAGGGTGAGACTCTTACAGTGGTTCAACTCCCCTAAGATCCTCTTGTGATTTAGAAGCATCTTGGAAAGAAATCCTTGACACTCGCCTCGCCCACCCTGAGCTATAAGGTAAAGCTCTCGGTGGTAAACGTGGCTCCCTGGTAGGGAGACTTCTTTTATCCTCATTGTTTCTGGAGGGGGAAGTGTTAGCACAGAGACTCCCTGGGAAACCCGAGGATGCCTCACCACCTCACCATAACAGCAGGAAACCCAGAAATGATTCACAGCTGAAACCTCTGGCCCACATCGACACATCACATCACATGGTTGTTTCAACTGGAAACCAAACAGCCATCTGGGCATGATTATCTGTATTTTTGTGAAGGTGTAAATACACAGTGAGTAGGAAGAGTCCAATAAAACCTATTATAATGTTGGTGGTGGGCACCACAAAGAGAGCACCCCTTAATAGACATTCCCTGGTCCAGTGAAAGACATACTTTGTACTGAGTCCCGCGCCTGGGAGACCTTCCAGGAAAGTAAATCCCCAGGAGAGAGAGGCATTTCCCAGTAGGTGCTTTGCTTTTTGGTTGTTTTCTTTTCTTGGTTGTTTACTTTGTTCTACTTTGTTTTTACTACAGTTCTGTCCTACTGGTGGCGGAGTGGGACTCCTTCATGATGTGGCACAGTTTCCTTGAGTTTTAGGAAGAAACGGCCCATGTGGCAGATTCAGAAACAATGAATCAGCACCTAAACAAACAGGAAGGTAAGCGGCCCTCCCAAGGTCACCTGGGTAGTGGCAGGGTGTGAACCAGAGTCCAGGTGTCCTGACCACCCACCACCGCCTGTCCTCCTCCCTCATACAAGATCCCTTCTAGGCCAGCGCTGAGAATAAAGGCAGCGGCATCATGGGGAGGGGGTGAGGACAGAAGGGTCAGGGAAGGCACTGGGAGGGAGAGGCAATCCCAACCCAACTCCAACAGCCTAGGGTCAAAGCCCAGCTCCACTCCTGGCAGCTGTGAGACTTTGGTGCATTTAATGTCCTTGAGCCTCTATTTCTTCACCTGGAAAATGGGATTGATGACAATATGCGTCCCTCCAACAACTAAATGGCACATCAAAGCTTTGGTTAAAGGGGTTGGCACATCGTGAGGACCACGTCAGCTCTTAATACTCCAATGATGGCTTCCCTATAAGTGCAGAGTCTTCTTCAAGTGGTGGTTAGCACGGGTTTTGCCTGTTCCTTTAATCATGGCTGTGAATTTGCTCCGGCACCATTGTTCCCAAAGTAGAATTTACTGGCAGCTTCCCCCCACCCATGACCCATCTCTGCTTGGAAATTTTTTAGTAGTAGTACTGGCTACTTTTAAGGAGAACTCATTCCACTGTTGCACAATGGCAGCTCTTAGAAAGATCCCTCTTGAATTGGGATAAAATCTGATCTCCCTCTCTATAATTTCTCCCCACTGGTCTTAACACTACTGCTTTGCTTCCCATACTTGGAGAAATGCTCCCCCAGAGACTCTAGGTGATGTATTGGGGATCAGTAAACCCATAAAATAAATAAGGCATGTTTTCCTTATGAATCAAATTAAAATGAAGATTTCTTAGGGAAACAGAATTTAAGCTTTGCATTGAATGGTTATGCTTTTTAAAATATGTTTCAGGCTGGGCATGGTGGCTCACGCCTGTAATCCCAGCACTGGGAGGCCGAGGCGGGCAGATCACCTGAGGTCAGGAGTTCGAGGCCAGTCTGGCCAACATGGCGAAACCCCGTCTCTACTAAAAAATACAAAAATGAGCCGGGCTTGGTGGTGGGCGCCAGTAATCCCAGCTACTGGGGAGGCTGAGGCAGGTGAATCGCTTGAACCCAGGAGGTGGAGGTTGCAGTGAGCCAAGATCACGCCACTGCACTCCAGCCCAGGCAACAGAGCGAGACTCTGTCTCAAAAAAAAAAAAAATTACATTTCAATTTAAGATATTTTTTATTAAAACAAACAAGCATATTTTAGTATATAATATAAAATTCAAATCATTTCTTTTTCAGATTTGGCACAAAAAAGTTTGCTTCGGGCAACCATTGCCAGCTCTATCCAGACCTCCAAGGAGTGAGTATCTATTCACTTGCCTCTGACACTGAGGATTTCTAGATGGAGAAGGCTGAGAAATGCTACTCTGTTGAACAGAGCTACAAAGAACAAATGTAATTCCTTTCCCATGGGGCTGCCCATCAAGTTTTCCTAAGATCTTACAGTTGGAAAGAGACTTAGAAGTTGTCTAAATCGATCTCCCTTCTGCAGCAATCCTAACAGATGGTCACCCAGCCTCCGCTGGATCAGGCTCAGAGCGGAGAAGAGACCACATGGTAATCATTGCCATTGCATCGCTGGCCAGCTCTGATTGTTAGAATGTTCTTTTCTTAAGCCTAGCGCCATGCACAGGGGCCCTGGAATGTGGCAGACCTGAGGTGGACTCTTGAACCAGCCGCTTCACCTCACCGGGGCTCAGTTTCCTGTAATCCCAGCACTTTGGGAGGCCAAGGCAGGCGGATCATCTGAGGTCGGTAGTTCGAGACCAGCCTGGCCAACATGGCGAAACGCCGTCTCTACTAAAAATACAAAAATTAACCGGGCTTGGAGGCAGGCACCTGTAATCCCAGCTACTCGGGAGGCTGAGGCAGGAAAATGCTGTAAAATGGGGTGAATGGTGTTAGCTATATCACGAGGAACAAAAAATGGACAAAAAGCCCTTAGCATTCTGCCTGGCATGTTGAAGGATTCAATAAATGTTCCCTATCATCACCATTCCCTTCCACAGCTTCCATAAGCTAAAATTCTAGAGCCTGTTTGTAATGCTTCTGCAACACCATGCTTTACATATTTGAAAACAGTTAATATACTCTCCCCTGGCTGCACCTAAAAAGCTTTTGTTCCTAAGTTAAATATGCCCCCACCTTCCTTGATAGAATTAACCTCGAAACCTTTCAGTGTATGTTTTTCAGAAAGCTGTTTGAAAGCATGTTAAAAATTCTTAGGAATGAACTGGAGAAATGTCAGAAGACAAAAAGTGCCACGGAGAAAACAAAGGGAGCAGAGGAAAGGGATGGAAAAGGCTAGAATGCAGGGGGCGGGTGCAGTTTAAAATACAGGAGTCGAGTAGCTCACATTCAAAGAACTGGGCTTTCTTATGAAGTTTGATTGGAGACCCTGGCCTGGACCAAAATGGGGCACTCCACTCCTTCTCAGAGTTGCAGGCAGACAGATCTGCCGTGCAGCACTGGCCACCCAGGCTGAAAAGCAGGAAGACCCGAGGAGGGGCTTGGCGAGGGCAGCCCAAGTCTGCTCACTGGGTGGCCAGAAGCACAGCATCATCCTGTGGCCTCCACAGAGAGGGCCAGGAAGCAGGAGGTGGGGCACCAGGAGACCCTGTCTTTACATCATGCTCCAACCCCTAAAAATATGGCCCAATGCATGTATCAAGCTCTCATCCATCCAATTAATTCCTCCTTCTCTTATAGAGAAGAGCAACCAAGGCCCGGCATGATGGCTCATGCCTGTAATCCCAGCATTTTGGGAGGCTAAGGCAGGAAGATCACTTGAGCCCAGGAGTTTGAGATCAGCCTGACCTACATAGCGAAACCCTGTCTCTACTAAAAATACAAAAATTAGCCAGGCGTGGTGACACATATCTGTAACCCCAGGTACTTGGGAGGCTGAGGCAGGAGAATCACTTGAACCCAGGAGGCGGAGGTTGCAGTGAGCCAAGATCATGCCACTGCACTCCAGCCTGGGCGACAGAGGGAGACCTTGTCTCAAAAAAAAAAAAAAAAAAAAAAAGCAGCAACCAAGTGTTAGGAACTGAACTGTGTCCCTCAGAAGTTCATATGTTGGGCCAGGCACTGTGGCTCATGCCTGTAATCCCAGCACTTTGGGAGGCCAAGGTGGGTGGATCACCTGAGGTCGGGAGTTCGAGACCATCCTGACCAACATGGAGAAACCCCATCTCTACCAAAAATACAAAATTAGCTGGTCGTGGTGGCGCATGTCTGTAATCCCAGCTACTCGGGAGGCTGAGGTAGGAGAATCGCTTGAACCCAGGACGCAGAGGTTGCAGTGAGCCGAGATCACGCCATTGACTCCAGCCTGGGCAACAGGAGCCAAACTCCATCTCAAAAAAAAAAAGTTAGTATGTTGAAGTCCTAAATTCCAGTGTGACTGTGTTCGAAGATAGGGACTTTATGGAGGGACTTAAGGTTAAATGAAGCCATGATGATGGGACCCTAATGTGATAGAACCAGGGCAGATCACTTGAGCCCTTGTAAGAAGAGGAAAAGACACCAGAGCTCGCTTCCCACCTGCCGCAGAAGAAAGGACCAAGCGAGGAAACCGTCAGAAGGTGATCATCTGCAAGCCACAGGAGAAACCAGCCCTGCCCACACCGTGACCCTGGACTTCCAGCCTCCAGAACTGTGAGAAAATGCATTTCTGTTGTTTAAGCCACCCAGTGTGCTATTTTGTTACAACAGCCCAAACCAACTCAAACACATAGCATAGCAGTTCCTCAAAAAAGTGGCAATGTTAGTGGAAGTTTCTTCCTTTATGGGTTGAAGCAGAACATGGGGAGAGAAGAGTTCCCCATTGTAGGTAGATTCTTAAAATAATTCAATGCTGTAATTATAACAGATAAGAATGTAGGCTAAAACTAAATTTAAACAGGAAGTTACTTATTTACCTCTAGCTATGAGTTCAATATATTATCTTATTCTTGGAAAAGAAAGAAATGAAATAAAGCCTTGAACAGAGGAAACAGTAAAGAAATAAATCTGCATGGAAGAAAATGGAAAAAGTAAATGAAGTTGGAAGTTGTTAAGTACCAGTATTCTTTAAATTATTTACATGAATTCAGATGTGTAAATCCTCATTGAAGGCAGGAACATTTGTAAAGTATTTACTGGACGCCATTTGTAAAGTCCTTTACTGGACGTATTCAGGGGGCTGAACTAAGTGTGGAAGCTATTAATAAAATAAAAGGTAATATTGATCGTGCCTTTAGAAACTTCTATTTTAGAATGCAAATACTAATAATACCCGCTGAGAATTTAGAGACTATCCCTTATCTCCAGAGGCACTAGCCGCCCTGCAAAGGTTAGGGAGCTCAACAGAAGACCAAAGGGGCTAACAGCAAGATGGAGCAGGAGAGAACCCATTTACCTGGCAGGTGTGAGAAGAGTCAAGGTGTTTCTAAGCACACAGCTGAAAATGGAAAACAGGTGGGTGCTCCTGAGCAGGGGTTGGGGGCCAGAAACAAAGAGGGGCACCCATCAGCACTGTGTTGACAGGGGGGATGAAATTTCAGAGAGATCATCTGGGCCCAAACCCACAGAGCCGAAGGGCCCGGAACACGGGTAACGGGTGAATGTATTCAGTCGGGCCTCCTGCCGCTTGTGGACCTGCTGAGGCCTTTGACGCCACATAAACCAAAATGAGCTGAGGCTTGGAGACTGGGTGGAAGCACTTGGGAATCTCATTTGACCTGTGGATTTTACTGATGGGAAAAAGGAGAAGATGCTCAGAGTGGTGGTCAGCTGCTCTGCCCACATGGGCCACCCAAGAGCACCCACAACCCGCCCTTACACCATGTCCATAGAAAGGGAGTGGTTTTTGGGTTCAGAGGAGAAAGATATCACTTCCTTCTGGGAGCAGGCGTCGGGTAGAGAAAGGGATCAGGCAGGTCTCAGGTTACGCAACAAGAAAGCTCAAACCACCTCTGTCAAACTCCCTCTGATTCTCCTTCATCCTCCTGTTCCAGAGCTTGGTGACTAGGATGCTCCTCTGTGTCCTGTGCAATCTCACAGGCCTTGAGCTTGTTCCCCGGGAGTAACCTCTGCAGAAGCAGGAAATGCCCTCTAGTCAGCTCTTCCGAATGTGAGAAATGAAAGCCTTACCAAAGGAAAGCTGAGGAAACGTGTTCTTCCTTCCTTCCTCCCATCCTTCCTCCCTCTCTTCCTTCCCTCCATCTTTTTTTTTTTTTTTTTTTTTTTTTTTTTTGAGACAGGGTCTTGCTCTGTCACCAGGGCTGGAAAACAGTGGCACCATCATGGCTAACTGCAGCCTTGACCTCCCAGGCTCAAAGAATCCTCCAACCTCAGCCTCGCAAGTAGCTAGGACTATAGGCATGTGCCACCACACCTAGCTAATTTTAAAATAAAATATTGTACAGACACAAGGTCTCACTTTGTTACCCAGGCTGGTCTTGAACTTCTGAGCGCAAGGGATCCTCCCACCTTAGCCTCCCAAGTAGCTGGGATTACAAGTGTGCGCCACCATGCCTGACTAATCTTTGTATTTTTAGTAGAGATGGGGTTTTGCCATGTTGCCCAGGCTGGTCTTGCATTCCTGGCCCCAAGTGATCCTCCTGCCTCGGCCTCCCAAAGTGCTGGGATTACAGGCATGAGCCACCACACCCAGCCTCCGTCCCTTCTTTCTTTATCTTTTCTTCCTTCCATTCTTCTTCTATCTTTCCTTCTCTCCCACCCTTCCTCCTTTCCTCCCTTTCTTTTTTCCTTTCTTCCATCTTTTATTCCTTCCTTCCTCACTTTCTCCCTCTATTGTTTACCATTTATTGAGCCGGTCAGCCCTTTGCCAAAGATCACAGAATGCATATAAAGATATGTTCTAGATCATGATTTTGCAGTGCTTACAACCTTAGGGGGAAAAAAAAAACGGATGATGAGTTAAAAATTAAACCAGCCGGTGAGGGGCCACTAGCTTCACTGAGGCAAAGAACCTCGAAGCATGATTCCATTTCCACAGATGGGGCCGCAGGAGAATATTCTGAGCCCAGCACAGAGGCCCAGATACACTGTGTTCTTCTGGGAGTCCAAATCCAGCCCTGAGAGCCCTGTGTAGGAGGGGGCTACGGCTCAGTGGAGGTTTCCTCTGCCTTTAAAATAGTTCTGGGATGTGATTTTTTGCCTTGAGTTACTAAGCTGAAAAAACAAGCCAGAAATACCTATTTTGCTCAAAATAGCCCAGTCCTCCCTTATGCCAGGTTCTCGGAAGCTGCCTTGGGTGCCTCTGCCCCACACAAACTCCCAGCACCGCCCACCTTGGTGACTGATGATGTGGGCAGAGGGGAGCAGAATGGGAAGCAGCAGCTTGGCTTCTCTGCCTGGCCTCTCTGTGCTCTTTTGTTTTGTGTTTTTGAGACAGAGCCTCACTCCGTCACCCAGGCTGGAGTACAGTGGTGTGATCTCAACTCACTGCAACTTCTACCTCCCGGGTTCAAGTGATTCTCATGCCTGAGCCTCCCAAGTAGCTGGGATTACAGGCACGCACCACCACGCCTGGCTAATTTTTGTATTTTTAGGAGAGACGGGGTTTCACCATGTTGGCCAGGCTGGTCTTGAACTCCTCACCTCAAGTGATCCGCCCGCCTCGGCCTCTCAAAGTGCTGGGATTACAGGCGTGAGCCACCACTCCAGGCCAGTGACTTTTTGAATTACAGTTTTTTCCAGATCCTGAAGTCTCCCATTCCTGCTCAGTCTCTACCCTCTACTCATCATAGTTCCTGTTTTTTGAGTACTAGATACTTTGTATATATTTTTTAACTTGTCTTTAATTATTGTCCTATTTACAGATGAAAAAACTGAAGATCAGAGAGGTTGTATAACTTGCCTAAGGTCATAAAACTACTTAATGATGAAAATTTAAAACCAAGTCTGTCTGACTCTGTAGCCATGGTTCTCACTGTCTGGTCCCTGGACCAGCTGTATCAGCACCTCCTGGGAACTCATCAGAGACCTAATGAGTCAGAAATTTGGGGGGTCAGGTGGAGCCATCTGTGTCCTGGCAAGCCTCAAGGTGATTCTACTGGACACTCCCAACCAAGAACCACTGTTCCAGCACGTTCCCTTCATCTCCACGCCATGCTGCGTCTCCAACTTCCTGCTCTCCAAAGGCAAAACTCACCATGAGGGAATCATCCAGAAATAAAGTTGATTTTCACTTCTCCCTGCAGATGCTCCCAGGGAGTTAAAGGTGACTCTTCACTCCAGACTCTAAATTTGACCCCCTTTCAGGCGGCCACCCCAGGTTCATTATCACACCAATCAGCCAACTGTTTTGAGTAGAAATCTCCTTTCCCACCCTGTAAGGAATTCCAGGACACCGTCTATGAAGAGGGAAATCATAACTTGGCTATTTGTTCAGGACACCCCTACCCTCTTCCAGACCAGCAGCTCATTGAGACACCTGCCCTCGAGATACCACTTGACTACTGCCGCCAGTCGACAATTATTGATCAAGTACTGTGTCAGGTCCTCTGCTAGGCCGTTTGAGACATGTTATCTCAATTAATCCTTACAACAACCCAAGAGGTAGACATGATTATTAGCCCATTTCAAAAACAAGAAAACTGAGGCACAGATTATTTGCCTAACTTCACTAGCTAATAAATTACTGAGATGAGACTTAAACTCAGTTTGTCTCAAGAACCCCATGGTCTTATCCAGTATGCCCTATTGCCTGTTACGGGCCTTTGTCAAACAAGTCTTCTCTCTTGGTGCACTCCAGGCCAACTTTCTGTGTTCCAGCTTGAGAGTCCTCTTTGCAGCCATGTGAATCCAGTGTCTTCCTCTCGTTAATCCTCTAGGACACCTCTGCCCAGCTTTCTTCCATCCCCCCGCACCTGGCCATTTCCCTCTGGAGCTGTTTCCTACTAGCTGGGCTCTCACCTCCCAGACACTTTTCCTTCCTTTAGACCAGCTTCATCTCCTCTATGTGCTGCTCAGCATGGAATAAATTCTATCTTTTTCCAATTCCCAATTTCTAAGGCAGGTTTTTTTTTTTTTTTAATCTTACCATCTCTGCTTTGACCAGACACTTGGTACAACTTCAAACATTGTCGCCTGTGGTTTGGCTGCCTAACAAGGAGCTCTTGGCCCGCTTCGAAGCCAGCCTTCTTGAAGCCTGCCCTCACATTTAGCGCCCTTAATATAGACTCTGTCTACCACAGATCAGCGTGTACTGAGAAGATAGATCGGAATCAGGGAGGAGGCTATTTCATTGCCTGGTGGTGGAACCAATACTCAGTCTGGTGATATAAACTGAAAAATGCAAAAGTGGGGAAGGCAAGGTGAAGAGCGAAGGCAGCTTCTCAGACTTGGCTCGTGAGTTCATAGTAAGGCATCTCCAACAAGAGTCTTGCAGCGGCCTCCTGGAGGGTCCCTTCCATCCACAGTGATTGGGGCACAGGCTGGCTCAACCATAAAGGCAAACAGGAAACTCTGCCAGCAAAGGAAAAAGGAAGCTCTCAGATTCCTGTTCCAAGCAGCCTTCTGGGAAGGACTTTATCTTGGGGGAAAGTTTTACTAAAGGAAATTTGACCTGAAGTTGCAAGTTTCCTTTGTTGAGAAAAGCAAATAACATGAAAGGGGAGAAAAGCAACAAGATGAAAGATTGGTCATCACAGATGCAGATCTAATCTCTGCCATAATATAAACTGGAAGAACCTAGAACCCTGGGAGGTGAGAGTGGCAGGCGGTGGGGGGGTGACATGAGCAGAAACAACAGACAAGACGAGGCTGACCTCCCACAGGGGCAGCGAGGGCCCTGGCTGACCAGAGAACAGGACGAAATAAGGCTTTCCAGGGCAGGTTAGAGTCCTTTAGTATCAGGATGCAGTGTTTATAATCTCATGGGCCATGGAGAATTCTGTGCTCTAAGCATCTGGGAAATGAGATAATCAAAGCATATAAATAATACCAGTCAACTTTTTTAAAAAACGGTCAGTATTTTTAAACACATATTAAAATCTTCTTGAGCCCTTTGCACATATTAACTAATTTAAACCTCACAACAACCCTATGAAATACATAACCAATATTATCACTTCCCTTTATAGGAGCACAGAAAGGTTAAGCACCTTGTTCAAGGTCACACAGTTTGTAAGGCTCAAAAGCAGGATTTGAACGCAGGCCATCTGGTACTAACGTCACTCCTCTTAACCACCATACCTGACTGCAAAGCAGTCTCTAAAATTAACGAAGTGTGATATGGTTTGGATGCTTTGTTTCCTCCAAATCTCATGCTGAAATGTGACCTCCCATGGTGGTGGAGGTGGGGCCCGGTGGTAAGGACAGACCTCCCATGAATGGCCTGGTGCCCTCCTCGTGGTAATGAGTTCTTGCTCTGCGGTCACAGGCAATCTGGTTGTTTCAAAGAGTGTGGCACCTTCCTAGCCCTCTCTCATCATAGGAGGTACTGGCTCCCTCTTCACCTTCCTCCATAATCGAAAGCTTCCTGAGGCCTCACCAGCAGCAGATCCCAGCACTATGCTTCGCGTACGAACTGCAGAACTGTGAGCCAAAATAAAACCTCTTTTCTTTATAAATCCCCCAATCTCAGATATTCCTTTATAGCAATGCAAAAACAGACTAACTCAAGTGTATCTTCTTCGCTCTGTTCTTTAAGAAGTTTGGCAACTCTTGGGATGGTAAAAGAGGATAGCAGAAAGAAAACTGGGTTGGAATCCTAACTCTATGATTGAAGAAGGGGAGCTGGGACCTTGAACCTCATAAGGTGATTATAAGTAATGAGATAATATGCGTCTCTGGCACATAGTAGATGCTCAGTAAATCATTACACTAGCTCATATTCATTGATGTTTATCAAGGGCTAAGTATGTGCTAGGCCCTAGACATAAATCTCCTGAATTGAATTCAACCAGATTAGATCGATTTTACACTCCTGCTTCGTTTCAGGGC
This sequence comes from Homo sapiens, assembly GCF_000001405.40. NCBI lineage: Eukaryota > Metazoa > Chordata > Mammalia > Primates > Hominidae > Homo > Homo sapiens. Next base: position 11,969,362 of record NC_000012.12, read on the forward strand.
ATGAGGAATGCTGAGAGTCAGCCTCTTGGGGAAGTTCTCAAAACTTCAACTCAATTTGTGTAGTAGTTGTGCACAATTCAGGTGAGGTGCTCATATTTCCTCTTAGTCATATTTTAATAAATGAAATATATTCTATAGTTTACAATCATAAAACAACTTTCTTTCTTCTGTTGTCCCTTCAAACCTTCTCTTTAAGAGGTTCTTTCTCTGCCCCTAGTTGAGATTTCAGACAAGGCAGGTGGCTTTCTGAGTCATTCCCGGACACAAGGGTCATTTTCAGTCGCAGGCACCACCTCATTTGAGTATTTTAAGTAGCCAGGCTATGGTAATAATACAAACCCTGAGCTTTTATTTATATTGGAGAGTCTCCCCTCTTACAGTAGGGCAAGACTGCAGATGGTGATTGTTTGCCAGTAGCCAGGCAGGGCTGTGTGGCCAATGTCCTCCCCATCTCCCCCACTGACCCTCCTCGCACACTCCCCAGCTGCCGCTTCTGAGCCATTCAGGATCAGACTCAGGGCAGTGGGTATTAGAGGAAAAGAGCAGCAGTCTTACATGATGGGGACGCTCAGAACCTGGTGCTGGTGCCCGCTGAGCCTGGCAGATATGCAAAGCTGACCCTTTTGTGAAAGACACTGCAGGTTGTCCTGGGAACCTCCAACTCAGTTAACATAACACAAACGTGACCGTATGTCCACTTTGCAGGGACAGTTCCAGTGGAATTCTGTTGCCTCAGCTATCTGTTAGTAGGCAGCTATTTGAGAAAGGATTCTTTCTCAAAAGTATCTCCAGTTAGGTGATAAGTTATAGAGCATCCTACTTAAAACAGATGAGGCTTCTCTGGAGGCACAAAGTTCAGCTTCCCCCCAGAGATCTCCTCACACTGGTCACCGCATCTGTCCAGGGGGGTCTATGGACAGAGTCCCTTCAGGAAGGCTCCGGGCTGTCTGCCTCCCGCATGGCTCAATCTATATCCATGGATAATGGATGCCTTTCCTCACCATTGTCTAGGAAACTGCAGCTCACACCTACTGCAACTCACTCTCCCTCCCTCTCTTTTTGCAGTTCTTCCTTCTCAGGCCTATCTTACTGTCACTTCTCAGTCTTCATATTCCTCCCACTCCCAGTAGTATACGGAAGCCCCCTAAAGCCCCTCTCACTTGGCTTACAGTGAGGGGAAGTGTCCCTCACTCCTCTGCTCTACGAGCCTTCTAACACGTGCCTCCAAAGGAATCTGCACTCTTGGCTGTTTTTTGTTTTTGTTTTTGTTTTTTTTGAGACAGTGTCTCTTGTTCTGTTTCCCAGGCTAGAGTGCAGTGGCACAATCATAGCTCACTGCAGCCTCAACCTCCTGGGCTCAAGCAATCCTCCCACCAAAGCCTCCCAAATAGCTGGGACTAATTTTTTATTTATGCAGACAAGTGTCCCACTGTGTTACCCTGGCTAGTCTTGAACTCCTAGGTGCAGGTGATCCTCCCACCTTAGCCTCCCAAACTGCTGGGATTACAGGCATGAGTGGCCACGCCCAGTCTCAACTCTCTTTAAAGGTTGGAGGTGGGTGACTATTAGTCTTAGCAGGCCTGGTTTTATCATTTCTTAGCATGTCATGAATAACAGTTCCTCTTCATATTCTTTATAATGTGGTGTCAGTTAATACCTATTGTAATATTTTCTGAGTTTAAGGATTCTGCCCATCACGTGAAGGACCTCTTCAAGGAGAACTACAAAGCACTGCTCAACGAAATAAAAGAGGATACAAACAAATGGAAGAACATTCCCTGCTCCTGGGTAGGAAGAATCAGTATCGTGAAAATGGCCATACTGCCCAAGGTAATTTATAGATTCAGTGCCATCCCCATCAAGCTACCAATGACTTTCTTCACAGAACCAAAAAAGAGGCTGCATTGCCAAGTCAATCCTAAGCTGAAAGAACAAAGCTGGAGGCATCACGCTACCTGACTTCAAACTATACTACAAGGCTACAGTAACCAAAACAGCATGGTACTGGTACCAAAACAGAGATATAGACCAATGGAACAGAACAGAGCCCTCAGAAATAATGCCGCATATCTACAACCATCTGATCTTTGACAAACCTGACAAAAACAAGAAATGGGGAAATGATTCCCCATTTAATAAATGGTGCTGGGAAAATTGGCTAGCCATATGTAGAAAGCTGAAACTGGATCCCTTCCTTACACCTTATACAAAAATTAGTTCACGATGGATTAAAGACTTAAATGTTAGACTTAAACCATAAAAACCCTAGAAGAAAACCTAGGCAATACCATTCAGGACATAGGCTTGGGCAAGGACTTCATGTCTAAAGCACCAAAAGCAATGGCAACAAAAGCCAAAATTGACAAATGGGATCTCATTAAACTAAAGAGCTTCTGCACAGCAAAAGAAACTACCATCAGAGTGAACAGGCAACCTACAGAGTGGGAGAAAATTTTTGCAATCTACTCATCTGACAAAGGGCTAATATCCAGAATCTACAATGAACTCAAACAAATTTACAAGAAAAAAACAAACAACCCCATCAACAAGTGGGTGAAGGATATGAACAGACACTTCTCAAAGAAGACATTTATGCAGCCAAAAGACACATGAAAAAATGCTCATCATCACTGGCCGTCAGAGAAATGCAAATCAAAACCACAATGAGACACCATCTCACACCAGTTAGAATGGCGATCAATAAAAAGTCAGGAAACAACAGGTGCTGGAGAGTATGTGGAGAAATAGGAACACTTGTACACTGTTGGTGGGAATGTAAACTAGTTCAACCATTGTGGAAGTCAGTGTGGCGATCCCTCAGGGATCTAGAACTAGAAATACCATTTGACCCAGCCATCCCATTACTGGGTATATACCCAAAGGATTATAAATCATGCTGCTATAAAGACACATACACACGTATGTTTATAGCGGCACTATTCACAATAGCAAAGACTTGGAACCAACCCAAATGTCCAACAATGATAGACTGGACTAAGAAAATGTGGCACATATACACCATGGAATACTATGCAGCCATAAAAAATGATGAGTTCATGTCCTTTGTAGGGACATGAAGCTGGAAACCATCATTCTCAGCAAACTATCGCAAGGACAAAAAACAAAACACCGCATGTTCTCCCTCATAGGTGGGAATTGAACAATGAGAACACATGGACACGGGAAGGGAACATCACATACCGGGGCCTGTTGTGGGGTGGGGGGAGGGGGGAGGGATAGCATTAGGAGATATACCTAATGTAAATGATGAGTTAATGGGTGCAGCACACCAACATGGCACATGTATACATATGTAACTAACCTGCACGTTGTGCACATGTACCCTAAAACTTAAAGTATAATTAAAAAAAAAAAAGGATTCTGCCCATCTCCGAAACAACAGGAAGAGTGAATTGAATTTAATATCTAATTATGTATGATTTAATAAAGAAGAAGGGGAAAAAACCCTCCTGGTCTACTAAATCCTGAAAAGAAGATGATTCCTGTCTCAGTGCATGACCCAAAGCTACAGCAGATTCCAGAAATGCAATGTTGACCCTGCAGGAAAGTAGCTGAGCAAGTGCAGCCTTAGCCAGAATTTCCCTCACCATAAAGAGGGGACAGATGCCACCAGGTCTGCCTCAGCCCATTTTCTTGAATTTCTTCTTCAAGATGCCAATGGATGTGGCATCTGAAAGTCTGATTCAGGTTTATGGCACTCATACCCTGGAAAAAAAGCTCTGTACAAGTTTTAGCTCAGCTTTGAACATGTGAACAGGAAGTCTATCCTAGTATTGCCCCTTCTATATGGGAAAACCTGGCTGCACAGCTAACTAAGGTGTGCACAGAAACATCAGCCTCGCTGGTTGCAGTTCTCAGTCTTTCACCCAATCCAAAAGGTAGAGAAGGAAGATGCTCTTCTCTGTGTCTTCAGGGGGTTCACGGTGGTATCCTTCGAAGCTGAAGGGCAGAAATCCAAGAATACGACCACACAGAGGAATCACTGTGTTCACCTCCGTTTTTCCTATGGGTACCTCGAGAAGACTGCTGGGCATTCCCAGGCCACAGGTTGGCTCAGTAGCTTAGCCAGGAACAATCTGTGAGGCCTGACTTTTAGCTCTGTGTCCTGCTCACTATACAACTCAAGCTCTGTGGAGTAGCGTGTCTGCAGAAACAAAGAAAAGCTTTTTAGAGTAATCGCAACTTTTCCCACAAGCCGTGTTTTCATAGGAGCTTTTTGCTTTTTTTCCCAGCAGCAAGGTAAAGCAAGCAATTGAACTAACTTGTTCTCAGATCAACGAGTCCATTGTGTGCTTCAGGGAGCAAAAGGGTGTTTTGTTGTTGTTGCTTTTTTTCTCTCTTTCGATGTTGGTTTGGAGCAGAAATTAAACTTGGCCATGGGCTAAGAGGGAAAAGAACTGGATAGACAACTCTTTCTTTCTTTGGTTGGGATTCAGATTTCTGTAAAAATCCATAGGTTTATAAGTGAAATTGTTACTAAATATGTACCTACTGATACACATGTCCTCTTTCAAACACCCCTTCACCCTGCTCCTTTCCTCCTCACAGTAGCGCCAGCTACACTCCAGAACACTAGGACAACTTTAATAAGGGGCTAAACTATTTGTGCCTGACATTGCTTGATTATCTTGCCAGGAAAACAGATGCAAGGTCCTGAGGTACTATCTCAAATACTGGCAAAGAAAGGGAGATTGAAAAGTTCATGCTTACCATGAACAAAATTTCAGATCAAAATTCTACAATGTCCTAATCTACTTACAAATTGGGGAAAGGAGTGGCACTATTTTTTCCCTGTTTCTCCTCTGCTCACAGGTGATTTCAACAGAGTCTGTTCTCAGTTCTGGACTAGTTTAACTGTAACTGGAGCCAAAACAGCTCAATAGGAAAGAACTGTTTTTTTCAGCAAATGATGCTGGAACAACTGGATAGCCACATGCAAGAGAATGGAGTTGGGTCCCTGTGTCAGTCAGCTTGGGCTGCCATCACAAAATACCATAGACTCTGGGGCTTAAAGCATAGACTTTATTGTCTAACAGTTCTGGAGGCTGGAAGTCCAAAATCAGGGGGCCAGCATTGTAGGGTTCCTGGCTTGCAGATGGCCGCCTTCTCACTATGTGCGCACATGGCAGAGAGGGAGGGAGAGAGAGAGGCAGAGAGAGAAAGATCTTCCCCTTCATACAAAGCCACAGTCCTATCTGAATAGGCTCCACCCTTGGGAGCTCATCTAGCCATAATTACCTCCTAAAGACCCTATCTCCTGATACAGTCACACTGGGAGTTGTTAGGACTTCAACATGTGAATTTGGGGGAGATACAATTAAGTCCATAGCAGTCCCATCCTCACACTACACACAAAAACTAAGTCAAAATAGATCAGAGACCTAACTGTGAGAGCAAAAACTGTAACACTTTTCAGAAGAAAATATAGGAGTAAATCTTCACCACCTTGGGTTAGAAAAGGCCTTCTTAGAAAAGATACCAAAAATACAAATGAGAAAAGGAAAAAAGATAGATAAATCAGACTTCTAATTAAAAACTATTGTGCTTTAATGGACACCATCAAGAAAGTGAAAAGACACCTCGTACAATGAGAAAGAATATTTGCAAATCATATACCCGATAAGGGACTTGTATCTGGAATATACAAAGAACTCCTACAACTCAATAATAGAGACAAAGAATTAAAACATAGGCAAAGAATCTGAATAGACCTTTCTCCAAAAAACATATAAAAATGGCCAGTAAACACGTGAAGAGGTGTTCATCATTATTAACTATCAGAAAAATGTAACTCAAAACCACAATGAGATATCACTTCATACCCACTAGACAACTATAATCAGAAAGAAAGATAATAACAAATGTTGGTAAAAATGTGGAGAAATTCAAATCTTCAATATGCCGCTGGCGGAATATGAAATAGTACAGCCACTTTGGAAAACAGTCTGGCAATTTCTTAAAAGGTTAAACCTAAAGTTATCATATGAACCAGCAATTCTATTCCTGGGTATATACTCAGGAGAAATGAAAACATATATCCACACAAAAACTTCTATACAATGTTTATAGCAGCATTATTCATAACAGCCAAAGACCAAAAGCAATCCAAATGTCTGTCAACTGATGAACAGACAAAATGGTAAATCTATACAGTAGAATATGATTTGGCCATAAAAAGGAATGAAATACTGATACAAGCTACAACAAAGATGAACCTAGAAAACACTTTGCTAAGTCAAAGACGCCAGTCACAAAAGCTGCATATTGTATGACTCAATTTCTATGATATCAGAGTAGGCAAATTATAGAGACAAGAAAGTAGATTAGCGAGTTGGCTTGCGTAGGGTGGGGTGGGAAGAAACAGGGAGTCACTGCTAATGGGTGCAGGATGTCTTCGGGGGGTGATGAAAATGTCCTAAAAATGATTGCCATGACGGCTATATGGCTCTGGGAAAATACTAAAAACAATTGCGTTGTACATTTTAAGTGGGTGAATTGTATGGTATGTGAATTACAACTCATCAATGTTGATAGATGTGTGTATGCATATATGCACAACTGAAAAAATAACATTCCCCGAGATTTGAAACAGAAGCAAAATTAAGAGAAAACGTTGGGAGTTAGACCCAACATTTGGGCTTTCATTCACTTGGGAGAAAGCGTCAAAGTGTCTGAAAGCTAGAAAAATGGAATTAAGGGAAAATATACTCAGGAAAACCAAGCTGGAGTGTAGATTGTGTTAAGCTGAACAAAATAATAAGGCACTATCTTGTTTAAAGAGGACAGAGCACTAGCATATGACTTTGACCATGCTTAGAATGCTTCCTGATAGGAAGGAAAAGGAACCCACACAGACCAGCCACATCTCCTTCCCTGGAAGTGACCCCATCTGTGATACGTGAATAACACAACTCTTCCCCCAATTATAAAAATAACATATTTAAGATAGTATAAAAATGCAGAGAATGGCGCGGGCAGGAATCATTTAATCTTGCCATGCAAAGATAAGTACTAATATTTGTCAGAGGTCCCTCCTCAGCACATTGTTCCATATATTCAAGCTCATGCAATACATACACTTTTGTATCTATATTTTACACTTAAAATCAACATTTTTCATTATCATTTCAAACTCTCATAAATATTACTTTCAATCAGAAGAATAAACCATAATTTATTTAAGAATTTTCCTAAGCCAGGGCTTTTATCTTTTCAATCTTTCACTTTTTTTTAAATGTTGCAAAGCAAATTTTGAGCATAGAGGCCAGGCATGGTGACACATGCCTGTAATCTCTGCACTTTGGGAGGCTGGCAGATCGCTTGAGCTCATGCATTTGAGACCAGCCTGGGCAACACAGCGAGACCCTGTCTCTACTAAAAATAGAAAAAAATAGTCGGGCGTGGTGGTGCACACCTGTGGTCCCAGCTACTTGGGAGGCTAAGGTGAAAGGATCCCTTCAGCCTGGGAGGCAGAGGTTACAGTGAGCCAAGATCATCCCACTGCACTCCAGCCTGTGTGACAGAGCAAGATTCTGTCTCGAAAAAAAAGAAAAAAGAAAAAAGAAACTTTCGAGCACAGATTTGTCTTATCAGATTCAATTATTTCTTAACATATAAATAATTTTATACTAAAAGGTGTGAAACTAGTGGTCTTCATAGTGCTAATCAAAAATGTTTTATTAAGTTGGTGCAAAAGTTATTACGGTTTTTGCCAGTATGGCAATTACTTTTGCACCAACCTAATACTAACTTATACATTAACAGCAGTAGGTGATACGCCCATTCACTATCAAACATGAGGACTCCTGTTCCCCTTCCAGAAGGAATCCTAAGGAAAGAATTCTCACTGCAGCATGATTTAAGATAGCAAAAATTGAAGGAAAAATAAATAGCCATCAATATTGGAAAAGTAAAATAGATCCTGGTGAGTTATTTTTCAGTGATTAAAGATAAGTGGTTTCAAAGAATATGAAAAAAAAGATTTTCAGCCTAAGCAATGTAGTGAGACCTCATCTCTACTAAAAATAAAAATTAAAAATTGTCCAGGTGTGATGGTGCACACCTGTAGTCCCAGCTACTTCGGAGGCTACTGGGAGGATCGCTTGAGCTTGGGAGGTCGAGGCTGCAGTGAGCTACAATCGAGCCGCAGCACTCCAGCCTGGGTGACACAAGCTGAAAAGAAAAAAAAAAATTCACAAATTCTCAAAAGAAATGGCTTGTATGTCAAACACCAAATTCTTTGTGAGCTCGGGTAATATAAAAACACACCAGCAGTGTAGGCCGAGCGCGGTGGCTCACTCCTGTAATCCCAGCACTTTGGGAGGCCGAGGCGGGCAGATCACAAGGTCAGGACATCGAGAGTATCCTGGCTAACACGGTGAAACCCCATCTCTACTAAAAATACAAAAAATTAGCCGGGCGTGGTGGCGGGCGCCTGTAGTCCCAGCTACTCAGGAGGCTGAGGCAGGAGAATGGCATGAACTCAGGAGGTGGAGCTTGCAGTGAGCCGAGATCGCGCCACTGCACTCCAGCCTGGGCGACAGAGTGAGACTCCATCTCAAAAAAAAAAAAAAAAAACAAAAACAAAAACACCAGCAGTGATTAAGTCTGGGTTGTGGGATCATGAGTGATTTTGTTTACTTATTTGCACTTTTCTCTATATTCCAATCTGCCTATACTGACAACTTACTACTTTCATAGTTTTTAAAAATCTTTGATTTTATAAATTAGCCCATAAGTAAATTTGCTTTCAGAGACTATCCTGCATAGAAAAGGTGGAAGGTGGAAATCCACAGGTGCAATTGAAACATGGTCAGGGGGCCAGGCGCAGTGTCTCAAGCCTGTAATCCAAGCACTTTGGGAGGCCAAGGTGGGCGGATCACCTGGGGTCAGGAGTTCAAGACCAGCCTGGCCAACATGGCGAAACCCCGTCTATACTAAAAATACAAAAATTAGCCAGGTGTGATGGTGTGTGCCTGTAATCCCAGCTACTTGGAAGGTTGAGGCAGGAGAATCACTTGAACCCATGAAACAAAGATTGCAGTGAGCCAGTGGGCGACAGAGCAAGGCTCCATCAGAAAGAAAGAAAGAAAAGAAAGAAAGAAAGAAAGAAAGAAAGAAAGAAAGAAAGAAAGAAAGAAAGAAAGAAAGAAAGAGAGACAGAGGGGGGGGGAGGGAGGGAGAGAGAGAGGAAGGAAGGAAGGAAGGAAGGAAGAAGGCAAGAAAGGCAGGCAGTGGGGGATCCGGAGTCTTGCAGCTCTGGCTTCTAGCTCCATCCATGCTGCCTTCTGGGTGTGCTTTGTGTCAAGGCCTTGACTGGACCTCATTCCTCATTGTTACAGGGAAATGGCAGGCTACCTGTATGCACTAATGATCCTGAGCCCATGTTCCTCAAGAGTGCCATCCCAGGGCTGGGCTGCAGCCGTCTAATGTGCATTAACAGTTGATGCACATGAGGCAAGCATCCAAGAAAGGATTCTACATTTCCTGCCAAGCATGGGAGAAGGTGAACCTGGATAATGCTTGCACTTGGGAAGCTAAACACAATTTCAGCTTCAAGGAAACCCCCAGATTGCAAAATTCTTGGACAGAAAGCAAAATATATCTAATATTTCTGCCACCATCTCTGTGAGTTTTCTGCCACCATTCTCCACCATGACCTCTGATCTGTCTAGCAGCCTGCTGGATTTCACACGAGCAAAGCTAAAATGGGAGGAAAGAGGGCATATGAAAAAAAAATTAGATTGACAGAAAACCCAGAGTCAATAGGACAGTCTAGACTCCCCAGCTTGTAAACTATTCATAATGACTCACTCAATAGTCAGGCATTGACAACAAGCTGAATGACTGTGGACCTAGAGCTACAATATTGGCAATGTTATCTTTAATTTGAAGAGCTCAAATAATTCTGGGAGGCATTAATCAGGTAAAGAAACACTTGCCCTGGATCAAAAATTAGTGTCAGTTGGTTACCAAGGATGGGAATATGGTTAACCATATTCTTTTATTTCCCAGGTTATTGTCATAACATCTCTGTATAATTTTATATACCCATATGCACAAGTGGCCAGAAATCCCTTTCTAGCCAGCAGGGACCCACAAGGTTCTGTTTAGCAGATTTATCCCAATAATCTATCCTCATTAATACTGTATAAGAAACCACCTAAAAATCCAATGGCTTAAAACAACAAGGATTTCGCTGGGTATGGTGGCTCATGCCTGTAATCCCAGCACTTTGGGAGGTCAAGGTGGGCAGATCACCTGAGGTCAGTAGTTCAAGACCAGCCTGACCAACATGGAGAAACTCCATCTCTACTGAAAATACAAATTAGCTGGGCATGGTGGTGCATGGCTGTAGTACCAGCTACTCGGGAGCTGAGGCAGGAGAATCACTTGAACCTGGGAGGCAGACATTGCAGTGTGCCAAGATCACGCCATTGCACTCCAGCCTGGGCAACAAGAGCGAAACTCTGTCTCAAAAACAACAACAACAACAACACAAGAATTTAGTCTCACGTCTACAGGTCTGCAAGACTGACTGTGGTTCAGCGGCTCTAGGCTGAGCAAGGCTACAGTTCGGCTGTGCTTAACGCCAACCTGTCCTTAGCTCCAGCCTATAGGTTGAGCTGTAGGCAAGCGTGTTCATTCTGGGCCTAAGCTGAGTGGATAACAGCTGCCTGGGGAAAGTTCTTCCCATCATGGTCACTGAGATACAAAAAGATCAAGCTTTAATGCGCAAGCTCTTTTCAAGCCTCTGCCATCACATCTAACAAGTATTCTTTTTGGCCAAACCCAAAGTTAAGGGGCAAGAAGGACACTCCTCCCACCATGAGGTCACAGCAAGGGTGTTGATGAATAATTCTCTTTAAGTGCTGTGATGAATTGAGAATAGCAATTCTATTATCCACTGTGATGGTTAAATCTCCACTGGTTAAATCTTGACCAGTTCCTCTTCTGACTACTTCTGATTTTCTCCTTTGGCTTCCCAGACCACATGCACAACCCCTGCAGGTGAGCCAGAATGCCAAGAAGTCAGCATTATAAGGCTAAATAGAGAAAGAACAAGTTTTCTTTTTGGAAAGTTCCTCCCAACCTGCGATGTGTCAAGACATCACCATTAATTGGAAGGGGACACGATTATGCAAAATAACTGAGTATAAAGAACTTAGAGACAAAAGGGGAGTGAGGGGAGGAAGGAGATGTAGCAGTTTGAACTATACGAGGTTTAAATTAATTTCAACCAAAACATAACAAGCAAAGGATGTTCTCCTGATTATCTTATGTTTACTATTATATTTCAAAGGCAATACATGCTTATTGTGTGTGGGGGGAATCAATCTAGTGAGTAGAAAACACAACCATCTAAAACCCCATCACCCCTAATTAGCTGCCATTCAAATCCTTTATACATGGACTACTTTGGGCATTGGAAATCAAGGTGCTGCTACCTAAACAGTGTCGTGAAAATTTTAAGGCTCTGAGAAAATGTTAAGGCCATTTGAACACCAGAAATTCTTGTTCTCATCTCTCAACTACAAATGCCTAGGTGAGTTCTCGCTTACAGATTTTTTTCAAATTTACAGTATATGCAATTTATTTATTTATTTATTTTTGCAAAAATGGGGTCATCTATTACATACCACTTTTCACATTAGAACAATTTTCCTCATCAACAAAGATATGTCTATATCATCATTTTAAATTCTGCCTTATATTTCATTTATAAATTACCATAAATTACTTAACCAACACCCCATTGATGGAAGTTTAGGTTATTTCCAGTTTTTCACAATTACTTTCTGCATGCATAATAACTCACGTCACTTCATATACAAACTGAGGCATTTATTTTCATTTTCAGATCTAAGAAATCTAAGCAGTGCCTTATTGACAATAAATAGAACCACCCTTGTGGTGTTAAAATGTGGGCAGCAAGAAAGGAAATAGTGTGGTTGGGTGGAGATTAGTCATTTTTGAAAGAGCACGTATGTACATTTTGCACGTTGGTGACAATTCACTCAAAATTTTAAAGAACCCAGCTTAAGTTTTGAATCAGCCTGAAGCACTCCGAACTTCAGATGCTCATCTCAGCCTCTTAAGTCTGCCAACCAAGCTGGAGACAAAACAAGATCTGGCTCCCTGGTGGCCGCCTGGGAATCCTGCCCTTGGCGTCATTTCTGGAAGGGCAAAAGAACCCTACGGACTCTTGTATCACTAGGATAGAAATGCCACCCAGCTCCTCAGCCCATCTCCATCACCATGGCAGTGGGGAGGGGCCTAGGCATTATCAGAATGGGTCAGGACTAGCTCAGAGCCAGTGTCAGGCTGGCTGACTGTAAACTAAGCCAGGCTTTCAAGGGAAGGCTTTTGAAGGAAATAAGCCAACAAAACAGCATCAGAAACTGAGGAACCATTCCTTCTCCAACTCTACCCCCCAAGAGATACCAAGGTCACACAGGATACAGCAGTTGTTGAAATTATTACTGCTATGGAACAGAGCTTTTTTGGCACCGGAAGAAGTCATTCTCTTCTGTCAACCCTCTTTTCCTTTCCCTTGGATTTTCAATCCTCCCCATAGAAAATCAAGACCGCCCAGCAAAGAACATGCTTACCCAAAAGACCACAGTGCCATTCAGAAACAAGAAATTCCAACTCTACCATACATATAACCTTCTATCCATCCTCTGACCTTCTGACTTCATAATGTATCTTCCCAAGATAAATAGATGCATGGCATGTTAAAGCCTAGGAGGACCATGGAGATTGTGTCAATATCTTTATCCTTCAGTGAATAGATGGAGGCCTCAGAGAGGATGAGCAACCTGCCCATGGCCCCACAGAATTGGTGGCAGAGCCCAAGACTGTTGGCCCCCAACCACACTGTCCAGACTTCAAAAGCTGATCCTCTTGCCAATGCCCCCACACTAGTAACAGCCTTTTTGCCTGAATGTCTCTCAGTGATGTCATGAAGACAAATTACTGTCTAGCTGTATGGTTCTTTAGTCCTTGCTGTATGTTATTGTACCTGGCAGGCCCTCATGGAAACTAAGCTGGAAAGAAATGAAGGAGCTCAACTTGGTTAAAACCATTGACAGAACACTCATCCCCCATCTTTTGCTCTCTAGACAACCGCAGGTAAATGTGAGGCGTTTGAGAGAGTTAAGCCTTCTGTATCAGTTAAGCTAAAAGAACAGTTTATTTCATACCCCTAAACTTCACAGGAATAGAACACAAGCTACCAGGCAGCAAGAACAAAGGAACAGACTAGATACATTTATTTTTCAGAAATTTTAAGCCATGGAAGAACAAAAAAAAATTCTTCAAAGAAAATTTAGGGGCAGGGGATTGAAATACATGCAAAACTTATTTTTAGTGCCCTTTACAGATATAAAGTCATGCTGTTCGTTTAGGAACAAAAAAATGCATTATGTATAACTTGTTTCACTCATAAAATTACCATGTTTTGTATATTGATATATTTAGACATTGGGAGATCTGAAAAAAGCATTTTTATGATTTCTTTCCTGGTTATTTTCTCGGGCAAAAGGGAGGTTTTTAAAAAAAAAAAGTCCTCAGTGGAAAAACTTTTCAGAATTTTGAGAAAATTTACAGATTTTAGAGGATTTTTACTTTTCCCAAAATGACTAAGTCATCAGGTTCTCAAGTCATTGAACTCTAATGTGTTCAACCAGCGTCCTCTACTTATCAAGATAATAGCACAACCGGGTTTAGTAATGGTGACCTATTGTGGAACTTTCAAAAGTCCACTGTAGAAGTCCCACAAATTTGAAATTCACTTTGCCCTCCAAGGTAAATCTTTTCTGTTCTTCCCACTGTAGCACTACTTAAAGTCCATTTCTAGAAATGAACTGGGAGAGGTCATAAGTCATTTAATTTAGACCCTACATGAGCACAAATCCTGTCTATACGAGGTCTACAAATGGTCAACTATCCCTTGCTTCTCCACAGTCAATGGTCTAAGGCCTAATTGTCATGCTTTACCATATACATTTATGAATGTGTGATGATCTGAGCCATTTCTGTCTTCCTCACTAGACTGCAGCTGCCATCAGGGCAAGAAGCAAACCTTCTCTGCTGACTATTTTGTCCTGAATGTCTACCAGCAATGGGAACAGAGCAGTAAATCTATGCTCATATCTTCTGAGATAGCTCTTAATATTACAATTTCTCTCTGTGTATTGAACTTATATTACTTTCCCTATAACTTCTATGTACTGAGTGGATTCTGCCCTTCTTGTCCATCTAGATCTTTCACAAGACAGCCCTTCAAATATATGAAACATGTCATCCTCCACTCTTCTCTCCTCTAGGCTAAATATCCTGTTTCTTCAGCTTCTCCTCTAGGCTAAATATCCTCAGCTGTCCCACATGTGGTGTGATTTTTCAGTTCCTTCATTACCTTGGATGCCCTTCTCGGAAGACATCACTGCTCTGGTTCTATAAACCCACACGGCTAACATGGAAGGGGAGCAGTTTCTGGAATGGAAGGTTATTGACATATTAAGCGATCTCCCCCAAAAATGGTTCCAAAGTCTGGGACTAAACCAGAACCCTGTAATGCTCTTTGCCACAAACTGATTGGTGACCAAGTCACCTTCTACAGTTACATAAGGCATTTAGAAAGACACAAGGAACAGATAGAGGAGTGACTGGTGACCAAGACTGCTAGTTGTCCGCTAAAATACATTCTCCCCTTCCTCTATGGCAATACAACCCCTAATTTTTAGCTGGACATGTAGCTGTCTACAGTAAAGGCAGTGTTTCCCAACCTGTCTTGTAGCTTAGTGTGGCCCTGTGAAAAAGTTTTTGTTAATGGAATGAGTTAGGAATGGAATGAGCAGACTTTGAGAACCTTCCCTAAGAGATGGCACACCTGCACTCTTGGCACAGCTGCTCTATATTTCTTCCATTCTTTTCCCTCAAATGCCAGCATCTGAGACTATGAGCCCAAAGTCACACACAAATCAAGGAGTGTCTGTCTACAATACTTTTTTTTTTGGTCTGAAAAAGAAATAAACTGCTATCATGTTCAAACCATTGTTACCCTGGGTTTTTGTTGTTGTTTTTGTTGTTGTTGCTGTTGTCACAGCCAAAACTAATCCTGATAGTCTATTGCTATGTCTTCAACCTTATTCAAGTAGTTTTGTAACTGAAGCAGCACATGGTGTAATTAAACACGAACCTGCAAGCTGATAACTTTCCCAGTGTCGCCTACCCTGCCAAGGATGAGGGTGGCAAGCTTAGGGTCTGGCATCAGAGAGGGTGTCTGCAGCTCTAACTGAAAAGAGCTTCCAAGAGCTGACTCTCTTCCCAGTAAAAAAAAAAAAAAGAAAAAAATACGAAGAGAAAAGGGAGGTGATGCCACCATACAAGAGGAAGGCATAGGTATTATTTTGCAAAAGAGGATATACTATTTTTCTTCTCCCTTCATTACATTTTTGAGATTTAATGGCTAATTTCAAAATTGCTTAATGGGTCAAAAGCACAGCCCTCAGATAGAGTAGGACAATCCATGGACCCTAGGGAACCTGCAGAGACGCTCACATGGAGGTGAGTGGCAGGAACACCAAATGGCGGAGCACGCCTGAGGCCGGGGAAAGGCAAGTCTAGAAGACTCCACCTTCACAGGTAGGGGTGACAGGCTTCCCAAAGACTGGAATTTCAGCTCCCATGTGCCATTTCCTGATTTAATGTCAGTCATTTGCCAGTTCTTGTTAAAATCAAACTTCTATTACAAAAAACTTAGAAATGGTCAAAGTACTAAGAAGAGGCAGGTTGTAGTAGCTCCGTATTTTCAAATATTCCCAGGCATTATGTTTCTGCTTAGAATGTAGAAAGTCACAGGAGACCATGGTTCTCCCCTTACATTAAGAACAAGCTAAATAAGCTACTAATCATGTTCTAAAACTCATCACAAAGAGCTGAGGACACAAAGAAATGAAAACAAAGTAAATTCCAGAAAGTGATAAGCACTTTCTAGGAGAGGAGAGACCTATGGCTGCTTTCATCCCTGACAGAGTAAAGAGGAGAAATCAGCCAGAGACAGAGATAAGGAGAAACCAGCCAAACTTTTAATAAAAGTTAATTATTGCAAGCGTGAAGCTGGGCACGGTGGCTCACACTTGTAATTCCAGCAACTTGGGAGGCCAAGGTGGGCAGATCGCTCGAGCTCAGGAATTCAAGACCAGCCTGGGCAACATGGTGAAACTCCATCTCTACTAAAAATACAAAAGTTACCCGGGCGTGGTGGCAGGCACCTGTAGTCTCAGCTACTCAGGAGGCTCAGGTGGGAAGATTGCTTGAGTCCGGGAGGTTGAGGCTGCGGTGAGCTAAGATTACACCACTGCACTCCAGCCTGGTTCACAGAGCCAGAACTTCTCTCAAAAAAAAGCAAGTTTATTAGAAACTTTTTCCTAGAATGCTTCTATCTTAGACCATGACCTACTATTAATAGAACACCAAGCAGCTCCAGCCTCAGAGCAAGTCGGCACCTACCCACCTCTTCTCCATAGGCCTTCACTAGTGCATGGGACTACTAGACAGAAGTCTGAAGGCAAAGCAAGAGACCTAAGAGAGTGCCGCACACACCTTGAAACCTCTGGAAAAAATGCATTTTCCATACATATCACTTAATCAAGTAATTTTGTGCCGTATTTCATCATATTCAAGACACTATCAATTATAAGATGCACCATTATTTTAGGACCACTACATATAACTAATGTATTAAGGATAGTAATGTGCAACACATGAATGACTCACACTGTCCTCTCGTTACCTAGAAATCTGAGATTTGCTTATTTCTCCTGCCTTAGGTTGCAGCGTTTCAAATGCAACAGTGCAGTGTCATAATGTAATCTTTCTGAAGACATTTCTGATCCCACTTAAATTCAACATTTGTACTTCTGACAATGAACATAACCCAAGTGAAGTGCAGACATTGTGCCAATCTTTGAAGAAGCTCACACATAAGTAAACAATGACTACGTCTGACTGCTGCCTGGCCCACAATGTTTGTGAGACACCGCTGCTGGTAAGAGACTTCCCAATTTCAGAGGTTAATATGAGCCCAAAATGTGCACTTTAGGATCATCACAATATGAACAAAAAATTTTCCTCCCGATCAGTACTATCTATGACTCTTCTGTTACTTGTGTATTTCTAAATGTCTTATGTATCTATAGAAAGGACCCCACATTTGCATTTTCCTTTCTCTTCTCATCATTATGTCTATTCAGAGTTCTCTCCTTCAGTGGTGATACTAGATTTTTTTAATTGACAGATAAAGTTGTATGTTATTTATCATGTACATGATAGTCTGATGTACATGTATTTCAAGCTAAGCATGGTGGCTTATGCCTATAATCCCAGCACTTTGAGAGGCTGAGACAGGAATTTGCTTGAGGCCAGGAGTTTGAGACCAGCCTTGGCAACATAGTGAGAACTCATCTCTACAAAAAATTTTGAAAATTAGCTGAGCATGGTGGCATGCACCTGTAGTCCCAGCTACTCAGGAGGCTGAGGTGGGAGGATTGCTTGAGCCCAGGAGATCAAGGCTGCAGTGAGCCATGATAGCACCACTGCATACTCCAGCCTGGGCAACAGAGTGAGACCCCCCTCCCTAAAGAAAAAAAAAAAAAAAGCATCTCCTCATATTCCTTACATAGTCATTACTTTTGTGGTGAGAACACCTAACATCTACTCTCTTAGCATCAGAGGTGATATTTTAAAATAAGGAATGAAGTGTGTGTAGAAGATAGTCAGGAGGGATATCCCCAAAATACAAATATTACCTGTGGGTGGTTATCTATGAGTGGTAGGATAACGGGTGATTTTTATTTTCTTCTCTTGGTTTATTATATTTTATAATTTTCCATAAAAACTATTATTACTTGGGTAATTTCTAAACATTTAAAAGAAATAAGCCTAATGCAAAATGTTTTAAAATATCATTTGAAAAAAGGGTAAACAAAATCAAAATACAAATGATAGCTGGGATAAATACATACAACACAAAATAACCAATATCCAACTCAATACAATAGAACAGGCAACTCACTCAAGAAGGAATACACAGGGCCAATAAATGTATGAAAAGTTGCTCATCTGAATTAAAGCAACAAAGAGATGCCATTTTTTTTTCACTCCTCAGGTTGGCAAGAAAACATTGTTTAAATTAAAAACCTATAGCATTCTGTGCTAGCAAGCATGAGAAGAAGCAACCACTCTCACACACTGCTAATGGAATGGGAATCGCTACATCCTTTTTTGGAAATCCGGATGGTAACAGCTACTAAAAATTGAAAAACACATAGCCTTTAACCCAGCAACCCCACCTCTAGGACTCTATGCTATGGAAATGAAAGTGCTATATATTTGTAAGTGAATTTTTAGTTTTAGAATAGTTTTAAATTTACAGACAACTTATAAAAATAGTACAGGGAATTTGCATACACCCTACACCCAGTTTTTCCTACAAACATCTTACATTAGTATGGTATATTTGTCACAACTAATGAACCAATATTGATATATTATTAACTAAAGTCCATATTTTGTACAGATGTCCTTAGTTTTCACCTACATCCTTTTACTATTTCAGGATCCCATCCAAGGTACCACATAGTATTTGATCATCCTGCCTTCTAAGGCAGCAGTCCCCAACGTTTCTGGCACCAGGAACCAGTTTCTTGGAAGACAGTTTTTCCACAGACATGAGGGGCAGGCAGAGGAATGAGATGGTTTCCAGATGAAATCATTCCACCTCAGATCATCAGGCATTAGTTAGATTCTCATAAGGAGCCCACAACCTAGATCCCTCGTATCCATAACCATAGTTCACGTTAGAGCTTGCCTCCTATGAGAATCTAGTGCCGCCACTGATCTGGCAGGAGGCAGAGCTCGGGTGCTAATGCTCTGGCCCACCTCACACCTCCTGCTGTGCGGCCGGGTTCCTAATAGGCCACAGACCAGTACCAGTCCACCGCTTGGGGGTTGGGGAACCCTGACCTTTTTTTCTTTTCTTTCTTTTTTTTTTTTTTTTTTGAGACAGGGTCTCACTCTGTGACCCAGGCTGGATGGAGTGCAGTGGTGCATTCACAGCTCACTACAGCCTCAGCTTCCTGGGCTCAAGCAATCCACTCACCTGGGCCACACAAAGTCCTGGGATTACAGGTGTGGGTCACCATGCCCAGCCAGGGGCCCCTGTTCTAAGGCTCTTCTACACTGTGACAGTTTCTCAGACTTTCCTTGTTTAGTGTTTATCTAATTGACAAATAATAATTGTACCTATTCATGGGGTTCGTAGTGATGTCTTGATATACATAATGTATAGTGATCAGATCAGGGTAATTAGCAAATCCATCATCTCAAATATTTATCACTTCTTTGGGCTGGGAACATTAATATCCTCCTCCTATTTGAAACTATATATTAACTACAGTCATGTTACAGTGGTGTAGAACACTAAAACTTAATCCCTCTATTTAGCTGTAATTTTGTAACAAATCTCTCCATATCCTCCCCTTCCCCTTAGCCTTCCCAGCCTCTAGCATTCTCTGTTCTACTTTTTACTTCTACAAGATCCATTTATTTTAGCTTTCATGTAAGACTGAGAAATGCAGTGTTTAACTCTGTTCCTGGTATATTTCACTTAACATCATGTCCTCCAGTGCCACCCATGTTACCATGAATGACAGGATTTCATTCATTTCAATGGCTGAATAGTATTCCATTATGTATATATACCACATTTTCTTTATCCATTCATCTAGGTTGATTCTATATATTGGCTATTGTGAATAGTGCTGCAATAAATATGGGGCTGCAGATGTCTCTTCAATATAATGATTTCCCTTCCTTTGGATAAATGCCCAGCAGTGGGATTGCTGGATCATACGGCAGTTCTATTTGTAGTTCTTTGAGGAACCTCCATACTGTTTTCCAAAGTAACTATGCCAGTTTACATTCCTACCAACTGTGGATAGGAGTTCCCTTTTCTCTGCATCCTCACCAGCATGTTATTTTTTTGTCTTTTTGATAGTAGCCATCCTAAGTGAGATGCGACGATACCTTATTGTGGTTTTGATTTGCACTTCCCTGATGATTAGCGATGTTGAGCATTTTTTCGTATATTTGTTGGCATTTGTATGTCTTCTTTTGAGAAATATCTGTTTAGGCCATTTACCCATTTTTCAACTGAATTGTGTGCTCTTCTGCTGTTGAGAAGTTTGAGCTCCTTGTATATTCTGGATATTAGTCCCCCATTGGATGAGTACTTTGCAAAAATTTTGTCCTATTCTGTAGGCTGTCTTTTCACTCTGTTGATTGTTTCTGTTGCTGTGCAGAGGCTTAGCAGTTTGATATAATCCTATTTATTTATTTTTTGGTTTTATTGCCTAGTAAGCACTCATTTTGAATGATATATTTACAAGAATATTTACTGCAGCATTACATCTAGAGGTAAAAACTAGAAACTTCTTAAAATCCATTAAATGAAGATTAAATAAATTTGGGAACACCCATACCCTTCAGATAACTCTAAAGCTATTAAAAAGAATGATTTAGCTATTTTGATCTGGAGAGAGATCCATAGCAAAATGTTATATGAGAAAAACAAGTCACATAGAACTAAATACACTTTGATCCTAATTTTTCGAAGTAAATTTATATATTTTTATTAGCTTGGGAAAAGTCATGAAAAGATGCAGAATAGGTCATTGTCATTGGTTACCTTAGGGAACCAGGGGTAGAATTGCTGAAATGAGGCCGGGCGCGGTGGCTCACGCCTGTAATCCCAGCACTTTGGGAGGCCGAGGTGGGTGGATCATGAGGTCAGGAGATTGAGACCAACCTGGCTAACACACTGAAACCCCGTCTCTACTAAAACTACAAAAAATTAGCCGGGCGTGATGGCAGGCACCCGTAGTCCCAGCTACTTGGGAGGCTGGGGCAGGAGAATGGCGTGAACCCGGGGCACAGAGCTTGCAGTGAGCTGAGAATTGCTGAAATGATGAGAACAATGCTTAATTTTTTTACTTCTTTCTTCATATTATTTTACTAGTGATAAAGAACATCTGTGAATTCTCCAATTTTGGAAACGTAATTTAATAGAAGATTTTTTTAAACTGAAGAATATATGCCGTGCATCCTATCTTTCTGGAGTGGTGCAGATTCAAGATTTGGTCTTCCTCCAGGTGACAGAATGAATCCATCTTCTGCTTAGCTGAGTTAAGCCAATAAGTTTCCTTAGGCAACCTGATTCTTTGCCTGATCTTTTGATATATTAACTTTTTTTTTTTTTTTTTTTTGAGACAGAGTCTCGCCCTATCACCCAGGCTGGAAAACAGTGGTGTAATCTTGGCTCACTGCAACCTCTGCCTCCCAGGTTCAAGCGATTCTCCTGCCTCAGCCTCCCCAGTAGCTGGGATTACAAGCACGTGCCACCACACCCAGCTAATTTTTTTGTATTTTTAGTAGAGATAGGATTTTAGCATTTTGGCCAGGCTGGTCTCGAACTCCTGACCTCAGGTGATCTGCCCACCTTGGCCTCCCAAAGTGCTGGGATTACAGATGTGAGCCACCATGCCCGGCCATGATGTATGAATATTTTTATGTTTTTATTTCTTGAAAAAAGTTCTAGTGTAGTCATTCTATCATAAGGCTAACTGGATACAGCATCTCTAACCAAACTATGCCATGCCATCATACGCACCCCAATAATTCCAGGAAGGATGTTGTGTGGTTAAGTGAGAAAGAGTTGTCAATCCTTGGCAAGAAGGGGGGTAATGTTCCCAAAAGTGAATGTAAGATGAAGATTTGAAAGCTGTTCCAATGAGATCTCTTTGGTTCCTTCCATTCTAGCCCAGTCTCCTTGCTTCCATCAGCCACCACTGCAGTTCAGTCGGGCCGAACAGCTGTACAATTGAGAGGGATTTAAACTGTCCCCCAAGTTTGCCTCCTGCACAGCACCCAGAGTTCTGCTGAAGATGCCAACAGGTGCCATGCATCCATGCCAGCACAGGGGTCCCTTAGTGAGAAAGGCCCTCACAGCCACAATAACCATCCAGTGGGGCTTGGCAATCAAGAACCTAATTAAAAGATAACTTGTCAAGAGAAACTCTAGTTGAAGTCTGCCCCATCTTTACATGAAAAATATGTGGCTCTGTTATAACAGTGGTCAAACCTCTCTCAAAACTATGAGACCCTGGGAGAAAGCAGTGACATTCTTCTATTTGTTCTTTTCCCAAGAATAGGGAACAAAAAATTACTTTCCTCTGCTTTTCAGTAATTACCAAATCAAATGGCCTGAAGCTTTCTTACTATCTAACCAGAAAGCAGATCCCTTGCCAGATTCCTAGTTGATAAAGTCATCACCAGACACCGTATTGTGGCTCCTAGGCTTTCATCTGGGGACACAGATTGGAAGGGAAAAAAGGCACAGGCTTTTACTGGTCTGGGAACGGTCAGATGATAAAATCGGGATCTGTGATGATCCAGCAAGCATCCGCTGAGAGGCAAGATTATTTGAACACTAATTATTCTTATGTGCCTGATAGTTCAGGAAGACCCATGAGCCTATATTTCTCCCCATGCTTCAACTGCACATATAAAATTGCTGTTTATACCAACTCTCTCCTCCAGGCAGCTGTTTACCCAAGAGAGAGGCAGGACTTTGGAGTTCATCAGCTTCCAACAAATTTTCAGGAAGGAGCCCGGTATATTCTCTTCTACCCACGTGTTCCGAACTTATTACAGACAAGACAGCGGGAGGATCTCAGAGAACAAGAGCCTAAAACTAGTGACTACTGAGGTTACAGATAGAGTGGACAACTGACATTTGCCTCCTTAACATCCATTCTACCTTTTTTTGCCTACAGCTAAAGACTTTTGTTTCAGGAATATATCAGTCAGAGTTGTCCAGGAAAACTGAGTGGGCACACACACACACACTCACACACACACACACAGAGAGAGAGAGAGACTTATTATGGGAATTAGCGCACATGATTATGAAACTGAGAAGTCCCACCATCTGCTGTCTGCAAGCTAGAGAAGCAGGAAAGCCAATGGTAATTCAGTCTGAGGCCAGAGGCCTGAGAATGGTGTGGGGACTGCTGGTGTAACTCCTAGAGTCCAAAGGACTGAGAACCAGGAGCTCCAGTGTCCAAAGGCGGGAGAAAACAGATGTCCCAGCTCAAGGAGAGAGAGTGAATTTGCCCTTCCTCTTCCTTTTTGTTTTATTAGAACGCTCAAACAGATGAGATGATGCCTGCCCACACTGATGAAGATTATCTTCTTTACTCAGCCTACTGATTCAAGCACTAATCTCTTTTGGAGACACCCTCCCAGACACACCCAGAAATAATGTGTTGCAAGCTATCTGGGCATCCCTTAGCTCAGTCAAGTTAACACCTAAAATCAGCCCTCACAAGAATCTACCTCTCCTTCTCTCAGTCAAAGCGCTGCATTCTCTGCAATAATCCAATAGCACCCATAATATGCAATAGCACCAATGAGATGAAATGGAACTTTTGCTGGGACTTCTGGAAAAGTGACCTGATATGTTTTCCCCTGAGACTTGAAGGTGAGAAGAGGTGAGCGTGGAGTTGTGCAGCCACCGTGACCCCAAAGGAAGAGACTCTGAGAATAAGGCCAAGATGAAGGTGGCTAGGGTCATGACATACATAGAAAGGGGGCATGATGGCAGCAATGTGAAAACAAGCAGCCCCCCAGGCCCAGAGCATCACATGAATAATAAATTCCCTTTTTGCCTAAGCTATTTGGGGTAGGACTGCTTTTGTCGAGTGCTAAAGAAAGCATCCTGTCTGATAAGACATGATATGGCAAAAAAAAAAACCACAGGTCAGAATGAGACCAGTCACATGTTCTCTGTTTTCCATTTTAAATTTCCAAGCATGTGCTCACTATTCACATGGCCAAGGAAGGTGTCACATTATCACCTGAGGAGGGGCTCCTTCCAGTTTGTTTCAGCCTTCTGTAGGAGACATCTATTTTCAGAACAAGAAATCCTGATGGGAGGCCAATGTATTGCTTACTGTCATTTTAATTTTATTCTTATTAATAGTAATTACGATGCATCTCTCAATATCCAGAGATCATTCAGTTAATCCAACATTGGCAGGAGGTGTGTTCTCCACATTTGTGGAGACAGTTTTGCTATTAGTCATCCACATTCTCATATGGCCCCCATGGTGACAATGGCTTATCCAAATCCTCCCTAGTCCTCCTGTGTGTTTTAATTAAGTTGGCCACTCTACACTAGCCACTTAAGAAAGATAGGGTTATTGGGGACTGTACACAGCAAAGGAAAAGATAGAGAAGCCATCACTCTATTCTCCCACTCTAGGTCCCAATGCAGCGTATTCCTCCAATCTGATATTTCTTGCTCAGGATGAATGAAGCATGAGGATGTTCATTACCTCCCTTAACGTATAACTTGGCAATTGAAAGACAGTCCCCTCTTTTTTTTTTTTTCTTGCCTTTCTTTTATGATGGAAATTGTAAATATCAGGTTAGGTCTCAAATTATCATCCAGCTAAACAAGACATGCACCAAAGCACTCACTCTGAGGAGGACTTACAACTCTCAGGGTGCTCCCACTCATCCAGATGGCTAGGAAACAGCTGATCCCCCTCTCCATGGCCATGAGATCAGAATGGGGACCTGCCCTTCATTGGCTAGTTTCTTTTTAAGATCCAGGCAGAGGAGTTGAGAACTAATTGTTATTGGCTGTGCTAGTGTATTGTCCTGAGATTCCTGTGCCTTCAGAAGAGAATTTTTGGAGGGGCTGAGGTCTTAGAAAGTCAGACAAAATAACTGCTAAATGAACACTGTTGATTTCCAAACCAAATCATACTTAATGACTATGCCTGGCCAGGCACATTGGCTCATACCTGTAATCCCAGTACTTTAGAAGGTCGAGGTGCGAGGATTGCTTGAGGCCAGGAGTTCAAGATTAGCCTGGGCAACCTAGTGAGACCCGTCTCTAATTCCAAATTTTTTTGAAAAAGAAGAAAAAATATCTACACCTGGCTGGGCATGTTGGCTCCTGCCTGTAATCCCAGCACTTTGGGAGGCCGAGGCAGGAGGATCACCTGAGGTCAGGAGTTTAAGACCAGGCTGTCAACATGGTGAAACCCCGTCTCTACTAGAAATAGAAAAATTAGCCAGGTGTTGTGGTGCACGCCTGTAATCCCAGCTACTCGGGAGGCTGAGACATGAGAATCACTTGAACCTGTGAGGCAAAGGTTGCAGTGAGCCGACAGCACCACTGCACTCCAGTCTGGGCAACAGAGGGAGACTGTCGCAAAAGTTACAAAAAAAAAATTATATATATACATACACATATACACCTAACATGATCAACGTGGCTTTTCCTTCACCTTTCTCCAAGGGCAAAAGTTGAGTAACAATAACAATATTCTGTGGGAAATTCCTGGTCTGATACATCCAAATCCTTCCAAATTGGCACTTGTATTCCTTTTCCTTTACTTTCTCAAGGTGAGATAATCACAAACAGGATTTAAAGAAACCTCACACATGCTGGCAAGGTGGAGAGTAAGAATGCACAACGGAGCCAAGGAAAGAGAACAAGGCTCCTTCCCACCTGGCCCCACGCATCTTATCAGCTTTAACTCCAAGAGCCTGTGTTCGCCTCTTCCTCGTGAAGGATGGGGCACCTGACGTCTTGCAGCTGAACTTACGATTACATTGCAGCAGAACACATCAAAAGAACAAATCCAAATAATGACATAAGGGAAAATAATCAAAGAAATTCAAGAAGTAATCCAAGAAATCATAGCCAGGGAGCGTCAGTGCACAGAGAACTCAGAATCCTTTCCAAAATCAAAGAATCATTGTGTCAGTAAAATTCAGAAGAGAAAACACACAAACTGCTTTTCCTCTGCTTTCACGCAACAAACAACACGGACACAAGCTGCATGTCCTTCAATTCAATGCCAATGCTATCTATCTGAAGATAGCATCCCATCCTGTTACCGGAAAGGGGCCCCGATCCAGACCCCAAGAGAGGGTTCTTGGAGCTCGCGCAAGAAAGAATCGAGGCAAATCTAAAAAGTGAAAGCGGCCGGGCGCGGTGGCTCACGCCTGTAATCCCAGCACTTTGGGAGGCCGAGGCGGGCGGATCACAAGGTCAGAAGATCCAGACCATCCTGGCTAACACGGTGAAACCCCATCTCTACTAAAAATACAAAAAATTAGCCGGGCGTGGTGGTGGGTGCCTGTAGTCCCAGCTACTCCGGGCGGCTGAGGCAGGAGAATGGAGTGAACCCGGGAGGCGGAGCTTGCAGTGAGCCGAGATCGCGCCACTGCACTCCAGGCTGGGGACAGAGCGAGACTCCGTCTCAAAAAAAAAAGGTAAAAGAATGAAACAATGGCTACTCCATAGGCAGAGCAGCCCCAAGGGCTGCTGGCTGCCCATTTTTACTGTTAGTTCTTGATGATATGCTAAACACGGGGTGGATTATTCATGCCTCCCCTTTTTAGACCATATAGGATAAGTTCCTGACGTTGCCATGGCATTCCTAAACTGCCATGGCTCTGGCGGGAGTGTAGCAGTGAGGACAACCAGAGGTCAATCTCTTTGCCATCTTGGTTTTGGTGGTTTTTGGCCTTTTTTATTGCAACCTGTTTTATGAGCAAGTCTTCATCACCTGTGTCTTGTGGCGACCTCCTAGCTCATCCTGTGACTGAGAATGCCTAATTTACTGGGAATGCAGCCCAGGAGGTCTCAGCCTTATTTTACCCAGCCCCTATTCAAGATGGAGTTGCTCTAGTTCAAACACCTCTGACAATCCCACAAAATGAGAACTCAGTCCCACAGACTGTCCCCCCACTTCAGACACCAGTCACAAGTTCGGGTCCCCCGGACTTCTGACAGCTTCAAGTTGGAGTTTCCACAACCCTCTCTTTGGGTTCCATTAACTTGCTAGAGCAGCTCGCAGAACTCAGGGAAACCTACTTACATTTGCTGGTTCGTTATAAAGGATATTACAGAGGATACAGATGAAGAGATGCACAGGGAGAAGTATGGGAAGAGGCACGGAGCTTCCATGCCCTCCCCAGCATGCCACCCTCCAGCAACCTCCATGTGTTCAGCTATCCAGAACTCTCCAAACCAGGAATTTTGGGTTTTTATGGAAGCTTAATTAGGTCGGCATGATTGATTAAACCACTGGCCATTGGTGATCAACTTAACCTTCAGCCACTCCCCCTCCCTGAGGTTGGGGCATGGGAAGGAAAGTCCCACCCTCTAATGCTAATGCTGCCTCAGTCTTTGTGGTGACCAGCCTTCATCCTGGAGCTGCCAGCCACCAGTCAATCGGTAGCATACAAAAAGACATCACTTTAAAAATTCTAAGGATTTGGGCCAGGCGTGGTGGCTCACGCCTGTAATCCCAGCACTTTGGGAGGCCAATGTGGGTGGATCACGAGGTCAAGAGATCGAAACCATTCTGACCAACATGGTGAAACCCTATCTCTACTAAAAATACAAAAATTAGCTGGGTGTGGTGGCACATGCCTGTAGTCGCAGCTACTTGGAAGGCTGAGGCAGGAGAATCACTTGAACCTGGGACGCAGAGGTTGCAGTGAGCCGAGATTGCGCCACTGTACTCCAGCCTGGTGACCTAGCAAGACTCCATCTCAAAATTAAAAAAAATAAAAATAAAAATAAAAATTCTAAGGATTTTAGAAGTTGTACGCCAGGAATCTGGTATAAAACCAAATATAGGCCGAGTGCAGTGGCTTACGCCTGTAATCCCAGCAAGAGACTAGCCTGGGCAACATGGCAAAACCCTATCTCTATAAAAAATACAACAATTAGGCAGTTGTGGTGGCATGCGTCTGTAGTCCCAACTATTCAGAAGGCTGAGGTAGGAGAATCGCTTGAGCCCAGGAGGTGGAGGTTGCAGTGAGCTGAGATCATGCCACCGCACTCTAGCCTGAGCAACAGAGCCAGACCCTGTCTCAAAATATATATATATTTTTTTTTTCGTTATAAAGGATATTATATATATACACATATTTCACAATATCACAAAAATATATCTATTTTAAAGTACTGAACAAAAAAACGTTGGGAGGATCAGAACTCTGATATTTTCTGCTTTAAACTCTGAAATTAGTTCAAAGATTCTGGTGCTATTTCTTGATGATATCCATCGTGTGTGTGTGTGTGTGTGTGTGTGTGTGTGTAAAACACACACAGCATTGGCAGTCAAGCAAACAGGCCAAGGTAGAAATTGAGAATTCTGAGATCTGTCTAAGTCAACCTTTATTTTCTTTATTTGGAAAATAAGAACAAAAGTAACAAAAATACAGCAAAATTATGACAAATAAATCTGACATTTAAAAAATCCATAACACTTTTAACATCCACATCTATTCTGAATTACATAACTATGGAATTTCTTATGTTCTTCATATTATTTTGTAAGATTTATGTACTGTCTGCCCAAAAAAGTGTACACTATTATCCCCATTTTTGCAGAGGTGGGAGTTAGATATCTAGACATTGAGGATCTTAGCTAAGGACAACAGCTGGTAAGAGGTTGCATAGTTAAAAAGTGTTACCAGAAAGGGGTCTAGATCCAGACCCCAAGAGAATGTTCTTGTATCTCGCACAAGAATTCTAAGTGAATCCATAAAGTAAAGTGAAAGCAAGTTTATTAAGAAAGTAAAGGAATACTGGCTCACGCCTATAATCCCAGCACTTTGGGAGGCCGAGGTGGGTGGATCACCTGAGGTCAGGAGTTTGAGACCAGCCTGGCCAACATGGTGAAACCCCGCCTCTGCTAAAAATACAAAAATTAGCCAGGCATGGTGACACAGTCCTGTAATCCCAGCTACTCAGGAGGCTGAGGCAGGAGAATTGCTTGAACTTAGGAGGTGGAGGTTGCAGTGAGCTGAGATCGCACCATTGCACTCCAGCCTGGGAGTCAGAGCAAGACTCCATCTCAAAAAAAAAAGAAAGTAAAGGAATAAAAGAATGACTACTCCATAGGCAGAGCAGCAGTGTGGGCTGCCCAACTGATTATACGTATAACTATTTCTTGATTATATGCTAAACAAGGGGTGGATTATTCATAAGTTTTCTGGAAAAGGGGTGGGTGATTCCTAGAACTGAGGCTTTCTCCCCTTTTTAGACCATATATGGCAACTTCCCGACATTGCCATGGCATGTGTAAATAGTCATGGCACTGGTGGGAGTGTCTTTTAGCATGCTAATGCATCATAATTAGTGTATAATGAGCAGTGAGGGCGACCAGAGATCACTCTCATCGCCATCTTGGTTTTGGTGGGGTTTGGCTGGCTTCTTTACCACATCCTGTTTTTATCAGCAAGGTGTTTGTAACCTGTGTCTTGTGCCAACCTCCTGTCTCATCCTGTGACTAAGAATGCCTAACCTTCTGGGATTGCAGCCCAGTACGTCTCAGCCTTATTATACCCAGCTCCTATTCAAGATGGAGTCGTTCTGGTTTGAATGCCTCTGATAAATGCAAACCCAGGTCCTTCTGGCTCCAAAATTCAATCAATGTTGCCTCTTTTCAAAATATTTCTATCTGCTTGGGAAAATTCCAGCTGATTTGCCTTAGGGGAGAATTTAGGATCCCCTATTAGTCATGGTCCCCTGGGGAAGGAAGGCATCTTCTCCAACCTGGGGCTGCCTGAGGAGAACTCACCAGTCACCACCAAGACACACTGACTGCAATGCAGCCAGCCCCCTGACTTTTGGAGGAATCCTGGTGCTTCTTCCCACCTTGAATATGCTCTAGCCTAACTGTCTGCCTGGGGCACTAGTGTTCCTGCATGGCTTCCCGACCAGCCAGGCCTTTTCCATGATTTGCTTCTTTTCTTCTCTAAAGTATCCTTGTTACTTTTTTTGTTTTTAGACAGGGTCTTGCTGTATTGCACAGGCTGGAGTGCAGTGGCTCAATCACAGCTCACTGTAGCCTCGACCTCCCAGGCTGAAGTGATCCTCCTGCCTCAGCCTCTCATGTAGCTGGGACTACAGGCCTGCACCATCATGTCCAGCTAATTTTTGTAGGGGTTTTTTTGAGACAGAGTCTCACTCTGTTGCCCAGGCTGGAGTACAGTGGTGCTATCTTGGCTCACTGCAACCTCTGCCTCCCGAGTTCAAGCGATCCTCATGCCTCAGCCTCCCAAGAAGCTGGGACTACAGGCACATGCCACCACACCTGGCTAATTTTTTGTATTTTTTTTTTTTTTTTTTTTTTAGGAGAGATGGGGTTTTACCATGTTGGCCAGGCTGGTCTCAAACTCCTGGCCTCAAGTGATCTGCCAGCCTCAGCCTTCCAAAGTGCTAGGATTACAGGCATGAGCCACCATGCCCGGCCAATTTTTGTATTTTTTTGTAGAGATGAGGTTTTGCCGTGTCGCCCAGGCTGGTCTTCCTTGTTATTTTCTAAGGAGACTCTACCTTGCTCCAGTTCTGGCCTGACCATCCTCTTCTTGAGTTTCCCATCCTGATACTCCTTTTCCTTGGGTGGGTTTGATGAAGTTACAGCAATTCCAACCAAATTAGCTGTCTCTCCCCTTCTTCAAATCTTCATAAAGTAACACCCCCGGCTTCTGCCTACCCTTGCCTGGTCTCCCCAGGCCATCCTGGCTCCAATGCAGCAAGCTTTCTCTGGCTCAACCTTTGTGCTGGGTTAAGATCCTAATCCGACCTGTTCCTTCCCTCCTTCCAATACCCAAAAATGTTTTGGATGTTTTAATAAATCAAATGAGGAGTTATGACCTTCTGATTAAAGTTTAATAAATTTATCAAAGAACTATGAGAACATTCAGATTAAAAAATAATGAAATGTAAAATAAAAGCAATAAAGACGAATAATAAAATCAATAGATATTATTCTAACATCAAGAAGCAAATTACAATAAGAAAATTAGATTATACCAAAGGCAAGAAGTGATTCATTAAGAGAAAGAGAAGGGACACATTTCAAATAGAAATCATGTTAAGTAATAAATTATTGGATTATTTGATAATCCAATGAGTGAATCATAAAAATACATAGGAAAAGATTTAAATTTCTTGCTGATGACACCAAATACTGGCATCAATGAAGCTAACATAAAATTCATACTATACCACGAAAATGAGGACATGAATATCATCAGTTCAAAGAGTATTTAAGATAGAAATTCACGAGAAAATCTCAAATGCCCTGAGATCTTAACAGGTCTCCTCAGAAAGAAAGTAGATAGTGGTTTGCCAAAATTTGACAAATGCTAAATATTTTCTTGGCATTACCAATCATAAGTTGTGAAGCTGGAAAAAATTTTTATAAGCTATCAATAATAAAAATAAATTTTTTATCAATCATGCTTGATAAGATTGAATAATCTTTCCATTCTCTACACAGAAAATCACACAAAATTGCTGTCATAGAAAAACATAATCAAAAAGTATATAGCTAAAATAAAGTAAAAAATATTTTTTAAATATAGGTGTCCGATGATTTGTATATTGTTACAATTTCTGTTCTTATTCTAAATACTCACTTTTCATAACTAATTTTGCATGCTTTTACTTATAGAGGCCTCCAAAAATTGTCTAAATTTCAGCCCTACAAACCCTGAACTCATCTTCAATGGGATATTGCGTTTCTCCCTCCCCCTCTCCTCACGCAAACTCAGGGCTGACCCTCTTTCAGACAGACAGACAGTGGCCAGAACAGAACCAGAACAAGATAAGCGGAAATCCTACCCACTGTGTTTTTTACCTTAAAAGTCAGTAGGATTGGCTGGGCGCAGTCGCTCAGGCCTGTAATCCCAGCACTTTGGGAGGCCAAGGCAGGTGGATCACGAGACAGGAGAGACTAGACGAGACCATCCTAGCTAACACAGTGAAACCCCGTCTCTACTGAAAATACAAAAAATTAGCCGGGCGTGGTGGCGGGCTCCTGTAATCCCAGCTACTCGGGAGGCTGAGGCAGACAATTGCTTGAACCCAGAAGGCGGAGGTTGCAGTGAGCTGAGATCACGCCACTGCACTCCAGCCTGGGCAACAGAGCAAAACTCTGTCCCCATCCCAAAAAAAAAAAAAAAAAAAAAAAAAAATTAGCCAGGCGTGGTGGCGGGGGCCTGTGGTCCCAGCTACTCGGGAGGCTGAGGCAGGAGAATGGCGGGAACACGGGAGGCGGAGCTTGCAGTGAGCTGAGATCGTGCCACTGCACTCCAGCCTGGGCGACAGAGCGAGACTCCGTCTCAAAAAAAAAGAAAAAAAAATGTCTGTAGGATTGATTCACTAGCAAGTATAAAGCCCATGAAAACGCCAGGTACTCGGGGACTCAAGAACTGTTGTTTTTACCAAATCATATTAACTCCAAACAGACATAACAGCTGGATGAACATGTTCAACTTTATCGTTGTTTTTGTTTTAATTATTCTCTTTTTTGTTGGTGGTGGTAGGGGGAGAGTCTCATTCTGTCACCCAGGCTGGAGTGCAGTAGCGCAATCACAACTCACTGCAGCTTCAACCTTCCGGGCTCAAGCAATCCTCCTACCTCAACCTCCCAACTAGCTGGACCACAGGTGTGTGCCACCACACCCAGCTGACTTTTTAAAAAGTATTTGTAAAGATGGGGTCTCACTATATTGCCCAGGCTGCTCTCAACCTCCTAGGCTCAAGTGATCCGCCCGCCTTGACCTCCCAAAGTGCTGGGACTACAGGCATGAGCCACCCTGCCTAGCTGTTTTATTTATTCTGTCTTCTCAAAAGTAAATATTTTGCTGACATAAGGTAGCAGAGTAAACATGGAGCTCTCCTTCCTTGCCTAATGAAGCACAGGTATCGAAATGGATTTACACACCTGAGGAAGACCTGGCAATCCTCTCACACCAATTTGCAGGATGGTATTTATGTGGACTGTGGTCACATTTCTTAAAAAAAAAAAAAGCTCTTTATTGCTTGAATAAGCATTTGTTGATACATTAGACAAGCTAAAGCCATTTCCATATAACTGTTTCATATAGAAGTTGTTTTATTTCATTATTTCCTTGATTCTTATTTGTCCTTCATGAGGTCTCAAAGATTGTCTATTATATTTAATGAAATGTAAATTGCAAAGCTTTACAAAAACTGTAATTCTAGAAATTATTTCATTGATGAGTTTTTTTGTATCAATTCAGCAGACACTGGTTGAGAATCTTCTCGAAGTATGACAGGCACTGAACTGGGCCCTGGGGAATGCAGAGATGACATTCAGGATGCTTTCTGCAAACGTGGGTCAAGGTGATAAATGCTGCTTCGATGATTAGATCAAAGTGTTGAAAGAAACAGAGAGGAGGGAGCAGTTAATCCTGCCTGCTCCAATCGGGGGTGAAAATAAAAAGTAGATTCAAAGTGTGTTTTGTGGACCCCAAGGGCTCCAGAGAGGAGTCTCCAGGTGTCTGCTGGGGAAGTGGGGAGCTGAGAGGCAGGGCTTCAGATCTCCAATTATTGTTCACCCAAAGCACAGCTGCTTCCATCTGTTTTATTTGTTGGAAGGTGGCATTAGACTTCTCTGACAAAAAGCCACTGCTTTTGAAAAATAATTTTTTAGAGATGAGGCCTCACTCTTGCCCAGGCAGCTGGAGTGCAGTGGTGCAGTAATCTCACTGCAGCCTCAACCTCCTGGAATCAAGTGATCCTCCCACCTCAGCCTCCCAAGTAGCTGGGATTACAGATGTGAGCCACCATGCCTGGCTACAATATTTTGAAACTACTAAATGAGATGTCCTTTGGTGTGAGCTTTAAGGTTATAGAATTTATCCAAAGCGAGATGAAATCCAGTGCCTTCAACTCCCTTCTCTATGTTAAAATTCCCAAACCTACATCTTTAGCCCCAACTGTTCTCCTAGCACCAGTATCCCCCATCCTCAATCCATCCTTTTCTCTCCACAGGACATGTTTTAGAAGATTGATGGCTCCCATTGAGTAGTGGATAAAAATCCAAGCTCCCTGTCATAGTCTATAAAATCCCTCCCAATCTGGCTCCAAATGTCTTTTACCATTTATTGTCCTCCACTTACCCAAAGATGCTGCTGAGAGACAATTCTCCATGGGTCTCTCATTTCTGTACTTCTTGCAAAAAGAAGCACTGAAAAATTTTATTCCAGGCTATCTTTTCAAGAATGTTTGTGTAGTGAACAGCTTTGGAAAATAGAGACAGTGATTCTCTCCAGAGCAGAGGGAAGGTTTATTCGCTTTCTAGTAAAGATAGTATCTCCCTCCAGGAAAAGGTTCAGTGGATTTGCTTGCCGCCCATTATACAACACTGGGGTTTCCTACGTGTGGGGTTTCTTAGCTGTAACACAAACCCACTGGGTACAGCATCCATCTGGGCCGCTGCATTGCTACAGTGGACTTAGAAGGCTAGAAACCCAATGCAAAAAGGA
The DNA here is from genome assembly GCF_000001405.40 of Homo sapiens. NCBI lineage: Eukaryota > Metazoa > Chordata > Mammalia > Primates > Hominidae > Homo > Homo sapiens. The sequence goes on from NC_000012.12 coordinate 12,003,850, forward strand.
ATCTCATCCTGCTTTTTTGTGTGAGTAATAAAAATCCTTTGTCTCTAACTCAGGGATCTCATGCATGCAAGTAACTGCCGCAGGCTAGCTTGTTAGCTTACATACAATGAGAAATCCCAGACCCTTCATCTTCACACAGTTCTTTTTTTTTTTTTTTTTTTGAGACAGGGTTTCACTGTTGCCCAGGCTGGAGGGCAGTGGCGCGATCTCAGCTCGCTGCAACCCCTACCTCCTGCACTCAAGTGATCCTCCCGCCTCAGCCTCCCAAGTAGCTGTGACTACAGGCACGTGCCACCATGCCCAGCTAATTTTTTGTATTTTTTGGTAGAGACAGGGTTTTGTCCTTTTGCCCAGGCTGGTCTCCAACTTCTGGGCTTCAAGTGATCCACTTGCCTCGGCCTCCCAAAGGGCTAGGATTGTAGGCATGAGCCACCACACTTGGTCTCCTTCACAGTTCTTGACAGGTCCCTGTATTGGTCAGGATAAACTAAGTGTGCTGCAGTAACAGCCCCCAAATCTCAGTGGTTTACAACACAGGCAAGTTTCTTGCTCATTCTTCATGTCCTTTGCAGGTCATCTGGTGGCCCTGCTTCCATCACCATTGTCCTCACTCTAGGGCACAATCTGACAAAGCATCCACTCTCTGGAACATTGTTAGGGGTCAAAGAAAAAGAGAATGTGGCAAAGAATGTGCCCACTTTTAAATCTCCCACCTGGAAATGAGAGACATCCTCCTGCTTACTTTGATTGGCCACATCTAAATTCAGGTCTATTGAAAAGTGCAAAGCTACCACATGCACAGAAAGAAGGAGAGTTGGAATATTGCCAAACATCCCTAATGACTCCCAGAACAACCTGGTCTCCATCCACACCACATGCTTGGTCTTTATACAAACCTGCTGTGCTCGTTCATGCCTGTGTAATTCCTTCTTCCCAAAACACGCTTCTTCTCCCTGAACGTTTAGCCCTTCCCACACCTCTTATTACATGGATAACCCCTACTATTTTTCAACATCCAACTCAAATATTACCTCCTTTTTGAAAACTTTCTCTGACCATCCCTCACCCAGAAAAACACCTCACTTCCCTAAGATTCTGTAACACTCTCTATATCAAAGTACTAACCCATTGCTTCATACTGGGTCATGAATTTGATGCCTGCCATAAATCAAGATCCCTTGAGAATGGATGATAAGGAGTGGGCCCATGATTTTTTAACCTCCTTTAGGCAAACCTAGCACCATTTTGATTAAAATATTTCAGAGGTTTTCTACTCGATTAAAAAACAACAACAACAAATCATTGCCACAACCTTCAAAGCGCACACAGACTGACCATCTCCAGCCTCAGTTGGTGCCATGATCCTTCTGCTTTCAAGTCCCACTTCAGTCTCTCAAACCTGTATACCTTCTCTCTCCACGTCTTTGCATCTGCCTGAAACCCCCCATCCTCCCCTCTCCCTCACCTCATTAATCTCTCCTCATCCTTCAGATCTGAGCAGGGAAGCATCACTTCCAGGGGAGTGTTCCTGTCACCCACCCCCCCCCGCCCTGGTCAAATCTCCGCTTGTCTGTTCTCATAGCACTGTGGACTTCTGCGTAGCCCTCAGCACAGCAAGTATTCTGTGGGTTTTGTATGACTATTTTACTGTGTTCTCCCCACACTCAACCTTAAACTACAAGTTCACAAGGGCATGAATCCTATCCATTTTTGCCCACTATTGGATCCCTAGTTCTTAGTATATTGTCTGTCACATAGTAGGACTCGGTAGATATGGACGAGTAAATGAGTGAATGAATGAATATAATAAGATACCCAATGTATGTGTCTTGGATTGAAGAATTTCAAGTAGAGAAGACAACAGTTAAAAAAAAAAAAAGGTACAAAAGTTTGTCTGGTCTGCAGGGCAAATTTTTTTTATGAATGACAAGAGAAGCACAGGAGGCAAATGAAATTTTACATAAATCTTCCAGTACTTCATCTCAGTGTAGAATCTGAATTATGAAAGATCGACTCAGTAGATACCACATTCCAGGAGTTTAGAGATATAATCTCATTATTTTTCAACCTTTGTTTCTAGGTGTAATTTACACCTAATTTTTTTTTTTTTTTTTTTTTTGAGATGGAGTCTTGCTCTGTCGCCCAGGCTGGAGTGCAGTGGCGCGATCTCGGCTCACTGCAAGCTCCGCCTCCTGCGTTCACGCCATTCTCCTGCCTCAGCCTCCCGAGTAGCTGCGACTACAGGTGCCCGCCACCGTGCCCGGCTAATTTTTTTTGTATTTTTAGTAGAGACGGGGTTTCACCGTGGTCTCGATCTCCTGACCTCGTGATCCACCCGCCTTGGCCTCCCAAAGTGCTGGGATTACAGGCATGAGCCACCGCGCCCGGCCACACCTAATTTTTAAACAAGCGGAGATTCTTCTAAGCCAGTTGCCATTATCATTATCTAAAATGTATTTGATTTACTATTTACAAAGCATTTTCCTTATGCTATCATATTAAACACTAAACAACCCTTATAATCAAGATTAAAAGTAGGTCATAGGCTCTAACTCTGACATCTTCACAGAATAATTTTTGATATATTTGTGAAATAACGAGATGGCAGGTAAGGCGGAAAAGAAGCCTCCCAAACAGGCAAGAAGAGTAGATGGCAGAGGCACAGAGAAGGAGATGGAGAGACATGGAACCAAAAGGAGGGGTCACAAGAGGAAGAGTATCGTCCAAAAGTAATGTGGGGATGGGCTCTGAAGCAGGGAAGAGGGCGGCGGTCTTTGAAGTTGGCCTCGATGGTGGTCTTTTTTTTTTTTTTTTTTTTTTTTTTTTTTGAGACAGAGTCTTGCTCTGTCGCCCAGGCTGGAGTGCAGTGGCGCGATCTCGGCTCACTGCAGGCTCCGTCCCCCAGGGGGTTCACGCCATTCTCCTGCCTCAGCCCTCCGAGTAGCTGGGACTACAGGCGCCCGCCACCTCGCCCGGCTAATTTTTTGTATTTTTAGTAGAGACGGGGTTTCACCGTGTTAGCCAGGATGGTCTCGATCTCCTGATCTCGTGATCCGCCCACCTCGGCCTCCCAAAGTGCTGGGATTACAGGCGTGAGCCACCGCGCCCTGCCCAGGCCCGGCTAATTTTTGTATTTTTAGTAGAGACGGGGTTTCACTATGTTGGCCAGGCTGTTCTCAAACTCCTGACCTCAAGTGATTCACCCTCCTCAGCCTCCCAAAATGCTGGGACTACAGGCGTGAGTCACCATGCCCAGCCCTCAGTGGTGGTCTTTGAGGTTGGTATCACAGATTGTGGGGAGGGAGACACATAATGTGTGGGGTAGGAAATTCGTGAGAATGTTTAGAGGCAGTAAGTCCCTGAGGCAGGGATGACATAGGAGTCTATAGAGACCTGAACTTGTCAACAGGAAAATAAAAGATATTTTTAGGTGTCTGTGTCATTAAAGGACTTCTATGGGTGGGCGTGGGCCGTAAGGTTTGACTAAGAGCAGTAAAATGGGGAGTAGGTAACAGGTCACAGAAAATGGAAATCGGTCATTACTGTTTGTTTGAGATTCCATCAGTGTCTGGGGCTGGTTGGTCTCATTGGGGAAAGGAGCATCTTGAGTGGGAAGGATGCCCAGGAAATCCAAATAGACTAGCAAAGTAGCCAAGAATACAGAAATGCCCTCATCACCTCACCAAAGCCCGTGTCCCCTCATGTTGCTCTGGGAGGGCTGGGCCACCCACAGGAGACTTGCACAGGTTCCGGGGACCCCAAGCTGCTGGCAGAGCCCCCCACCAAGTCCTGTCCAGCTTCTGGGGCTCTGTGAGCAGCATGAGCCAATCCTCCTCACACACATGCAGAGCCTCAGAGAAGGAGCATCATCCTCCATCCTGCTGCCCAGGACAAAAACCTGGAAATTCTCCTTGACTTTTCTCCCACTTTACTCCCCAAGTCTAATAGGCTCTAGGTCCTTATATCTCCCAAATCCACTCACCTCTTGCTATCCCCATAACCACTAACATAGTTCTGGAACCCACCACTGAAGCGTGTTCTAACTTCCTCCCGTCTGTCTTCCTTCCTGTCACTGAAAAACTGATGGCAGTCCTTCCTCTGCTTATACCTCTTCATCAGCTCCCTTCCACCATTAGAATAAGGCCCGAACTTCCTAACGTTGCTTCGATATCCGCATGAGCTGGCCTCTGGTCTCCTCTCCGGCTCTCACCAGGCTTCCCTGCCAGCTTTGTCCCGCCATACCAAACTACTTCCAGTCCCATACAAGTGCCTGTCTCCCTTTCACTCCTGGACTCAGAAAATTCATCTTGCTTTCTCTGGAAATCATCTTAACCTCACGCCCCTTACCCTTGGCCCCATCAGGCCAGATTCCCTGGGTTAATTCCTGTTCTTGAGACTTCGGCTGTGATGTTTCCTACTTCACAGCTCTTTCGGGGCTGGGTGAGCGGCCCTAACTTTGTGCTGCCGTAGCCACTTGCATTTGCCAAAACCAGAGCATATCATCCTCTGCATCATAGTGGGTTTTTTTTTTCCCACTTATCTGTCTCTCCATCTAGATCTGTGGTTCTCTACTCCCTGTAAAATAAATTAGAGTCATTGTTTTTTAAAAAAAATGCTAATGCCTATTAAACAAAAATCTCTTGAGGTGGATCTGGGCATCAGAGTTTTTTAAGTTTCCCCCAAATAATTCTAGTGGGCAGCCAGCGGTGGGCGCCACTGAGCCAGACGGTCTTTGTTGCCAGTGCACAGGGAACAATCCTCAGTGTCTGTTACACAAATGAGTCTCTGATCATTCCACTTTGGTCTGCAGGGCAAAAACTCTACAGAGAGGGCATGGAGAGGAAGAGATGGGTCTTGAAGAAGAAACTTGCACTAGGGAGGACCCACACCTCCCCCCTGACTCCAGCTCCCTCTGGTACAAAACCCCAAAGCTGAGCTGTGGGCCCAGCCCCACCCACATGCAACTCTGCGCTGTTGGAAAGGCTTGGAAGTCAAACAGCAATCTACTCCTCTTCATGGAGGCAAGGATAAATTTTCTTTTCAAAACACTTTAAATTTTATCACCTCTTCAGAACAAGTACATGAATGAATAAACTGAGGCTCCAAGAGACTGTGAGTGGCCCTCGCCTCAAATCTCTAGAGCAAGGCAGAGCAGAAATCAATACGTGACTCCCCAGGAGCAATTGGCCTCGTCCTGGGTGGCCTCTGCGCCCACCCTAACTCTCCTGCCTCCTAGAGCAGGCAGGGCTCGCCCCGAACCACCCTGCCTCCTAGTGCTGACAGAGGCACATCTGCAGGGTGAAGAATCTGCAGGCAGGATGCAGAGAGTGGGAGGAGGAGGACAATTTCGCACCTGAGTGATCCTTTTCATAAAAATGGGATCACGTTACTTCCTACTAAGAGAAGGGAAATGTTATCCGAGAATGTGGGGCTCTCATTCTCGGATATGAGAATGTCTCTGCCAACAATGCCTGGCCTGATCTTACCTACCCCACTTCACCAGGGGCACTCACAGCTAGAATCTGCTGAGAACCCTCAGGCTCTCAATGGGTGTGACTCATCTCTTCCTCTATTCCCTCTCTGTAGAGGTTTTGCCCTGCAGACCAAAGTAGAGCGATCAGAGACTCATTTGTGTAACAAACATTAAGGGTTGTTCCCTGGGCACTGGCAACAAAGGCCAACCCGGCTGGCTCTCTGAGCTCAAGAAATCACAGCATGGCTCAGCGGTGCTCATTGCTGGCTGCCCACTAGAACTATTTGAAGAAACATAAAACTCTGATGCCCAGACCCACCTCAAGGGTTTTGTTTTGTTTTGTTTGTTTTTTGAGACAGAGTCTTGCTCTGTCACCCAGGCTGGAGTGCAGTGGTGTCATCTCAGCTCACTACAACCTCTGCCTCCCAGGTTCAAGGACTCCTCCCACCTCAGCCTCCCAAATAGCTAGGATTACAGGCACACACCACCATGCCTGGCTAATTTTTTGTATTTTTAGTAGAGACAGGATTTCACCATGTTGGCCAGGCTAGTCTTGAACTCCTGACCTCAAGTGATCTGCCCGCCTTGGCCTTTCAGAGTGCTGGGATTACAGGTGTGAGCTACCGCACCCAGCCAAGAGATTGTTTAATCAGCAAAAGGCTGGGCAGGGCAGTGGGGCCTAGGGCGGCACTTGCTATCAGATGTCTGGAGGGCAGGGTTGGCTTTGGCCATAGATGGACCTCGGTTCAAATCCTGGCTGGCCATACCACTTACCAGCTCTAGACCTAGAGCAGGTTAACATCATGAATCTAAACTACTTACCACTTAACAAAGTGAGTGACTATCTATAACTGTTGCCGTTGTTACAAGAAATCCACTTAGTAACTGCACTGAAAGCCCCTCATCCCCAAAAGGCAAGAAATGGGGAACAACCGGGTGACTAAGGAAAACTGCAAGTGAAAGCAGCTGTAATTTCTCTCGCTGTGGTTTGCGGTGCTCAACACTCTTGCTTGGCTGGTTGTCTTGGAGGGTTAATGAGGTCTCTGCTGAGTGTCCTCAGCTTAGCAATGGGCAGTGGGGCTCTGTTCACAGTCTCATCCCGGCCACGTGGCCTCCCGGGTTCAGACACCCTAGGCTGATGCTGTGGTTCCATGTGCCTGAACACGAGCATCCGAACTCATTTCCGGCCTGCCTGTCCCCCCATGCAACGGCTCCTGAAAAAGGGGAACCAAATGCTGCCCATTTCACCCCCATCAATAGCTGACAACGCCTGGGTTCCTGCTCTCCTGACATTCCCACTCATTGTCGTCAGTGGAGCGAGCAGGCAGAGGGGAAGTGAGCTGCCTATCAGCCCCTGCAATCAGAAAAAGAGCCGGGTGCCTTTAAGACGAAGGTGGTGGGCAGCCATCCATCTTCCCTAAACACACACTCGCCTTGTTCTTCCATTTCTGGCTGAGTGATAAAAACGTTAAATGTCATTTCCTGTATCAGTGGTTAACCACTAGATGCTGGATCAGAGATTTACCAGAAGTGCTGAAGTTATGGAAAAAAAATAAATAAACCTGCTGTTTTCAATAACCCTTTCTTGCACCCTGTGGGAACTATGTAACCTCTGGGGAGGGGGCTGCGAGGGGGTCGCTGGATTTGACTTGGGCAACACACTTAGGACTAGATTTACCAAATGCTTTCTTATGCTTCATATAGGAAGTGAAGAGAGACAAAATGTAACCATCCTATACCTGTCCCCAAGTGCGCGTGTGTGTGTGTGTGTGTGTGTGTGTGTGTGTGTGTGTGTGTGTGTAGAAACGCTGGGAAAAGCAGGAGGAAAAATCATCCACGTGCCTTCTTTGCCCACCTCTCTCAGGATATCTTGCAGTCATTTTGGTTTTATTGACCCAGGGTTTTTGCAGAGGACAGTTGCCCTGACTATTCGATTCCCTCAGCTTCCTGCAACAATCAATGTCCTCCAGTGACAAGAAGGCTTCCTGGGGGAAAACATGCTCCCAGGAAACTCCTGAGAGGTGGAGAGCCCAGCTCAATCCTTTGTTGTGTCCTCTTCTTCTTTCAGTTGCTCCATTAAATTAATCAAGAGCTCAGAAAAGGGAAGGCCTGGCTTAGCCCCCAAGGAGAGGTGACTGGACCGACTGCAGCCTGCCCACAGCTGTACTCCAAGCCCAGCCATGCGCTTCTGACCTGAGGTCAACTCCCCACATACAGCTGCCCTGGGCTCCTCCCTGCGGCCTCCCAGGCACTCCCCTCAGTCTGGACATATAAGACTTAGGAGCTGCACTTTGTTCTAGCAATTCCATTTCCTTCCCAGTGCCAGTTGGGATGTGCTGTGCACACCAAGTGCCCCTAGCTCCTCACCTACCTCTGGGATCACTGACAGTCCTGCTTTACCTGGGACCGAAGGGATTCATGGGGCGGCCGGGGCGGGGGAGGGAGGACTTTTGTTTCTAAAACTGGGAAAGTCCCAGGCAAACCGAAATGAATTGGTCACCCCCGCAACAGATACAATGGTTTGCATAGGCACTTGCACGTTCTATGTCAGAACGGTGGCCAAGAAATAAAAAATAATAAATATGATTTAAAAACCAGAAAATAATTTTTAAAAAATTTAATAAACATAAGATAATTTTTTTAATAAAATTAAAAAAAAAAAGAAACTGGCCAAACTTGAGAACAGATCTAGCCAGGGTACTGAGAACTGCAGACGGCATTGCATGGTATAAGAGTTCCCTGGGGAGATAGGACGGAGCGCATCACAGATCTCCCACTGCACCTGGCGCATACCTAGAAGTCATCCTCTCTCAATTCAATAGTTACTAGAGGAGATCTGAAATCAAAGTCAGAATCAGAAGGGAAAAGAGCATGGGAAAACGTACATTCCACTAAATCTCTTGTAGGCCTCTGAAACTGAAACTTCTTTTTCCTTCCTCGCGCCCTTGAGTACCAACACCATCAGCCCCCCTGGTGCCCAGGACACAAAGATTCGAGAGATGCATTGCTCTTTACTCTGCCTCGCTCCCACTTCATTTTATTATTATACCTAGACCTGATTTCCTGCCACCTAGGATCTCTCCTCTCCACTTCCACTTCTATGACTATCCTTCCGCTGTCTCTGCCCTCAAAGACTGGCCTCCATCCTCTCCAACCTCAATTTCATCTGCTCCCTGGCATGTTAGATGCTCCCTACTTTTTCAAATTATATTCGAGAAGTGTTTATTGAATACCTAGATCAGAAGGATGCCAGAGAGGTCGCACCCGGATTTCATATGGCATTGGACATTTCTCATGGATGCCTTTTTGAATGACACCATCTGTAACATCTTACTGACTGAGAAAACCTCCTGGACACTGCCAGCAAAGCTGGGCATGGCCTCCCTTGCTTCCTGGTGCAAATTGCCACTTAGCCCTCATTACATTGCTATGACGACTACTTTCTGTTTCCATCTTGTCTACCAGCTGCGAACCCCAGTGTCTTATTTACCCTGTTTTCCCAGGTCAATCCCAGACCTTGACAGATAGTGGCCATTAAATACATGTAGAAAAGAAGATGGTCTGGAGATGAAAGGGGGAAATATTGGGTGGATGCTATTATACTTCAATGGGTCTGTAGCCATTTGAACATATACATTTCAAAGGCTATTGATTATGGTTGGATCAACCTGGAAGATGATCCCTATTAGAGAACCAAAGGTCTCAGCCCTGGGCCCTATCCTAATGTTTTTACAAACTTCCTGGATAAAGATTAAAAAGGTACCCAAAACAGATTTACAGATAAAACCAAAGCTGGGAAGTATCACTAATATGTAGAATGCTAGAATTCATGTTCCAAAATTGTCTTGGCTTATGAGATGGATAGACCAAAACTAAGAAGGTAAAAATACACACCCAATTAGTGTAAAGGCTACACTCGTAGTAGCACCATCACTAGCACAATGAGGAAGATGTGGTTCAGCAGCAGTTCGGGTGAAAAACTCCTAGCAATTCCTAGTCTTTGAGCTAGAAGAGAACGTAGAGGACTATCCAATACAGAGAGTCTCAAGCTCTTTTCAAACAATAACATTCATCAAGTGGAATTTCATGCAGAGGCCCTGTAGGTAAAAGAATTTTTTTTTTTTTGGGGATGAAGTCTTGTTCTGTCGCCCAGGCTGGAGTGCAGTGGCATGATCTCAGCTCACTGCAACTTCTGCCTCCCAGGTTCAAGCGATTCTCATGTCTCAGTCTCCCCAGTAGCTGGGATTACAGGTGCATGCCACCATGCCTGGCCAATTTTTGTATTTTTAGTAGAGACGGGGTTTCACCATGTTGGCCGGGCTGGTCTCCAGCTGGCTGGTCTCGAGCTCCTGACCTTGTGATCCGCCTGCTTCGGCCTCCCAAAGTGCTGGGATTACAGGCATGAGCCACCGTGGCCAGCCGGTAAAAGAAATTTTTTAAAGGTGCTGCTCTGGTTAGGAGTAAGGGAAAGGGGTCTAACAAGTCAGCCTCCAACCAATTCGCCCCTCCCTGCTATCTTATGAAGACCCCTGAGGCACCCTCCCAAACTCCTGGGGCTCTTCTGAGTGAACACTGTTTGAAAACACAGACCTGAGTCAATCCCCTTGCTCTACACAGCTGCCCATCTGGTGAGTGTCAGAATTCCCCCGAACCCTCTAATCCCTCAGCCGGCTTTATTTTGTGTTGCATTTCATTTTTCTTTATAGTTTTTGGCCCTCCATGGCACTGTATGCTGCACTTCACTCTGTGCACCGCCTGGCTGTCTCACTGGAGTCCTGCTGTCTTTTTTCCACCAGTGCATCCCTGCTGCACGGAACACAGTGGGAGGAAGATTTAATGGGAAAGGAATGAATGAACTGGAAAGGAACCCAGGTATCTTGACACCCACCCAACTTGCCCTCCCAGTAGTGTAACTGTCCCCAACAACAACCAAAGCCAAGATCACATTAGGCTGCATTAGGAGATCAAATGGGCCCACCGTACTCATCATGGTTCAAGCCTTGTCTGGAATAGTGTGTTAGATTCTAGCAGCTACATTAAAGGAAACAAATGTGGCAGAAGTGGCATATAAATAATATTATTGAGGGATGACTTTGTGCCAGACATACTGTACATTCATCTCATCTAGTCATGACAATTATGCTGTAAAGTAATTATTATCCTCCTTTTGAATCTGGGGAAACAGAGGCTCAGCACGTTTCAGTAATTTCTCCAAAGGCCTAGGATTCAAACCCCTGGCAAAGCTTGGGTTCTATCCACCACACCGAGGTGTCTCTTGGAGGGGCCCCCAAAAGGGCAAGAAGAGTATGGAGGATCTAGAAATCATGACCAGTGAGGCCAGATATGGTGGCTCATGCTTGTAATCCCAGCACTCTGGGAGGCCAAGGTGCAAGGATCCCTTTGAGCCCAAGAGTTTGAGACCAACCTAAGCAACATAGGAAGACTCTGTCTCTGCAAAAAAAAATTTTAATTCGCCAGGTGTGGTGGCATGTGCCTGTAGTTCCAGCTCTTCAGGAGGCTGAGGTGGGAGGATCGCTTGAGCTCAAGAGTTGGAGGCTGCAGTGAGCCATGATCATGCCACTGCACTCCAGCCTGGGTGACAGAGCAAGATCATGTCTCAAAAAAAAAAAAAAGAGAGCGAGAGAAAGAAATCACGACAAATGAGACATTTAGCCTGGAGAGAATCAGACATACATGACAGGCTGGGTGGGGAGTGAGGAGACCATGACAGCAGTCACTGAAGAAAGAAGAGCACTTTTTGAGGAGGGAAAGTGCTGAGACTCAAGGCCCCTTGTCAGGTGAGGTGTAGAGGAGATTCCCAGATCGGTAGGAAAGTGGCCCAAGAAACTCTGGGCTGTGTTTTGGCCTTGCTGCACATTTGTGGGTGGAGACAATTCCCTGTGCCCACCACACACCCACACCATCCTCTATCACCACATCTTCTGTGCCACAGGCTCTCCCGAGCTGTCTGCCTGTTTATTTTCCTGTGACGAGAGGGACCAAGCAGCAGCAGCAGCAGCGGCATCATAATAACTGCCCACAAGTTGTAGTTGGAATAATTTTCAGAATGGCTCGAGCTCTATGGTTAAAGAAACGACTGCTGGTGGAGTGTAGTAAACAGGCCCCAGCCACAGAACACAGCAAGTGGGCACAGGACATGGGAGTCCAAGAGCAAGGCCCGGGTCCAGGACGCAGCAGGGCTGGGAGGAGCTGACCACAGGACCCCACTCCCCGCAGGGCAGCACTTCATCCAGGGCCCTTCCCTGGCTGCGTAACTGCCCAGATTCGTGTCTCCTGATCTGTTGTAACACACAAAGGCATAGAGCAGAACAGGAAACTCAGGAAAAAAAAAATGGTCTTTTCCCTCTTGAGTGTCTGCTCTGATAAAGACCCTTCCCAGAGGCTGGTCCTTGTCTCAAGCCCACTAGAAATTCTGCCATGAGTGTGAGTTTTAGAGACACTGGGGAAAATAGAATACACACCAGCAGCCATCTCGCTCTTGGTTGATCAAAATAGAATCATAATAGTTCTCTCTTCCCTGTCCAGAATCACCTTCTTCCCATTTTTCTGTGCCCCCTGCCGAGAAACCAACCAAGACAAGGGGTCAGAAGAAGCACTGAGAAACCACTGGAGAATTCACAAGGATAGTCAAGGTTGACAGGGTCCATGGAAAGACCCCTAAAAGTACCCTGTCTAGAATGTGAGAGCTGCAAGGGCCTGCAGAGTCATCTAGTCTGACTGTAAATATATTCAACTGCGGGCCATATGCGGTCTCCGTCACAACCACTCAACAAAAGCAGCCATAGACAATACATAATACAATGGCCATGGCTGTGTTCTAATCAAACTTGACTTATGGTTATCAAAATGTGAATTTCATATAATTTTCATACATTATGAAAACATTACTCTCCTTCTCAATTATTTAAAAAGGTAAAAGGCATTCTCAGTCCACTGGCCGGACGAAAACAGGCAGTGGGCTCAATTTAGCGTGTGGGCCACAGTTTGTCAATTCCTGATCTAGTCCAAGCCCTTCCTGAGACAGAGGAGAAATCTGACTCCTAGGAAAGGCAGCGACTGGTGGTTCAGTGTAGGATTCCCATCCACACACAGTATTCCATTCTTGTGCTGGGCTCTTGCCCATGCAAAGTGATATTTCAGCTGCCCTCATTTCCCTTGGGCATGATGTGCCTGTACTGTGAGGGCAGCAGCCTGGTCTAAGCCCTGCCAACTGTAACATCTGGAATGGAACTTCAGGACTTGACAGACTCTGACTCTGTCCCATTTCTGCACTCACTCCCAGGATGACCTTGGGCAGGTCCATCACCCTCTCTTGATCCCATCAGAAACTGCAGACATGGGAACCACACGGGTCATCTCTGAGAGTGGGTCTTCAGTCATTGTCCTGCCTTCCCCTCTCCTGGGATCAGTACCAGCAGGCCCCTGGCATCTTCTCCAGCAGCCATCTCTCGGAGCAACCAGTTCTGAGGCCACCAAAGTATAGTGACTTCTGGGCAGGAAAACTAGGGATGGAAGCAAATGAGTTGTCTGTTTTCATGCAGATGAAGTCGTGGGAGGACGTATGATTCATGTGTTGAGTGCTTTTTCAATAGCATGTTTCTATCATTTCTGGAAGACAGCAAGTTAGTTTCCCCCCGAGGTGGTGGGAGAGGATGTTGTTTGTGGTTTTCCCTTTTAGAGGGGAGTTACATTTGTTTTTGTTGTTGCTTTGTTGGTTTATCAATTTTTTTGTTTTGCTGTGTTGTGATTTGTGTTCATGAGGAGTTGGAGATGGCGGTTGGGAGAGAAAGTTTTGGAGGGGTAGGAGGAAGCAGAGCCTATGTACAATGTCTACAGGGGCTGATCACACAAACAAGGTCAAGGTGGTTCAAAGTCATAGTCAGATGCCTGGGGGCCTGCCAAACACCACATGCCTTGGTTAGGAAATTAGTGACAGTTTGACATCTGGGTCTTGTGTGATTGCCATCCAAAGATAAGGAAGGGAAAGAGGAGAGTCCTGGCATGGAGTTCCAAGCAGGCTCAGAGCCCCGGGCCTGCCTTTCCATCACATTAAAGAATGTGGCTGCTGTGCCCTGGAGCGGTTCCCTAGTCACACCAGGTGATGGGAGCCAGGAGCATGGGATAGAAGGAGCCTGGTCACTGTCCAGCCCAGAGTATCGCTCAGTGTTGGCTCCCCTGCCAGTCTCTTCCAGGGTATCTGACACCCAAACAGGTTGGTGCCTGGAATTAGGGTATTAGGCCACTGGACCTTCTTGGGGAGCTCTAGGGGGTCTCTGGGAACTTGAATAAGAGCTGCTCCAAAAACTTCTCTGAATCCTGCACCCCTCCCTTAGCAAGCAGTATGCTGGTAAAAGGTTAACAACCAAGTATCTGGCGAAAAAATGCCCTGATTCATAGCATTTGCTAACTCCCATGGTGTAAATACTCTCCTACCTTGGCCAATTTCAAGTGGCCAGTGTTATGTTAACTAGATCACAAAAATCCTGAAAATTAACATTGAGTTTTCTCAAGCCAGAATGAGCCCCTCTTCTACACCACAGCCCTGAGCCCTCTGGAACCAAAGGAGAACTCAGAAATCAGGAATCATTTGGTCCCAGGCTTTCCAGGTGCCAGAATGAACCACGAGCTCCCGGTGAAGCCGCAAGTTTTATGAGTCTGCAGCACCTCACAGTGGAGGGACCCTGGTGGGGGCAGGAGGAAGGAACGGAAGTTGGCTAATTAGAGACCCTAAAAAGCCCCCAGAGAATGCAAGTAAGAGAGAAAAAGGGATTGGGAGTAAATGCTAGGAACTCAAGCATTCAAACCTCTGTGTGGTCCACAAAACAAAAACTGTGAGGTATTTAACCACCTCTCCTTCTTATTTCCTGAGTGTGTTCCTGTCTCAGTCCATCATTTTCCAGAGAAAATCTTCCTAAAGGATGTTAGGAAGCAGCTGTCCATCCCATATCCCTGAGAAGGGGTGCCCTGCCCCTGCAACGTACTAAACACAAGGTGGTGGCTGACATGGAGGAATCTGTCCCCTACACACATAGGACCACTCTGCCAGCCAGGCCCAGGTAGCACCTGGGATGAACTCCCCTCACCCTGCTCCCTGGTCCTCTCCCTACTAAGTCCCATCTAACACACTCCTGCTTGGCTAAGGGAGGAAAATCGCACCTCCTCCAACTCCTCTGATGTCCCTACAGTCCATCCAAACTCACTTACAAGAGTAAGGATTCTTGGATCGACACAGGCCCCTTCCCTTGGGCAGTTTCGGCTTAGCAGGCGTTCTGGGAAGACAGCCAAGCAGTAACTCACTTATGAAAGACTTCATTCTGTGCCTGCTCTCCTCACCCAACAGCTGACACACATGGACCCCCCTCGCTGCCATTTTAGTGGCCCTGGCTGGTCAGAACCTACTCACCTGGCCCGAGAGGCCCACAGTGTCCTGCCTCCACTCCCTTTCCTAGAGCCCTGGATTCCATTCCTACCTCTGCCGCTAATTGCCTCGAACACTCATTTAATCTCTTCTGACTATGGTTTCCTTATCTGGAACACACAAATGGTTGGACTTCAATAATATTCCATACAAGTTTTATAGAAAAATAAGATTTGTTTGGAACTTTAAAGCGATCAAGTATTTTCACTTAATTATTACAAAAAGTATGTGATATAAGTAGTAATATTAGATAATATTAGGAACTGAGGCTCAGAGAGCCTGGGAAATGCATTCCAGATTACCTGGATAAGAGGTAGCCCACCCAAACTCGATCTCATTCCTCTGACAGCCAACACTGCACACAGACACCTGAGCAAGTTGCTACAACTGGGATCCCACAGCAGAGTCCCACAGCTGTTCCTCAGTTAGCATTCATGTCCCTTTGATTCACCAGTTTAACACAATAAATTCCGTTCATTCTAGGCTGAGAGACTAACGTGAATACGCTCAATGTCCAGGAGAAAACTAGGGTCTGTCCTGAGCAAAGTTGGTGAGTGAGCGCCATTTACCTTCCCTGAGCCCCCCAACCTTCTGTGCACAATTCTATGTCCTATACCTTTGCCTTTGCAATCTAACATTCTTCCTTGTCTTTTTTTTTTTTTTTTTTTTTTTTTCTGTTAGAGTCAGGGTCTCTTGTTCCGTCACCAAGGCTGGAGTGCAGTGGCACAATCATGGCTTACTGCAGCCTCATACTCCTGGGCTCAAGCGATCCTCTTGCCTCAGCCTCCCAAGTTGAGGACTACAGGCATGAGCCACTGCATCTGGCACCTTTCTTGTCTTAATACTGTTCTAGTCCATCCAAAACAACAACAACAACAGCAACAACATTTCAATCAAAGAAACATACAATACTGCCTCCCCACCTCCTGCAATAAAACAAGTGCTGACACCCACCTTCCACAAAAGAGGAGAAAGGGACCCTTTCACCCGACATGAGGGTTTCTTTCACTTTTTTCTTTCTTTTTTTTTTTTTTTGGTGGGGTGACAGGCTCTCACTCTGTCGCCCAGGCTGGAGTGCAGTGGTAAAATCACAGCTCACTGTAGCCTCAACCTTCTGGGTCAAGCGATCCTCCCTGAGCCTCGGCCTCCTGAGTAGCCAGGACTGCAGGAGCACACCACCACCATTCATTAGCGGCCCTGCCTGACTAATTTTTTTATTTTTTATAGAGATATGGTCTCATTATGTTGCTCAGGCTGAACTCAAACTCCTGGATTCAAGCAATCCACTCGCCTCAGCCTCCCAAAGTGCTGGGATTATAGGTATGAGTCACCGCGCCTGGCCTATTTCACATAGTTCTCGCCCTTAGTCCTATGCTGCCCTGTCTACCTTGGGGCAGAATTTTTCCATCTGCCCCAAGCGCTGTATTCTTATAACCATCCTGTCTCTTTATTTATTGTATGTCCTGGATGCCAGCGAGGCCCCCCTCTACACACACACTCAAGAAGGTTAAGGCAAGAGGAAGAAACAAAAAGAGGGACAATTTACTGCCCTTTACATAGCACTTTGTCATAACAATACCCTTCCAAAGCCCTCACTGAACGGTGAGAACAATCCAATGAAGTAGGTTTTGTTATGTCTGTTTTTACAGAAAAGGACACTGAGGCTCAAAGACTTTGTAGGTCATTCACCTCGTAAGTAGAAGAGCCAGAATGGGAATCCATGTTCATCTGACTCCAAAGGCAATGGAATGGCCAGGCCCCTCCCTAGGAAATTATCTAATAGGACTCTTCAAGGATATTTGCCTTTTAACAGGAGTGTCTTGAAGCCAGGGTCTCACAAACCAGGCAACAGAGCTCGAAGCGGTCATACCCAATACCTGCTGATGCAATCATATGGACCCAATGGGTTTGAAGCGGGGTGATCTCTTACTGCACCAATTAAATAGTCATCAGTTCTACCAACCATAAAACCAACCATAAATGTAAACAAAGAATTCCTGATCCCACGGGTCTGGACACTAAAAGTGTCCCCAAACTTAGAGAAGTTCTGGAAAAGAACATATCAAAATTTTGGCTTTGCTCCAGATGCTATAGGAAACTGTACGTCACAAGAGTTCTCCATTATTGCCCAGACAATGGAAATAGCAACCACGCAGCACCTTCTAAAATCCCTTGCAGTCTGAGACGTGTGGTGGAGACCCTGGTTTTCATTCATTATGCATGAACCCAAAGTACAGACTTGCAGACCTTCCTAGAAATGAGTAGTAAGTTCAGACCATCAGAATATTCAGAAACCTGATGTATTTCAGAGACTTTAGCAGTAAAAAGGGGTCAGAACACTAGAATAGCTGTCTGGTGAAATCTAGGAGCTTTGTTCATAAAGACATTATGATTCAGTTAATGAGATTTGGCAAGGTATTAACCATCTTGGTAGACCAATAATGGTTGGCTGCTATGGAGTTTAGACTGGGAAATAGAAAACTGAACTGTTATCAGAAAAGTTTGAGATACTTTCCTATACTTTTTGTATAAGATGAAAGCCTGCAAAAGATGAGGCTCAAAAGATATGGAGACAACCTAAATGTCCATCAATGGATGAATGGATAAAGAAAATGTAAAATATATATATATATATATATATATATACACACACACACACACATATATACAATGGAGTATTATTCAGCGTTAAAGGGCCGGGGGCAGGATCCTGTCATTTGCAACATGGATGAACCTGGAGGACATTATGCTAAGTGAAATAAGCCTGATTCAGAAAGACAAATACTGCATGATCTGACTTATGCAAAAAATCTAAAATAATCAAACTCACAGAAGCAGAGAGCAGAACAGTGGTTGCCAGGGGGTAATAGGGAGGGAAAATGGGGAGATGTTGGTCAAAAGGTAAAAAGTTTTAGTTATGCAAGATGAATAATTTCTGGAGGTCTATCGTACAGCACGGTGACTATAGTTAATAATACTGTATTGTACACTTGAAACTTGCTAAGAGGTAAGATCTTAAGTACTCCCATCACAAAATAAGAGAAAATGACTACTATGTGAGGTGATAGAGATGTTAATAGCTTGACTGTGTGATCATTTAATCATGTATACATATCTCAAAACATCGGTTGTACACCTTAACTACATACAATTTCTATTTGTCAATTATACTCCAATAAGAGTTGGGGGAAATGGAAAAAGATGAGCTTCCATAAATCATCTGAGCATATCAGGAAGTGAAACATGCAGGTGTTGAGAATAAAAACATAATTATCTGCTGGGCGAGGTGGCTCACGTCTTGAATCCTAGCACTTTGGGAGGCCGAGGCAGGTAGATCACCTGAGGTTAGGAGTTTGAGACCATCCTGGGCAACATGGTGAAACCCTGTCTCTACTAAAAATACAAAAATTAGCCGGGCGTGGTGGCATGTGCCTGTAGTCCCAGCTACTTGGGAGGCTGAGGCAGGAGAATCGCTTGAACCTGGGAGGTGGATGTTGCAGTGAGCCAAGATTACACCACTGCACTCCAGCCTGGGCGACAGAGCGAGACAGAGAGAAAAATAATACTAATAAAATAAAATTAATAATAAAATAAAACCGTAATTACCTAGTGTGTGGCCTTTCCTGGAGAAAGGCTCTGCACACTGCCCAAGAGCAGGCCTTAATGCCATGAGCTGAACCAGCGGGGCTGGACTCAAGGGTTCAAGGGTGCGGAGTGAGAGGAGAAACAACAAAGGGAAACTGGGGACAGCTGCTCTGGTGAACTCAAGGAAGCCACCTGAGATGGGGAGGGAAGGAAAAGGGGGTTAGTAGAGCTTCAGGGAAACGCAGAGGAGAAGACTGATTTCACCCGGTGATAGAAACAAAGGAAAAGGGAAAACAGAAGCCACGTTGTGGTGGTCAGTGCTGCAAGAAGGACTCTAGGAGAGATAGCTTCTAATGAGAAGAGGAACCGGGGCCAGCAAGACTGGCTCCAGGAGGAAAGTTCTGTGAGGTCCATGAAAGAGGAAGTAGGGAGGAATCGCTGTTGAAATTCTCATTGTGAATGGATGGATCCCAAGTCCTGGAGGAATGGGCAGAAAACAGAAAGCAAAGAAAAAGAAATGTAAAAGAAGGCTTCAAAGCCTAATTAAAGTCATATAAAGAGGATAAAGAGTAATTCAAAGAAGCAATGTGAGAAAAGAAACACTAAAAAGAAGACAAGAGGACCCTAGGGAAGGAAAAACTGGGTGTACATTTGTGTAAGAAATCTAGGTATTACCTGTTTGAAGCAGTTTATTCACCAGGAACTAGGAAAGGAACTGGCTCTGTGGATTTCCTTACCAGACAATTTTCAGAGTGAGATTTTTGTTTACAGTTTATTATAAGAACCTTCCAAAGACTTATGGGATCTGGATCTGATGATACATAACAATGCTTATGACCTAAAAAAGCAAAACGATTCACTTCATGGAAATGCATGTTCCCCGAAAGAAATCCATAGAGCCCCCTAATGAAATTTTCAAGAGAAAAGCTATGTACAAACATATGATCCGCTTCCTAAACGCCACAAGAAAGGTACAGGTGGAAGGAGTAGAGGAAGATTTCCACGGATTCTTGAGAAAAAAATGAAATGGGAAATCTAAGACGAGTGCCCAACAAACCAAATAATGCAGGTTTCAAGAGCACAGAACTGAATGGGGTTTATTTAAACACACATACCAGCTGCTGCCACATGGCTACCAAATGGAAACTGAGCCAGGAGGGTGGCCCAGTTTCTAGGTACAAGAAAGAACAGAGGTTGTGACGCAACAGGAATGATGTTTCCATTTGTATTTTATGAAGTTAACAGCCAAAATTCACCTCTGAAAACCTAAGTTTGGCAGTGGTATAAAGAAGGGAGGAAATTCCTGATGGAACAAGAAGGGATTAAAAACAAAAGAGGGGAGATCAGCGGGAGGGCAGGCCTCTGATCTTCCCTGGCTGGCAGTGGTGGACAAGTAGGAAAATGATGTGAGCAGATGCTCAAGGAAAGTGGCCCTGAAATCAAAGGCTTTGAAGAGATAAGCAGAGTCCCTCAAGCAAAGCAATAAACAGAGAAACCAGGATGAATACATTGGAATCGAAATGATGAAATGTAAAGTACCACAGAGAGGTTTCTAGAAAAGCATCCAGAGATGGAAATGGGGAAAAGAGAAAGATACAGCAGAAATAAATTGCATACGAGATTCTAGTGTGTGCTAGAAATGTAGGGAGGAAAGAGTGATGATAAAATTAAAAGAAAGAAGTGGATAGATCTTAGTGGCATGATTGAAATGGATAATGAAAGGGATCTTTATGAAACTGTTGCCAGGAGAAGGAAAGATATAGAAAGCGAAAAAAAGGCTGTAGGTTAATTCCAGTATGACAAGAATAACAAAGAAATGCATGAATTCTCAGCCAACAGCCCGTATCAAGAGACAAGCATGTTCTGGCTGTGTGTGAAGGGCACACCATGCCAGGGGCTCTCCCTGCCAACGCCTGCAGACTTTTGCTCCTCACCTGGACCTCACAGCGCACCTGTTTTCAATGACACATGGCGGAAAAGGGTCAAAAGATGAATAAGGCCAGGCGCAGTGGCTCACGCCTGTAATCCCAACACTTTGGGAGGCCAAGGCGAGTGAATCACTTGTGGCCAGAAGTTTGAGACCAGCCTGGCCAAAATAGCAAAACCCTGTCTCTGCTAAAGATACACAAAATTAGCCAGGTATCGTGGCACACACCTGTATAATACCAGCTACTGAGGCTGAGGCACGAGAATCACTTGAACCTGGGAGGCAGAGGTTGCAGTGAGCTGAGATCGCACCACTGCACTCCAGCCTGGGTGAAAGAAGTGAGACTCTGTCTCAAAAAAAAAAAAAAAAAGGATAAAATGATACTCATTTCTTCCTTGGTCCCATCGACAAACATTTATCAAGAGATGTCTACGTGCCAAGCACGGTGCTTGATACTGAGAAAATACAATAATTGATAAGCAACATAGATATTCTGACAAAAATGGAAGCAAAAAGGGGAGGAGGTCTAAAATATAGAATTTTCCAGATAAGACAGAGCAAAGTTCAAAGCCGTGAAAATGAGAGTCAATGTGAAATATGACAGAAATGGGGACACCAAGGTGGACACAAGATGACCGTATATTCTCCTCGAAGGGGAACAAGATAGGAAAGGAAAGTGGGAAACAAAAAGTGGAAGTAACGTCAAGAGCCCCTAATGGGGCTCTAATAGGCTCTAACCTGAGTCCTAGCCCTTACTCAGCTGGTTCCCAGATGATCTTGAGCAAAGTGCTTCTGTGCTCTGAGCCTCAGTTCCCTTAACTATAAAATAAACTAATGATGTCTGGTCTAACTTGTGGTTGTCACCACGACACAGTAAGGGGTATTGGTTGTGCCCTCCTGCCATAAACAACAATAAAACTGGACGAATTATATGAAACTGTTTTCAGGTGCAACGCTACAGATGGTGCAGGGATGTGATGCTTGAGAGAAGAAACACAAGAGGTGAAACCCACATTTACTCTGGCCTCCTGCCTGGGGCTTTCCAACCACAGCACGCGGAAGTGGAGCCCAAACTGAGGATGGAGGAAAGAGACCGAAGGTTAGGGCTGCTGCAGGGATTGAGTGTGTGGGACAGGGTACGAGAGAGGCAGGAGCTGCACAGAGCAGAAATCCAAAAATCTGCAGAGGAGACCACCTGAATCTAGTTGAAAACAAAACTGCACATGTACAGGGTAATGTTTTCACAAAGCCTAGTAGAGAATAGGTAGCAGGGGCAAGGTGCAGTAGCTCATGCCTGTAATCCCAGCATCTTAGGAGAGGCTGAGGCAAGAGGATCGCTTGAGCCCAGGAGTTCAAAACCAGCCTGGGCAATATAGCAAGACCTCATCTCTACAAAAAATTTTAAAAATTAGCTAGGTGTGGTGGCATGCACCTATAGTTCCAGCTACTTGGGAGGCTGTGGCAGGAGGATCCCTTGAGCCCAGGAGCTTCAGGCTACAGTGAGCTAAGATTGTGCTGCTGCACTCCAGCCTGGGTGACAGAGTGAGACCCTGTTTCTTAAAAAAAGAAAAAAAAGAGAGAGAGAGAGAGAATAGGTAGTAGGAGCTGTGCACTGAACAGAGATTCCAGAGGTCACATGGTGGGAAGAGACACTGTGTTCTCAGTGTCCATGGTGGAAAGAGCTTGATGAACAGCCTGGGCTTTCAACAGAGGCCCGGGAAAGGCCACACCTGTGGAGCTGGGCCACCCCAGCACTAGAGAGAGGCTGCACTGGACCCATCAAAACAAAGCCAAATTACAACACTCAATAATGGATCCAAGCGGATCCACCAATAAATTAACCACCTGCCAAAACAAATGCAATGATCCTTACAGGAAGATAATAAAACCATAATGTTTGACATGTAATAAAAAATTACTCAATGTGTAACAAGGAGGAAACAAGTAGTATAGAAAGCAGCCAATAGAAAGAATCCCAGAGGTGATACAGATGGAATTAGCAAAGAAAAACTTTAAAATGACTAAATATATTGAAGAATTTAAAGGGAAAAAGTGGACATAAGGAATGAAAAACAGTTACTCATTGGAAAATAGACATTATGAAAAGAAACAAGATGAAAATCATGGGACTCAAAAATCTACAATAACTGCCTGGGCACGGTGGCTCACACCTGTAATCCCAACACTTTGGGAGGCCCAGCCGGGCAGATCATTGAGGCCAGGAGTTCAAGACCAGCCTGGCCAACATGGTGAAACTGTGTCTCTACTGAAAATCAAGAAAAAAAAAAAAGAACTGGGCGTGGTGGTGGAAGCCCGTAATCCCAGCTACTAGGGAGGCTGAGGCAGGAGAATCGTTTGAATCCGGGAGGCAGAGGTTGCAGTGAGCCGAGATTGCACCACTGCACTCCAGCCTGGGCAGCAGAGCAAGATTCTGTCTAAAAAATATGTTTATATATGTATCTAAAATAACTGAAATAAGTCACAAGATGGGCTTAACAGAAGATTAGACACTGCAAAAGAAAAGATTAGTAGACATGAAGACAGAATAATAAAAATTATCCAAGCTGATGCACACAGAGCAAAAAAGGACTAGAATAAAAGAATAGAGCTTGAGTTACACATATGGGATATTATTAACCAGTCTAACAGATACATAACTGTAGTCTCAGTAGGAAAGCAAAGAGGAATTGGGGCAGAAGAAATATTTCAAAAAATAATGACCTCCTAATGTGACAAAAAAGTACCAATCCACTGATCCAAGAATCTCAATGTATCTTAAACAAGATAAACACAAAGAAAACCACATTTAAGCACATCATAGCCAAACGTTGTAAAACAATGATGAAGAAAAGATCTCAAAAGAATTCAGGGGACAAAAAAAAAAATCCCACCTGACTACAGTGGTGCAATAATGAGAATTATCACTGACATCTCACCAGAAATGTTGCAATCCTGAAGATAACAGAATCCCATCTTTGAAGTTCTAAAAGAAAAAAAACTGCTAACTTAGAATTCTACATCCAGTGGAAATATCCTTCAAAAATGAAGGCAAAATGAATAAATAAAAGCTGAGATAACTTATCACCAGCACAACTGCACAATGAAAAATATTAAAGAAAGTTCCTCAAGCCAAAGGGAAATGATACCAGATAGAAACAGAACTATAATACACACAGGAATGTGCCAGAAATGGTAAATCTATGGGGTCACTATAGAACACTTTTATTTTTTAATTTCTTTAAACTACATTGTCTGCTTAAAGCAAAAATGAAGTCTCACTAATTCAAGTCAGACTGTGCTCAGCTAAGGAACTGAAATAAAAGAGTTGTAGGTCAGAAGTCAATAGAGGAAAGAGAATACTCACAAGCACTTCATTAACCCAAAAAGAGGCAGGAGAGTCGGGGAGAAGGAACAAAGAATAGATGGGAAAATCTAGAACAAATAGCAAGATGGTAGAATTAGATGCAACCTAACTCAATGCTATGGTGAATGAAATGAAACCATGGCAATGGAACTCTGGTATAGCTGCCCTCATCACACGTGAGGCTCTGGCTGTGCGTTTCTGGGTGAAGGGGAGGAAGGTGACGAGGAAGGAAGTAGAAAAGCAAACTTATGGGACATAGAAATTCTAATAAAATAGGTTCTAGGTGCTCAAGCCTAGAGACATGCTTCTAAGTCCAACTACTCACTGTGAATACCTGGTGGAAAGATGACACCCTTTCCACCAGGGTGGATGACGTCAAGCAGACCCACCAATAAACTAACCACCTGCCAAAACAAATGCAATGCTCTTTAAAGGAAGACAATAAAGCCCATAATGTTTAGCATGTAATAAAAAATTACTCGGCCTGGCGCAGTGGCTCACACCTGTAATCCCAGCACTTTGGGAGGCTGAAGCAGGTGGATCACCTGAGGTCAGGAGTTCGAGACCAGCCTGGCCAACATGGAAAAACCCCGTCTCTACTAAAAATACAAAAAATTACTTGGGTGTGGTGGCATGTGCCTGTAATCCCAGCTACTCAGGAGGCTGAGGCAGGAGAATCGCTTGAAACCGGGAGGCGAAGGTGGCAGTGAGCTGAGATCGCGCCACTGCGCTCCAGCCTGGGCAACAAGAGCAAGACTCCAACTCAAAAAAAAAAAAAAAAATTACTCAATATGTAACAAGGAGGAAACAAAAGCAGTCAACAGAAAGAGTTCCAGAGGCGATACAGATGGAATTCCACCAGGAAAACTAGAAAAAGGCTCTGTCTACAGAAGGGACAGTGTAAACAGAATGGCAGAAGAGAGCAGAAACAGAGGATCTAGAAAGAAGAAGTATAATCCAACGCTGACATAGGGAGGAGGGAACTGTAAAATTAGAATCTGACAAGGTTTTAATAGGCAATAGGCAACGATCAATTAAAACAGGGCTGTCATGATACGTCTGGACAGACTCAGTTATTTGACCCATGAAGGTTCTGGAGATGAAGGCACTGCAACACCAGGTCTAAATGTGTCATCCCAAACATTTGTAGCTAAGTGGCAGAGAGAAATGACCAAGAATGATTCAGTTCAGTTCGGCACTCGTTTACTGGGGACCTTCTGACACCAGGCTCTGTGTCAGGTACAGAGGATATAAAAATTACTAAGACCAAGTCCATGCCTTTAAGGGGAAACCCAGTTCTACTGGGGGAAACAGGCATGGCAACACATCAGAAAGTAGTGTGTCCAAGCATCCACCTGTCACTTACCAGCTGAGAGAGTCTGGATATGTGCCCTGCCCAAATCTCATGTTGGATTGTAATCCCCCGTGTTGAAGGTGGGGCCTGGTGGGAGGTGACTGACCCACGGGAGTGGATTTCTCATTAATGGTTTAGCCCCAACCCCAGGATGCTGTCCTTACGAAAGTGAGTTCATTCTCATGAGATCTGGTCGTTTCAAAGTGTCTGGCACCTCCCCCTCCCTTGCTCCTGTTTTGCCACGTGATATGCCTGCTTCGACTTTGCACTCCACCACGATTGGAAGCTTCCTTAGGCCTCCCCAGAAGCAGATGCTGCTATGCTTCCTGTATAGCCTGCAGAACCATGAACCAATAATACCTCTTTTCTTATAAATTACTCAGTCTCCGGTATTTCTTTGTAGCAGTGCAAGAATGGCCTAGCACACCAGCTATGTGGCTTTGCACAAATCCTTTAACCTCAGTTTCATCATCCATAAAATGAGGATAATAATAACCACCTAGCAAGACTAATGTGAACATTCTAGAAATAATTTTAAAAGTGCCTAGCTCACCACCTGGCCTATAGTAATTCAGCAGCTCTCAACTTGAGAACAAGACACACATTAGAATCTAGGTGGCAAAAGGAGGGTATTTCTAACTAGTCCCAGCCTACCTCCCACTCATATCCTGATTCCCCTGGAAGGATGTGCCTACCTATTCTAAACCCATTACCCTGGATGAAGAAACACTATGTCTCATGCACGATATAAAGTGTGGGAGTGTGTTTTGCATGTGAATGATGCATAGGTAGAATAAAGTTTGAGAATCACTCTGTAAGCATTCATCTCAGTTCAACACTTATAAAGCACCTACTGTGTGCCAGGCTCATAAAAAAACTAGTTTGGATTATTTCCACATAATGATAGAGGTATGTATAAAATCCTAAGAGAATATAATACAGGAGAAGGCACTCAGCCTGGGGGGTCAGGAAGGCCCACAAGCCTTGGCAGTTACCCGGACTAGCAAAGGTGAGAAGATCATCTCAGGGGAATAGAAAGGTATAAGTTGGCAATAGCATGGTGTGTGCAAGGAACTAGGATCCAAGCATCAAACAGGGTCAAGGAATTAAATATTTGGGAGAGGCAGACAAGCGCAAGTTTATGAAAGACATGCAAAGAAACCTACTTAATCCTGTGGGTGGTGAGAGCCACAGAAGAGCATGATGAAAAGGAGACCCAGGCTCCTCTGTGCTCCAGGTCAGTATCTCTGAAAGCAGTTCCCAAGCTAAATGTCATGATGAAAGCACAAGGAGCCTCAGAGAGCTCAGCCTGCAGAGGAATTCATTCCTCAGGGGCAGTGTGCACTGCTCACTCAACTTTGCTTCTCCAGCACCCACCCAAGTCTGACCCCACTGGAGGCACTAGGTTCATTGTACAGAACTGATATTAATAAACTTCCTTATCCAGAACTTGTGCAATAGCCGAGCATAGTGGCTCAGGCCTGTAATTCCAACACTTTGGGAGGCCACGGCAGGCAGATTGCTTGAGCCCAGGAGTTCGAGACCAGCCTGGGCAACATGGTGAAGGCCCATCTCTACAGAACTACAAAAATTAGCCAGGAGTGGTGGTGCACGCCTGTGGTCCCAGCTACTAAGGAGGCTGAGGTGGGAGGATCTCTTCAGTCTAGGAAGTCGAGGCTGCAGTGAGCCATGATTGCAACACTGCACTCCAGCCTGGGCAAAAGAGTGAGACCCTGTCTCCAATAAAAAAAAAAACAAAACAAAAAAGAGAACCTGTGCATTTTAACATTATCTCCAACTATGGAATTCATTCAATCACCAACTTTTATTAACCATCAAGCAGGGAGGGAAGATATGAACAGAAATACAGTCAGGGCTTTACGACAGGGATACATCTGGGAAATGCATCATTAGGCAGTTTTGTTGTGTGAACATGATAGAGTGCACTCACAGAATCCTAGATGGTACAGCCTACAGCCTACAACACAAACAGGCTACGGTGTATAGCCCATTGCTCCTTGGCTACAAACCTGTACAGCAAGTAACTGTACTGAATATCATAGCCACTTGTAACACAATGGTATTTGGGTATCTAAACAAACCTCACGTGAAAAAGGTACAGTATAAAAGATTAAAAATGGGCTGGGCGTGGTGGCTCATGCCTGTAATCCCAGCACTTTGGGAGGCCAAGGTGGGCGGATCACGAGGTCAGGAGATCGAGACCATCCTGGCTAACACAGTGAAACCCCGTCTCTACTGAAAATACAAAAAATTAGCCGGGCATGGTGGCAGGCGCCTGTAGTCCCAGCTACTCAAGAGGCTAAGGCAGGAGAATGGCATGAACCCGGGAGGCGGAGCTTGCAGTGAGCCAAGACTGGGCCACTGTACTCCAGCCTGGGCGACAGAGCGAGACTCCATCTCAAAAAAAAAAAAAAAAAAAAGATTAAAAATGGTACACCTGTATAGGGCACTTACCAAAATGGCTGTTGCAGAACTCGAAGTTACTCTCGGTGAGTCAGTGAGTGAGTGGTGAGTGAATGTGAAGGACTGGGATATTATTGTCCACTACTGTAGACTTTATAAACACAGTACACTTAGGCTACACTGTTTATTTTTAAAATAAAGTAATTGAGCTACAACATGACAATGGCTACAGCGTCACTAGGTGATAGGAATTTTTCAGCCCCATTATAATCTTATGGGACCACCTTCATACATACAGTCGGTTTTTGACTGAAACATCATTACATTCAGCACGTGAATGTAATTGCGATGAAGTGAAAGATAAAGGTTATAGTTCTAGTGTATCCACAGTGCTTTAGGAGATGAACTGTTAGGGAAAGCCAGAAAAATCTCCACCACGGAAAAAATATTTGGCCTGCGTCTTGAAGGATAAATAGGAAGTCAGTACTCAGACAGGTGCCAGTGTTTTTCAGCCTGAGGCAGGGAGGTATGAGAGACAGCTGGAAGGGTTTGAGAATGGGTGGTGAGAACTTACACTTACTGGGGACTGGATATAAGAATGCAGTAAGACGTGGACCTAGCACCGTGATTTTTCGACCTGGGCTACACATCAGAAACACCTAGCGAGCTTTTAAATCTTCCAGGGCCCAAACCACATTGTGAACCAATTAAATCAGGACGTCTGGGGCTAGAAGCCAGTCATCAGTATCTTTTTTTAAGCTCCCAAAGTGATTCCAATGTGCTGCCAAGTCTCAGAACCACTAGTCTAGAAAGGAGGGATAAGGATTTTCAGCAGCCCCCACAGAACCGGCCCTCCTGGTGACCCTGCAATCCTGGCACACACACCCCACCCCGCCTGGGAGAAAGACCGGCCACACCACAGTCATCGGCTGTTTCCTGCTGCTCCTTTCCTCCCACCAGCATTTTACTCTGAAATAGTGGTTCTCAAAGTGTGGTCTCCAGACTGTAGCATCAGCCTCAGGGGGAAATTCTTAAAAATGCAAATTTCCCAGCCGCACCCTGGACGCATTCACCCAAAAACTCTGGGAGTGGAGCCCAGCAACTGAGCCATGCTAAGGTTGGTGAGCCGCTGCTCTGGAACATTGATCCCTCCCAAACTGCAGCAAAGCAAGCACCTGGGTGTAGCTCTGGCTGTGTAGGTGCTACTACAATCTGCTGGAGTCACTGCTTGTCGGCAGAGATGCCGTGGGAGCTGGCCTGGGTGCCTCCACGTTGGCCGTCACCACCAGGCAGTGGCCTTTGGCCTGGAATCGAAGGTACCAGAGGGCTGATAGCTCAGTTTTTTTATGGCACCAAGAAAAGACTTTCAGATTGGAGGTATGGGATTTTCTTTATTTTTTAATCCTCTTTTAATATAAAGTGGCCCCTTAGCAAACTTTCAAGATATTTCACATCAGAACTGGCCGGGAAATCCGGCATGTGGACAGACACGGATATGCCGTGTGCATTTTTCCGTTGGAGGAAGAGGGTAGGCTTGGGTGCTGGAGGGTGTTGCCTGGGGGCGGAGCGAGAAGGAAGAAAGGGCGCTGCTGGTTCACACCTCACCCATGCCCTCCTCTCAGGCCCCAATCAGGATGGAATTAAAAGACCCTGGGAGGAAAATAAGGAAAGCAACAAAGGAAATGAGTTCCCCATACAGAAAGGGAAATTGCCTTTCCCGTTAAGGTCAGACTGGTCCGAAGTAAAGGACTGGTGCGCCTTAGCAACCGCCTCTGCTGAAGCCCTAACGCTGGAGCTCTTTCGCCCTCGCAGAATAACCGGGACTTTCTTGCAGCCGGAACCAGCCACGTCCTGATTCCACACTCCCTTGAGGAGCCAGCCAGCTCCACATTTACTCAAAGAATCCGAAGGGCACCAAGTGGATGCTCTGCCACACGATTGAAGAGGGCAAGCTGTCTGGGGGGTTTTCCACCTCTTTTCAACTCAACTATTCTGAGCTGAAGTACTGGACCCGTTTTGTTTTTCCTGTTTTTTCCTGCTTCGGTAAATCTGGAAAAATCCTGCAGGTCTGAAAAACTGTTGGACTTGACAGCGTGTGTGTAGCGCCACCTGGTGACCACAGCTTATCAAAACAGCTTCCTTCTGGGGCTCTTGTGGATGTACATCAAAGGCTCCAGCTTCCAGACAGGTACACATCCTGTTCTCACGCCCGGCCCACTTTCCCGTGGGAATGTCAGCCACTCTGATTTGCCTTGGCTGAAAACCTCCTGTCTTTGCATGGAAAAAAACACAAATAATATGAACAAGCAACAGAGTTTTCTTTCTCTCTTAAGTAACCAAGCATTTAAAATCTTCTAAAGCACACATTTCCCTAATTGAGAAAGGAAGCAGAAGAAAAATTTCTGGCTGAAATTATAAATCATAATAAATGGTCGGAAATACCTTCTCCCTTAGATTCCTGGGGTCCTAGTGTAGAGGAGACTTCAGTTGCCCTTGACACTACAACATCCTGACTAAAAGCCTGTTTCCAAGGTGATATTTGATAGACATGAAGGACCCAGGTGGAAAAGAAGGTAGTCTGGACGGCACGGCAAGGAGTGGAACACGCAGGCTATGAGGTGTCAGCAGAAATCAGTTCTGGTCCTGGCACTGCTACCAACTTGCTGTGTGACCTTGGGAAGTTACTTAAGCTTTGTGGATCTCAATGCCCCAGACTCGTTAACTTCTTTACTATTTTTTCCCATAAATTCAGTGTTTCTGAAAGATGTTGCCCACCAGAATGCATCTCTAAAATAGGAGCTTAATAAGCTTTCTGTCTTGAGGGATCAGACGTATAAATGTCAGGCAGGCCTTCTGATGATCATGATGCAACCAGAGTTACCACAGTGAGTCCATATCACAGACAAAGGCGAAGACACTTGATCCCTTCTTAACCTGGTCTCCCACCCATGAATGATTTTTGTTAGGATTTCAGCATGTTGAAACTAACCCACAGACCCTAGTTACAACTTTCTCAGGGCCTGAGAGCTGGGGAATCCCAGTTTGGGAACCAAAAAACTAGAAAATCTTGAGGGCAACTCTGGCTGTCATGAACTAAAACAGAGCAAAGATGGAAGCCTGTGGTATGTGCGTGCAGGTAGAATCTCGATTTGAGAAATGGCGTTACAAGGAATTAACACTTCAGAAATGCCAGCTCTGTGCCAGGATTTTTTTATTTTATTATGTATATTTGTCATGGACAACATGTTTTGGAATATGTATACATTGTGGAATGGTTAAATAAAGCTAATTACATATGCATGTGCTCACAAAGTTATCATTTTAGGGGTGACTTAAAATCTCTCAGTGATTTTCAAAAATATATGTTATTAATCATAGTTGCAATGTTGTACAATAGATCTCTTGAACATATATTCCTCTTGTCTAACTGAAATTTTATGTTCTTTGACCATCTCCCCAACTGCCCCCCAACAAGCCTGAAAGCCCTGGTAACCCCTATTCTACTCTCTACTTCTTTGAGTTCAACTTTTTAAGAGTCCACATATGAGATCATGCAGTATTTGTCTTTCTGTGCCTGACTTATTTCACTTAGCACAATGTCCTTTGGGTTCATCTATGTCACAAGCAACAGGATGTCCTCCTTTTTAAAAGACTGAATAGTATTCCATGGTGTGTTTTCTTTATCCAACCCCATTTTCTTTATCCATCCATCCGTTGATGAACACTTAAACACTTAGTTGGTTTCAAATCTTGGCTATTGTGAATAGTGCTGCAATGAACATGGCAGTACAGATACCTCTTCAACATACCAATTTTATTTCCTTTGGATATATATACCCAGGAGTGGGATTGCTAGATCATATGGTAGTACTATTTTTAATTTTTTAAGGAACCTCCATACTGTTTTCTGCAATGGCTGTGTTAATTTACATTCCCACCAGCAGTGCACAAGGCTTCCCTGCTCTCCACAACCTCGCTAGCATTTGTTATCTTTCATCTTTTTGATAACAGCATTCCAACAGGTATGAGGTGATATCTCATTGTGGTTTTAACATGTATTTCTCTGATAATTAGTGCAGAAGTTTTAGATACAGAATCACAGTTAGTCCTGACAATAATCTCTAAAATACCCATGCAGATGGGGAAAGAGCTGCAGAGAAGTTAAAGAAATTGTCTGCACCTTACAGCTGAGACCAGAACCAGGTCTGTATAATTTCAGAGCACATAATCTTTCAAAGTAACCTAACAAAATCACAGCAACTTTTAGGTTCACAGAGAACAGGCCAAAAAAACAAACAAACAAAAAGAAAGAAATTATAGTAATTTCCAGGTATGAACCAGTAATCCAAACTAAACATATTTTGTTGAATGAATATCCTGGATTCTACTATGTTTCTCCAAGTCCCCACTGTCTTAAAACATAGCATTTGGGGTTCAGTAGTTACTGATAAACCTTTTGCATATCTATGCACTGTTAGTTCTTTACCCTACACATTATTTTATTGTAGTAAAGCCAATTTTCTGACATTTATCTGAAAGCAAACTGTGAAGTACTTCCATTCTACTTCCTGGTGATTTTTAGTGACCTGGTGCCATTTGAACGTATGTGTCCTCCAAAATTCGTATGTTGAAACTTAAACCCCAAAGCAATGGTATTAGAAGGTGGGGCATTTGGAAGGTGATTAGGTCATGAGGCCGCCACCCTCATGTGAATGGGTTTAGTGCCTTTATAAAAGGGCTGGAAGGAACTAGCTAGGCCCATTGCCCTTCCATCTCTTCTGCCACATGAGGGCGCAGTATTTATCCCTTCTGCTCTTCCACCTTTTCCACCATGTGAGAACACCAGAGAAAATACCAATCTGTGGCCAGGCGTGGTGGCTCACGCCTGTAATCCCAGCACTTTGGGAGGCTGAGGTGGGCGGATCACTAGGTCAGGAGATCGAGACCATCCTGGTCAACATGGTGAAACCCCATCTCTACTAAAAATGCAAAAATTAGCTGGGCATGCTAGTGCGCTCCTGTAGTCCCAGCTACTCAGGAGGCTGAGGCAGGAGAATCGCTTGAACCCGGGAGGCGGAGGTTGCAGTGAGCCAAGATTGCACCACTGCACTCCACTCTGGCAACAGAGCGAGACTCTATCTCAAAAAAAAAGCAAGCAAGAAAATACCATCTGTGGGACAGGCCTTCACTAGACACCAAATCTGCTGACACTGTGATCTGGGACTTCCCAGCCTCCAGAACTGTGAGAAATAAATCTCAACTGCTTATGAATTACCCAGTCTGTGGTGTTTTGCTATAGCAGCAGGAACAGACTAAGACATTCAGGGTAATGTGTCATTTCAAGACATGAAAGCTCAGTTCTGTAATATTTTCTTCTCTTATTCCTTTGATAATTTTCTTCTACCCATCATCTGTTTTCTCTTTCTGAAACTTCTACTAGTTAAATATTAAACAACTCTGGTTTCTTAACCTTTCTTGTGTATATTATGATTCAACTAGGATCAAAAAAATATCTAATTAAACAGTAGCTTAAACAAATTAGGGGTTTTTTTTGTTTTTGTTTTTGTTTTCACACAAGAAGTCAAGAAGTCATTGGACCAGTGTTATTTCAGAGGCTCAGGAATGTCAGGGCAAAAATATCTGGAACTCTCTTGGTCTCTTACCCATGGCTACAAGATAGCTGCTGCAGCTCCATCCATCCCATCCACATTCAAGGCAGAACTAAATGAGCAGCAGAAGGAAGCAGAAAGGTTTGTATTTGTATCAGAAGAATAAAGCCTTTCCAGAAATTTTCTACAGACTTAAACTTATGACTCCTTGACCAGAAATGTATCAAAAGGCAAATTTAATTACAGGAAAGTCTAAGAAAGGAAGTTTTAGTATCCCACCATGAAAGTGCAGGAAGACAAGAGAAAGGAGGGTTGTAATGAAGGAATGAGACAATCCAGTGCCCTATTTTCTTTTTTCTTTTTTTTCTTCTCTGAGACAGAGTCTTGCTCTGTCCCTCAGGCTGGAGTGCAATGGTGCCATCTCAGCTTACTTTAACCTTCGCCTCCCAGGTTCAAGCGATTCTCCTGCCTCAGCTTCCCGAGTAGCTGGGATTACAGGTGCCCACCACCACGCCAAACTAATTTTTTTGTATTTTTAGTAGAGACAGGGTTTCGCCATGTTGGTCAGGCTGGTCTTTAACTCCTGACCTCATGTGATCCACCTGCCTCGGCCTCCCAAAGTGCTGGGATTACAGGTGTAAGCCACCGCACTGGGCCAGTGTCCTATTTTTGTCCTTTTTTTTTTTTTTTTTTTTTTTTTACTTCATGCAAGAATTCCTCAATTTTATCTTCTAAACTTTCTGTTGATTTTTTTTTGTTTCTGCCCTAATTATTTTAATTTCTAAGAGTGTTTTCTTCTGATATTTTTTGTTGTGTTGTTTTAATAGCTTCCTATCTTGTTTCATAGCTGTAATACCTTCTCATCTCTCTAAAGATATTTATAACTTCTCTTTAAGTCCATTTTGTTTTTTGCCTTTTCCTCATAATATTTTCTTTTTCTTCAAAATTGATAGCTCTCCCCACACATAGACATTTTAGCCTCTGTCTTCTATTTGGGTAGCGTCCCTCAAAAGTCTGATGATCTGGGCTGTTGATTCATACATAAATATGAGACACCAAGAAGTTGTTTGGAGGAGCTGTGTGATTAAATTAGAATTGTCCCCTGGCAGCGTGCAGAGTGATCAGGTGTTGAGCCAGCTCTTTCATGGGGCAGACCCCCACAACCAGTGTCATTATGTGTGAGTATTTTCTCTGGATTTACTGAGTTTTTCCATTGATTTTCCACTCTGGTCTTCAATATAATGGAGTTGGAGACCAGGGTCCAAGCAGTAATTCCACTGCCATAGTGGGAGCAGGGAGGATGGTGGGAGTACTCTGAGCCGAAGACTCTGGTCAATTTCTCCAGAGAAGGAACTTCGTGTTCTACAGAGGTTAGAGAAAGGTCATACTCTGATGGTGTGGATTAGAGGTCTAAAAGATCCTTTGAGAAACCATCAAATAATCTCTCTGTCTTCATCTCCATGATCTTGTCCTCCTTTGCCCCTTCCACTGTACTGGTGTCCCCAATTTCAAAAGGTTTCAGGTGTTCTGTTGAACAAATCTTTTGTTTCTCATTACTCTTCCCTTCCTGAGATACGTGGGTTTCAGCCTCCGCTGCTAAGTGAGTTACCATTCCTCAAACCACTTTTCAGCTTCTCTACTCTTCTCTCCCTCCAATTCTCTCTGTCCTTATGAGTTTATGCCTTTTTAGTCCTTCATTGTAATTTTGGACAGGGAGGAGAGGGTGGAAATGAAGCTCAGATATATGTAAGTATTGAATCTGCCATGCTAAACGGGAAGTCTACACATATTTTTTTAATATTTCCAATTTCACAACACAATTCCTCCAAAAAAAACTTATGGAGCTTTTTATTATGAATGTGTCACTGACATTCAGTCATAATCTATCTTAGCAACGATATAGGCACATACCAGACTGAAAAGATTTGACAAACGGTATTCTGAGAAACCCACATTTGGTCAATAATCAAGGAAATAATTTGTTAAAAAGGAATAAGATGAAACAAATCCACATTGCGTTTGAGCTCTATAAGTCAAAGATACAGTTTTAAAAAGTAAACTCAAGTAATCCAATATTACAAGATCTAGAGGGTCAGGACAAAGTGAGTTAGGCTTGCACATCAAAGAAATAGCTAGGCAACTACCAAAAATGTTTCCAGGTGAAATCAAGTTGCAAAATTGTATAAACAATCTTGAGATAATTAAACAAAAGAAAATATATTTTCAGATGTTAAGGGCTGCAGAGGGAAAAAGAGCGACTCTATATAGAGAAAATTAATATACTGGAGCTTATCTCCTAAGAATGGCTTCTGAAGCATAAGGTGTTTTTTTTTGGTTTTTTTTTTTTTTGAGAGTCTCACTCTTTCACCCAGGCTGGAGTGCAGTGGCATGATCTTGGCTAACTGCAACCTCTGCCTCTTAGGTTCAAGTGATTCTCGTGCCTTAGCCTCCTGAGTAGCTGGAATTACAGGCACGTGCCACCCCACCCAGCTAATTTTTGTATTTTTAGTGGAGATGGGATTTCACCATGTTGGCCAGGCTGGTCTCAAACTCCTCACCTCAAGTGATCCACCCACCTCAGCCTCCCAAAGTGCTGGGATTACAGGCATGAGTCACCATGCCCAGCCTGAAGCATACATTCAATCTAACAAGTCTTCTAGGTATTTGTTCTACAGACACAGTTACCCAAGTGCTGAATTGCATACATTCAAGGATATTTATTTTGGAGTATTTTAAATCATAACACAAAATGGGAATATTCTATAAATATTTCAATAAGGTCTGCCAGACCCATATATCCAGTAGCCATGGGAATGATATCTAAGCTGTGAGTGAAAACCAAAGGATTAAAAACATGGGCATCCAAGAGAAGGTCAGGGTTCAACGCCAGCACGGTCTTTGACACAGCGGCTAGCAAAGATTCATTGGTCTGTGCACCATTTCCAGCAGCTATACTCCAGAGTTGCTGGTGCTCACCATCTCTTCACTTCTCTGCCTGGTATTTAGAAATAAGGCTGATCTCCTTACAGTGAATAATTCTCTGGTGCAGGCCACGAGAGGAGCCTGGACTTCGTCCTCCTTGTGGCAGTAAAGAGGAGCCTCTCCCCTCTCTTCTGGAATGGTATCAGAGGAGCTTAGTAGAGACTCGAGATTTTCATTATTATCCAAAGGTCACAAGGCCACCCCCACCATGATGTCATTGGAGACTACCTGGAGAGGCTCAAGGACCCGTGAATCTATAACAAAAGATCTAACATTTATGTCCTCAGACTTCCAAAAGGAGAGAAGCAAAAAGACATAACCGAAAAAGTATTCTCACAGAAATATAGTTGAAAACTTCCCAAATTTGCCAAGAGATGTAAATGTACAGTTTCAACAGGCTGAGCAAACCTCCAAACATAATAAACCCAAAGAAATCCACACCAAGAGACATCATAATCAAATTTCTGAAAACTAAATACAAAGAAAAAAATCTTGAAATCAGCCAGAGGAAAACATGGCAGAAACAATTAAAATCGAAATAGATTTCTCATCATAAACCATGTATTCCAAAAGAAAAGTGACACAAATATTTTTCAAATGCTGAAAGAAAAGAACTGTCAATCCAGAGTCCTATACCCAGTAAAAATATCCTGTGAGAATTAAGGGGAAATCACAATATTCTCAGATGAAGAAAAACTAAGATAATTTGTCATCAGGAGAACCGCCCTAGAAGAATAGCTAAAGGAAGTTGTCTAAACAGAAAAGAAATGATACAAGGAGGATGGAACACCATGAAGCAAGGAAGAGAGTACATGGTAAGCAAAAATATTGGCAAACACAATAGGCTTTATTTCTCCTCAAGAGTTTTCCAAATTGTATTTGATGGTTGAAGCAAAACTTATAACACTATCTGATGTGGTTCTCAATGTATGTAGAAGAAATATTTAAGACAATTATACTATAAACAGGGGAAGATAAAAGGGTGTTATGGGGGGAAAGAGTTCTATACTTCACTCAAAGGATAAAAAAGAACATCAGTTGACTGAAATAGGTTATGGATACACAATGGAATACTTAGAGCAATCACTAAAAGTGCTATACAAAGAAATACAAATGCTAAAAAAGAAATACATTCAAAACACTATAGATAGGCTGGGTGATGTCTCACACTTATAATCCCAGCACTTTGGGAGGCTGAGGTATGCGGATCTTTTGAGGTCAGGAGTTTGAGACCAGCCTGGCCAACACTGTGAAACCCTGTCTCTACTAAAAATACAAAAATTAGCCAGGCATGGTGGCAGACACCTGTAATCCCAGCTACTCGGGAGGCTGAGGCACGAGAATCATTTGAACCCAGGAGGCAGAGGTTGCGATGAGCAGAGATGGCACCACTGCACTCCAGCCTGAGTGACAGAGCAAGACTCCATCTCAAAATAAAACAAAACACCACAGATAAATCAAAATGGAAAAATGTTCAATTAACCCAGAAGACAGAGAAAGTGAACAGAGAAAC
This sequence comes from Homo sapiens, assembly GCF_000001405.40. Classification (NCBI taxonomy): domain Eukaryota; kingdom Metazoa; phylum Chordata; class Mammalia; order Primates; family Hominidae; genus Homo; species Homo sapiens. The sequence goes on from NC_000012.12 coordinate 12,041,520, forward strand.
AGAAAGCAGAACAAACAAAACAAGAAATAAAATGTCAGGCTTAAGTTATAGCATATCAATAAGTACATTAAATGCAAGTAGCCAAAATAATCAATTAAAAGACAGATTGACAGATTGGATTTACAAATATGACCCACCTGAGTGAGGCCTGGTGGCTTGCACCTGTAATACCAGCTACTTGGTAGGCTGAGGTGGGAGGATTGCTCGAGGCTAGGAGCTCAAGACCAGCCTAGGCAACATAGCAAGACCCTCATCTCTAAAGAAAAAAAAAAAATAGCTGGAAATGGCAGCTTGCACCTGTAGTCCTAGCTACTCGAGAGTCTGAGGTGGGAGGATCACTTGAGCCCAGGAGTTCGAGGCTGAGGCCACAGTAAGCCATGATCACACCACTACACTCCAGCCTGAGTGATAGAGCAAGACCCTTCTCTAAAATATATATATTCAGATTGAAAAAAAAAGGATAGAAAAAGACATAGCATGCAAGCATTCATAAAAGGAAAGCAGAGATCGAGCACTATGGCTCACACGTGTAATCCCAGCACTTTGGGAGGCTGAGGAGGGTGGATCACTTGAGGTCAGGAGTTCGATACCAGCCTGGCCAACACGGTGAAACCCCCGTCTCTACTAAAAATACAAAAATCAGCTGGGCTTGGTTGTGGGCACCTGTAATCCCAGCTACTCAGGAGACTGAGGCAAGACAATTGCTTGAATCCTGGAGGCAGAGGTTGCAGTGAGCAGAGATCGCACCATTGTACTCCAGCCTGGACAACAGAGTGAGACTCTGTCTCAAAAAAATGGAAAACAGAAATGGTTATATTAGTATCAAGCTAAAGTAGACTTCAGAGCAAAGAAAATTGCTAGAGACAGGGAGGGAGACTACATAATGATCAAAGGGTCAATCCACCAGGAAGTATTAACAATACTAACTGTCTGTATGCCAAACAACAGATCTGCAAACTATATGATGCAAAAACTGATAGAACTGATAGTAGAAATAGACAAATCCACAATTATAGTTGGAGACTCCAACACTCCTCTCTAAACAATTGATAGAACGAGTAGACCAAAAATCAGCAAGGCTGTAGAAAAACTCAACAACACCATCAACCAACAGGACCTAATTGACATTTGTAGAACAGCTGACACAATAGCAGAATATACATTCTAATACACATCAGAATACACACTAAACATACACCAAGATAGACCATATACATTCTAATATACATCAGAATGCACACTCAACACACACCAAGATAGACCATGTACGTTCTAATACACATCAGAATGCACACGTGGCCTCCCAAAGTGCTGGGATTACAAGCATGAGCCAAAGTGCCCAGCCCAATATGAAATAGATAATTTGAATAGCCCTATAACTATTAAGAAAATTTAATTCATAATTTTGAAATTCCCTCCCAGAAAAATATCCAGACCTAAATGCTTTCACTAGATAACTCTACCAAATGTTTAAAGAATTAACACCAATTCTACGTAATCTCTTCCAGAATATAGGTAAGGAGGGAATTCTTAGTTCATTTATGCTGCTATAACAAAATACCTGAGACTGCATCATTTATAAGCAATATAAATTTTTTCTCACAGTTCTGGAAGCTGGGAAGTCCAAGACCAGAGCACCAGCAGTTCTGGAGTCTGGTGAGGGCTGCTATCTCTGCTTCAACATGGCACCTTGTTGCATCCTCCTGGGAGAATAAATGCTGTATCCTTACATGGCAGAAGGATAGAAGGACAAAAAGGGCCTAGCTAGTTTCCTCCAGACCTTTCATATGGCACTAATCCATTCATGAGGGCTCTCCCTCATGACTTAATAACTTCTTAAAAGGCCTCATCTGTTAACACTACCATAATGGGGATTAAGTTTCAACATGAACTTTAGAAAGAACACAAACACTCAACCCATGGTATCTTCATAATTGGTTTTATTTCTACCAAGACCAGATGAAGGCAGAAAACTACCAAAAAAAAAAAAAAAAACAAAACAAAAAAGTCAGAAAACCACAGATCAATACTATCTTGAAAACAGACATGAAAATCCTGAAAAAAAAAATTAGTAAATAAAATTCAGCAGTATGTAAAAAGAATTATACATCTCGACCAAGTGGGGCTTATTATAGGGAGGCAGAGCTAGTCCAATATTGGAAAATCAATAAATGTAATCAACCATATTAACAAGCTACAGAAGAAAAATCACATGATCATATCAATTGATGTGGAAAAAGTATTTGACAAAATTCAACACTCATTCATGATTTAAAAAAAACTCTCAGAAAATTATCAATAGAAAAGAAATGCATCCACTTAGTAAAAAGCACCTATAAAAAACCTACAGCAACATTATACCTGATGGTGAAAGTCTGAATATTTTTCCCTTAAAATCAAGAATAAGACAAGCGTATTCACACTTACATTCTTATTCAACATAGTACTGAAAGTTTTAGCCAGTGCAGTAAGACAAAAGGATGGGGTGAGGGAGAATAAAAAGGAAGACATTATTATCTATATATAGAAAATTCCAAGGAGTATACAAGAAAAACAAACTCTTAGTACTGAGTTCAGTAAACTTGCAGGATATAAGATAAACATACAAAAATCAATTGTATTTCTATATACTAGCAATGGACATGCAGACATCAAAATTTAAAATATAATATCATTTGCAATCACTCAAAAAGAATGGAATACTTAGGTGTCAGTCTAATAAAACATATCCAGGGATTTTATGCTGAAGACTATGCTATGCCGATGAAAGAAATAAAAATATCTAAATAAAGGGAGAGACATACTGTGTTTATGACTAGAAGATTCAACATAATAAAGGTGTAAATTCTCCCAAATTGATATGAAGTCTTAATATAATTCCTATCAAAATCCCAGAAAGTTTTAAAAATAGATATAAACAAGCTTATCCTAAAATTTAAATGAAAAGGCAAAGGAACTGGACTTCAAAACAATTTTGAAAAAGAAGAAAAAAAGTGGGAGGTGACTCAGTCTATCTGATTTCAAGACATATTATATAGGTCAGTAATCGAGACTATGTGATATTGGTGGAGAGATAGACACATAGGTCAATGGAACAGAATAAAGAATCCAGAAGCAGATCCACATAAATATGCCCAACTGATTTTTGACAAGGTGCAAAAGCAACTCAACAAAGGAGAAACAGGCTTTCAACATAAGATGCTGGAGTGATTGCACATCTATTACCAGAAATAATGAACCTCAACCTAAGCCTCACACCTCAAGCAAAAATTAACTCAAAATGGATCATGAACTTAAATGTAAAGCCATAAAACACTTAGGAAAAAAACATAGGATAAAATAGTCAAGATCTAGAATGACGTAAAGTGTTGTGTTTTTTTCACATATGGAGAATGCCCTGTGATAGGGTTCTTAGACTTGACACCAAAAGCACAGTTCATAAAAGGAAAGATGTATAAACTGGACTTCATCAAGATTTTAAATTTTTGTTCTGTAAAAAATCTTGTTAAGAGAATGAAAAGACAAGCTACAGAGTGGGAAGAAAATATTTGCAAACCATATATCTGACATAGGACTAGTATCTGGAATATATAAAGAACTCTCAAAAATTAAACAATAAGAAAGCAAACAATCCAATTAGGAAATGGACAAAACATGTGAAGAGACATTTTAACACAGAAAATATACAGACGACAAATAAGCACGTGAAAATATGTTCAACAGCATAAGCCATTCGTGAAATTCAAGTTGAAACCACTATGCAGTATTACTACATATCTATCAGGATGGCTAAGATGAAAAATAGTGACACCACCAAATTCTGACAAGGATGCAGAGAAACTAGATCACTCATATGATGCTGGTGAGAATGTGAAATGGTGGTGTTTGGAAGTTTCTTAGAAAAGTAAACATGCAACTGCCATATGACCCAGCAATTGAGCTCCTGGGTATTTATCTCAGAGAAATGAAGACTTGTAGTCACACAAAAGTTTGTGCACAAATGTTTATAGCAGCTATATTCATAAGAGCTCAAAACTAGAAGCAATCTAGATGTCCTTCAATAGGTGACTGCTTAGACAAAATATGGTACATTCTATGCGATGTTATTCAACAGTAAAAAGGAACAAACTTTTGATAAACACAACAACCTAGATGAATCTCCAGAGGATTAGGCTGAGTGGGGAAAAAAGCCAATCTTGGCCGGGCGCGGTGGCTCACACCTGTAATCCCAGCACTTTGGGAGGCCGAGGCAGGCAGATCACGAGGTCAGGAGATCGAGACCATCCTGGCTAACACAGTGAAACCCCGTCTCTACTAAAAATACAAAAAAATTAGCTGGGCGTGGTGGCGGGTGCCTGTAGTCCCAGCTACTCGGGTGGCTGAGGCAGGAGAATGGCGTGAACCCGGGAGGCGGAGCTTGCAGTGAGCCGAGATCGCGCCACTGCACTCCAGCCTGGGCAACAGAGCGAGACTCCGTCTCAAAAAAAAACAAAAAACAAAAAACAAAAAAAAAAGCCAATCTCAAAAGGTTGCCTATGTATGATTTCATTTCCATAACGTTTTTGAAATGACAAAATTCTAGAAATGAAGAGTTGATTAGTGGTTGTCAGGAGTTATGGAGGGGGTGGGAGCAGGAAGTCACGGGTTGTGGCTATAAAATGGCAAGATGAGGGAACTTTATGGTAACGAAAATGTTCTGTATCTTGACAGTATCAATGTCTATATCCTGATTATAACATTGTGCTATTATATGCTGTTACCATTGGAAAAAAAATGGGTAAACGGTACACAGGATCTTGATTATTTCTTACAACTACATATGAATCTACAATTATCTCAAAATTAAAAGTTAATTTTTAAAAACAAATTCAGGGCATACACATACAAAACTAAATTTATCTTTTATAAGTTGGCAGGGTTCTGCTGATATAGACCAGGTGGCTCTGCTGAACTTAGCTGGCCTCACTCGTGTGTGCTGCTGATCTAGGCTGGGTTCCTCCAGGTCAACTGGAGAATTTGATTCTGTTTCATGTATCTGTCATCCTCAGCAGGCTGGCCTGGGCATGTTCTTATGGCCATAGCTGAGGTGCATGAGAAAACAAGCTCTAGCTTGGGCGCAGTGGCTCACGCCTGTAATCTCAACACTTTGGGAGGCCAAAGCAGGTGGATCACTTGACGTCAGGAGTTCGAGACCAGTCTGGTCAACTTGGTGAAAACCCATCTTTACTAAAAATACAAAAACTTAGCCAGGCGTGGTGGTGCACGGCTGTAATCCCAGCTATTCGTGAGGCTGAGGCACGAGAATCGCTTGAGCCCAGGAGGCAAATGTTGCAGTGAGCCAAGATGGCACCACTGGCTGGGTGCAGTGGCTCACGCCTGTGATCCCAGCACTTTGGGAGACTGAGGCTGGTGGATCACCTGAAGTCAGGAGTTTGAGACCAGCCTGACCAATATGGTGAAACCCTATCTCTACTAAAAATACAAAAATTAGCCAGACATGGTGACGTGCGCCTGTAGTCCCAGCTACTTAGAAGGCTGAGACAGGAGAATTGCTTGAACCCGGGAGGCAGAGGTTGCAGTGAGCCAAGATCGTGCCACTGCACTCTAGCCTGGGCAACAAAGCAAAACTCCATCTCAAAAAACAAACAAACAAAAAAAAATCACACCACTGCACTCCTGCACTCCACTCTGGGTAACAGAGTGAGACAAGACGAGACAAGACAGGACAGGACAGGACAGGACACGACAGGACAGGACAGGACAGGACAGGGAAAGGAAAGGAAAGAAAAGGGGAAAGGGAAGAAGAAAACAAGTTCTCGTGGACAAACCTCTCTACAGCCCAAATTTGAGTCACGGCTTTTACACACTAATGACAAAAGCAAGTCACATGATTGAGCCCAGAACCAGGGGACAGGGCAGGTCATTCATGCATGGTGGGAGGGCACTGTGAAGTTACGTGGCAACAGGCATGAATATGGGGCAGAGGAGGTGAAAAGCTGGGGTCAAGGACTCTACCACCATCCTTGAACACCTCCAGGACTAAAAATACCTATTGCGGCTTTCTCTTCTTACTGCAGTAACTCTTACCCACTCCCCCACTCTACCTGCCTCATCCAAGTGAGGGGGAAATGAAAGGAAGAAGAGGAAACAGAGCATTGAAAATGTGTGCCTCTGTGTGTGTCTGTGTGTCTGTGTGTGTCTGCGTTTGTGTCTATCTGTGTCTCTCTGTGTGTCTGTGTCTGTGTATGTGTGTCTGTGTGTATGTCTGTGTATCTCTGTGTGTCTATGTGTGTGCCTGTGTGTGCCTGCGTGTCCGTATATGTATGTGTTTGTCTCTGTGTCTGTGTATCTGTGTGTCTGTGTATCAGTGTGTGTGTGTCTATCAGTGTGTGTGTCTGTGTATCAGTGTCTGTGTGTCTGTTTGTGTATCTGTGTGTCTGTGTATCTGTGTGTGTCTGTGTGTGTGCCTGTGTGTGTCTGTGTATCTGTGTGTCTGTGTGTCTCTGTGTGTGGCTGTGTGTGTCTCTGTGTGTGTGTGTACCTGTATCTGTGTATCTGTGTGTGTGTCTCTGTGTGTGTCTGTGTGTGTGCCTGTGTGTGTCTGTGTATCTGTGTGTCTGTCTCTGTGTGTGGCTGTGTGTGTCTCTGTGTGTGTGTCTGTGTTTCTGTGTGTGTCTGTGTATCTGTGTGTATGTCTGTGTATGTGTGTGTGTGTCTGTGTGTGTCTGCATGTGTGCCTCTGTGTGTGTATCTGTATGTCTGTGTATGTGTCCCTGTGTATGTGTCTCTGTGTATCTGTGTGTCTCTTTGTGTGTGTCTGTGGGTATGTTGTGGAAATCCTTGGAAATCTCCTATTTGTGGGAACTGAATCCCCAGCACTGCCATGTAAATATTTTTCCCTCTCATGGGCCACTGTGGCCATTGTCCATTGTTTCAAAGACCCTACAACAGGATCTGAGTTTCCCTTTGCCAAAAGACAGGTCACAGGGAAGGGAACACAGCTGACCCTTGAACAATGTGGGGTTAGGGATGCTGACCCCCACGTCGTCAAAAATCCGCGTATAACTTTTGATTCCCAAAAAAGGAGTCAGGCTGATGTCTGCCCAATATTCTACTGAACTTAACTACCAAGAGCCTACAGTTGACTGGGAAACCTTGCTGATAACATAGTCAGTTAACTCATATTTCGTGTATGAATTATATAATGTATTCTTACAATAAAGTAAGCCAAAGAAAAGAAAATACTATTAAGAAAATCATGAGGAAGAAAAATATTTCCTCTTCGTTAAGTGCAAGTGGAGTTTCATGAAGGTTTTCATCCTTATTGTCTTCACACTGAGTAGGGTGCGGAGGAGGAAGCGGAGGGGTTATTCTTGCTGTCTCTGGGTGGCAGAGGCAGAAGAGGCGGAGGAAGTAAAAGGGAAGGCAGGAGAGGCAGACACACTCAGTGTAGCTTGTACTGGAAAAAACCTGTGTATAAGTGAACCTGTGCAGTTCAAATCCGTCTTGTTCAAGGGTCAACTCTCTATAACGTCTACAAATGTCCTACCCTGCGCCAGGCTGCCTCTGCCCCAATCTTTATTCCATCTTCTGCCCCATCTCTGACTCTCTTCTCACCTTTACAGTTTTCTAGAGTCCTTGTTCCTTTCCTAGCACGCACCCAGACTTTATGTTATGAGAATCCCTGTCCAAAGCCACTGAGAGCAGTCTCTTTGCCTCCGTATCTTCATTAGTAAAACATGGGTATCAGCAGTGCCCACCTCACAGCGTTGATGTGAGGATGAAGCGACATGACTGATAATGAGTTTACACTGCCCGGTATGCGGTGATTCCTCAATAAATTGCAGGATGTGTTTTTTCTTTTCTTTTAATATGGGGGTAGGGGCTGCCCAGTCTCACTGCAGACAGCTAAAGGAATCGCAGCACCAGGCGCGATGGCTCACGCCTGTAATCCCAACACTTTGGGAGGCCGAGGCGGGTGCATCACGAGGTCAGGAGTTTTGAGACCAACCTGGCAACATGGTGAAAACCCATCTCTACTAAAAATACAAAAATTAGCCGGACCTGGTGGCGAGCGCCTGTAGCCCCAGCTACTCAGGAGGCTGAAGCAAGAGAATCGCTTGAACCCGGGAGGCAGAGGTTGTAGTGAGCCGAGACCGCGCCAATGCACTCCAGCCTGGGCGACAGAGCGAGACTCCATCTAAAAAAAAAAAAAAAAAAAAAAAAAGGAATCCCAGCAATCCAAGGCGGAATTCTAGAAATAGTTTCCCGTAGAAACACCGTTCTACACTGCAGTCTTATTCTATCCCACTATTATTACTCCCAAAGATTCTAAGGTCCCAGTGCTTTCGCTTCATCCTAGAGGCTAAATGGGCTCCCCTGGACTCGCCTGGCAGAACTAACCACCTAGAAGAACGTTATTGTAAGGGGGAAATGTGAGTGCTACATAAGTTTCTTATAAATGTGCTTTTGAAATAGAGTCCACTCTTAAGTTTGATATTTCCTAAAATTTAATGTGTGAAGGAAGATGCTTGGGAGACAATCCGTTTATCAGGCTGATATATGGCAGATAGTCTACTGACCTCCCTGAGCAAGAACCTTAGGAATGAGGCCAGGTGGCAGAAACACTCAGGGCCAAGGGTAGGGAGCAAAACTGTGATGTAAAGAGACCTAGATGGACTTGGGAGGAGGTGGGGTTCAATAGGAGGCCACGACTAATGCCCTGGCATGCAAAGGCTGGACAGGAGTCTTGAAAGAGCCTCAATTAGCTGGGCGTGGTGGCGGGCGCATGTAGTCCCAGCTACTCGGGAGGCTGAGGCAGGAGAATGGCGTGAACCCGAGAGGCGGAGCTTGCAGTGAGCCTAGATTGCGCCACTGCACTCCAACCTGGGCGACAGAGGGAGACACCATCTCAAAAAAAAAAAAAAAAAGAAAAGAAAAGAAAAGAAGAAACAAAGAGCCTCAAAAATATGGAAAACCAGATCCTAAGAGCAAAATGCCAAGGGGGACACTTATTAGTGAGGAGTCTGCAAAAACAGAAAGGTTTTAGCCAGAAGCTTATAGGAGTAGACCTGGAACCCAAATTGAAAAGGAACAGTGCGACCCGTAATTTGAGAAGGAAATAGAATAGGCAGAAGAACTACAGAAACTATAGCTTCGAGTCTAAGAGCCTATTTACAGGGGTGTCCAATCTTTTGGCTTCCCTGGGCCACACTGGAAGAAGAATTGTCTTGGGCCACACATAAAACACACTAACACTAATAGCTGATGAGCTAAAAAAAAAAAAAAAAAAAAGAAAAGAAAAGAAAAGAAAAAAGAATGGCCGTGCATAAATCTCATAATGTTTTAAGAAAGTTTACAAATTTGTGTTGAGCCACATTCAAAGCCATCCTGGGCCTCATGCAGCCCGTGGAAGCTTGCATAAGAGAGAGATTTAGGACCTTTTGGCGGAAGTGCTCGATAAGGATTGAATAGCACCATAAACTGAAGCTAAACTGAAAGGTTTTAGAATTTAACTTAAGACACCTCAAATGCTTTTAGATGAAACTCAGGACTTTTCACTGTAGTAAAGTTCAGCGTGAAATTGACCTTGTAGGGGCACCAGACAGCAGTGAGCAGGGTGTATAAGAGTGAGGGAGGGGTTAATAAATAGAGATGGTGGGAAAAGGAGCTGGCTTTTCGTGAGTTCAGCTTCTTGCAGACTAGACTAGCAAGAGTCAAGAATGAACCTAAGCCAGACTCAGGTCTACTGGGCAGTGCTAGGCCTGTCTCAACCCTGTTTGCACATCAGGTACCCCATGCGTCTGCTGTAGTCTGTAGCTACATGGGAACCTAAAACATCACCGAGGTTTCTAGTGATGTTGAAACTCAGCTAATAAACAGGGAATCCCGAGGGTTCCCCTCTACTCCACTCCTGACAGTGGCCATCCTGCCTCTGCTTGAATACCTTAACTCGCCTCTCATGAGGCACCCATCTCCTCATTAAATGATTGTCACTGGGAAGAATCCGCCCCACACAGCCAGATCAAATTTACCCCCTGGTAACTTTCAGCCCCTGGTCCCCATTCTGCTCTTTAGCACTAGGTAGCTGAATCGAATCTTTCCATGAGAGTCAATTCCATTCCTCCTAAATCTTCTCTCTTCTAAGATAAATAGTCCACATTATACAATCTTAATACCCAATTCAATGAGCACTTCATGATAGTCTAATATATGCAAAGCACCATGCTTGTGCCAAGTGGGACCCTAAAGCGAATATTATCTCCTTGCTCTTTAGGCAAACAGGGTGAAGACAAGAGGCATAGGTGATGGACACTAAAACAAAGACCGTAAGTACTGTAATAGCTACACACAACTTACAATCATATAGGCATGGGGAAAGAGTAGCCCAGCTTACCTTGGAGGATCTGGAAAGGTTCTAAGAAGAAGTGGAATTGAGTTGGAGTTGGAAAGACTTCAACAATCAGATGTGAGAAGGACGTGGGTGGTGAGTGCAAAGAAAATAGGACACGGCTGAGGACCTTGTTTTCTTTTTCTTTTTTGAGGTTTTTTTCTTCTTCCTTTGTTTTTCGTTTTATTTTTATTTTTCATTAACAAGTAGTAATAATACATGTTTATGGAGTACAATTTGATGTTTTGATATAGGTTTACAATGTGGAATGATTAAATCAGGCTAATTAGTAAATCCATCACCTCACAAACTTACCAATTTTTTGCAGTAAAAACATTTAAGATCTACTTTTAGCAATTTTGAAATATACAATGCATTATTACTTATTATAGTTACCATGCTGTGCAATTGATTAGTAAAGCTTATTCCTCTTGTCTAACTGAAACTGTGTAGCCTTTTCCCAACCACCGCTCCACCCCCAGTCCCTGGTAACCACCATTGTACTCTCTACTTCTATGAGATCAACTTTCTCAGATCCTACCTATGAGTGAGATCGTGCAATATTTGTCTTTCTGTGCCTGGCTTATTTCACTTAGCGTAGTGTCCTCCAGATTCATCCATGTTGTCCCAAATCACAGGATTTCACCCCTGTTTAAGGCTGAGTAGTATTCTATTGTGCATATATACCACATTTTCTTTATTCATTCATCTGTTGATGGACACCTAGATTGATTCCATATCTTGGCTATGGTAAATCGTGTTGCAATGAACATGGGAGTTCAGGTGTCTCTTCAACATACTGATTTCAATGCCTTTGGATAAATACCCAGAAGTGGGATTGCTGTATCAGGACCTTGGTTTCTTAGCTTCTGTCTGACCTTGAGCATACCTAAAATAAGAGCCCTGAACGAGATAATTTCTAAAGTTTAGTGATAGAGACCAAAAGGAGTATACGTCTGAGCATTCCAACTTAGGCCAAAGCCTAAAAGTGAGAAGCCTGCCCATATCAAGGGAGTGAGGTGTGTGTTTGGGGCAGGGGTAGTAGAAGAGCAAGACGGTTCATGAATTCAGTATTCTTGTTTCACTGATGCAGCACCCATCACCATTCTGATCAGGTCCCTTGGGGACATGGACAGTGTCCTTAGAATGACAATGATGATGGTACCACCAGCACCACCACCACCATTTCTCTAGCATGTGGGTGAGCCAAACACCTTTGGAAACACCTTACATATTTACATTTACATCCTACTGAATCCTCATAACAGCCCTGTGAGATAGATAGAATTTTTATTATTCTCATTTTACAAATTAGAAAGCTGAGGCACAGAAAGGTTAAATAACTTGCCCAAGTCCATAGGGCTAATCTAATAGCAGAGCTGGGATTTGAAGGCAAGTAGTCTCACTCCCTGCTTTTCTTCCTCGAAAAACACAAGGGCAGGGCTGAACTCAGCTCAGGGGACACAATCTATACCAGGACAAGGTTACAATGGCCCTATAACTTCTTCTTCTTCTTTTTTTTTTTTTTGAGACGAAGTTTCACTCTTGTTGCCCAGGCTGGAGTGCAATGGCGCAATCTCAGCTCACTGCAACCTCCACCTCCCGGGTTCAAGCAATTCTCCTGCCTCAGCCTCCCGAGTAGCTGGGGTTACAGGCATGTGCCACCACACCCGGCTAATTTTGTATTTTTAGTAGAGATGGGGTTTCTCCATGTTGGTTAGGCTGGTCTCGAACTTCCAACCTCAGGTACCCGCCTTGGCCTCCCAAAGTGCTGGGATTACAGGCGTGAGCCACCATGCCCAGCCGGCAATATAACTTCTTTTGCATTCTCATTAACTCAGCCTCAGACGACACTGGCTTCCTTGGAAGCCACTGCATACTGATGATTGAAGTGGAGCTGACAATCACCTAAAAACCCCTAAATGCCTTTGACATGAGCCACTCTTAAGCCAGGTCTCTCCCATTCTGTTCACGTGTGGCTGATCAGTTCAAACTAAATGTTGGGTTTTACGTTGAACCCTATACAATTCTAGGTTTTAGCTTATAGTTTCACCCTACTATAATTTTGAAACATGATATGTTACCTAATGTTACCTCTCCCGGTTTAGTAATAACATAAACAAAAACAGTTGACAGTTATGGGGGCCCTGACTTTGTGCCAGACACCCTGCTACGTATTTGTTTGTTTAATGTAATACCTTATATAATCATTTAGTCTTTACACAAAGTTAAATATTATTATTATTCTCACTTAATAGGATAGGAAACCAAGTCTAGTGAAGTTAAGAAGCTTGCTCAAAATCCAATTAGGGGCTGGGCGCAGTAGCTCATGCCTGTAATCCCAGCTCTTTGGAAGGCCAAGGCAGGTGGATCACCTGAAGTCAGGAGTTCGAGACCAGCCAGGCCAACATGGAGAAACCCCATATCTACTAAAAATACAAAAAATTAGCCAGGCGTGGTGGCAGGTGCCTGTAATCCCAGTTACTTGGGAGGCTGAGGCAGGAGAATTGCTTGAACCCAGGAGGTGGAGGTTGCAGTGAGCCGAGATCATGCCACTGCACTCCAACCTGGGCAACAGAGCAAGACTCCATCTCGAAAAAAAAAAAAAATAAAATCCAATTAGGAAGGGACTGACCCAAGAGTCATACCTAGGATTATCTGACTCCAGGGCCTGAACTTTTATCTATGTTCTCTGCAGCGTCCTCACATCTTCTACACACTTGTTATTATCTAAGTCAATCATGAAAAATGATGAAACAGGCCAGGCGTGTTGGCTCACACCTGTAATCCCAGCACTTTGGGAGGCCGAGGCGGGCAGATCATGAGGTCAGGAGATCGAGACCAGCCTGGCCAACAGGGTGAAACCCCATCTCTACTAAAAATACAAAATGAGCCAGGCGTGGTGGCATGTGCCTGTAGTCCCAGCTACTCGGGAGGCTGAGGCAGGAGAATCGCTTGAACCCAGGAGGCAAAGGTTGCAGTGACCTGAGATCACACCACTGGACTCCAGCCTGGGCGACAGAGCGAGACTCCATCTCAAAAAAAAAAAAAAGAATAAAGAAAAATGATGAAACAGAATCAGGGAGAGAATTCAGAGGAAAATGACATCCCTCCAGGTGTGTATGAACCAATTACTCATAGAGTCATAAACAGTTAGAGAATGAGGCATTTTTCACAAAATATTGAGGGCTGGAGAGGTTGAACAATTTGCTCCCACTCACACATCTAGGAAAGAGAGGAGATGGAAAAGTAAACAATCCAGAAAGGTCAAGGCCCTCATTCCATCAATGCACAATTCAAGTACACATACGTGGGAAACCATCTGAAAAGTTTTGTAATTACAATTTCATCTAGCCAGCAATTCTCCAACTCATTCACATGCATCTCATGACATCGTTGTCAGAAGCCTTGCTAGAGTGAACGTGCACTTCATCAAACACACCCCTGATCCGTGGGAGATGGGATTCGTTTGTGCTGATCTACTCTCCAGGAACACAAGAAACTCACCATTCTAACGGTTCATAAATCATCCATTTAATACCCCAGTTTCAGATTTTGCAGGAATTAACATCAATGCACGGTTTTTGAGACCCGCCAACTTGCTGAAACAGTGCAAGCCACCTGCAGTCCTCGGATACCACTCAGTGATGGCCCTAGGTCTCCCTACTCTGGGCCTGAGATTCACTTACAGCTGCAAAACACACCTGTGCACTCTCCTCATAGGCAGAACGCTTTCACTTCTCAGTCATTTCCAACTGAGACTGTTTTCTCTGGTAGAGAATACAGAAGTCAAATGGACTCAGAGTGGTTCTGCCTTGTCTCTGCCTTCTGTTGTTGAGAATAAACCAGAAAAATCCCTTCTTCTGTCATTAACATTTTCAAGAAGCTCCGTTCAGTCCAGTGCTCTTATTTCAGGCCTATCACACCCTTTCATATTTGTGTTTTCATAGCCACTGACAAAGACTGTGTCCTTGACCAAACTTTAGTCAGGTTCCTCTGAGCCCAATCAGGCCCCATCCTTGGGCATGCCCCCACCCCCAATGTCTGATCACCCTCAAAATCTGATCAAATTCCTCATCCCTCATCATCCCCGAGGCGATGTCTGATCACCCTGCCTGGTCTTCAGCAAAAATCACACTAGGTCAACTTAGCCAGAATCCCCTGACTCCCAATGTTTCCCCTTAGTAATTTTCCACCCACTGACCCCACCTTATTCCTTGGTTACAAATCCCCATTTGCCTCTGCTGCATTCAGAGTTGAGCCCAGTTTCTCTCCCTGACCACAAGACCCTATTGCAGTGGTCCGTCCCTACACCAACTGCGATAGTCCCGGATAAAATCTGCCTTACCCTTTTAACAAGGGTCAAGAGTAAATTTTTCCTTAACATCTCCTGTGGGCACTATTTGTATACATTTAAAGTGAGAGCTTATCCAAGAGCTTCCTTTTTAGCCTGGCAATCAAGTATCCTTTTTGCTTCTTTCTCCCGATCACTCCCTAAACCCCTCATCTATAGTAAGAAGCAGAATCAGAATTTGACTCCAAGACTGTGCCTGAGGAGCCTGAGCCCTAAATACTGTGCTCTATTGTTACCTGTGTTATCTGTAAATAACTGAGCCATTGATTAAAACACAGTTAATAGGCTGGGCACGGTGGCTCACGCTCACTCGTAATCCCAGCACTTTGGGAGGCCAAGGTGGGCGGATCAACTGAGGTCAGGAGTTCGAGACCAGCCTGACCAACATGGTGAAACCCCATCTCTACTAAAATACAAAAGTTAGCTGGGCGTGGTGGTAGGCGCCTGTAATCCCAGCTACTCAGGAGGCTGAGGCAGGAAAATCGCTTAAACCTGGAAGGCCTCGGAGGTTGCAGTGAGCCGAGATTGCGCCACTGCACTCCAGCCTGGACGACAAGAGCGAAACTCCATCTCAAAACAAAAACAAAACACAATCAATAACAGAACCTAGAGATCTCTAGCTAGATGCATCTCAATCAATTAAGCATGCAATCAAAGAGACTGAAGGGGACCTGAGGTCCAGATAATTTAAGTGATTTAACCAACGTTAAAGATTATTTCTTAAGGGGAAAATCATGACTCTCACATGATATAAAAGAACATGTGGCAAATATTTTATTTAACTAATTTAACTGGAGCCAGCAAAATATTAAAACCAGCTCAAAGGAGAAAACTCCAACTACCACACATTTATAGTCAGATAAGAAATACCGAAATAAATTTACAAACAGGCAAAACTGGAAAAACTGGTTAATATCTACAGGACAATAAACAAAGGCATTCCACGGGAGACTATTTGCATTATAATATGCAAGGAATTATTTGCATTACGATCAGTTTTCTATATGTTAACTTCTTTCTAAGGAGTTGTAAAATAGCATAATCAAAAGCAAATAAATAAGCATATCTCTATAAAATCAGATAATCCCCAAAGGCTCTAACATTCCATTGAAAGGATATCCAGTAATCTCTTTGCCCATTGCAAATCTTTCCATTTTTCCCTACGCCAAAGTCAAAAAGCAGTAATAGCAACTCCAGAAAAGAGGTGAAGAGAGCCGGGCTCGGTGGCTCACGCCTGTAATCCCAGCACTTTGGGAGGCCGAGGCGGGTGGATCACCTGAGGTCGGGAGTTCGAGACCAGCCTGACCAACATGGAGAAACCCCTTCTCTACTAAAAATACAAAATTAGCTGGGTGTGGTGACACATGCCTGTAATCCCAGCTACTAGGGAGGCTGAGGCAGAAGAATTGCTTGAACCTGGGAGGCGGATGTTGCAGTGAGCCGAGATCGCACCACTGCACTCCAGCCTGGGCAATAAGAGCAAAACTCCATTAAAAAAAAAAAAAAAGAAGTGAAGAACATCAACAAACTGGGCTGCATCTGAACCATGTGAAGAAGATGGTCAGGTTTAGTGGTTAGCGTCATGGGCCTTAAAGACAGTGCCTGGGCTCCCTCAAATTCCAGCTTTGCCTCATGTGCTCGTGTGACCCTGGGAAATTTTACTTAAGTCTTTTGTGTGTTTGTCTTTTTTTTTTTTTTTTTTTGAGATGGAGTCTCTGTTGCCCAGGCTGGAGGAGTACAGTGGCTCCATCTTGGCTCACTGCAACCTCCCCCTCCTGTGTTCAAGCAATTCTTTTGCCTCGGCCTCCCCGAGTAGCTGGGACTACAGGTGTGTGCCACCACGCCCAGCTAAATTTTTTTGTGTTTTTAGTAGCGACGAGGTTTCACCATGTTGGCCAGGCTGTTCTCCAACTCTTGACCTCAGGTGATCTGCCCGCCTCGGCCTCCCAAAGTGCTGGGATTACAGGCGTGAGTCATTGTGCCCAGACTCTTTTTTTTTTCTTTTTTTTGAGACGGAGTCTCTGTTGCCCAGGCTAGAGTGCAGTGGCATGATGTCGGCTCACTGCAACCTCCGCTTCCCGGGTTCAAGCGATTCTCCTGCCTCAGCCTCCCGAGTAGCTGGGATTACAGTCATGTGCCACCACACTTGGCTAATTTTGTATATTTAGTAGAGACGGGGTTTCAGACGGGGTTGGCCAGGCTGTTCTGTAACATTCTACCACAAAAGAAGTGAAAATGGCCTGTTCCTGCCTTAACTGATGACATTGTCTTGTGAAATTCCTTCTCCTGGCTCATCCTGGCTCAAAAGCTCCCCCACTGAGTACCTTGTGACCCCCACTCCTGCCCGCCAGAGAACCCCCCTTTTTCCTTTACCTACCCAAATCCTATAAAACAGCCCCACCCCATCTCCCTTCACTGACTCTCTTTTCGGACTCAGCCCGCCTGCACCCAGGTGAAATAAACAGCCATGTTGCTCACACAAAGCCTGTTTGGTGGTCTCTTCACACCGACGCGCATGAAATTTGGTGCCATGACTCAGATGGGGGACCTCCCTTGGGAGATCAATCCCCTGTCCTCCCACTCTTTGCTCCGTGAGAAAGATCCACCTATGACCTCAGGTTCTCAGACCAAGCAGCCCAAGAAACATCTCACCAATTTCAAATCCAGTAAGCGGCCTCTTTTTACTCTCTTCTCCAACCTCCCTAACCCTCAGCCTCTTTCTCCTTTCAATCTTGGCGCCACACTTCAATCTCTCCCTTCTTTTAATTTCAGTTCCTTTCATTTTCTGGTAGAGACAAAGGAGACACGTTTTATCCGTAGACCCAAAACTCCGGTGCCGGTCACGGACTGGGAATGCAGCCTTCCCTTAGTGTTTAATCATTGCAAGGACACCTCTCTGATTATTCCCCCACGTTTCAGAGGTGTCAGACCACACAGGGACGCCTGCCTTGGTCCTTCACCCTTAGCGGCAAGTCCCGCTTTTCTGGGGGAGGGGCAAGTACCCCAACCCCTTCTCTCCGTGTCTCTACCCCTTCTCCACCTTTCTGGGGTGCAAGAAACCCCCAACCCCTTATCCTTCACCCTTAGCGGCAAGTCCGGCTTTTCTGGAGGAGAGGCAAGTACCCCAACCTCATATCTCTGCACCCCAATCCCTTATTTCTGCACCCTGACCTCATATCTCTGTGCCCCAATCCCTTATTTCTGCACCCCAACCTCATATCTCTGCTCCCCGATCCCTTATTTCCATGCCCCAACCTCTTATATCTCTGCACCCCATCCCTTATTTCCATGCCCCAACCTCCTATCTCTGTGCCTGACCCCTTCTCTGCTTTTCTGGAGGGCAAGAACCCCCTACCCCTTCTCCGTGTCTCTACTCTTTTCTCTGGGCTTGCCTCCTTCACTATAGGCAAGCTTCCACCTTCCATTCCTCCTTCTTCTTCCTTAGCCTGTGTTCTTAAGAACTTAAAACCTCTTCAACTCTCACCTGACCTAAAATCTAAGTGTCTTATTTTCTTCTGCAATGCCGCTTGACCCCAATACAAACTCCACAGTAGTTCCAAATAGCCAGAAAACAGCACTTTCAATTTTTCCATCCTACAAGATCTAAATAATGCTTGTCGTAAAATAGGCAAATGGTCTGAGATGCCTGATGTCCAGGCATTCTTTTACACATCCGTCCCTCTCTAGTCTCTGTTCCCAATGCAACTCATCACAAATCTTCCTTCTTTCCCTCCCACCTGTCCCCTCAGTCCCAACCCCAAGCGTCGCCGAGTCTTTCTAATCTTCCTTTTCTACAGACCCATCTGACCTCTCTCCTCCTCGCCAGGCCGAGCTAGGTCGCAATTCTTCCTCAGCCTCTGCTCCTCCACCCTATAATCCTTTTATCACCTCCCCTCCTCACACCCGGTCCGGCTTACAGTTTCGTTCCATGACTAGCCCTCCCCCTCCTGCCCAGCAATTTACTCTTGAAAAGGTGGCTGGAGCTAAATTAAAGTTAATGCTCCTTTTTCTTTATCCCAAATCAGATAGCGTTTAGGCTCTTTTTCATCAAATATAAAAAACCCAGCCCAGTTCATGGCTCGTTCGGCAGCAACCCTGAGACACTTTACAGCCCTAGACCCTAAAAGGTCAAAAGGCCGTCTTATTCTCAAAATACATTTTATTACCCAATCTGCTCCCGACATTAAATAAAACTCCAAAAATTAAATTCCGGCCCTCAAACCCCACAACAGGATTTAATTAACCTCGCCTTCAAGGTGTACAATAATAGAAAAAAGTTGCAATTCCTTGCCTTCACTGTGAGACAAACCCCAGCCACATCTCCAGCACACAAGAACTTCCAAAGGCCTAAACCTCAGCGTCCAGGCGTTCCTCCAGAACCTCCTCCCCGAGGAGCTTGCTACAAGTGCCAGAAATCTGACCACCAGGCCAAGGAATGCCTGCAGCCCAGGATTCCTCCTAAGCCGTGTCCCATCTGTGCGGGACCCCACTGGAAATCAGACTGTTCAACTCACCTGGCAGCCACTCCCAGAGCCCCTGGAACTCTGGCCGAAGGCTCTCTGACTGACTCCTTCTCAGCTTAGCGGCTGAAGACTGACGCTGCCCGATAGCTTCGGAAGTCCCGTAGACCATCACAGATGCCGAGCTTTAGGTAACTCTCACAGTGGAGGGTAAGCCCGTCCCCTTCTTAATCAATACGGAGGCTACCCACTCCACATTACCTTCTTTTCAAGGGCCTGTTTCCCTTGCCTCCATAACTGTTGTGGGTATTGATGGCCAGGCTTCTAAACCTCTTAAAACTCCCCAACTCTAGTGCCAACTTAGACAATACTCTTTTAAGCACTCCTTTTTAGTTATCCCCACCTGCCCAGTTCCCTTATTAGACTGAGACACTTTAACTAAATTATCTGCTTCCCTGACTATTCCTGGGCTACAGCCACACCTAATTACCACCTTTTCCCTCAGTTCAAAGCCTCCTTCACATCCTCCCCTTGTATCTCCCCACCTTAACCCACAAGTATAAGATACCTCTACTCCCTCCTTGGCGACCAATCACACACCCCTTACCATCTCATTAAAACCTAATCACCCTTACTCCGCTCAATGCCAAGATCCCATCCCACAGCACGCTTTAAAAGGATTAAAGCCTGTTGTCACTCGCCTGCTACAGCATGGCCTTTTAAAGCCTATAAACTCTCCTTACAATTCCCCCATCTTACCTGTCCTAGAACAAGACAAGCCTTACAAGTTAGTTCAGGATCTATGCCTTATCAACCAAATTGTTTTGCCTATCCACCCCGTGGTGCCAAACCCATATACTCTCCTATCCTCAATACGTCCCTCCACAACCCATTATTCTGTTCTGGATCTCAAACATGCTTTCTTTACTATTCCTTTGCACCCTTCATCCTAGCCTCTCTTCGCTGTCACCTGGACTGACCCTGACACCCATCAGGCTCAGCAAATTACCTGGGCTGTACTGCCGGAAGGCTTCACAGACAGCCCCCATTACTTCAGTCAAGCCCAAATTTCTTCCTCATCTGTTACCTATCTCAGCATAATTCTCATAAAAACACACGTGCTCTCCCTGCTGATCGTGTCCGATTAATCTCCCAAACCTCAATCCCTTATAAAACAACAACTCCTTTCCTTCCTAGGCATGGTTAGTGCAGTCCGAATTCTTACACAAGAGCCAGGACCGCACCCTGTAACCTTTCTATGCAAACAACTTGACCTTACTGTTTTAGCCTAGCCCTCATGTCTCCGTGCAGTGGCTGCTGCCGCCCTAATACTTTTAGAGGCCCTCAAAATCACAAACTATGCTCAACTTACTCTCTACATTTCTCATAACTTCCAAAATCTATTTTCTTCCTCATACCTGATGCATATACTTTCTGCTCCCCGGCTCCTTCAGCTGTACTCACTCTTTGTTAAGTCCCACAATTACCATTGTTCCTGGCCCGGACTTCAATCTGGCCTCCCACATTATTCCTGATACCACACCTGACCCCCATGACTGTATCTCTCTGATCCACCTGACACTCACCCCATTTCCCCATATTTCCTTCTTTCCTGTTCCTCACCCTGATCACGCTTGATTTATTGATGGCGGTTCCACCAGGCCTAATTGCCACACACCAGCAAAGGCAGGCTATACTATAGTACAAGCCACTAGCCCGCCTCTTAGAACCTCTCATTTCCTTTCCATCGTGGAAATCTATCCTCAAGGAAATAACTTCTCAGTGTTCCATCTGCTATTCTACTACTCCTCAGGGATTATTCAGGTCCCCTCCCTTCCCTACACATCAAGCTTGAGGATTTACCCCCACCCAGGACTGGCAAATTAACTTTACTCAACATGCCCTGAGTCAGATAACTAAAATACCTCTTAGTCTAGGTAGACACTTTCACTAGATAGGAAGAGGCCTTTCCTACAGGGTCTGAGAAGGCCACCGCAGTCATTTCTTCCCTTCAGTCAGACATAATTCCTCAGTTTAGCCTTCCCACCTCTATACAGTCTGATAACAGACGAGCCTTTATTAGTCAAATCAGCCAAGCAGTTTTTCAGGCTCTTAGTATTCAGTGAAACCTTTATATCCATTACAGTCCTCAGTCTTCAGGAAAAGTAGAACAGACTAAAGGTCTTTTAAAAACACACCTCACCAAGCTCAGCCACCAACTTAAAAAGGACTGAACAATACTTTTACCACTTTCGCTTCTCAGAATTCAGGCCTGTCCTCAGAATGCTACAAGGTACAGCCCATTTGAGCTCCCATATAGATGCTCCTTTTTATTAGGCCCCAGTCTCATTCCAGACAGCAGACCAACTTAGACTGTGCCCCAAAAAACTTGTCATCCCTACTATCTTCTGTCTAGTCATACTCCTATTCACCATTCTCAACTAATCATACATGCCCTGCTCTTGTTTACACTGCCAGTTTACACTGTTTCTCCAAGCCATCACAGCTGATATCTCCTGGTGCTATCCCCAAACTGCCACTCTTAACTCTTGAAGTAAATAAATAATCTTTGCTGGCAGGACTATGCTGAATCTCCTTAGGCACTCTTTAATCAGATGTCCTAGGTCCTCCCAATTCTTAGACCTTTTATACCTGTTTTTCTCCTTTTCTTATTCCGTTTAGTTTTTCAATTCATACAAAACTATATCCAGGCCATCACCAATAATTCTAAATGACAAATGTTTCTTCTAACAGCCCCACAATATCACCCCTTACCACAAAATCTTCCTTCAGCTTAATCTCTCCCACTCTAGGTTCCCACGCCACCCCAATCCCACTCGAAGCAGCCCTGAGAAACATCGCCCATTATCTCTCCATACCACCCCCAAAAATTTTCGCTGTCCCAACACTTTACCACTATTTCGTTTTATTTTTCTTATTAATATAAGAAGACAGGAATGTCAGGCCTCTGAGCCCAAGCTAAGCCATCATATCCCCGTGACCTGCACGTACACATCCAGATGGCCAGTTCCTGCCTTAACTGATGACATTCCACCACAAAAGACGTGAAAATGGCCTGTTCCTGCCTTAACTGATGACATTGTCTTGTGAAATTCCTTCTCCTGGCTCATCCTGGCTCAAAAGCTCCCCCACTGAGTACCTTGTGACCCCCACTCGTGCCCGCCAGAGAACAACCCCCCTTCTTCCTTTACCTACCCAAATCCTGTAAAACCCCATCTCCCTTCGCTGACTCTCTTTTCAGACTCAGCCCGCCTGCACCCAGGTGAAATAAACACCCATGTTGCTCACACAAAGCCTGTTTAGTAGTCTCTTCACATGGACATGCATGAAACTGACCTCAAGTAATCCACCTGCCTCAGCCTCCCAAAGTGCTGGGATTACAGGCATGAGCCACCACGTGTGGCCTGTTTGTTTTTTGAGACAGTTCTGTCACCCAGGCTGGAGTGCAGTGGTTTGATCACTGCAGCCTTGAACTCCTGGGCTCAAGTGATCCTCCCACCTCAGCCTCCAGAGTATGGGACTACAGGCATGCAGTACCATACCTGGCTAATTTTTTTGATTTTTTTTTTCTTTTTTTGTAGAGATGGGGCCTCACTATGTTACCCAGGCTAGTCTCAAACACCTGGCCTCATGCAATCTGCTTCCCAAAAGCACACCCAAAAGGTGTGAGCTACCATATCCCACCTACTTAACTCTTTTGTATCTCAGTTTCTTCATATGTAAAATGGGCATAACTGTCGTGCCTACTACACAGCTGAGTTAATAATTGGCATGGACTCAGTAAAATAAGAACTATTATTGTTAGGCCTCTTTGGAGCCATGGCCACAACAGCATGCCTATCTTTACTCTAAAAATTTTGCCCAACTAGGCTCAGAATTCTCTCTCAACCATCTCCAATTTTACAGTAAAATGAACATTCTGTCTCCAAGGTTCCCATTGCTTCTATGAGACCAACCAGTGCCTCTTTGTCAGCCAAATGCAAGGATAGAACAATGTTTATCACCGTGGCTTCCTTTGACTTAAGAGATGGTATTAGCAGCAAGTGTGAAATGACCTATGTTTATCAGGAGTCTTCCATGGAAGTCATGGTAGTCAGATCTCCTATCACGATTACCTCCTGCCTTGGTGCAGGGCGTGATCTCTGTACTAAGAACGTCTTTCTCCATCTCATCTCTGGCCAGGCCAGTTATAGCAACACAGCACTATCACTTCAATCCTTCTATTATTTTGTCTTCACTCAAACCACAGATAAGAGGATCTTCCTACAGGTATAGGGGAGAAGAAAATTTATTTTTCCTCTACCCTCCTAGGTTTTTTGGCTGGGGCCCTGCAAATTAGACTGACGAAAGATAGATTAACAAAAGAAAAACAGACAGAAGTTTATTATTAACACATGCATACACACAGGATCGCTCAATGATGAGTGACTCAAAGGAGTGGTCAGAAATTGGGCTTATAGAGCACCTTTTAAAAAAATATAAATTTGTAAAAAAGTGACAAGACAGGCCGGGTGCAGTGAGTGGCTCACGCATATAATCTCAGCACTTTGGGAGGCCGAGGCAGGCGGATCACTTGAAGTCAGGAGTTTGAGACCAGCCTGGCCAGCATGGAGAAACCCTGTCTCTACTAAAAACACAAAAATTAGCTGGGCATGATGGCGTGCACCTGTAATCTAAGTGACTCTGGAGACTGAGGCAGGAGAATCGCTTGAACCGGGGAGGCGGAGGTTGCAGTGAGCAGAGATTGCACCACTGCACTCCAGGCTGGGCGACAGAGTGAGACTCCATCTCAAAAAAAAAAAAAAAGAAGAAGAAGTGACAAGACAAAGGGAAAGAGCTTTAGGCTTCTGGAGGTGGCAAACTGTGGGAAGGTAAGTAGATGGGAAAAGTAATGGAAGATAAAGATTGCCTTAGTGAGGTTGGTTATGTAGGTTCCTCCAGCGCCATCTCTGGGCTGCTTAAGAGTCCAGAGTTGTCTCCAGCGACTGAGAATCTTCCTGTCCTCCCTGGTAGGGAGACATGGGGAGCAGAGAGTTTCTCTTTGTTTCTATTTTTTTTTTTTTTTGAGGCGAAGTCTCGCTCTGTTGCCCAGGCTGGAGTGCAGTGGCACAATCTTGGCTCACTGCAACCTCTGCCACCCAGGTTCAAGCGTTCTCCTGCCTCAGCCTCCTGAGTAGCTGAGATTACAGGCACCCACCACCATGCCCAGCTAATTTTTGTATTTTTAGTAGAGATGGGGTTTCGCCATGATGACCAGGCTGGTCTTGAACTCCTGACCTCAGATGATCCACCCACCTCGGCCTCCCAAAGTGTTGGAATTACAGGCGTGAGCCACCGCACCTGGCCGAGAGTTTTTCTTGTGTCTGCTTCATCTTCATTGCCTTCAGCTCAAAATGATCTTAAGGTTAAAGTGTTGTACTTTGGGGAGTGGCATGTTGACCCCTTCACAGATGTTCTTCATAATGAATAGTGCTTCTCCTCTGCTCCGTTTCCCAAATCTTTCATTTCAACCAGTCACAGCCTTTTATTGCTCCATTCCAACTCTGATCCTATTTCATTGAGTTTCATCATTGATATCAAAACAAGGATAAATGTCAAACCCCAGAGTAATCTGGTGTCCACTCTAAAATCTGCTCATCTGGCCTTTCAAGTCTTCTTTGGTTACTCAGTGATGGGCAAAAACCCCAACGTTTTCCTGAGGATGGGCTTTTTATCTATATTATTCAAACTCTTAGGCATTTTTATCTAAGATATATTTCCAGTGATGATATAAATCAATTCCAGAATCATAGATTAAAGTGAATTCAAAGCATATATAACAATTTCAAAAATATTCATACCCAATAATTCCACTCTCAGGCATCATTTCTCAGGAAACAATAGAAAATGTGAGCAAAGATGAAAAGCTCTACCCTGCAGCATTATTTGTAACAGTAAGCACTTGAAGACAAACAAAACATTATTATTATTATTTTTTTTTTTTTTTTTTGAGACAGAGTCTCGCTCTGTCGCCCAGGCTGGAGTGGCGCAATCTCGGCTCACTGCAAGCTCCGCCTCCCGGGTTCACGCCATTCTCCTGCCTCAGCCTCCTGAGTAGCTGGGACTACAGGCGCCCACCACCATGTCTAGCTAATTTTTTGTATTTTTAGTAGAGACGGGGTTTCGCTGTGTTAGCCAGGATGGTCTCGATCTCCTGACCTCGTGATCTACCTGCCTTGGCCTCCCAAAGTGCTGGGATTACAAGCATGAGCCACCGCACCTGGTGACAAACAAAACATTTAAAAATAGTTGGCTGGCTGATTATTTGATTTGATTTGATTTTTATTTTGATTTTTTTGGAGACTGAGTCTCGCTCTGTCACCCAGGCTGGAGTGCAGTGGTGTGATCCCAGCTCACTGCAACCTCTGCCTCCTGGGTTCAAGTGATTCTCCTCTGGATGAATATTTTTAGTGCTATCATTCACTGGAATGATGTCGCCACTAAAAAATTTTATTTACAAAATAAGTTTATTAGAAGTTATGATGGCTGGACGTGGTGGCTCACACCTGTAATCCCAGCACTTTTGGGAGGCTGAGGCAGACAAATATCTTGAGCTCAGGAGTTGGAGACCAGTCTGGCCAACATAGTGAAACCCCGTCTTTATTAAAAATACAAAAATGAGCCAGGCGTGGTGGCACATGCCTGTAATTGCAACTACTCTGGAGACTGAGGTGGGAGAATAGCTTGAACCCGGGAGGCAGAGGTTGCAGTGAGCCGAGATCGTGCCACTGCACTCCAGCCTGGGGAACAGAGTGAGACTCTGTCTGAAGAAAAAAAAAGAATCATCCTGACTTTCCTTATAGAGAGGGGGAGGGCAGAGAGTTTGTCCTGTGTCTCCTTTTTCTCAAAGAAAAGAAGGGACGTCCACCAAATTTTTAGCAGCATTTCCCACTGAATGACTGCATTATGGCAATCCTTATTATGACCCTGTTTTACGAGTTTTCTACAACAGCATGTCTATGTTTACAATCGGGAGAAAAGTGGTTTTTGCTTTTGCTGTTTAATATCTAACATGTGTTGTGACCTGTCCCTGGCCAACTTGTTAGGCGTGGAGATAACATAGTTGAATGAGAGGTGGACAGTTGCTCTCCTCAGCTTCCGTGTGGGGTTTGCCCCTTCCCTGTGTTAATAGTTGCTTTACCAAAACCTTTCAGGACTTTTTTTTTTTGAGACAGGGTCTGGCTCTGTCACCCAGGCTGAGTGCAGTGGTGCCATCATGGCTCATTGCAGCCTCAAGCCCCCGGCCCCCTGCCAGGCTCAAGCAATCCTCCCGCCTCAGTCTCCTGAGTAGCTGAGACTACAGGTGTGCTCCACCACGCCCAGCTAACTTTTTATTTTTTTGTAGTGATGGGGTTATCACCATGTTGCCCAGGCTGGTTTCAAACTCCAGGACACAGTCTGTCCTCCTGCCTCAGCCTCCCAAAGCGCTGGGATTGCAGGTATGAGCCACTGTGCATGACCAAGACTCTTCAGGATCCTAAATGGTTTCAGCAACAAACATTGTTTAGTTATGTAACTCAGAACTCCAGTATGGACATACTATGTGATGTGATTTTATTATTGCTTATATGCTTTTGTGGTTTTATTGTTTGTTTTTCTGTTTGTTTGTTTTGAGACAGGGTTTTTGTTTTTGTTTTGAGACAGGGTCTTACTCTGTCACCCAGGCTAAACTACAATAGCATGATCCTAGCTTGCTGCCCCCTTGAACTCCTAGGCTCAAGCAATCTTTCTGTCTCAGACTACCAAGTAGCTAGGACTACAGGCATGTGCCACCATGCTATGTTGTCTGGCTGGTGTTGAATACCTGGTCTCCAGTGATCCTCCCACCTCAGCCCCCTGAGTAGCTAGCACTACATGCGTGAGTCATGCCTGGCTAATTAAAAAAAAAAAAATTAAGAGATGGGGTCTTACTATCACAGCGTGAATCCCAAAATTGGGGTTCAGTCTGGGAGGCCACATGGGTTCTTGGCTTCCCACAAGAAGGAATTCAAGAGTGAGCCAACAAAGTAAAATGAAAGCAAGGTTATTAAGCAAGTTAAGGAATAAAAGGGGGGCTACTCCATAGGCAGAGCAGTGGCATGGGCTGTTTGATTGAGTATACGGGTATTCCTTGATCATATGCTAAACAAAAAGTGAATTATTCGTGAGTTTTCTGGGAAAAAGGTGGGGAGTTCCCAGAACTGAGGGTTTTCCCATTTCAGACAATATAGGGTAACTTCCAGACATTGCCATAACATTTGTAAACTGACATGGGGCTGGTAGGAGCGAGTGTCTTTTAGCACAACAGTGCATTATCATTGGCATATAATGAGCTGTGAGGACGACCGGAGGTTGCTTTCATCGCATCTTGGTTTTGATAGATTTGGGCTGCTGCTTTACTACATGTCATTTTATCAGTGGTGTCTTTGTGACCTGTACCTTGCAAACCAGTCCTGAAGAACTCTTGTCTCATCACTGTGTTGTCCAGGCTGGTCTTCAAGTGATCCTCCTGGCTTCAGAGTGATCCTCTCACCTCAGCATCCCAAAATGCTGGGCTTGCAGGCTTGAGACACTGAGCCAGACCCTGTTTATTCTTGAATTGTTTCCAGTGAATATATCTCATCGTCTCCCCCCAAAAAAAGGTTGCAAGTTTTTGGCCAGGCGCGGTGGCTCACGCCTGTAATCCCAGCACTTTGGGAGGTGGAGGCGGGCAGATCGGGAGGTCAGGAGATCGAGGCCATCCTGGCTAACACGGTGAAACCCCGTCTCTACTAAAAATACAAAAAAAAAAAAAAATTATCCAGGCTTGGTGGCGGGCGCCTGTAGTCCCAGCTACTTGGGAGGCTGAGGCAGGAGAATGGCGTGAACCCAGGAGGTGGAGCTTGCAGTGAGCCAAGATCGCACCACTGCACTCCAGCCTGGGCGACAGAGCAAGACTCCGTCTCAAAAAAAAAAAAAAAAAGGTGGCAAGTTTTTATAAAAAGAGAAAAATCATTCTTAGTATTTCTTTAATACCCTCTACATTGACCTCACTGGTGCAAAAAATATTAGTTTGCTGGTGAAAATTCACCTCGAGTTACTAAATATCTAACTTTCCCATAACTACCATCTGTTTGTCTCTTGTGGATCTGTTTGCCTAATATTTAAATGACCCATTCTTCCCCACTTTTACGAAAATAGCATTAATTCCCCTTTCACTATTCACACTTCCTTCATCGTCACAGTTTGACCAGCGGTCCAGGGTTTATGATCTCAAGCATGGCCATATATATCTATTTCACTTAAGACTCTGGAAAGAGCATAAAATCAGATGTAACTGTTTCCTATTTCATATAATAGGGAATTCCATCTCTAAAGTTATGACATTTGGCCTTTCAGTGGGTTTTTGTGGTTTTTACTATGGCTGTGCTTAGATTCCTTTTTGAACACTTTTCCAGTGGTTCCACTTGAACACAATCTTTGAGTCACATAGGAGAGGTGACATGATAGAGTGTAAAGCCAGAAAGAGCACGATTTGGATCTCAGCTCAACTGATAGGGATCCGTAGCAAGATACTTCACCTCTCTGAGCCTCAGTTTCCTCATCTGTGCAATGGGAATCGTAACGCCTGCCTCTCAATGTTGTTAAGATTAAATATGTTGGCCGGGCGCAGTGGCTTACGCCTGTAATCCCAGCACTTTGGGAGGCCGAGGAGGGCAGACCACCTGAGGCCAGGAGTTCGAGACCAACATGGTGAAACCCCTGTCTCTACTAAAAATACAAAAATTAGCCAGGCGTGCTGGTGCAAGCCTGTAATCCCAGAAACTCAGGAGGCTGAGATATGAGAATCGCTTGAACCCAGGAGGCGGAGGTTGCAGTGCGCCAAGATCGCACCACTGCACTCCAGCCTGGGCAACAGAGTGAAACTCTGTCTCAAAAAAAAAAAAAAGATTAAATATGTGTACAGTACCTGTACCATGTTAGGCGGTCAGTAAACATTTGTTTAACTAACAACTGATAAGGATAGTAAAGAAGTATCAGAACACCCACCTAGTTATCCCAAAGGGCAGGAAGAGTGCTAGGTAATGGATATAGAATTCCTTTTAGAGTCAAATTACACGGGCAAAGATCAGCCCCTCCTTCAATTAAAAAGCCAGGGGCAGGGCGTAATAAGGAAGTGGTTCTCCTTCTTTAAGCCTCTTTTCAGGCTGAGTCCTAAACCTGAAGAAAGTTTAGAGCCTGGGGCTCTAAACTACCTGAGTCTTTCCAAACGACAAGCCAAGAAGACCTGTTGAAAGTTTCCTCTTAAGTTTCGTGGAGAGAGACTCAGGTATAGAAATATCCTTACTGCCACCTGACCTGAAGCAGAAGAAATCACAGACAGCTTCCAGACCAGGTAACACCAGGAGGCACCAGTCTTCATCCTCAGCCTTTGCAGGAGGACACAGCCTGGTCTTTAGCTGTTTGCCAAATGAGGCAGTCTAATTCAGGGAGCTCTTTACTGGGTTTATTACAAAGTTCTTATCATGTAAGTCTCAGGACACAAAATGACATTGAGAATCTAGTTTAGCGGGGTTTCCAGGAAAGACGAAGAAAGGTTATTTAGGTTTCTCTTTCATTTCTCTTTTGCTACAAAGGGTTTGGGACATTCAGTTAAGAACACATTACTGGTTGAGGTATGTGACGTTACTCAGTCTTCTCTGCTTATGTATCTGGGGAGGTATGCAATGACATGACAGCCATTCCGTGGCCAGGGACACCACTGCCCAAGCTGGAGACCACGAGGATTCAGGGACTGAAGCCAGCATGGGAATTCCTGGTTTGAGATCAGAGTCCTGAGTACCTCGTGGGAACTTGGGCACTCATCCGCAGGAGGTCTAGACCCCCAGAGAATTCCTTGAGTCTAAGGCACAGGTAAATGGAAGACCCTTCTCTCTCCTCTCTCCCCTCTAGAAAGCTCCCTCCTCCCTGAGCTCCCTGTCCCCTTCTTTCCACAATCAGAGCCTCGGACCTTCTGTTTGGTGAATATGACCTGAGGCTCTGTCTAGCATTCAGCTTCTATTGTGGGAAGTTAAGGCACTTTCTCTCATTCCTCATTTCACCTTTAGTATTAAAGAACAGTCCAGGCAGAAGGCACGAAGAGCCTGAGAGGTCTGAAGTGAGGGGGAGAGGAGAGGGGCAGAAGGGGAGGCTCCGGACAACAGAACCAAGCTGAGCTTAGGATGTGCTGTGGGAGGCTCCGTGGGGATGAGTGTCAGTGCCCACGAGATCCACTCAGGCCTCAACTGTGTGTCCTGAGCACATGAAGTCAGCTCTTCTGCTGGGACAGCCACCAAGGGATTCTCCACACCCCTCACCGCTGGGACAGGCAGAGGCACAGCGAACCAGGTGTCCAGCGTAACTGGGGCACTGGGTGGTGGCCGCCTCTGTGTGTGGAAACACGAGGTGCTTGCTGCAGTTTCCTCTGTGTGCTTATCCGTTAGCTGCCACCCACCGGGAGGGAAGTGAAATCTCACCTCAACAAGTGAGTCCGCAGAGCGAGAACCGTGCGACAGTGCGTCTGCCAATACCTGGAATGTAGGTGTTCGTTGCAGTGTGGCCTTCCCAGCCGGCCTCTCAGCACACCCGGCCAGGCAGCCAGTGTTCCCAGAGGACACGCTGGGGCCAGACGTGGAGGACCCCGGCCACCTCGGGGAGGGAAAGAGACCAAGAAAAGAACCTCTGTAGCCTTGCTTCTGAGAGTGCAGGTTTGTTACAGGTAAGGATCAGGAAGGTAAACATAGGGCAGTGAAGCAGGGTTGTGTCCTCTGCGGCCCTGAATTAGAATAAGCCTCACAGGTCTCACCCAGGAACGGAAATCTCCCCTCCAGGTTCTGAACCAGCATTCAGAGGCCCCACCCAGGGCTTCTGTCAACATAAGCATAAAACTTATGGTTTACCTTTCCATAAACCCCAAAGTTGGGCTTCTTGTATAGAGTACAATTTCTGTAGGAAGAGCTGAAAGCAGAAGGGATCTAACCTGTGATAATACTCGATCGCTGCTGCTTGAAAGTAAGACTTAGCTATACACTGAACAATCAAGTAATTTATAACAAGGATTAGAGGAAACAAAAACTCTGTGTTTGTGTGGGTGGGTTTTTTTTTTTCTTTATTTTTGTTTCTTAAGAGAGTGTCTCCCTCTGCCACCCAGGCTGGAGTGCACTGGCGCGATCATAGCTCACTGCAGCCTCCAACTCCCAGGCTCAAGCGATTCTCCCCCCTCAGCCTCCCAAGTGGCTGGGACTGCAGGTGCACACCACCACGCCCAGCTAATTTTTTTCATTTTTTGTAGAGACGGAGCCAAGGCTGGTCTTGAACTCCTGGGCTTAAGCGATCCTGCTCCCTGGGCCTCCCAAAGTGCTGGGATTACAGGCGTGAGCCACTGGGTCCGGCATCTACATTTGTTAAATACATTAAAACCCTCTTAATCCTTTGTCTCCGTTTGTTCTCTTTTGCTCCCTGCTCTCCAGGCTCTTGTGGCGGAGGCCCCCGCTCCCTCCGCTGTAGGGTAGCCTCCTTCTGGGGCTGGCTCCTGAGCACTGTTCTTTCTCCTCTCTCTCATCCTCTCTCATTCTTAGCTTTGCCTGTCGACTGGGCCAAGTCACAGCCTTTCTGGCCTGTAAGACAACAAAAATCTCACATTTTACTAAATGGAAGGACTAAGTACTCTGTCTTGACTTCAGTGGTTTCCCCGATTTCTGATGTTGCTGCTGAAATAGCATTAGCAAGCTTGTTTCTTAAAGAAGCCCTCTCTCCAGTGACAATACTCCCCCCGCCACACACACACACATGCACACGCACACACAAACATGCATGCACGCGCACACACACACACAATTTTAAAGCCCTCGTGTTATATTAAAAAGGTCTGGATGTTTTTAACATACATGGAAATTTCTTCAGCAGCACAGTGTTACTGGTCTGACGAGGGCGCACAGCCTCCTACCCAAGGACACAGTTCCTGAAGGACCAGGGTGCACATCTGGCCTGCAGTGCCCTGAGCCACTCTGTCCAAAAGGAAGCCTTGAATCAAAAGCCTCATGAATCCTCTCCTGAGAAATTCCATGTCTGGTCTCTTGCTAGACTCAGCCTTTTCCCCACCAAGTCTGCCGCACCTAATTCTGACCTCACCCTGCTTGGTGGCCCGCTTTGCCTGCTTGCACGCACCTCAGGTCTCAGTGTGTCTCAGCAACAGCTTCCCCTCCTAGGGTGGCCAGAGTTAGCAAGCAAGAATGCAAGACAGCCAGTTATGTTTGAATTTCAGATAAATAACAAATATAAGTGTCTTTTAGCATATAATATTTTATTTGGGACATATACTAATATTTATTATATATTAGTCTCATGATATTTGGGACATATACTAAAAAATTATTTGCCCTTTATCTGAACTTCAAATGTGACCAAATGTGTCCTGTATTCTGAATGTGTCTGGCAGTCCTATAATCATTCATTCAGTCAGTCATCAGATATTTGAGCACCTACCATGTATCAAGCACTATTCTAGAGAGCCCGGATAGCTCAGTCAGTAGAGCATCAAGCGCTACTCTAGGTGCTGGGGAAGCCAGCCAAAGTCCCGCCTTCATATCTTACAGTATGTCTACTTTGTTTTTATATACATGTACACTATATATACTTGAAGATATGTACCTTTTTCTTTTTTTCTTTTTATTATTTTTTTTTGAGACAGAGTCTGACTCTATTACTCAGTGCAGTGGCACCATCTCAGCTCACTGCAACTTCTACCTCCTGGGTTCAAGTGATTCTCCAGCCTCAGCCTCCCAAGTAGCTAGGATTACAGGCATGTGCCACCATACCTGGCTAATTTTTGTATTTTTAGTAGAGACAAAGTTTCACCATGTTGGCCAGGCTTGTCTTGAACTCCTGACCTCAAGTGATCTGCCCACCTCGGCCTCCCAAAGTGCTAGGATTACAGGCGTGAGCCACCGCGCCCAGCCCAGATATGTACTTTTTAATGGCAATGTTACCACATTTAATGAGATTATCTTTTTAAAAAATGTTTTAATTTTTAAATTTTAAAAAATAGGGATGGGATCTTACTTTGTTGCCTAGACTGGTCTCCAAATCCAGGTCTCAAGTGATCCTCCCACCTTGGCCTCCTAAGGTGGTGGGATTACAGGTGTGAGCCACGGTGCCAGCCAAGATGATCAATACTTCCTTAATATCATCTAAAACATACACTGTACTGTGTTTAGTTCTCTATCATCTCAAAGATATCTACATCTTTATACAGTATGTTTGAATTACGATTTAATAAAGATCCACTCATGACATCTAATTGATGTCTCTTTTTTTTTAATATGTTTCTTTTTTTTCTTTTTATTTATTTATTTATTTTTGAGACAGAGTCTCCGTGTGTCACCCAGGCTGGAGTGCAATGGCGCGATCCCCGCTCACTGCAACCTTTGCCTCCCAGGTTCAAGTGATTCTCCTGTTGCAGTCTCCCAACTCACTGGAATTACAGGCACCTGCCATCATGCCCAGCTAATTTTTGTATTTTTTTTAGAGACAGGGTTTCACCACGTTGGCCAGGCTGCTCTTGAACTCCTGCCTCCCAAAGTGCTGGGATTACAGGCGTGAACGATTGTGCCCTGCCTGATATGTTTCTATTCTTTCTTTCTTTCTTTCTTTCTTTTTTTTTTGAGACGGAGTTTCGCTGTTGTTGCCCAGGCTGGATGCAATGGCGTGATCTCGGCTCACTGCAACCTCCGCCTCCTGGGTTCAAGTGATTCTCCTGCCTCAGCCTCCCGAGTAGCTGGGATTGCAGGCATGTGCCACCATGCCTGGCTAATTTTGTATTTTTAGTAGAGACGGGGTTTCTCCATGTTGGTCAGGCTGGTCTCAAACTCCCGACCTCTGGTGAACTACCCGCCTTGGCCTCCCAAAGTGCTAGGATTACAGGCGTGAGCCATCGTCCCCTGCCGGATATGTTTCTTATGTCTCTTTTAAGCTGTAGCAGTTCTCTGTCTTCACCTTTTTTTGGCGCCATTTATTTGTTGAAGAAACCGGCCATTTGTCTTGCAGAACTTACCAGATACTGAATTTGGATAGCTGCCTTCTTGTGGTCATTAGTTTATTTCTCTGTCCCCTGTATTTCCTGTAAACTGATCATTAGATCCAGAGGCTTGATCAGATTCGGATCCAATGTTTTTGGATCAGGAGACACATAATGGTTGTCTCACCTTTAGTGAGACCAAGATTGGTCATTGGGAACAGGGAAGTGGAGCTGGGGTGAGTATAGGGTCACCAGATGTCCAGTACAAGCAGAATGGACAGGGCTGTGCTGCAGGATGGATGAGGGGAGGGTGGGATGCCCGGAAAATGCATGGGGGAGGGTGGGATGCCCGGAAAATGCATGGGGGAGGGTGGGATGCCCGGAAAATGCATGGGGGAGGGTGGGATGCCCGGAAAATGCATGGGGGAGGGTGGGATTGGATGGAATTGGGGAGCGGGAAGGGGTAAGTGGAAAAGCAGTAAGGAACATGACCTTCGAGGAGACACTGACGTGACTCCTTACAGAGCAAACGATTTGCATGTAAGTGAAATGCATGTAAGTGAATGTGAAATTGGAGCAGTGGCGGGAAGAAAGATTGTCCAAGCCCTGGAATAAGACAGGAATGTGAAGAAACAGCAGAGGAGGAGGAAGGATTGCAGTCATGACCCCCACTTCATGCCATACTCCTCAAGCATTTGCTTACATCCAGTTATGTGAGGGAGGTTTGCGGGGCTTGGAAGTTGTATAATTGTATCTGTGTAGTTGGTCTGGTGGGTTTTGCAACTTGCCCTTTGCTGCACTGGGAGGGCCATTTTTGTCCCCTCCAGCATCACCTGATGTTGCAGCATAGCCCGCTGCATCCCTCCCAGGCTCACTTCCATCAGAACGCACCTAGCCAGGGACCCTTGCTTTCCTGGGGCCTGGCCAAGGAGCAGTTCCTCAGATCAACAGCTTCGCTATCAGCCAATGTGAGCCTCTTCTAAGTAAAGGAGAGGAGACAGTGATGGAAAAAGGCAGCATCCAGCAGGCCCTCAGGGGAGATATTTCAGCTCCTACACCTCCTTCCAATAGCAGAACCAGGGGGAAAAGTTAGAGAATATCCTTATTCTATCTAACAACTTGGACACCGAGGAACAAAAAGGTGGCGTGACTTGCCCAAGGATGTTGCAGGTTAGAAGCTGAGCCAGCCGTGGCTATCCATCCTTCAGACACCCAGGCCAACTTGTCTGTACCACCTCACATTGCCTCAAACCCTGTCTGCAGTTACTGTCCCATTTCTTTATCATTTGGTCCTGGTATGACAAGGTACAGTGGAAAGAAAAAGAGGAACATGCCAGCCAGTCCCCTTAATATTACTGCAGCTTCTTTATCATCACAGCAGCTTACATGCCGAAAGACCGTCTTAAATTAGGACCAGAAAGGGAAGGGAACATTATTAAGAGCCATATTAAGACAGAGCCTGAGGCCGGGCATGGTAGCTCATGGCTGTAATCTCAGCACTTTGGGAGGCTGAGGCAGGTGGATCACTTGAGCCCAGGAGTTTCGCACCAGACTGGGCAACATAGCGAGACCTTGTCTCTAAAAGACAAAACAAAAAAATTAGCCAGGTGTGGTGGCATGTGCCTGTGTTCCCAGCTACTTGAGGGGCTGAGGTGAGAGAATCCCTTGAGCCGGGGAGGTTGAGGCTGTGGTGAGCTATGATCTGCACTCCAGCCTGGGCAACAGAGCAAAACTGAGTCTCAAAAAAAAAAAAAAAAAGAGAGCCTGGGGCCTAGGACAACAGCTGAACTAGAAAAAAAACATAGCTACCACTTTTGAACCAGGTTCTGTGCAGGAACTTCTCTTGTGTATCTTACACCCTTACAATATCCCTGCAAGATGACTATTATTATTTACAATTTGCCTGCAGGAAGTTCATGTTTGGAGAGATGGAGTAACCTGCCACAGGTCACAAAACTAGTCACTGGCATGGCCACAATCTGAATTTGGGACTGTTAGACTGAGAAGCCCAAGCTAATTCTTGATACGCTCACTGCCTGGGACATTTCACACGGTAGATCTGAGCTTTCTCGCATCTGAGACTAAAAGGAAAATGTAGTCCTTAACAGACAGCAGAAGGAAACAGATTATTAGCAAAAAGAACTGCTTTCCTAGCAGGAAACCAGAGAAGGAGTTATTTCATGTAAGCTCAAGCAAAGGAAATTGAACAAAATCAGTTCTTTATCTATCCTGTTATTCGTATGGAAATAAAGAAGAAATGCTTGCATCCTGTTGTTTTAGTGCTTGTACTGATCTTTTTCAAACATGCCTGTGATCACATCACTCTCTACTCAAAACTTTGAACAGCTCTCCATTGCCTCCATCAGTGTGTTTCAAATTCGTAAAAAGTAAAATAAAATAACAGGATGCTTTTTTCAGATGAAATCTTACATGGCATACCAAATATAGCAAGAAAAAAGAAAGAGAGAGAGAGAGGAGAGAGAAGCCGGGACAAGCTAAAGCAGAGGGTAGAGGGAGAAGGAACCGAGGAAGGGAAGGGTCAGGTCCCAGGCATTTCTCTTCCCTGAATTGGCCTCCCTCTTTTGCCACCTCCCCAGCAAGACCTTTAACTCCACAGTCCACAGCTCATTTTGAAATGTACTGATCAACGTGAGAAAATGCGAAGCTTCAGCCTGATAGTCAAAGACCACCATAATCTGGACCCAAGTGCTAGTTCACTTATTTTCCCTCCACTATTTTCAAGCCCTGGCTATTTGCAAACTGCATACGTATGCTGTCCCAGTTCTCTCACCACTCTTCAAACACATTCTGAATTCACCTATAATCTCCCCTCTGCCCGCCCTGTTGTAGCCCCAATATCCACCCACCTGTCTAACTCCTTCTAGCTTTCCAAAAGCTTTCACTTGCCTCTTTCTTTGAAGCTCACCTATCCCTGCCTTCTAACCTGGCTATCTGCATCTCTGTTAGACCTCTTACTTAGTTCATTAGTTCATTCTCTCTCTGTTGTTTTTTGTTTTTTGAGACGGAGTCTCACTCTGTCGCCAGGCTGGAGTGCAGTGGCGCAATCTCAGCTCACTACAACCCCCGACTCCTGGGTTCAAGCGATTCTTCTGCCGCAGCCTCCCAAGTAGCCGGGTCTACAGGCGTGCGCCACCATGCCTGGCTAATTTTTGTATCTTTAGTAGAGACGGGCTTTCACTGTATAGGCCAGGCTGGTCTTGAACTCCTGACCTCATGATCTGCCCGCCTTGGCCTCCCAAAGTTTTGGGATTACAGGCGTGAGCCACCGCACCCGGCAGTTCATTTTCTTTATGTGGAGTTATCTATGGCCATGTCTCTCTTCCCACCCTAGTAAGACTGTGGCTTTTCCCTCTCTACCCTCCAGCACAAACACAATAGATGTTCAATAAATGTTTCCTGAGTTTTCACCCCTGTCTCTCCTAACCTGCAAAGGGTAAGTGGCCCTGCATAGAAGGGCACAGTGTGGACTTTGTTGTTACAGGCCCAACATGTGTAGCACCAGTGGGTGTGACCTGGAAGAAATCCCCCTAGATGATGATGACCTAAACACCATAGAATTCAAAATCCTCGCCTACTACACCAGACATCATGTCTTCAAGAGCACCCCTGCTCTCTTCTCACCAAAGCTGCTGAGAACAAGAAGTTTGTCCCAGAGGGGCCTGGGGAATTGTTCAGCAAATGAGTCATGGACAGAGGTGTCATGGCCTTGCAGAAATTCCCAATCCAGTGAGAAGGCCATAAACCTTGGCAAGAAAAAGTCTTCTTGGAAAGCATTCTTTGGAGTAGTGGAGAAGGAAGATTCGCAGAGCACGCCTGCCAAGGTCTCTGCTCAGGGTCAAAGGACGTTGGAATACCAAGATTCGCACAGCCAGCAGTGGTCCAGGTGTCTTTCTAACGTGGAGCAGTGCTTGGAGCATGAAGGTAGGCATCTGGGATTTCTTTCTCTCCCGCTTCCTGGTTTTTCCCTTCTTTGTGTCCAGAGTGGTACATCTCTTCTCATGTTGTAAAGTGGCTTTAGAGAAGGCATGCGTTGTGCCTCAGCTTTCCAACTTATTAGTGTTCAATCATAATTGCCCTGCTTTTCTCAAGACTAAAAGGAGTTGCTGCCTGGGCGCGGTGGCTCACGCCTGTAATCCCAGCACTCTGGGAGGCCAAGGCGGGTGGATCATGAGGTCAGGAGATTGAGACCATCCTGGCTAACACGGTAAAACCCCGTCTCCACTAAAAAATACAAAAAATTAGCCGGGCGTGTTGGCGGGTGCCTGTAGTCCCAGCTACTCGGGAGGCTGAGGCAGGAGAATGGCGTGAACCCAGCAGGCGGAGCTTGCAGTGAGCCAAGATGGCATCACTGCACTCCAGCTTGGGTGACAGAGTGAGACTCCGTCAAAAAAAAAAAAATGACTAAAAGGAAATGATGGAAGTTAAGGGTGCTGGGACTGGTTTTCTTTCTCCACTGTCTATAAATAAGCTTGTTTCCCAAATTCCTAGTCCTCTGTACCAGACACCAATATAAAAGAAGGAGGCTAGGCGCAGTGGCTCATGCCTGTAATTCCAGCACTTTGGAAGGTTGAGGTGGGCAGATCATAAGGTCAGGAGTTCAAGACTAGCCTGGCCAACATAGTGAAAACCCGTCTCTACTAAAGATACAAAAAATTAGCCGGGCATGGTGGCGCATGCTTGTATTCCCAGCTACTCGGGAGGCTGGGGCAAGAGAATCGCTTGAACCTGGGAGGCGGAGGTTGCAGTGAGCCGAGATTGCATCACTGCACTCCAGCCTGAGCTACAGGGTAAGACTTTGTCTCAAAAAAAAAAAAAAAAAAGAACGAGCCCTAACCAGGGGCTTGCTTGGGCTGCCTGGGCCGCTGCTCTTCCTAAGTCAACTCATTCGCTCAGGGCCTCTGTGTTTCCATCTGTACATTGGGTACCCCACTCTCTCCACCTCGTATGGTTGATGGGAAGATCAGAGAGCAAGAGTAAAAGGACTCTTGACAAAGTACAAACCATCCTACAAAAACAACTGAGAAGCATTTAGACAAAATCTTCCCTCAGTTGGACAAAATTAATTGTACTTAATGAAACATTTTCACCAGGCACTGAGGCTCATACCTGTAATCCCAGCACTTTGGGAGGCCAAGGTGGGTGGATCGGTTGAGCTCAGGAGTTCAAGACCAGCCTTAGCAACATGGCAAAACCCTGTCTCTACCAAAAAATACAAAAAAATTAGTCAGACATGGTGGTGCACGCCTGTGGTCCTGGCTACTCGGGAGGCTGAGGTGGGAGGATGGCTTGAGCCTGGGAAGTAGAGGTTGCAGTGAGCCAAGATGATGCCACTGCACTCCAGCCTGGGTGACAGAGTGAGAGCCCATCACGTCGATACTCTCAGCACTGTGGGAAACCAAGGCAGGAGGATCACTTGACACCAAGAGTTTGAGATCAGCCTGGCATCATAGCAAGACCCTGTCTCCATTAAAAAATTAAAATAAAAAAATTAGCGAGGCATGGTGGCACATGCCTGTTGTCCCAGCTACTATGGAGGCTGAGGTGGAAGGATCACTTGAGCTCAGGAGGTCAAGGCTGCAGTGAGCGAAGATCACATCACTGCACCCCAGCTCTGGGTGACATAATGAGACTCTGTCTCCAAAAAAAAAAAAAAAAAGACAGTTGCCCTTCATGCGCACACCTTGGCATAAGCATCTTCTTCCCCTTCAACAAAGCCCAGTGCCCAAAGCCCAGATTTTTTTTTTTTTTTTAAGGTGTTTTAGATGGAGTCTTGCTCTGTCGCCCAGGCTGGAGTGCTGTGGTGTAATCTCGGCTCACTGCAAGCTCCGCCTCCCAGGTTCAAGCAATTCTCCTGCCTCAGCCTCCTGAGTAGCTGGGATCACAGGCGCGCACCACCAGGCCTGGCTAATTTTTGTATTTTTAGTAGAGACAGCGTTTCACCATGTTGGTCAGGCTGGCCTCGAACTCCTGACCTCGTGATCTGCCCACCTTGGGCTCCCGAAGTGCTGGGATTACAAGTGTGAGCCACTGCACCCAGCCGCAAAGCCAGATTTTAAAAGAAAGGCCCCCTCCTGCTGAGTTTCATTGGCCTGGGTAACTTGTCAATAATTAGTCAAGAGGTGGCAGTAATGTCTCAGTTTTTAAATGTGACAGTCCTGGCTTGCTTGGAGAATCAGCCCACTCATAGACAGCTTTAGATCACTCACTATGATCAAGGAAACTCCCTTTTCCCATTAGAGTTTCAGATGTTTAGAACAGTGGGAGTTATGGTCAGGATCATCTGAGGGAACCTCATGGCACAGACAGGATGAGGAAATGGGAGTCCCACAAAAAGGGCTTACCAAGGAAACATCCAGGAAGTAGCAGAGCCTGGACTCACCAGAAGTCCAGGCCTCTCCCTAGACTTGTTTCATTTTTACAGCAAGGCATCTGCTCTCTGAACTCTGCCCAGCTAGGGCAGGTCTAGGGCAAGAGGGAGCGGCCCCCTGTGGTCCTTCCCTCCACATCTGCCTCCCCACCCCTCAGCTGCCCTCACCCAGCCATGGCTTCTTCTGCCGGGGGTGGCATCTGGGCTCTGGGGCAAAGAACAGTTTGGAGGCACCTAAATAGGCTTTTCTACTTGGCCTGTACTGTGGACTTTGCCAGCAGACAGAGAAAGCTTTTACAGACCTTAGTCTTCTGGTTTTTCCTGAGATAAATTGCATTCTGTATTTCAGTATTTACTGGAGTGTCATTTGACATTTTTTTTATTTTCTAAAATTTCAAGAGAAGCTTTTATTTCTTTTTTCAGTAGGGAAAGAAAACTTTTATGTGAGATTGAGAATTAAAGATTACATTCAAAAACACTTAGGTGATGTGTTAATGTGCTGAATAGCTGAATAGTACCTATGGCTGAATAATATTCTCCATAAAAAATGAAAAATGATTACCTCCTAAGAAGGCTTTAAACACATATTTACAGCTTATCTTCCCTTATCACCTTTCTCCTCACGCTTGCATTTAGTCAGTTAATTGTGTGTTTTTTACTTGTGTTACTTGTGTCGGTTTTACATTGAGCGTGATCCAAGAGAGCCTCACATTCTATTTCTATTTTGCCACATACAAATCAGGCCTTGCAAATTTGGTTTCTCCTGGGTTCTTTTTTGTTTGTTTGTTTGTTGTTTTTGAGACAGAGTCTTGCTCTGTCACCCAGGCTGGAGTGCAGTGGCCTGATCTCGGCTCACTGCAACCTCTGCCTCCTGGGTTCACACCATTCTCCTGCCTCAGCCTCCCGAGTAGCTGGGACTACGGGCGCCCACCACCACGC
The DNA here is from genome assembly GCF_000001405.40 of Homo sapiens. Classification (NCBI taxonomy): domain Eukaryota; kingdom Metazoa; phylum Chordata; class Mammalia; order Primates; family Hominidae; genus Homo; species Homo sapiens. The sequence goes on from NC_000012.12 coordinate 12,083,124, forward strand.
CCGGCTAATTTTTTGTATTTTTAGTAGAGACAGGGTTTCATCGTGTTAGCCAGGATGGTCTCGATCTCCTGGCCTCGTGATCTGTCCGCCTCAGCCTCCCAAAGTGCTGGGATTACAGGCGTGAGCCACCGTGCCTGGCCTCACCTGGGTTATTTTAACTGTAAGTCACTATGTAGCCTTGTACAGCCACTGCCAGGCCTCAGTACCGGGCTTACATGGGAACTGTGAGATTATGTCCCAAGACCAAACTCTGTTAGGAAGAGGCCTCAGGATGCAGAGAAATGGACAATAACACCAGTTTTAAAGACTACCAACCCAGGCTCTTTCACTTGTGAATCTTTTGTTTCTCCATAGCTACGATTTGCTCACGTGGAATGTTATAGTTAAGGTGAGGTTCAGCGATATACAGTGGAACACTCAAATACCCATGGCTTAAATAATATACAGGTTTGCTTTTCTCTCCTTTAAAAGAGGACAAAAGTTTGGCAGCTCAGGCATGATATGACAGCTCCACAAAGTTATTAAGAATTTCTGGGAATGGCCAGGCAGGGTGGCTCATGCCTATAATCCCAGCCCTTTGGGAGTCTGAGGTGGGCAGATCACTTGAGCCAAAGAGTTTGAGACCAGCCTGAGCAACATGACAAAACCCCGTCTCTATTAAAAAAAATACAAAAATTAGCCAGGCGCCATGGTGCGCGCCTGCAGTCTCAGCTACTCGAGAGGCTGAAGGAGGAGAATCACTTGAGCCTGGGAGGCGCAGGTTGCACTGAGCTGAGATCACACCATTGCACTCCAGCTTGGATGACGGGGTGAAAAAAAGAATTCCTGGGAATTCTGCCATCCCTCAGCTCGTGGCTTCCACCTCAAAGTCACCTTATATTCTAAAGGTGGCTGTTGGGGCTTCACCCATCATGTCTACATCTCAGGCAAGAATAAAAAGGAAGCAAAGGAAGGGCAAAGGGTGCCTTCTTTCTAGGTAATTCAGCTCCCTTTTATTTTATTATTATTTTTTAATCTTTTGTAAAGATGGGGTCTGTGTTACCCAGGCTGGTCTCGAACTCCTGGCCTAAAATGATGGCCTCGCCTTGGCCTCCCAAAATGCTGGGATTACGGGCGTGAGCCACCGCACCCAGCCTTAGCTCCCTTTTCGAGAGCTTTCTTGAAACTGCCCCCAGCTTCTGACATCTCATTGGCCCTTCCCTACTGCAAGGGAGCCCAGGGAATATAGTTTGTTCAGCTGGGTTCATTGCTGCCCCTCACATTTTAGAGGTCTGTTACTAAGGAAGAAGAAGAAAGTGGATACTGAGTGGGAAAGAGCAGTCCATAAGGAAGTCACACCCCAACCCCCTGCCCTTTCTCTTTAAAACAAATGCCTCAGACCACAGGCGAAATGGGACCTTCCGACCCTGTTGGCCTGCTCTTCCTGGCGCCACGATGACCCCCAAAACAGACTCCAAGGAACAGACAGCCTTTCTGTCTTCTCCCCACCCCATCCAGTGTTCCCTCGCCTATCAGACAGGACCAAGT